>NC_000005.10:65109807-65734807 GCF_000001405.40 Homo sapiens | reverse complement strand
CTATGTAGCCCTGACAGTATGGACCTTATACATTGTAGCAAGCAGGCTTCATCAACCTGTGATTATTTCAGTCACTACAACTCCACCTGAGATGTGAGGCAGAAATAGAATTTTCCTTTCGGTGTTGACCACAAGTGGGATTAAATATTAAAGATACCAGCAAAATATGGCTGGGAAATATGAGGACTTCCTCTTGAATGCCAAACAGGAAGCATAGACAATCTCAGAGTGGGCAGAATGGGCAGAGTCTTTCTTTTTTTTTTTTTCCATTCAGGTTCCATTTATTTTTGACATTTTTAAATAACCATCCGTGCGAGGGTAACTCCTGCATCATTCTAGAACTTCAGGTTCCATTTCTGAGTCTAGGAAACAGGTCCCTGAAGGCTTTATTGATGCCAAGTCAGCATTTTCACCCAGTTCTGCCCCCAGCTGAGTCACCTTTGTTTTTCCACTCACAGTCAGCACGTGCCTGAAACACATGACCGTGTGCTTCCTTTAAGATGCACCTGACCGGGCCAGGCTGCTCATGCCTGTAAACCCAGCACTGTGGAAGGCCAAGGTAGTCAGATCACTTGAGGTCAGGAGTTTGAGGCCAGCCTCCTCCAACATCGTGAAACCCTGTCTCTACTAAAAATACAAAAATTACACTTTGGGAGGCCGAGGCGGGTGGATCACGAGGTCAGGAGATTGAGACCATCCTGGCTAACTTGGTGAAACCCTGACTCTACTAAAAATACCAAAAATTAGCTGGGTGTGGTGGTGGACACCTGTAGTCCCAGCTACTCTGGAGGCTGAGGCAGGAGAATGGCATGAACCCTGGAGGCAGAGGTTGCAGTGAGCCGAAGTCGTGCCAGTGCACTCCAGCCTGGGTGACAGAGCGAGACTCCGTCTCAAAAAAAAAAAAGAAAAAAAAATACAAAATTAGTTGGGTGTGGTGGTGCATGCCAGTAACACCAGCTACTAGGGAGGCTGAGGCAGGAGAATCACTTGAACCTGGGAGGTGGAAGTTGCAGTGAGCTGAGATTGTGCCACTGCACTTCAGCCTGAGGGACAGAGCGAGACTCCATCAAAAAAAAAAAAGCACCTGTGTCCTAGATTTTAGTGCCCAAGGGTCCAGAAGAAAGCGTATCCATCCCACTAATCAGGCCTTCCCTAAGAGCAAAGATGGAGGTCCACTTTCTCAGATGGCCATGAGCCACAGGAAGGGCAGGGGACGGGACCAAAAAAGATCCTCTTGGGCTGCCTGACTTCCCTGACTGTACACATCAGCTCAGCCCGAATTGGGGCAAGGATCTCCCAATTGGCATGACCCCTGTTGTCAAGACTCTCCAGATGGGAAGGATACAATTCCAGGCCTAACTTGCTCAGCCCGCCTGTGTGACACAGCAGGTCTTTCAGAGCATTCATGGAGGTCTCGTTTCCATGAAAGTAGAAGGTGGTGAGCTGGGAGCAGTGGCTCAGGGCAGGCAGGAGGAGCCTGAGTTGGGAGTCCTGGATCTGACAGTCCTTTAACGTGAGGGTCTCGAGAGTAGCAGCAACTTTCTCTAGCAGAGCTCCAAGGGGCTCAAGATTGGTGGTCCACATTAGGATATGAATCAGATGCAGCTCCTTTAGCTGACTGAGGCTTGGTTACTAAGACAGACACTCCATGTCCCGATCAGCTAGGTAAGCATGACAGAATATAAAGGCCCCCAAGAGGTTCTTGAGGCACCTGGGGAGAGCAAGAAATTAGTTATGGGCAATGGTGCCAGTTAGAGGAGGGGGGTGGGAAATCATCTCAATGGTAAACTTGAAGTGGGCATTGAGTAATTCTGCACCTTACTACCACACAGGTGTTATAGTAACTGCAATGGGGAAGCCTGTTTCACCCAAACACAAGTTTGTTCCCATCATCAGATGATGGTCTGTGTGCAAGGTGCTGCCTGATGAAGACTCAGATCATTCAGGGGCAGCTCCATTTTAGGCTCAGTCCTTTCAGCCTTGCTTGTGTGATTGGTTCAAGGCCACAAAATCTTTAAAGCCTCTTTACTGCATCTTTCAGCAGACAACCTCATCTCTGGGCCAGAGGAGCCCAGTGGGAGATGTGCACAAAGAACTCAACTGAGCAAGGTCTAGGGACATCAGCTAGGGCCACCTGTCTGCAAAGGTTCCCTGACGTGCCCGCGTCTGCAAACCACCTATCACTTTATACCACTCTCCTGCCTACTCCCTCACCTCTGTCCAAGAAGCACGCTTTTCTCATGTCAACTACTTTTCCTGGGGTTCAAAAGAACCTTTTACAGACAGAGAATTAGAGACAGGATCATTGGTGTTTACTAAGCTGTGAGGACGGAGCTTCTACTGTGAAACGCACAGGTTTGATGCACTTTCCCTTCTTTCATACTCTCCTCTATATGAAGTGTAAGTTTCATCATATTAACTTCAAACACACTTCCTAAAAAGGAATTCACAAATGCACCCTCCCTAGATCTGAACCCCTGACTAACTAGCTCCCTGCATGTCTCTCTCTGTAGCATCTGGCCCGGGCCATCCCTCTGGGCAGAGTCTTTCTAATGTAAGCTATGGTGAACGGGAAATCCAGATTTCATAAGCTGGACTTCCTTTTATACTTCTTGCAGTTTTGCAGTTTCGGTGTTGATTTCCTTTTTGTTTCACTCAATAATTTGAAGAAGTCTTTTTAAAAAAGTCAGCCCTCATGATAGATAAAGGGTTTAAGTGTGAAAAATGAAACATAAAAGTACTAGAAGAAAATGTAGATGCTGGGTGTGGTGGCTCATGCCTGTAATCGTAGCACTTTGGGAGGCTGAGGTGGAAGGATTGCTTGAGCCCAGGAGTTTGAGATCAGCCTGGGCAACATGGTGAAACCTTGTCTCTACAAATAATACAAAAATTAGCCAGGTGTGGTGGCTCACACCTGTAGTCCCAACTACTTGGAAGGCTGACGTGGGAGGACTGCTTGAGACTGGGAGGCAGAGGTTACAGAGAGATGAGATTGTTCCACTATACTCCAGCCTGGGTGACAGAGCTAGACTCTGTCTGAAAAAAAAAAAAAAAAAAAAAAAAAAGAAAATGTAGGTGATTTTTAAAATACATAATCTTGGGGTGGAGAAGGACTTTCTAGGAATGAGACCAAAGGCAGAAATCATAAAGGAAAAGACTGATATTTCTGACTGTATAAAAATTTAAACTTTTGTAGGGATAAAGCAAAAAAGCAAAAAGCAACAATAATCTACCCCAAAAGTTCAAAGATCAAAAACAACTGAAACATCTATGAGGGGCTCTTACAAAGTAATAATCCTAATTTTAAAAATCCCAAAATAAAACTAGGCAATTCACACAAGTAAAAACAGTAACTAATATTTCTCGAGATTTTATTATGTGCCGATGTGGTAGACTGATAACTAACATGGCCTCAATTTTCTACCTGCTATGAGTCTATGTCTCTTAACAATGTGAGTTTGCTGTTCTACCCATCAAGAGATAGAGTCTGTTTCCCCACTTCTTGAATCTGGGCTAGCCTTGTGACTTGCTTTGACCAGTAGAATGTGGCAGAGCTAATGAGGTTCCAGTTCCAACTGCCTTCCACTCTCTCATGGAACCCTGCCACTGACATGAGAACAAGCCAGAGGTGGCTTCTTGGAGGACGAGACGTCACAGGAAAGAGGGCCAAATAGCCCCAGCTGTGGCCATCCTACATCACCAAACATGTGAGAGAGGATAGCAGAGATCAGCAGAGCTGCCTACACAACCCATGGCTGACTGAAGGAGCATGAATGAGTTAAGATCAGAAAAACTGCCCAGCCAAAATCTAGATTTGTCAGCAAAAATAAACATTGATCATTGTACTCCACTGAAATTCAGTTTGTTATACAGCATTTTTGTGGTAATAGGAATGGATATAACCAGGCAATGTTCAAAGTGTTCTATATTTGTTTCAATCTTAAAAGGTGAGTACAGGCCAGGCACGGTGGCTCACGCCTGTAATCCCAGCACTTTGGGAGGCAGAGGCAGGTGGGTCACTTGAGGTCAAGAGTTCCAGCCTGGCCAACATGGTGAACCCCTGTTTCTACAAAAAATACAAAAATTAGCTGGGCATGATGGCGGGTGCCTGTAATCCCAGCTACTCAGGAGGCTGAGGTGGGAGAATTGCTTGAACCCAGGAGGAGGAGGTTGCAGTGAGCTGAGATTGCGCCATTGCACTCTAGCCCGAGCAATAGAGTGAGACTCCATCTAAAAACAAACGAATAAAACAAAAAAAAAAAAAGAAGAAAATAGAAAAAAAAGGATGAGTCCAATTTTTCCCTGTCTCATCTCCTACTTACTTGCCTGACATTTATTCCATGCTAGTCACAATGGTCTCTTTACTTTCTCAAAAACACCAGGCATAGCCCTGCTTTCAGAGCCTTGGTGTGTGCCGTTTCTCCTGCTTAGAATGACCTGCCTCAGGTATTCACATAGCACAACTGCTCATTTCTCTTAGATCATTACTCAAGTATTAATATCACTTTCTTGGTAGCCTTTCCTGTTGACTCTACAATTTCCTTCCTATCGGTACTGAGCATTCCCCTTTCCCATTTTACTTTTGCTCTGCAGCACATTTTCCCATCTAACTTACTTTATATTTTCCTTAGTTGTCTCTCCCACTGGAATGTAAGTTCCATTAATGCAAAGATTTTTATCTGCTTTGTTCATTGCTATATCCCCAGACCAAGAATACTATTTCGCATATAATAGACAATAAATATTTGGTGAATGAAGAAATCAGCCAATCAATTATCAATTTACTGAGGAGGAAACAGATACGGAGAACTTAAGTATTCTTGCCTAAGATCACAATGCTAGTCAGTGGCAAAACCAGCATTCAAACTCAGGCGAGCTGTTTCTAGATTTATATAGTCGACTCTATGATGCTACATGCACTTTGCAATGCGGCAGCTTGGCATTTACATATGTATTCAATACACATCAGTTTCCTTGGTTCTTCATATCTTTAATTCAGGGGATTCTTCCCAAGTAAGTCCTGTGCTTTGTCTTAACCAAAGAGGTGATAATGTTTAACTCTGAGAAAGAACCAGGTTGCTTCTGACCAAAACCAGGGTTAAAGGACAAACAAAAAAGAAAGAAATCAATCCTCGGCGGAGCACGGTGGTTCACGCCTGTAATCCCAGCACTTTGGGAGGCCGACGCGGGTGAATCATGAGATCAGGAGTTCGAGACCAGCCTAGCCAACATGGTAAAACCCCGTCTCTGCTAAAAATACAAAATATTAGCTGGGCGTGGTGGCAGGTGCCTGTAATCCCAGCTACTCCGGAGGCTGAGGCAGGAGAATCACTTGAACCCAGGAGGCGGAGGTTGCAGTGATCCAAGATCGTGCCACTGCACTCCAGCCCGGGCAACAGTGCAAGACTCCATCCTAAAAAAAAAAAAAAAAAAAAAAAGAAAAGAAAACCTATTTTATAACCAAATCCATTTGTACAAATAATGTCAACCTAGCTCTTGATACTTTAACTTAAAAAACCCTTTCTTTACTAGATTTTTTTCCCCAATACTGTTCTCTTAACATTTTGGAGATTATGCCTACTGGTTTTAGAGGAATAATCTCAATTTTATTTAATTACACTTAGACCTGTAAATATTGTTAAGTTTATTAATAACTGTAATTTAGGCTGGGCCCAGTAGCTCATGCCTGTAATCCCAGCACTCTGGAAGGTTGAGGCGGGCAGATCACTCGAGCCCAGGAATTAGAGACCAGCTTGGGCAACATGGCGAAGCCCTGTCTCTACAAGAAATACAAAGATTAGCCGGGTGTGGTGGCAAACACCTGTAGTCCCAGCTACTCGGGAGGCTGAAGTGGGAGGATCGTTTGAGCCCGGGAGGTCGAGGCTGCAGTGAGCCATGATCATGCCACTGCACTCTAGCCTGGGCAACCAAGTGAGACTCTGTCTCAAACAAACAAACAAAAACACCAAGAAAACTGTAATTGAATTTGTCTGACTTTCTAAGATTTTCCATATAAATAAATTTTCACATCAGACAACAAATAACTTTTTGGTTTCCAGACCACAACTCCTGAATTTTTGTTTAGGAATTATACTCACTGAATAAACCTTCCAAAAATGTATGAAAATGCAAATTATAATAAGAGAAATTTCCACTTATCAAACTGGTAAGGATAAAAAAAATTAAAATGCTCAATGTTGGTAACAGTATAGGAAACCAGCATTTACTTACTCACCTGGTAAGGTTATAATTTGGGAGAAAGTTTTTAGAATAGAATAAGATGATAAGTACCAAAGACCTGAAAGGTATGCATGCCCTTTGATGTACAAATTCCATTTGTAAGAATTTATACTAAGAAAATAACTAAAGATTTGGAAAAGGACAATAGGAATGTTTATCCAAGCACTATTACTCATTGCAGGAAGTTGGGAATAGTTGACATTTCTAAAGGCGTATATTAATCAAATTGCATACATCCCCAAAAGGAATATATTATAGCTATTTATATTTTAGGGGATGTTTGTATAATATTAAAAATTATAAAAGAATAACAATATCATATTTATAAAAAGAAAGTCTGTTCATAGAGGAAATTTTGAAAGCTGTTAAGAATTGGCTGTTCCAGGTGGCTGGATTATATATATATTTAATATTTTCTTTTGCTTGTCATTACTTGCTAAGTTTTCAATAATGAACACGCATTGCTGTCATCATTTTAAAAAACCAAGCTGTGTTTTTTAGGCCAGGTGCAGTGGCTCACGCCTATAATCCCAGCACTTTAGGAAGCTGAGGTGGGCAGATCACTTGAGGTCAGGAGTTCAAGACCAGCCAGGCCCACATAGTGAAACCCCAGCTCTACTAAAAATACAAAAAATCAGCCAGGCGTGGTTGTGGGGACCTGTAATCCCAGCCACTCAGGAGCCTGAGGCAGGATAATTGCTTGAACCCAGAAGGCAGAGGTTGCAGTGAGCCGAGATCATGCCACTGTATTCCAGCCTGGGCAACAGAGCGAGACTGTCTCAAAAAAACAAAAACCAAAAAACAAACCAAGCTGTCTTTTCTAATTGCAAGAGGAAGCTAGGCTATTACAGCTATTGTTTCGGCTAAATATTGTTGAGTCAACCTTCTCGTTTGTTTCTTTGACCATGTCACTCATCCCTCTTATTCTATAATATACATTAGGCTTTGCTTGGGTCACATGCTGTACAATCTGAGGTAGGAGGAGGAATTCTCCTGGTTTGCTATGGCAATATAGAGGTTTTTTGCTTTTTGTTTTTTTTTTAAGGCCTTAGCTATTATTTAGTCTAGTCCTTTTCATTTTACAATATAAGGAACCTGGGCCAGGCATGATAGTACACTCCTGTAATCCCAGCACTTTCAGAGGTTGAGATGGGAGGATCATTTGTGGCCAGGAATTCTAGACTAGCCTCGGCAACATAGCAAGATCCTATCTCTACAAACAATTTTTTCAAATTAGCTGGGCATGGTGGTGAGCGCCTGTAGTCCCAGCTACTCAGAAGGCTGAGGCAGGGAGGATTGTTTGAAACCAGAGTTTGAGACCGCAGTGAGCCATGATCATGCCCCACTGCACTTCAGCCTGGATGACAGAGTGAGACCTTGTCTCTAAAATACATACATACATAGGTACATAACTTGAAAGAGGTCCAAGGGAGTGAGTGATTTTTTTAAGGTCACAAAGTGAATTGAACAGCAACTATAATCCAAACTCCAGATTCTCAGTCCACTTATTCCCAAGAAGTTGGCTGAACACCCCAATCAATGATCCTAGCTGGAAGCTGGCCTTGGGAAGGGGATATAGCAGCTCTGCCAACAAGAAAACCCAATGGAAACTGTAAGTCAGTTAGGCAAAAGCCTAGTTACTCCATAACACTAAAATGAACTCCCAAGTGTCAGAGGAAACAGGAAAAACAGGAGAACACAGGGGGTCCTCCATGTTGTCTAATATGAACTCTTTTGGAAGATACTGATTTTGAAACAGAGCAGATTCTGTGATTAAGTCAAGGAAGCCCTGGGTTAAGGACTACCATATATGATGATTAACTGTAAGATATGCCCTTATGTAACAAATTAGTTAATATATTTATGGTAGCTTCTAACAAGGTAATAATTTTTTGGCTATTAGTATATTTATTTTCTTCCATGCATAAACAAAGAATCTAATACCACATATCGGCAGCTCTCAAAATGTAGTCCACAAACCTTAAAGGTAGAGGTATGGGGAGGGGTTCCTGAGACACTTTCAAGGAATCTGTGAGGTTAAAAATCTTTCATAACAATACTAAGACATTATTTATCCTTTTTACTTTATGAACATTTGCACTGATGGCGAAAAGGAATGGTGGATAATACTGTTGGTACTTCAGCACAAATTGAGGCAATGACACCAAACTATACTAGTAGCTATATTTTTCATTGCCATGCACTCAGGCTAAAAATAATGTCAATTTCATTTTAGAATATCCTTAATGAAATGGTAAAAAGTATGAATTTTTATTAAATCTCTACCTTTGAGTTATATGTGACCAAGTACACACAAAGCATTTCTGCTGTGTACCTGAGTATAAGGGTTGTCCTGAGGATTTGGTTGCCCAAATCAAAAGCACTTTTGCAATTGGTTGAACTGTGAGCTGAAATAGATTTTTTTCATGGAAAACCATTTTTTTTTTTTTTTTTTTGAGACGGAGTCTCGCTCTGTCGCCCAGGCTGGAGTGCAGTGGCACAATCTCGGCGCACTGCAAACTCCACCTTCCGGGTTCACGCCATTCTCCTGCCTCAGCCTCCCGAGTAGTTGGGACTACAGGCGCCCGCCACCACGCCCGGCTAATTTTTTGTATTTTCAGTAGAGACAGGGTTTCACCGTGTTAGCCAGGATGGTCTCGATCTCCTGACTTCGTGATCCACCTGCCATGGCCTCCCAAAGTGCTGGGATTACAGGCGTGAGCCACCGTGCCCAGCCCATGGAACACCATTTTTACCAGAAAAAAACTACTGACAGACAAACCAGGGTTATTCAGACTTAAGTATGTGGCAGAAATTCTGTCAAAAATGTAACAAAGTGAGATTGTCACTTCAAGTAAAACAACTGACAGTTTGTGTTACCAATGATAAAATTCTAGCTTTCAAGTGAAAACTAGAATTTTGGAAAATCCTATCTGCCACTGTGAGCTTGACAGCTTCCCAATACTTGAAGACTTTTCCGACTAAATAGGAAGACATTAAGGAAAGTGATTGTTTGATACTGTATAATGAAATATGTCAACATTAGGAAGAACTGTATAACACAGTGAACCACTAAAATTTCCGAAGGACTTATGCTTAATGTTTTAAAAAACAGGCATGGATTCAACATCCATTCAAAGTGTAAGGTACACCATTGGATATTAATGTAACAGTGTAAAACAAGTACATTGATATAGTTTCAAATTCCACTTTGTAACTAACCTTTAAAAAGCTACGATTTGTCAAACTTTGATGTGATATCAAAGAACATCCATGATTATCTTTAAAAAGCTATTAAAATATTCTTCTTTCCAACTTCATATGACTGTGAGGTGGGATTTTCTTCATCTTAAACCAAAATGAAACAGTGCAGCAGCTTAAATGCAGAGGCAGACATAAGAATCCAGTTACCTTCTATTATGTCACACATTAGTTTTGCAAAAATGCGAAACAGTGCCACTTCTGCCGGGCGCAGTGGCTCACGCCTGTAATCCCAGCACTTTGGGAGGCCGAGACAGGCGGATCACGAGGTCAGGAGATCGAGACCATCCTGGCTAACAGGATGAAACCCCGTCTCTACTAAAAATAAAAAAAAAAAATTAGCCGGGCGTGGTTGCGGGCGCCTGTAGTCCCAGCTACTTGGGAGGCTGAGGCAGGGGAATGGCGTGAACCCGGGAGGCGGCGCTTGCAGTGAGCCGAGATAGCGCCACTGCATTCCAGCCTGGGCGACAGAGAGAGACTCTGTCTCAAAAAAAAAAAAAAAGAAAAAAAAAAGAAACAATGCCACTCCTAGGATAACTGTTATCAAAACCAGGAAATAAGTGCTGATGATGATGTGGAGAAATTGGAATCCTTAGGTACTGCCAATGGGAATGTAAAAATGGTACAGCCACTGAAGAAAACAGTATGGTTTCAAAAACTAAACATAGTACTATCCTATGACTCAGCAATTTTCACTTCTAGGTACATACAGTATCCCAAAGAATTAAAAGCAGGGATTCAAACAGACATGTGCACATTAATGATCATAGTAGTAGTATTCACAATAGCCAAAAGGTGGAAGCAACCCAAATGTCCACTGACAAATGGATAAACAAAATGTGGTATATACATACAATGAAATATTATTCAGTTTTAAAAAGGAAATCCCGACACATGCTTCAAAACGAATAAACCTTAAAAACGCTATACTAAATAAACCAGACGCAAAAGGACAAATATTGTCTAATTCCACTTATATAAGGGACCTGAAATACTCAAATTCATAGAGAAAAAATAATGGTTAACCAGGGATTGGGGGAGGAAGTAATGGGCAGTTATTGTGTAATAGGTACAGGGTTTCAGTTTGGGATGATGACAAGTTCTGGAGATGGACAGTGGTGTTGGCTGTACCTCTCAATTGTACACTTAAAAATTATCAAAATGGTAAATTTTGTTATATCTTACCACAATTTTAAAAAAAAGGGAAAAAACCCCACAATGTTAATCTTCTCACTGATTGGGGGGCGGGGGGGTTGGTTTGGAAAATAGTTATTTTTCATTAAAATCACTATTTATGCACCTAGCCTATTTATTAGTTTTGTAAATTAACAACTACTTTAATTTTTTTCCAGCTTTAATGTCTAATATGGTAAATATAGACAGATATACCACACAAACAGAAGCTCTTAGGTCCACGGTAATTTTTGAAAGGTAAAGGGGTCCTGAGAATAAAAAGTTTGAGAATTGTTCTTTTTTTTTTTTTTTTTTTTTTGAGACGGAGTCTTGCTCTGTCGCCCAGGCTAGAGTACAGTGGTGCGATCTCGGCTCACTGCAAGCTTCGCCTCCCGGGTTCATGCCATTCTCCTGCCTCAGCCTCCCGAGTAGCTGGGACTACAGGCGCCCGCCACCACGCCCGGCTAATTTTTTGTATTTTTTAGTAGAGACGGGGTTTCACCGTGTTAGCCAGGATGGTCTCGATCTCCTGACCTCGTGATCCACCCGCCTCGGCCTCCCAAAGTGCTGGGATTACAGGCATGAGCCACAGCGCCCGGCCGAGAATTGCTCTTATATGAAGATTTATTCCCTCCTCTCACCCCTGCATTATGTGAAGTCTTCATTTCTTGGTATAACTTCATTTGACAGCTATATCGATTGCAGCCTGGAGACTAGCAAAAAACGACAGGCTGAAATATGGTCACCAATCACCACATTAACTCTTTGTAATTAACCACTGTCGCCTGCCTGCTCCCTAACTCTACGGACTGAGCAACACAAAGCTCCATCCACACAGACGAGTGGCAATGTGCAAAAGGGAACTGTAGAAAGCTTAAATGCTGACATGTTACAAAGTAGTTTTGTTGATAGCTAGCAAGAAGCACACATTTTCTTTATTCTGTTGAATCTTCATTTGGATTTACAGTTCTGGGCAGATTTGGAAACGGGGATGGTGGCGGCATTGTTTCCGAAAACCAGCGCATCCGTGCAAAGAATTTAATTCCCTCACCATCTTGCTACTGGTCTGTTGCAGTGGGGTGTGGTTAGAGGGCTAGGAAGCAATCCAAAACAGCAGCTCAGGCTGCCCAAAGCCGTGTCCAAGCGATCATTTTCTCCATTTTGGGCCAAGTCAATTTGCACCGGCAAGAGGCAGAATGTTTGTTTTATGGGGAGGAGGAAAATAAAAAAGGAAGTCAGAGAGCATGGACGGAAACAAGCAACACCACCAAAGAGGTTTCATCTCGGGTGGATGTTAAACGATTGGAATGCTAATAATGGGCGCGAGGAGCAAACACAATTGTTCTGAGTCCACAGCTGCGGCACTTTTAATGACAGGTCTGTAGTTCTGCATTGGGATTGAACGTGAAATGATTTTCTTATCCAAACTATTTGCATTCATTTTGGGCCGCGTCTGTGACCAGCCTCGCTGACTGCGGCTGAGGCAGTCCCAAACAAAGAGGAATGGACGTCCTCCCGAGGGAGCGGAGGCGGGAAAGGTGGCCCCAGGTGGCCGCGCCAGGTGTCCCCCAGGGGTCCACCTTGCAAGCCGCGGGGAGGGTGCGTCCCGGGAGCGTCGGAGAGGCGCGGTCGGGAAGGGGTGGGTCCGGGCTCCAGGCACCACACGGCGAAAGACCCCGCCCTGCCCACGGCCAAGGTTAACCCGCGCGCTGGAGGTACCTGCGGAGGCTTCGCACAGCCAAAAGGCACCGGGCGATCATGGGAGCGCTGAGAGGCTGGCGGCGGCGGGCGCGTGGTCCTTCGGCGTGGGGCGGCGAGGCGGGCGGCAGCGCCTGGGCGCCCGGGAGTCTCGAGCCGGCCTAGCCGCAGAGGCCACAGTGGCTGCCTGGCCAGCGCCCTCCCACGTGCGGCAGCTCCACGCCGGCGCCTACCAGCCCCGCCCCGCGCCGTGCCCCGCCCCAGCTCGCGTGTCTGGCCCCGCCCCAGCCCTCGCGTCCGGCCCCGCCCCAGGGGCGGTGCTGGCCAGACCCTGCCGCCTGAGAGAGAGCACAGCCTGGTGGGTTCTGGGGTCTACGGCCTAGGGGCCGGGGAAGTTTGCGCCGCCGCGACCAGTGCTGCGATCCCGAGCCGGGCTCCAGCCCCGAGGACCAGGGGTCGGGCGGGCCTGCCTACGGAACCCCGCGGGCCAGCAGCAGTCGTCTCGCGTCCTCCTGCTTGGTAAGGGGCTTCTGTCTGGCAAGGGTGCGCCTCCCGCCGCTCCGGACCGGGGCCCGCACCGGCACCCGCTGCACACCGGGCAGGGCCGAGGCGAGGCCGGGTACCTGAGGGAGGACGGAAGGGAGGGGGAGCTCGATGCGCTCTGGGGAGAGGAAGGGGGAGAAGCCTATTTCCCTCTTCTCACCCCTTTTCCCCCCATTCTGTTTTTACCTTCTGCCCTGGGGCCTTATTTAGTGCTTATGACCCCGTGGCCTAGAGGCTGACATCGCCTTTAAAATAACTACACAAATAATAAACATTATAGCGGCGGGTACCACACCCTGGCTTTGAATTAGGGAACCTGGGGAGCAGATGGATGATGCGATTTGGTGGAAATCAGCCATGAATGCCGCCTGGCCCTGCGCCACTGTTTGGATGCGATAGTATTCCATGTGAATGAACATGACCGGGAGCTTCCAGCTTGTCCACGAGAGCACAGCCTCTGCAGGGAGCGCCGGTCGGCTTGTAGTATCCATCGACTTGGGCAGCGATTTCCTGACATGTCTGCTGATTAAATAGAAATGCCATTTTTATTAAGAACGACACTCACCACTTGAATAACCTTTCGCGAATGTGTTTCCTCATCAAATAACTCTCAACCTACAAAAGTGGGTAGAGTGTACATTATTAATACTTTTTTTAGATCCCATGAAAAAGAGGAAGATGCTTGGTATACATCAGCTTTTAGTCAGCAGTATGAAATGCCTCTTAACTTAGTACTGAGGCCTTTAGGGGATTTCTGTATGGTGAGATATGCAGTGACAGTCTAAGCTTATGCTGTACATGTTTTGAAGACATTTTTACTTATTCCAAGATTTAACATACTCGTATACCACTGGGTATTAATGAAAATATGTAATAAATTACCTTCACAATACTTTGTGCTCTCCTGACTCTTTACAAAGAGAAAAGATGAAAGGTCATACAGTTTTGTGTTTTGTTTTTACCTTTAATACACTTTATAACCCATATCATCTTTGTAATTTATGACTTTCCTGACTGATTCTTTAAAATAACTTAGTTCAGTGTTTTCATTTTTCTTATCAAGGAAAAGTGTTTAAGCTTCTAAAATGTCATCTATCAAGCACCTGGTTTATGCAGTTATTCGTTTCTTACGGGAACAAAGTCAGATGGACACTTACACCTCGGATGAACAAGAAAGTTTGGAAGGTATGCATCTGCTCTTTGTGTTCATTTATATTATAATTATAAACGAAGACTAAAATAGCTGTAAGCCCAACTTGATGATCTATTGTAACATAATCAGAATTTTTTTTGATCTTTCAAGAGGAGAGGCCTGACTATAAGGTTATCGTATTTCCATTTTCTGAAGCTTGTTTTGTTTGTTTTAACAACAAATTAAGAGGACTATTGTTCATTTATTGAACAAATACTATATGTCAGAAGTATGCTGTTCATATTATAGGCAATTTTTTCTTCACAGCAACTGTTATGTTAGTATTATCCCCATTTAACAAGTGAGAAAATAAAACCAGGGCCAGGCTTGGTGGCTCATGCCTGTAATCCCAGCACTTTGGGAGGCCGAGGCAGGTAGGTCATTTGAGGTCAGGAGTTCAAGACCAGGCTGGGCAACATGGCAAAACCCTGTCTCTACTAAAAATACAAAAAGTAGCCAGGTGTGGTGGCACTTGCCTGTAGTCCCAGCTACTCAGGAGGCTGAGATAGGAGGGTGGCTTAAACCCAGGAGGTGGAGGTTGCAGTGAGCTGAGATCACACCACTGCACTCCAGCCTGGGCCATGAGCGAGACCCTATCTCAAAAAAAAAAAAAAAAAAAGAAAAAGAAAATGAAACCAAATAGCGTAAGCAGATAACACAGCTGATATGTGATAAAGCTGAGATTTAAATCCTGGTTAATACTCTGAAGATCTTGTTGTCTCCATTTCCTAATAGGAAAGCATCCAGTTTAGAAATAATATATAAAAATACCTGAGTCATTTTAATAGCACTATGTAAAAGTCTAATAATTATACCACTAGTGAGATCTGACCAGTGCCTAATTTGGAACTTGAAATGGGAGCATTTCACCTGTGTTTTACGTTAACTTTAATATTGGATTCGGTAATCTGTAAAGTTGAACAGGATGTGGGTGATAGCATCATGTGTTTCCTCGACACCGTCTTTGTTCTTCATGTTTATGTGTTATAAAATTTAAATTCAGTACAACCATAACAAGGTAGAATTCTGCAGATGGGCTTGTGGAGGTTCAGTGAATCTGGTGTCCCTGTGGCCTAAAGTCTTTTATTTATTTATTTATTTTTTGAGACAGGGTCTGTCTGGCTCTGTCACCCAGGCTGGAGTGTAGTGGCACAATCTCGGCTCACTGCAACCTCCACCTCCTGGGCTCAATTGATCCTCCCACCTCGGCCTCCTGAGTAGCTGGGACTACAGGAGTACACTACCACACCCGGCTAAGTTTTGTATTTTTTTTTGTAGAGACAGAGTTTCGCCATGTTGCCCAGGCTGTTCTCAAACTCCTGGGCTCAAGTGATCCACTCGCCTTGGCCTCCCAAAGTACTGAGATTACAGGCATGAGCCACCCCTCCCAGCCCCAAAGTCTTAATTATTGCAGTGAGAGTGCATTTGGAAGAACTTAATAAATGACAGTATAGTTATAAATCCCATCTTGAAACTGCTTCTATAATTTCAACAAGCATTTCCCTGTGAATATGCTTTTAGGAGGTGGAGATGAAAATTGGGCATTTGCTCTAAACCTCCTTGCAGTCTGGTTAGTTGATGTCTTTCCAGGTGGCAGTGAGAGGAGCAGGTGATGCACAGTTGGAGAACATTGCAATCAGTCCATTTAATATTAAGGTCTTTTTGTTCTCCTTGATGATTAGACTATGTGAAAATAAAGTTGATTGGTTATCTAAGGAGAATGTTAGTTATGATTGCTCTGTAGCAAACAGATAAATGCAGTCATTTAAGAAAAGATGTTTCTTTTCTAATCAAAAGCAGCATAAAAGTTTTAAGGGCCAGAAAGAAAATTGAGGGTTTTTTTTTCAAACCAAGATGTTATGTCCTATTTTTAGGATGGTATTCAGCCAAAAATATGTGCCTTCAGCTGTTTGTTATATATGGCAGTCAGAAAGGGTGCCAATTGTTTTTGACTGACCCCTATTTTTGACTCTGTGAGTCTAATTTAATTGAACATGAAATCATGTGGAGGTGTCTGCCCACCTTCTAGACATTTTTAAAAGCCCTAGGAAAGAAGCCTCAGTTCTAATACCAGCTTTACCACTACTGTGAAGCTGGTATATCATCAGCTTTGTCTTGCCATCAGATTATGTCACCCACTCCTCTTAATTATTGTCATCTACTGACATTTGCTTCATTCCTTGACTAATTGTGGTTCCTGCTCACTGTCACTCTCTCTAGCACTACTCCTATTTAGTTCTTGGCAATTGCAATATACTGATTGATGATTATTTTAGTTCCCTGGCTCTCAGTTATTGACCTCATCCAGTGATCTCAAACACTTGATCATATTCTAGATCAGTGGTTCTCAACTTGGGGGTGATTTTGCAATATCTGGATACATTCTGATTGTCACAACTGGGTGAGGCGGGTGGCTGGTATTATTGGCATCTAGTGAGTAGGTAGAGGCCATGGATGCTGCTAATGCACAGGACAGCCCCTGACAAGAAGAAATTACCTGATCCAAAATGTCAGTATGCGGAGATTGAGAAAGCCTTCCCTAGACTTAATCATTACCAGAATTGCATTCCTTCCCTAATCTCTATCCCAAACATTTCACTTCCTGACCACTATTGCCTGTCTTTCCAAGATTACTCCCTCTAGAATCCCTACTCCAGCTATTCTTTGACCCAACCAGTACCTCCAATCTGTTCATGCCTCACCTTTCCCCACACCTCTTCTTACTCATCTTAAATTCCATGGTTGATAATTATAATTATTCCCTTGTATCTCCTTCCCTTTCTTGCAAAGCCCAACTTTGTTTAAATCCAACTCTCCACCTACTTTGTGCCCAACTACTCACACCCACTCATGTAGCCGTAAATAAATGGAGCAAAACACACAACTTTGCTGACTAGTCCCACTTTAAATTCATGACTGTGAACTTCAAGTAGACCTTTAATGCTGTCAGGCAATCACAGTATCTGTTCTAAGTTCATTCATACATTTATTTTCCTAGATGACCATTTTAACACTTTCTCATATCTTCTCAAACCCTCAAACCTCCTTCACTGTCCTCACTTTTAGTTGGTTACCTTGCTTTCTACTCCACCAAGAAAGCTGAAATAATAAGAAAATAGCTGGATATGATGGCACCCACATACTCGGCCTGCCTGCCTGTTTGACTAGCTATTACCATAGATGGACTATTCATGTTCCTTTCTAAATGGAACCCCTCTACTGGTATACTAGATCCCATCCTGTCTCACCTACTCCAGGATATCACTTTAGTTATTTTATTTTTTTAATCTTACATCATAAAATTTTCATACCCTACTGGATCATTTCCATCATCATATAAACTTACCATTATTCTCCCTTCTTCAAAAAAGCAAAAACAAACAGCAAATAATTACTGCTTAATTGTATGTCTCCCTTTGCAGCAAAACCATTTGAAAGAATGGTCTATACTTGCTTTCTCCAACTCCTCTCCTTCTATTCTTCTTAAACCCATTCTGATTAAGCCTTTGCCTCAATCTCTCAATCTATACCACTCTCATCAAGGACATTAGTGATTTCTGTGTTGTTTAATTTAATGGTCAGTTCTCAGCTTTCATCTGAGTTATTAGCTGTCATTGATAATGTTGATGGTCATTTCCTCATGAAATGACCCCCACCACCCCCAGTATATTTTATTTAGTTTCCAGGATACCTCATACTTTCTTGGCTTTCTTATCTCATTGTTTGCTTCTTTTCTGTCCCCTTTTCTGGTTCCTCTTCTTTTCCCTGACCTGGTGTACCCAGGGTCCACTGCTTGATCCTCTTCTTTTCATTATCTATACCCATTTCTTTGGTGATATCATTCGGCTTCTTAGCCTTAAATACCCCTTATTTATATGCTATTTCCCAAATTTATGCCCTCAGCCCAGACCTTTCTTCTGAAGGTCTTATATATCCAAGTACCTACTAGATATCTCCACTTGCATGTCTAATAGGCATCCCAAATTTAACATGGCCAAAACCGAACTTCTGATTCCCCCACCCAAAATCTGTTCTGTATGCAATTTCCCAATCTCTGTTTATGTCAGCGTCATCTTTTCTGTTGCTCAGGCCAGAAACTTGGGTATCATTCTGGACTCTTCTCTTTCTCAAATACCCTGTAACTAATCATTCAATAAATCCTGTTGGCTACACTTTCAAAATATGTCTAGATTTGACATCTCTTATACCACCTCTGGACTGAACTATTTCTTGACTGTTTTAGTGTGATAGCCTCTAACTGGTCTCTCTGCTTCTATTCTTGCCCCTCCATTGGCTGTTCCAAACACAGGCACCAGTGATCTTTACAAACAGAGTATGTGAGTTTCTATCATTTATCTACTCAAAACATTGTTTAAAGGATCTATATAATTTGACTTCTGTGACATATTGTTCACCTACTCCTCCCCTTTCTCATTTGGCTTCAGCCATTATTAGCTTTCTCTTTATAAATGTACCATATCCTCTTGCCTAAGGGCTTTTGCTCTGGCTGGTTCCTCTGCCTGGAATGGTCTTCACAGATAATGCTAACACCCCCGTCTCCTTTAAGTCTTTGTCAAATCTCTTTTCTCAGTAAGGCCTACCCTGAACTCTCTGTTAAACCTGCAGCTGTGGGCCGGGTGCGGTGGCTCACACCTGTAATCCCAGTACTTCGGGAGGCCGAGGCGGGCGGATCACTTGAGGTCGGGAATTTGAGACCAGCCTGGCCAACATGGTGAAACTCCCTCTCTACTAAAAATACAAAAATTAGCCAGGCGTGGTGGCACACGTCTGTAATCCCAGCTACTCAGGAGGCTGAGGCAGGAGAATAGCTTAAACTCGGGAGGCACAGGTTACAGTGAGCCAAGATTACGCCACTGCACTCCAGCCTGGGCAATAGAGCGAGACTCCGTCTCAAAAACAACAACAACAACAACAAAAACCCTGCAGCTGCTTTTCTGCTCAGCTGCCCACACTCTCCATCCTCCTTACCCTTTACTACCTGTTTATTGTTTATGGTCCACCTCTCCATCTCCTACTAGGAAGGAAATCCCAAGAGGTTAGGGATCTTTTCTGTTTTATTCACTGATATGTCAAAAGTGTCTAGAAAAGTGCTTGACACATAGTAGGTGCTTAATAAATATTTGTTGAATTGAATCCAATGGTCTCGGGCATTTCCCTTAGTTGGTTTGGATCTTAGTTTCTAAGTCTATTTGGTAGAGATACTTGCCTTCCTTGCAGCCAATATATTTGTGAAGAGAATCTGAATCAGCGAATGGCAGGTACATAGCATGTGAAAACTTTTGAATTAAGTGTTATACAGATAGGATGTGGTATTACTGAATAGAATTCTTCACTCATCTTTCTCTATCAGTACCAGACTATTTTTGTTCGGTGTTACAGTGAAACAATAAGTATATATAGTATTTGTTTAGATTTTGTGACTTATTCCTGAATGTCTATTATTTTCATTAGGAATAAATAGGAATAGATTCTTCTAAAAGGAAGATCAAATGTAATAATCTCTGTTTGATAAATGAGAATCTTGAGGTAAATGTAAGTTAAATTATTGTACCCAGGTTATTTAATTTTTTCAGCCTGGATTAATAAGGATAACGAGACAGGCCTGAGTTCCAAGGCTGTGGTTAGCTTTGTTCACTAATCCCAACTTCACTAATCCCAATCAATTTCTCAAATCCAACTTTTCTCTCTAATTCATTCTCAATGTTCCTGCCAGACTTTTAGTTCTAAACATAATTTAGTTACGTTATTCTCCCTCACTAAATTCTTTAATGGTTCTCCATTTGCTCATTCCTTGAAGTCTAAATCTTTTTAAAAATGCAATTTCAGGTGCCTTGTCATCTAATGACAGACTTCTTTTGGTTTTTGAAGACAGAGTCTCGCTCTGTCGCCCAGGCTAGAGTGCAGTGGGGTGATCTCGGCTCACTGCAACCACTGCCTCCTGGGTTCAAGCAATTCCCATGCCTCAGCCTCCCGAGTAGCTGGGATTACAGGGGCATGCAATCACATCTGGCTAATTTTTACTTTTTTAGCGGAGATGGGGTTTCACCATGTTGGCCAGGCTGGTCTTGAACTCCTGACCTCAGGTGATCTGCCTGCCTCAGCCTCCCAAAGTGCTGGGATTATAGGCGTGAGCCACCGAACCTGGCCTCCAACGACAGACTTCAAACATAATCCCTCACCATGTCTTTCCACCCACTGTATACCCTAGCCATACCAACCACTTATTTTGCCATACAATAAAAATAGACAAGGCCCCTATCAGCATTTAACATGCTTTATATTTTGCTTATTATATTTGTTGTCTTCCTTTATTAAAATATAAGCTTTATCATGTAGACAGTGATTTTTTTCTGTTAGGTTTATTACTGTTTCTCTACCACCTTAGACCAGTGCCTTACAGATAGTAGGCACTTGGCAAATTTGCATAGATGAATGAATTTTTAAAATCTATCTTCACATAAGTACACCAAGATTAATATTTAGTGCTTCTTCCTATGTGCTGGGGGCTATGTTCTGTTACTATTAATGTTTTTAATTAATGGAGAATTCTGTTTCTCACATTTTTTAAAAAAATAATATTTTAGGTTTGTAGTGAGAGTACTTTTTTTGTTTTGTTTTTGTTTTTGTTTTTTCGAGATGGGGTCTCAACCCGTACTGGAGTGCAGTAGTGAGATCTTGGCTCACTGCAACCTCCTCCTCCCAGGCTCAAGCTATCCTCCTCCTCCCAGGCTCAAGCAATCCTCCCACCTCAGCCTCCTGAGTAGCTGGGACCATAGGTGTGCGCCACCACGCCTGGCCAATTTTTTGTATTTTTGGTAAAGATGGGGTTTCGCCATGTTACCCAGGCTGGCCTTGAACTCCTGAGTTCAGGCAATCCACTCTCCTTGGCCTCCCAAACTGCTGGGATTACAGGCGTAACCCACCACACTTGGCTGAGTAAGTTGTTATTAATGACTTGCTCTTTCTGGTAGCCTTCAACAAGAATATGATGTAATACATATATTGAGAAATTATATTCTAGACAACATTTTTCCTTAAGTGAGGAATAAGAAATCCAGTTGTTGCTAGGTGTGGTGGCTCATGCCTATAATCCCAGCACTTTGGGAGGCCGAGGTAGGAGGATCACTTGAGCCCAGGAGTTTGAGACCAGCCTGGGCAACCTGGCAAGACCCTGTCTCTGCAAAAAAATTTAAACAGTTAGCATGTGGCTCATGCCTATAGTCTCAATTACTAAGGGAGCTGAGGCAGGGGGATCCCTTGAGCCCAGGAAGTCAAGGCAACAGTGAGCTATAATTGTGCCACTGCACTCCAGCCTGGCCACAAAGTGAAACCTTGTCTCTAAAAAAAAATTGGGAAGAAAGAAAGAAAGGGAGGGAAGGGGAAGGAGAAGGGAAAGGGAGAGTGTGAGGGGGAGGAAGGAAGAAGGAAAATCAGTGTGTTTTCCTTGGATAGCTAGTCTATAAACAGAAATTTCTTTGCAGCTGAACCAATGTTTTCCTTATGTTCTGTGATCATAAATACTGAATTTCCATACATTGCAGTTCTATCAGAAAAAAAAAACTTGTTTCTTTTTTAAAATTGCTAATTGTTTTTTACTATTAAAATTTATTTCAAGTTGCAATTCAGTGCTTGGAGACAGTTTTTAAGATCAGCCCAGAAGATACACACCTAGCAGTTTCACAGCCTTTGACAGAAATGTTTACCAGTTCCTTCTGTAAGGTATGTTGTCATTATTTTCTCATTATTAACTGATATGACTACAATTTTATGTTAATAGATTGTTAATAGCTGAGGGGCCAGGTATATGAGTAATTAACTTCATCCTGTATATAAGGTAAATAGTCTGTCTATATGGATATAATTGGGTATCTAAAATATAACTCATTTAATGTGCTTTAGATTTTCATATTGATAACTATTTTCATCCTCTCACCTTTTATATTTAATGGTATGTATTAGTCGACTTTTAAGTTCTTTACAGTATCTGAGTATTTTTTTTCTTGAATGTCATTTCAATGAATCTGAGTATTTTTTGGTTTCCAGCATCTGAATTGATGTTTCCCTAAAACGTGGAATACAGGTTTAAAAAGTTTTAATGTCTAGGAAGCAGCCATGCAGAAATGGATTCCTCTGGAATTGAATCGTCATTTCTGAAGCAGAATTCATCAAATTTGCCCATTGATGGGGCTCCTTAAAACAGGGAAGGGTTAAGGGTCACTGTGCAAAACTAAGACTGAAATCCAAGTTTTCTGATCCCTGCTCCTGGGGACTATTTATACATGGTCTTGGGTTTCTGGCCTTTTCAGGAAACAGACCATAAGACTGTCTGAAAAATGCTAAGTTTAGGGAGTTTAGGGCTCCCACATGTGGGTGAACTCCCACTTGTTTCTTTCTTTTCTTTTTTTCTGAGGCAGGTCTCTCTCTGTCACCCAGCCTGCAGTCTAGTGGTGTGATCATGGCTCATTGCAGCCTCAGCCACCTGGGCTCAAGCAGTCCTCAATTCTCCCACCTTAGACTCGTGAGTAGCTGGGACTACAATCACACACCACTACACCCAGTTAATTTTTGTTTGTTTGTTTTTGTTTTTTAGTAGCGACGGGGTCTTTGTTTGTTTTGTTGCCTAGGCTGGTCTTGAACTCCTGGGCTCAAACCATCGTCCTGCCTTGGCCTCCAAAAAGTGCTCGGATTATAGCCTTGAACCACCACACCTGGCCCACATGTTTCTTTATGACATTGTGGTGCCTCGTGGGCTCCTTTTGTTTTTCTAACTCCGTACTTGAGCTTTAGTATATAATGAAGAATTCTGGAGTGAAGCTGAAACATATCTTACACACTTAAGTCTGGAGTGGACATTGCTGACAATACCACACTTGACTGGATCTTCCAGGCTCTGTTTCTAGAACTTCTTGGGAAGAGGTTGTTAGAGTTGCAATGAAGATGGCAACTTGGCAGTAAATCATCCCCTTTTATTACACTTGGGAGAAAAATAATGCAGTTATTCATTAATTCATCAAACGGATGAATTCTTATTGTATGACAAGATATAAGGAGATAGTGATGTTTATCTCTGTTCCTCATCAGGGAGCTCCCTTTTTCTTCCCTTTGGTGATGGTGGGCTGTGGTTCTTTCATTGTCTGGGCCTGTGGCCCCCTCAGGGAACCCTGTTTCAGTGGCTAGATATGGTTATGGCTAAAGCAGACCTTCTTTGCTGTCAGGTAGGTGAGGCCTGTGCTTGACACAGTTCTTAGATTTTCTCACTCTTTAGCTACTGTCACCATTGACTTAATACTGAAGATATTAGAACTACTTTTTTTTTTTTTCCTTCTCAGGAAACTCTAATTGACTTTTACCCTCTGTTTGAATAAAGCTTTTTCTTTCTTTTGCTGTATCTCCCTGATTGCATTTAATTATAAGAAATTTGTTGCTCACTATCGTTAAAATACAGTTTATTGAAACTGGCTGCCTAGTATATCTTCAGTTGTGTTATATATGTGGTATCATATTTCTTTTTTTTTGAGATGGAGTCTCGCCCTGTCGCCCAGGCTGGAATGCAGTGGTGCGATCTCAGCTCACTGTAGCCTCTGCCTCCTGGGTTCAAGCGATTCTTCTGCCTTAGCCTCCCGAGTAGCTGGGACTCCAGGCACGTGCCACCACGCCTGGCTATTTTTTTTTTTTTTTTTTTTTGAGACAGAGTCTTGTCCTGTTGCGCAGGCTAGAATGCAGTGGCATGATCTCAGCTGACTGCAACTTCTGCCTGCCAGTTTCAAGTGATTCTCCTGCCTCAGCCTCCCGAATAGCTGGGATTACAGGCACCCGCCACCACACCCGGCCCTGGCTAATTTTTGTATTTTTAGTAGAGGCGGGGTTTCCCCATCTTGGGCAGGCTGGTGTTGAACTCCTGACCTCATGATCCGCCCGCCTTGGCTCCCAAAGTGCTGGGATTACAGGCGTGAGCCACCATGCCTGGTCTCATAATTCTTTAGTAGTCCTATTTTACAGCTATGGCTTCATTCCATATATGTTTATTAACAGAATATGGCAGAGAAAGTGTAAATTCACCTGAAATAGCATGACGATTGTTGTAATTAAAGAAATTATTTGTTTCACCAAGTGTACTTGGTTGTTATATTGGTCATTTTATCTTTAGGATACTGCTTTTCTATTTTTTTTCTCCAATTATGTTTATATATCAAGTGGATTCATTCCCTTTATTTAGAATAGGTAGCTCTTGCCCCCACATGGTGAACTGCTCAAATTTATGCAATGAATATGATAATTAGTTTTCAAAGTATAAAACAGTGGCAATTTTCGCAAATAATTTAGAAGGATTGGGAAGACAGAAGAGATTATAATCTATTTTTTAATATGCTATTTTTCTGACCCCCAAATCACTTTTTCCCATGTATAAAGTGCCTAGGCTTATTGGAAAATTTAAAATACAAGGAACCCTAAAGCCAAGTGCTGTAGGACAATAATGTGTCTTTGAATTATATTTAGATCCTGAGTAACTACAGTCAGTTTTAAGCAGTGACCTCTACTTAGGAAGGTTCTCATGTTGTTTCTATATTTTTATTCCAATATTTTATGCTTGGGAAAACTGATTAGTAGATAATGATTTAAAAAAAAATAAGGACAAGACCCATATACTTTGTCAGTAATTTTTTTTACTTGTGAATCTTTATGTCTAATTTGCAAAATATATTTCTGATGTAGAGCTATCAATTTTGTAGAAACTCTAATCAAGACAAAGGTAATGATGGATATATACTACAGTACATAGGGCTGGGCATGGTGGCTCATGCCTATAATCCCAACACTTTGGGAAGCCAACGTGGGAGGATTGCTTAAGCTAGGAGTTTGAGACCATCCTGAGCAACATAGGGAGACCCTGTCTCTATACAATATAAAAAAATTACCCAGGTGTGGTGGCTGCTCACCACACTAGCCCCAACTTTTTTAAAGCAATGAACATATATTAATTTTACTACAATATAAGAAAACACGGCCGGGCGCAGTGGCTCATGCCTGTAATCCCAGCACTTTGGGAGGCCGAGGCGGGTGGATCACGAGGTCAAGAGATCTAGACCATTGTGGCCAACATGGTAAAACCCCATCTTTACGAAAAATACAAAAATTAGCTGGGTGTGGTGGCATGCACCTGTAGTCCCAGCTACTCGGGAGGCTGAGGCATGAGAATTTCTTGAACCTGGGAGGCGCAGATTGCAGTGAGCCGAGATCATGCCACTGCACTTCAGCCTGGCAAAAGAGCGAGACTCCATCTCAAAAAAAAAAAAAAACTGGACAATATGCAAAGATACAAGAAATTAAAATTTTACTTCTGATACACATCTTTCCAGGCTGTTTTTAATGTGTGTGTGAACATATTTATATAATATCATATTATAAATGATTTTTTGTAGATTGTGATTTTGACTTAGTAGGGTATATCTTAGATAGGATATTAGACATTTTGTTCCAAAATTTTCACTAATATAAACAATCCCTTGATCATATTTCTATTCCTATTCTTTACATACTAATTCCATTTTTTTTTATGAAGCAGGATTGCCAGGTATGGGAAATGCACATTTTTTAAAACTTTGATTCACATATTCTTCATATTCTTATTTTTTTTTTTTGAGACAGGGTCTGGCTCTGTTGCCCAGGCTGGAGTACAGTGCCATGATCTCAGCTCACTGCAACCTCTGCCTCCTGGGCTCAAGCCATCCTCCTACCTCAGCCTCCCAAGTAGCTGGGACTACAGGCACATGCCACCACACCTTGTTAATTTTTGTGTTTTCTATAGAGACGGGGTTTCACCATATTGCCCAGGCTGGTCTCGAACTCCTGAGCTCAAGCTGTCCACCCACCTTGATCTCCCAAAGTGCTGGGATTAAGGCATGAGCCACCACGCCCAGTCACAGATATTCATATTTCTAATAAAAAATATATGAGAGGACTTTTCCCCTATTTTTGTTAATACTATTATTTAGGAAGTTGTTTTCATGATGTGGAGTTACAGATGATTTAAAATGTGGGTAATTTATTATTTATTTATAGTACTCTAGGATGATTCTTTATGTAGCTAAAGGGAAGTGCATTGATTTTTATTTAATTTCAGAATGACGTTCTGCCCCTTTCAAACTCAGTGCCTGAAGATGTGGGAAAAGCTGACCAATTAAAAGATGAAGGTGAATATTTCATACAAAAATGACTTACTTAGTAAAGCTTTCTGAAACTGGAGGAAATTACTGTCAATTGATATAGTTCTGATTACACCACCAAGACTAGATTGTCATAAGTGCACATGGCAATTACGAAACAGAAATGAATGTGATGGGTAAGAAGCCTGGAAGTACAGAATGGCTTGTGGGCAGTACAGTTACGGCTTGCTTCAAGAGAAGCAGATCTGTTGTAAAAGTTGCAGAACACATAACTTAAGGGCGAATTGCTTCGGTTTTTGCTACTTATACTGTAGGATCTCAAATTCTTCTTTAACTTAAAAAGAGGAAAATAGTTTTCAGCATTATTTTATCTTTCATATGTTTAGTGTTTTTGAGTTCTTTGAAATTTGTTAAGGTAGGCACATGGTACTTGTTTATTAGCTAGCACTTTTGATTACTACATTATTAAATTTTATACTAGTTGGCTATTGAAGCATTCTTGGTTTTAAGAAATAAGTCACTGTTGAGGATTTGTGTTCCATTTTTCCATTATGTCAGCTATGTTAAGCTATAGACGGGAGCCAGGTGAGGCCTGTAAGATTTGTACTACAAAGCTTTAGGGTATAGTCCTTATCTTTAGCAGTGAGTGACAGCCAATAAATCCTCTGTTCTATATATAGACAGAGGGTTACTAGGGAATATGCTATGTTCAGAAACATTTTCTAGCCTTTTCTTTATTTCATACCTTGAAGAAGGCAGTTGAGTTAAAAAAATATATATCATGGCCGGGCACGGTGGTCTACACCTGTAATCCCAGCACTTTGGGAGGCCGAGGTGGGTGGATCACAAGGTCAGGAGATCAAGACCATCCTGGCCAACTCGGTGAAACCCCGTCTCTACTAAAAATACAAAAATTAGCTGGGCATGGTGGTATGTGCCTGTAATCCCAGCTACTCAGAAGGATGAGGCAGGAGAATTGCTTGAACCCGGCAGGCGGAGGTTGCAGTGAGCCGAGATCACGCCACTGTACTCCAACCTGGCAACAGAGGGAGACTCCATCTCAAAAAAAAAAAAATATATGTGTGTGTGTGTGTGTGTGTGTGTGTGTGTGTGTGTGTGTATAAAATCAGCTGGTATCTAAAAAGGTGGATATGAAACAATTATACTGTTCCTATTCCTTGGGCATGGTCATTTCTCTAGGTCTGTAAATATATACCTATATCACTGTGGTTTTTGCTTTTGTTTTGTTTTTTTTGAGACAGAGTCTCTCTGCCACCTCGGCTGGAGTGCAGTGGCAGGATCTCGGCTCACTGCAACCTCTGCTTCCTGGGTTCATGCAATTCTCCTGCCTCAGCCTCCCGAGTAGCTGGGATCATAGGCGCGTGCCACCACGCCTGGTGAATTTTTTTGTATTTTTAGTAGAGATGAGGTTTCACCATGTTGGCCAGGCTGGTTTTGAACTACTGACCTCATGTGATCCGCCCACCTCAGCTTCCCAAAGTGCTGAGATTACAGGCTTGAGCCACCACGCCTGGCCTATATCACTGTTTTTAATGGCTGTGTAGTGTTACATGATACTGTTTGAGCATGTCTTACTTACCTAGACAGATAATTTTGTAATCCTAAATAACACTGTCTTTGATATTTTTGTCAATATTTATTTTTGCTACTTTGTTCCTTTTTTGAGATGGAGTCTGGCTCTGTCGCCCAGGCTGGAGTGCAGTGGTGCAATCTTGGCTCACTGCAACCTCTGCCTCCCAGGTTCAAGTGATTTTCCTGCCTCAGCCTCCCGAGTAGCTGGGACTACAGGCATGTGCCACCACGCCCAGCTAATTTTTGTATTTTTAATAGAGATGGAGTTTCACTATGTTGGCCAGGCTGGTCTCAAACTCCTGACCTCAGGTGATCCACCCACCTCGGCCTCCCAAAGTGCCAGGATTACAGATGTGCGCCACCACACCCAACCCTGAATTTTTATATGTTAAGTATTTTATATGTTAAATATGTTAAGCCTTTTATCATTAACTTATAGTATATATGTGTATAATATTTGTGGTATGTATATATACATTATGATATCTACACCTTTGAGGTGACACAGGAAAAGACATACAGTACAGTTTTATAATGTAATCATAAAATGCCATCAAGACAAAGAGCCCAACAGCAACATCAAAGTCTCAATAACCCAGAAAATTAAAATGTTTGACATGGAAATCAAACTATCTTTGCTAATATAAACTTTTTGTTTCTTCATAAAAAACAATGTTAACCTCTCAGTTTCCTTAGAGGCTTTCTATTGATTTCTTTTTTGGGGAAGATCCAAATTAATTTTTTTAACTTGAAAAGATATTTGTTGCGATATAATTCATATGTCATACAATTTACTTCTTTAAAGGGTACAATGCATTAGTTTCTCATATATTCACAGAGTTGTGCAGCCATTACCATAATCAATTATAGAAATTTTTTTTTTTCTTGAGACAGGGTCTCACTCTTTCGACCAGGGTGGATTGCAGTGGCAACAGTACAGATCACTGCAGCCTCAACCTCTTGGGCTCAAGCAATCCTCCCACTTCAGCCTCCTGAGTAGCTGGGACTACAGGCACACACCACCACCCCAGCTAATTTTTGTGTTTTTTTTTTTTTTTGTAGAGATAGGGTTTCACCATGTTGCCCAGGCTGGTTTCTAATTTCTGGGCTCAAGCCATACTCCTGCCTTGCCCTCCCAAAGTGCTGGGATTACAAGGATGAGCCATCATACCCGGCCTACAGAACATTTTTATAACCCCCCAAACAAAAACCATGTGCTTATTAGCAGTCACCCTTTATATTCATTTTTGATTCCTAATTTACAGTAATTTGAATATTCTGTTTTTGTTCCTTGGAAATTTATGCCCCACTCTTCCTGTTAAGCAGCTAATGATCTATTAAGAACAAGGCTAATGTGAGAGTTTCTGGTTTAAGAAAACTGGAAAGAATCACAGATACCTTTGAGATGTAAATCATTCCTCCTAATCTCCATTGTTTCTAATATTTTCTTTTTCTTTTTCTTTTTTTTTAAAGACAGGGTTTCACTCTGTCACCCATGCTGGAATGCAGTGGCACAATCATGGCTCACTGCAGCTTCAACCTCCTGAGTTTATGTGATATTCCTGCTTCAGCCTCCAAGTAGCTGGGACTACAAGTGTGTACCACTGCGCCTGGCTAATTTTTTTAATTATTCTTTTTGTTGAGATGAGGGGGGGTCCCACTATATTGCCCAGGCTGGACTCGAACTCCTGGCCTCAAGTGATCCTCCCACCTTCACTTCCCAAAGTGTTGGGATTACAGGCATAAGCCACCACGCCCAGACATATTTTGAACCATTGGTTCTTACAAGTGCAGAGGACACTACTTTTTCATTTAATGGTATACAAAAAATACCCATAGGAAATCTCTTATTTTGCTGACATTTTATTAACTTAGCTAAATTACTGCCAGATGTATCTGCAGATGCCCTTCCTGAAAATCAGTACTTTGCAGGCTAGCCATGGTATCTGAAATTCTCTTTCTAGAAATTAATCTCTTTAAATCCCCTTTTAAAAAGAGTCTAACTCTGGAAGGGATAGCACATAAAAATATTATCTGCCACTATCATGATAGCATGATTAGTTTTATCAGCTTATCCTCAGCAGTGTTCTGAGAACTTGATTATCAGCAGATGTGTGTTTTAACAGGGAAAGAGTGGAAGACCAGGTCCAGATTGAGATGGTGATTAGGGAGGGTGTTGCATCTGGAACGGGCTGGGGCAGCTCTAAAAGGGAGGAGAGAGATGAAGATAAGGAAGGTGAGAAGAGATTCACTTTTGCCATGAGATAGTCATAATTGTTGCATTTACTCTTTTAAGTCTGGATTTTATAAGGTATATAAACATTAATTTTTTAAAAGACTTTGCATTGTTAAAATGATTCAAACACACTGAAAGCTAAATAATATCAACTCTATAGTACAATGTAAAATTTTTTCCAGTGTGACTGAAAAATCATGAGGCCGACTTTCATATAATTATAGTTTCCACGATTAAAATGTGTCTATAAGAGTGTATGTTTTTAATGTATATTATACTTACTGTACATACTGGTTACTTTATTTTAGGCAATAACCACATGAAAGAAGAAAATTATGCTGCTGCAGTGGATTGTTACACACAGGCAATAGAATTGGATCCCAATAATGCAGTTTACTATTGCAACAGGTAAACTAGCACTATTGTGGCAGGTTTGCAATTCTTAAACATTTAGATTAATAGCTCTGAAGGAAAATGCAAATCTTAATTATTTAGAAAATTTTGAAAGTTCAGAAAAATATAAAGAAGGAAGAAAAAATAAACTTAACCAACTTACCACTCAGAGGCAACCACTGTTATTAATCTGTTAGCATATTTTGTCTTACATAAATTTATTTATTTATTTATTTATTTATTTTTTTTTTTTTTTTTGAGACGGAGTCTCACTGTCACCCAGGCTGGAGTGCAGTGGCATGATCTCGGCTCACTGCAAGCTCCGCTTCCCGGGTTCACGCCCTTCTCCTGCCTCAGCCTCCCAAGTAGCCGGGACTACAGGCGCCTGTCACCACGCCCGGCTAATTTTTTTGTATTTTTAGTAGAGATGGGGTTTCACCGTGTTAGCCAGGATGGTCTCGATCCCCTGACCTCGTGATCTGCCTGCCTCAGCCTCCCAAAGTGCTGGGATTACAGGCGTGAGCCACCGCGCCCGGCCTAAATTTATTCATTTTTATTTTTATTTTTTTTGAGACGTGGTCTCACTTTGTCACCCAGGCTGGAGTGCAGTGGCATGATCTCAGCTCACTGCAACCTCTGCCTCCTGAGTTCAAGTCATTCTCCCACCTCAGCCTCTGCTGGGACATCAGGTGGACTACAGGTGCACACCACCATGCCTGGCTAATTTTTGTATTTTTGTTTTTTTTGGTGGAGATGGGGTTTCACTGTTCAAGTTGGCCAGGCTGGTCCTGAACTCCTGACTTCAAGTGATCCACCTGCCTTGGCCTCCCAAAGTGCTGGAATTACAAGCATGAGCCACCACACTCGTCCAGTTTATTCATTTTTAGATTCACCTTTGTTCACTGGTTTTACCAAAAATATGTCCTTATTTTATTGCAGTCTTTCATAAGCATTATTTAAATGGTTACAAATTAATCTCTATTACTACTGCTTATTCTTTTTTATATTTCCAGCACCTATCATTGTGGCTAGCAAAGAAGTACTCAGCAAGGGTTATTTTTGAATAGGGAGATAGACATACCTTAGTTTACTTACCTATTGACCTACTGGTGGACATGGAGGTTGCTTCCATTTTTTTTCAATATTATCATATAAAGCTGCAATGAACATCTGTTGTTTCTAAAATATTTTTCATGCTTTAGATTTTCTGGACTTTGGATTTATCCCTGGAAATGCACTTAGTAGATCTAGAAGTGCAAATTATTTTTAAAATTGTTGATGCAAATTACAAAACTGTCCCATCTTCTTTGAAAATATTTTGAAAATTCTCTCCCTAGGAATGTATCTGTTTTGGCTACACCCTTGATCAGCACTAAGTATGCAAATGATTAATTATTGCTAATTTAATTTTGTTTTCATATTGTTCTAATTTATATTTAAATACTGGTGAGGTTGGATATTTTTCAAATGTTGGCCATTTTTATTTGTTTTTTCCTAAATTTTCTATTTATACCTTCTATAGACTGAATGTTTCTATCCCCTTAAAATTCATATACTAATGTGAATTTTACACCCAATCTCCAATGTGATGGTATTTGGAGGTGGAACCTTTGGAAGGTGATTAGGTTATGAGGCGAGGATTAGTACCTTTATGAAAGAGACTCTGGAGAGCTCCCCTGTCCCTCTTGCCATGTGAGGACACAGCAGGAGGAGTACCCCTACCAGTTCTTAGCTTGTTTGACCCCAGACTTCTTTCTTCCTCTTTCTTGGCTCTGTCCTTTTTAACACGGGTCTGAACCCTATAGGCTGCATTTCCCAGTCTCTTTTACCATCTGGCTTTTGTATGGGTTCAGCCATGGAGGTACTGGCAGGAGATTTGAAGGGTAGAAGGAAGAGAGAAGTCTAGGTATTTCTTTCTGCTTTTTAATTTAATTTTATTTTTTAACATCATGGTGTATATTCAGCAGGGGCTGCTTCTCATCCTTGTCTTCCTACTTCCACCCGAGACACATACTGTTGTTTTGGTCTTTGCCAGGGGACCTTCGGTATTGGACTTTGTACTTTGTCCTTCAGTCTTAGGGATGGTAGTGGCTTCCTGTTGTGAATTTCTGGATTGCTGTACAACCCTGTTTGGCCTCTCAGCTCTTCTGCCACCTTATGTAATAAATTCCCTGAATTAAATTATTCTGTTTTAAATTTTGAAGTTCCAGTAGAACTTTCTACAGTGATCGAAATGTTCTATATCTGTACTGTCCAACTCAGTTGCCACTAGCCACAGTGGCTGTTGAGCACTTGAAATGTGGCTAGAGAGCAATTGAGGAACTAAATTTTTAATGTCTAAATCAATTTAAAATTAATTTAGGCCGGGCGCAGTGGCCCACGCCTGTAATCCCAGCACTTTGGGACGCCGACGCGGGCGGATCACGAGGTCAGGAGATCGAGACCATCCTGGCTAACACAGTGAAACCCTGTCTCTACTAAAAATTCAAAGGAATTAGCCGGGCATGGTGGCAGGCGCCTGTAGTCCCAGCTACTCAGGAGGCTGAGGCAGGAGAATGGTGTGAACCCTGGAGGCGGAGCTTGTAGAAAGCCAAGATGGCGCCACTGCACTCCAGCCTGGGCGACAGAGTGAGACTCTGTCTCAAAAAAAAAAAAAAAAAAAATTTAATTTAAATAGCCACATATGGCTTATGGCTGCTATATCAGACAGCAGAGCCCTATATTAAAGATATAGAACAAAAATCCGTGTGTCTTATTTGCCTTTTAATGTTTTTCATATGTAAAAGTTTTAAAAATTTATGTAGTCCAATTTTTCTTTTCCTTTGAATTTTATTCCAGTGCTTTTAGACTTAAAGCTCTCCCCATTTACAGACTTGACAAATAACTTCTATTTTCTTATTTTTCCTTTCATTTAAATTTTATCATCTCAAGTCTGTTTTGGTTACTGGCATTACTATTTTAACCCATTCGAAACTTGTTATAACGGCCTTATCACCTTTTATTTTATAGTAGGTTCTTAGGTTTGAAAGAGATCTTTAAGTTAACTTGATCCAATATTTCATAAACTCATTATTATCATATTTAGGGTAGTCACACCTTTCTGAGATAGCACTCTCCTCCCCTACCTTTTCTTTTGTGGTTAGGTTATATCTGTTAGAAAGGTCTTCCTTATATTGACACTGAATTTGTTTTCCTATAACTCCTGTAGCTTCTGTCGGTTGGTTTTAGTTAAGGGTAATTCCGGAATAATTATGATTCTTTTTTTTTTTTTTTTTTTTTTTTTTGAGACGGAGTCTTGCTCTGTTGCCCAGGCTGGAGTGCAGTGGCAGGATATTGGTTCACTGCAACCTCCGCCTCCCAGGTTCAAGTGATTCTCCTGTCTCAGTTTCCCAGGTAGCTGGGACTACAGGCATGTGCCACCACTCCAGGCTAATTTTTGTATTTTTAGTAGAGATGGGGTTTCACCATCTTGGGCAGGCCAGAGTTGAACTCCTGACCTCAAGTGATCTACCTGCCTCAGCCTCCCAAAGTGCTGGGATTAGAGGTCTGAGCAACCACGCCCAGCCATGATTCTTCTTTTTCTTTTCTTTCTTTCTTTTTTTTTTTTTTTTGGGAGACAGAGTCTCACTCTGTCGCCCAGGCTGGAGTGCAGTGGCGCGATCTTGGCTCACTGCAAGCTCCGCCTCCCGGGTTCACGCCATTCTCCTGCCTCAGCCTCCCAAGTGGCTGGGACTACAGGCGCCCACCACCACGCGTGGCTAATTTTTTTGTATTTTTTTTAGTAGAGATGGGGTTTCACCACGTTAGCCAGGTTAGCCAGGATGGTCTCGATCTCCTGACCTCGTGATCCACCCGCCTCGGCCTCCCAAAGTGCTGGGATTACAGGCATGAGCCACCGCACCCGGCTCATTCTTCTTTTTCATGACAGTACCTTACATTTTAAAATTTGCTACCATGTTCACTTTTCTTTTCTCCACATTCAATGTTTGAAATTTCTTCTGTTAAACTTCAGGTAGTACAGCTTTAAGTCCTGTACCTTCACTTGAAACTTGTTCCAGTTTACCTCTGTCTGTTAGATATAGTTCCCAGAAGATAAGACAGTATACCTGGCATTAGTCTAACTAGACCAACAGTCTTGTAAGACTCTCATTTAACCTACTTTCTAGATAGCATAACTATATATCAGCATATTCTAGCATTATTTGTTAAGTTCATATTTTGCTTTTGGTATATTACATCCCTCTTTTTTCATAGATTCTATCATATAACTCAATCGTATATATATTTGACAGGTTTTTACCAAATACCTGCTATGCACTAGCACTGCCACTGGAGGAACAATTGGTTGCTTATACTCAAATGCAGGCTCTTAAGTTTTGCCCCTATCAAATTCTATCTTGTTATAATCTTCTATTTATTTGTCTTTTAAAGCTTTTTTGATAAGTAATCTGTAAAGTAATGAATTTGCTCTTACTCCCATTTTCATGTTATCCACAAACTTGAGAAGAGTACCATATCTTATATCAATAACAAGTTGGCTGGGTGCAGTGGCTCACGCCTATAATCCCAGCACTTTGGAAGGCTGAGGCGGATGGATCACTTGAGGTTCGCAGTTCCTGGCCAATGTGATGAAATCCTGTCTCTACTAAAAAGCAAAAACAAAAACCAAACAAACCAGTCAACTACTGGAACTATAATAGAGAAGTGGTTAAGAGCAGGGGTTCTGAACCCAGACTCTTTTAAAAATATATATGTATTTCAGTAGCTTTGGGGGTACATGTGGTTTTTGGTTACACGGATGAATTGTATAGTGGTGAAGTCTGAGATTTTAGTGAAACTATCACCCGAGTAGTGTACATTGTACCCAACATGTAGTTTTTTATCTCTCATCTCCCTCCCATCCTCCCACTTCTGAGTCTCCAAAGTACATTATACTACTCTGTATGCCTTTGTGTACCAATAGCTTAGCTCCTACTTATAAGTGAGAATACACAACATTTGGTTTTCCATTCCTGAGTTATTTCACTTAGAGTTATGATCTCCAGCTCCATCCAACTTGCTGCAAAAGACATTATCTTGTTCTTTTTTGTGGCTGAGTAGTATTCCATAGTATATACATATATACCACATCTTCTTTATCCACTCATTGGCCGATGAGCCCTTAGTTGGTTCTACATCTTTGCACTTGTGAATTGTCCTGCAATAAACACATGTGTGCAGGTGTCTTTTGGATATAATGATTTTTTTTTCTTTGGGTGGGTACCCAGTAATGGGATTCCTGGATCGAATGGTAACTCTACTTTTAGTTCTTTAAGAAATCTCCATACTGTTTTCCATATAGGTTGTATTAATTTACATTTCCACTAGCAGTGTATGAGCATTCCCTTTTCACCACGTCCATGCCAACATCTGTTGTTTTTTGACTTTCTAATAATGGCCATTCTTGCAAGAGTAAGGTGGTATCTCATTGTGGTTTCAATTTGCATTTCCCTGAAAATTAGTGATGTTGAGCATTTTTTCATATGTTTGTTGGCCATTTGTATACTTTGAGAAATGTCTATTCATGTCATTTGCCCACTTTTTGGTGGGATAATTTGTTTTTTTCTTGCCGATTTGTTTGAGTTTCTTGTAGATTCTGGGTATTAGTCCTTTGTTGGATGCACAGTTTGCAAATATTTTCTCCAATTCTGTGGGTTGTCTGTTTACCCTGATGATTATTTCTTTTGCTGTACAGAAGGCTTTTAGTTTAATTAGGTCTCACTTATTTATTTTTGATGGTTCCAGACTCTGTGGATTCTAATTTCTGGCTCTGACACTTACTACCTATGGGACCTTGAGCAAATTTCCTAGTGCATCTATGCCTTGGTTTCCCTATCTGTAAAATGTGGGTAATACTAGTATTTACCTTGTAGGGTTGTTATGGAGATCAAGCAGTATAGTACATTTGATGCATTTCAAGTCAACTTGCAGCCATCAATATACATCCTCCCTAAATACTTAGCATGCATATCATTAACTAGAGTTTAGTATTTACTTTTTTGGGGGTAAAATTTGCTTACAAAAAATGCATAAATCTTAACTGTACTTTCATGGAGTTTTGACAAATACATACACCTGTATAACCTAAAATTCTATCAAGATATTGAAAATTACCATCCTAGCCAGGCATGGTGGAGGGTGCCTGTAATCCCAGCTACCATCAGATGTCCAGGAAGTTCCTTAAACCCCTTCACAGTCTGTTGCCTACAACACTCACCAGAGGTAACCACTGTTTTGATAGATTAGATTCATTTCCTCTAGAGTTTCATATGAAAGAAATCATACATATTTTCTGTGCAAGACTTTATTTGCTCAGCGTAACGGTTTTGAGATTCAACCATGTTGTGGCATGTATTAGTTCATTCTTTTTTATTGATCAATAATATTCTATTGTTTGAATATATCAGTTTGCTTAGCTATTTTTGTATCTATGGCCACCTGGGCTGCTTCTAGTTAAAACAATTTTTTTTAAATGTTGTCCAGATTTTATAGTTATTATTTGTGGGAGGTCATATCCTTAAGAAGTTTAGTTGGCCTCACTAGAGAACTTCATTTTCTTCTTCACATACACAAAAATTCCTTTATTAATCATCAATGTAGCTCCCCAAAATAGAAAATCCAAATAGTTTGTGGAGAATGAATCCTCTTAGCTGTGGTTTGATGGTTAAGTTTTATTCTGTGTAATCAGATTAATTTATATAATGTTTTAGTGTTTTAACATATGCAGTCTTGAAATAAATACTTGAGTGTCATGAAATGTTGTAACCAGATACAAATATTATCACAAAATTTCTTATTTGTACAGCACAATAAGCCATGTACTTTTAAGTATAAATATGGAAAATGTGAGCCTACAAAGTTTATTTTTGATGAGAATAGTCTTATATCCACCAGTACTGTATTAGAAGAAATTTTTGGCAATACCTATGCTTGCTTTTTATTTAATTTTTGTAAAACTGAAATCAATAATTATGCTTCTCTTTTGCACTTAAATTGTATCTTTTTCCCTGAAAAGTGCAGTAAAAGAGCATGCTATTTAATATTAAATAATCAGAAAACTTTATACATTTAATATAAGTACTAAACAAAGCTTTAGGATCACTTTGGTTTTTTTGAGACTCTAGTAGCTATAAATATCTCAGTAGCCTGTAATCTTGCCAACTACCTCTGCCATTTTTCTTTGCCAGCTGGCTGCCAAGAATTGAAAGCTCAGAATAGCCAATCTAAATATTCATTTTAAATTCATTTTCACAATTTTATTACTAATCAAAATATTTTTTACATACTCAACTCACTAGGATGAACTAATGTTTACTTTTTATAGAACTGACTTTTTAATTTGTTAGAAAATGATCATCTGGCACATTTCTTAAGCATGACTCTTTCTTTTCTGGTACTTGTCTTCTATTTTGGCCTTTTAGGATCCTACTGATGCTTTAGGCTCCACTTTGATAAAAGGAAAACCTGAATCCTTCCTTGTAAACATACCATGTAGTTTTGCTTTTTGAATATACTTCTAGCACTTGCCACAATGTGTAACATTTATGTAGGTTTGTCATATGTTTTATCGTATGCTTATCATACGTTCTGCCTTATCTTATATGCATATTTGTTTTATTTCTTCAGGTGAAGGGCAGAGATTGGCACTTGTATCTATTTGTATCCCCTATAGCACCTTATACTGTGCCTTGTAGGAATTCAGCCAATTTTTGTAGGATGAAGTGTATAAAAGATACTGAAGCAACCAGCCATTCACATTAACACTTGTGTACATAAAACAACAACTGATTGAGTATAGGTCTAAAACACCACCAAGTTCTCCATGATATGAAATGAACAACAGTTTTGGATGTCTTCTGTCTCTACACAAACACAATGTTCTTATTTCTTTTGTACTTCAGTGCTGAGTACTTTACCCATAGTCAGCTCATGCTTCAGGGGTGGATGGATAGTTGAATGACTTAAGGCAATAAAAGACAGGAGAGAGAGAGAGCATGATGCAGGGAATTTGGAAGGCCTCTTAGGTGATGGAGAACTGGAGTCGGATTTGAAGGACCAGTAGAACTTGGATAGGCAGAGGAGAGGGGAAGGCATTTCAGATTGGAGAGCTTAGTATAAAAGGCACAATCAAGAAGCCTCAGGCCATTGTAATAAGAATGCTAGTGACAGCACGTAGCCGTGTGAGCTCTGAGAAAGATGGGAACAGAGGCCTCATTATTTCGCATTTTGTTTCCTCCTCTTCTGTGAGCAGCATGTGGTCAGTCAGTCCACTGGGATTTGAGCTTGTTGTTGAATCTCTGTTCTGCACTTACTAGCTACATGACCTTGGGCAGTTACTGTATCTTTTTAAGCCTCAGTTTCCTCACTTGTAAAATAAGGATATTATCCACTTCAAAGGGTAGTTGTAAGGAGTGATAATATGTACAAAGTCCCCAGCATAGTCCTAGACTTGCAACATTTGTTTCTTTCAAAAACAAGGTAAGGCTTCTTTAATTGTAGGAATAGATTTTTGCCATAATTTATTTATGCATGATGTGAGAAATGTGAAGTAGCTTAATTTTTTTCCGTCTCTCTGTAAAAATAGAACATAAATCATATTTGTGCTTTTGTTTCTAATAAGGTGAAGAAAGCAAGGGTGCCTGGAAACATGTGACTCTGACTGTACTGTTCCACTGAAATTTCATTAGTTATGCCCTGATAACCAGACAACAGAGGCAGAGAGCACAGACCACGTTGTTATTCAGTTCAGACATTGGCATGTTTCGCTTCATCTTCCAGAAGATTCAAATATAGCCTGTCTTCTCTTTCCTTTCCTGGCCTCTGAGGCTCAGACGCCTCTCCTGTTCCTTTTGTGAGCTGCACAAATCTGCTTTCACCCTAACTTGCAGTTTGTGATCCAAAGCTGTTAAGATTGAAACACAGTCCCCCTCCTTCCTTACACCCACTCTTCTCTCTGAGTCTGATCCTCCCTGCTTATTTCTTATCTTATTGTCAGAATCTGAAGCCAGATTTCAGGGTGTCTTTCTGTTTCCCTTTTCCATACACCTCCCAAATAGCTAATTTATTTCCTACTCCCTTAGTCCAGGTTCTTAACTTTGGTTGAACTAGTGCAATAGGGACATCAAAATGGCTTTCCATTTCTACTTGCACTCCCCACTCCTGTCTTCTGCCAAGACGTTTTTTTTCTAAGATGTGAAATTGATCATCTAATGCTTGCTTTCAGTAGTTCCAAAATACCTACAGGATCCAATTTAAGCTCCTCAACATGACGCATAAGATCTTTTCTAATCTAGGCTCTTTCTTTTCTCTTAACTTCATTATCTTCACTTTTCCTCCTACCCTATTCCTCTTCTCTCTACTACCTATGCACATGTCATATGAAACTTACTGATTTCTTAAAAATACCATGTTGGGACATCTCTCTGTGCTTTGTATGTGCTTCCCCCTGTGCCTAGAATATTTCCTACCTTATCTAATTGGTCAACTACTAGTCATCCTTCAAAACCCATTATGCTTTGGGAGGCCGAGGTGGGTGAATCACCTGAGGTCAGGAGTTTGAGACCAGCCTGGCCAACATGGTGAAACCCCTGTCTCCACTAAAAATACAAAAAATTAGCTGGGTGTGGTGGTGCGCACCTGTATTCCCAGCTACTCTGGAGGCTGAGGCAGGAGAATTGCTTGAATCCGGGAGGCGGAGGTTGCAGTGAGCCGAAGTCACGTCACTACACTCCAGCCTGAGCTACAAGAGCGAAACTCTGTCTCAAAAAACAAAAGACAAAAAACCCTGTTAGGTGTTGCTTCTTTGGGACGACTTTCTTAATTTCTTTTCTTTTTTTTCCTTGTCACCCAGGCTGGAGTGCAGTGGCACGATCTTGGCTCACTGCACCCTCTGCCTCCCAGGTTCAGGCAATTCTTCTGTCTCAGCCTCCTGAGTAGCTGGGACTACAGGCTCCTGCCACTATGCCCAGCTAATTTTTTTGTAGTTTTAGTAGAGACGGGGTTTCACTATGTTGGCCAGGCTGGTCTCAAACTCCTGACCTCAGGTGATCCACCCGTCTCGGCCTCCCAAAGTGCTGGGATTACACGTGTGAGCCACTGCGCCTGGTCTTCTTAATGTCTTTTCCTCCCAACCTCCTGACCATGCCCCTATGCCCTTCCCCTCCGTGTCCTGTGGAGTGGTGCTGTCCAATATGGTAGCTCCCAGCCACATGTGGTGATTTAAATATAAATTAATTAAAATGTAATACAATTAAATATTGCATTAGCAGTTCCTCAGTTGCATTAGCATATTTCAAATGCTCATTAGTCACATGTGGCTAGGTGCTACTGTATTGGATAGTACAGATACAGAACTTTTCTGTTGCAGAAAGTTCTGTTAGACAGCTTGGCATAGGGTTAGCCACACCTTTCTCTGTGTTGCCTCTTCCTTTTATACTTCCATTTTTGCAATTTATTATAGTATTTGTTTATTTGCATATCTATTTCCCTATTAGACTAGGAAAGGTTGAAGGGCAGGGAGATATTCTCTTCATCTTTGTATAGTAGTTTCGAGTTCAGTGTCTAGGATATTATAGGTATTCCACAAAAGTCAGCTGAATTGGTTCAGTGAATTTTAGGAGGGAAAGTTGTCTCTACCTGATGACTTCTAATGATGAAACAGTGACATGGCAGCGTGTATGTGTGTCTATTTAAAAAAAAAATTAAACCTATTTAAACTTCTTGAGAGAGAATAGTATGATGAACATCTCTCTCTATATGTATGTTCATCACAGAATCAATGGTAGTTAACATTTTGCCATGTTTACTTCCTCTTTTCCTTCCTTCCTTCCCTCTCTCTCTCCTTCCTTCCTTCCTTCTTTCCTTCCCTCCCTCCCTTTCTCTTTCTTTCTTTTTCTCCTTCCTTCCTTCCTTCCCTCCCTTCTCCTCTTTCTTTCTCTCTTTCCTTCTTGATTCATCCCTTCCTTCCTTGCTCTCTCTCCTTCGTTCCTTCCTTCCTTCCTTCCTTCCTCTCTCTCTTTCTCTCTTTCCCTTCCTTCCCTTCCCTTCCCTTCCCGTCCCATCCTGTCCTGTCCTTCTCTCACTCTGTCACCCAGCCTGGAGTGCAATGGGATGATCTCACTGTAACCTCTGCCTTCCAGGTTCAAGCAAGTCTCATGCCTCAGTCTCCTGAGTAGCAGGGACCACGGGACACCCAGCTAATTTTTGTATTTTTAGTATAGACAGGATTTCATCATGTTGGGCAGGCTTTCTCAAACTCCTGACCTGAAGTGATTCACCCACCTCGGCCTCCCAAAGTGCTGGGATTACAGGCATGAGCCACCGCACCTGGCCTCTCTTTGTCTTTCTATTGGGGTATATGGGGTGGGAGGGTGTGTATATGCCTATATACAAATACATAAAATTTTCTTGCTGATCCCAAATACTTCAGCTATATCTCCCAAGAATAGGGATATGTTTCATATAACTATCATACCATTTACATGTAAGAAAATTAGTATTAATACTGAAATCTTTCCATTTGTCCCCAAAACATCTTTTATAGCTATGTGTTTTTATCCAGAATCCAACCACATTTCTTGCATTGTATTTTGTTATGCCACTTTTGTCTCTTTTAATCTAAAAAGTATCCCTGACTTTTTTGATTGATTGTTTTTCACGAGATAGACATTTTTGAAGAGTTCAGGCCAATTGTCTTATAGAATGAGCCATATTCTGGATTTATGTGGTGCTTCCTCATGATTAAATTTAAGTTAAATTTTGTTATGAAGCCTACAAAAATAATTATGTGTACCACTTATTGCATTGTGTTAGGAGGTACATATTTTCAGACTGTCCCATTACTGGTGACTCTAAGTTTGATATCTTAAGGTGATGACCACCAGATCTATTGTTCCTTTTGTAATTTATAAGTAATCTGTAGGGTTTGGTGATGTGAATAAAAAATTATTCCCTAACAAACTTCTATTAAATATTTTATCATCTGTTCATGATCTTTCTCCTTATCACATACGTTGATAGTTGCAAAATGGTGATTTTTCTAATTTTATCGTTTCCTTTACATATATTTCCTCACATATTTCTATAAAGAAGAGCTTTCCTCTCTTCCTTTTTCGGCTTTCTCCCTCTTCCTCACTGAAGCTTTTTTGAGTGTCAAAAAAGCTGGACTCGTTAATTTTTTAAAAATTCGCTATTCAATATGTTATAATCAGTTACCTTAATAGTTATTTTTGGTTCTTAAATTATCCCACATTTGGCTAATGAGAGCCCCTTTAAACTGGTCGTGTATCCTTTTATGTAACTTCATTTTTTTTTTTTTTTTTCTTTAAGACGAAGTCTCGGTCTGTCACCCAGGCTGGGGTGCAGTGGCGCGATCTCGGCTCACTGCAAGCTCCGCCTCCCGGGTTCACGCCATTCTCCTGCGTCGGCCTCCCGAGTAGCTGGGACTACAGGCGCCCGCCACCACGCCCGGCTAATTTTTTTTGTATTTTTAGTTTCACTGTGTTAGCCAGGATGGTCTCGATCTCCTGACCTTGTGATCTGCCTGCCTCGGCCTCCCAAAGTGCTGGGATTACAGGCGTGAGGCACTGCGCCCGGCCTGTAACTTCATTTTTAAAGAACACTTTCTTAGCCAGGCACAGTGGCTCACCGCCTGTAATCCCAGCACTTTGGGAGGCCGAGGCCAGTGGATCACTTGAGGTCAGGAGTTTGAGACCAGCCTGGCCAATATGGTGAAACACCTGTCTCTACTAAAAATACAAAAAACAGCTGGGTGTGCCACTGCACTCCAGCCTGGGAGACAGAGCAAGACTGTCTCAAAAAAAATAATAAAATAATAAAAAAACCAACCACTTTCTTGCTTTCTGAGATAATAAGACATTCCATATTTCCTTTGTACTTTCCCTGTTGTAGCCTTGAGCTCAACTATTTCTCCAAGGAAGCTCTGTCCTTTTCAGTGGAGGATGTATTTAGAAACCAAGATTGGGTTGCAGGACATGATCATTGCTACTAAGGTCTTATTGCTTCTAGGTCCTTTCAGTGGACAGAGCTAGGAAATTGATTTTTTGAAAAGTATCAGTTTATACAGATACCTTCAATTCACTAGCATCACAGAATCCTCCCTTATCTTCCCCCATTTTATATTTGTATCTTCCTTCTCCCATGGTGAAAACCCTTCTTCCATTACCACCAGTAGCTTTACTCATTTGCTGTATCTTTCAGTATCCTTCAGTTGGTATTATAAGCCAATATTACACCACTAGCACGCCTGCTATGTAAACTTCAGGATTTCTTTGCAGTTTTTCATTTGTCTTTGAATGCATCTCACTAAGCATATATACTGAGAATACTGTGCTCAAAAGTGATTTGAATTGTTTTTGATATACAATTAGGATCAATTGTTTGTTTTATTCAGTTTGAAGTTTTGCTTTTTCATCTTTCTGAAGTCTTACTCCCATTTCTATCCCATCTACCCCATTCTCACCCATCCCCTATAGGATGAGAGTGAGACTTCTAATGTAGGTTTAACTTCTGAACTTTGTACGTTTTTTACATAAAATTAAATTTAAAAGGATGATTAGTAAAAATAATACCTCTCTCTATCCTTAATGATCTGATTTGCCTTGTGTTTAATATTAGTGTTTCTACATCAGCTTTCTTTTTTGTTGTTTCAGTTCTCCTGTTTGTCTTTTGCTGTCCTTTTAACTTCAACCTGTGTATGATTATGGTTTAAGTGATATCTTTTGTATCCAAGTTGAGAATCTGAGTTTTGTGTGATAAATTTGAATTGTTTTCTGCTACCTTTTTTAGGGGGGTGAGGAGGACAGACTCTTGCTTTGTAACCCAGGCTAAAGTACAGTGGCATGAACATGGCTCACTGCAGCCTCGACCTCCTGGGCTCAAGTGATCCTCCTGTCTCAGCCTCCCGAGTAGCTGAAACTACAGGCGTACACCACTACACCTGGGTAATTTTTAAATTTTTCGTAGACACAGGGTCACACTGTGTTGCCCAAGGTGTTCTCAAACTCCTGGACTCAAGTGATCCTCTTGGCCTTGACCTCCCAAAGTGTTGGGATTACAGGCATGAGCCACTGCACCTGGCTCTTTTTAAGCATCCTTTTTCTTGGCTGCTTCTTCTCTCCCCCACATCCCCCCCTTCTATTGGATTGATTTTTTTTCTTTCTTTCTAATTATTTGGAAGTTACACATCCTATATCTCTTCTTCTAATGGTTATTCTTGTCCTGCTGTTACTTTGTATTGAGTATTAAGTTGGAGAAACCCATACCACTTTTTCACATGAACTACCAAAACTGGTTTGTTGAACCCTATACTTTCAAATCTTAATTTTTTTTAAACTGAAGCAAAGGACTATGTTTATTTTTAAATAAATATTAACATTTTTATAATTAGTCTGAAAAGTAAGGGCCTCAGTCATGCTGTATGAAGAAAGATTGGCAGAAAACTAGACCTAAAACCACCTTTTCTCTATAGTCTGCCAGACTTCTCCTCCCACTCCATGCCCCCACTAGAATCTAAGTGCTATTGAGGACAGGAATATTATTTTGCTTATTGCTGTATCCATTATTCTTAGAAAAGTGTGCATTCACTGGCCCTCAATAGATATATTAGTTGAATGAATCAAGTAGAAATATTTAGAGAAGAACAAATGGAGTGGTGTAGCTTTACTCCTTCGCTGTATCTTTCAGTATCCTTCAGTTGTTATTATAAACCAATATAATTGGTTTATAATTATAAATTACAATTATATTGGTTTATAATTATGAGGGCAGGAGACATTATGGAAACTTTGAGTTGAAAGATTTGCATGTCAGACAATAATTATACTTGTATTGTTCCCAGTCATTTTAGAAGAGTTTTTTTGGTAGATGTGATATAGCAAGTGTTAACAAATCAGATAAATGGTCCTTGATTGCTCTGAGATTCTGTGCAAAGTAGATGTAATAGTTGTCATCCTTAATTTACAGCCAGATTTAGGTACACAGATAAGTGTTTTTACTTTAGATTTGCTAGATAATCTTAATATATTGTAATGTTATGTGTACCTGTAGAATGACTAGTGTTTTGGGAAGGCATGAATATGCATTTATTAAAGATAAATTTTAACTAAACAAAGAAATACAATTAAAAGGCCAGGCATGGTGGCTCACGCCTGTAATCCCAGCACTTTGGGAGGCTGAGGCAGACAGATCACGAGGTCAGGAGATCGAGACCATCCTGGCTAACACGGTGAAACCCCCGTCTCTACTAAAAATACAAAAAATTAGCTGGGCGTGGTGGCGGGCGCCTGTAATCCCAGCTACTTGGGAGGCTGAGGCAGGAGAATGGCTTGAACCCAGGAGGCGGAGCTTGCAGTGAGCCAAGATCACGCCATTGCACTGCAGCCTGGGCGACAGAGCAAGACTCCACCTAAAAAAAGAAAAATTAAAAATAGTTAACATTAAATCCTGAATGTAGCCATATATGAAACACTTAAAATGCAATCCACATGGTATTATTGTTCTCTTTGAAAACTTTTGCTAGGTAACATTCCAGATGCTCAGAGTATGCTAAGTCCTATGTATTATGTATAGAGGAGTCATTTTCTGATTGTATTTTAAAAATCACAAAGCAGATATCTAAAGGCAAGTATTGCCTTTCAGTTTCCTGAAGGTGTTTAGCAAGTGTTTAGGAACAGATTTGTTGTTTTTTCAAAACCACATAGTTCTTTCTCTGAATTCCCTTTTCAAAATTTTCTCTCTCCATCCTCCCATGAGCCCTTTTACCCTTCTTGCATGTTTCTGTGCATATGTGCGGACAAGTAAACTGTTTTGAAGGTGAGACTCTTGGCAGAAAAGAGATGAGATTGAGGCATTTGCTGTTCTACAAAATCACCGTTATCAGATTTCCAGAATCAGATGTCAGTGATAGATCAGACACTAGGCCTGTGAATTTGCAGATAGTATTGCCTTGCCTAATGAATTAGATATAAGACCTGGACTTAGTATATATCTCATGCTCCGTTTCTGGACAAGATTTTTTTTCTTCCAGTGGCTCTGCTTATTATATATAATAAAATTATTTTAAAAATCTGTCTCAAAAAGTCCATTAACTCCTTTTCTCTCAATAAATGTTGTGAATTCTTAGATGAAATTTGGTTTAGCAGTTTTGTAATCCCAGATTCAACTTCCTGGCCAGGTGCAGTGGCTCACACCTGTAATCCCAGCACTTGGGGAGGCCGAGGTGGGCGGATCACTTGAGGTCAGGAGTTCAAGATCAGCCTGGCCAACATGGCGAAACCCTGTCTCTACTAAAAATACGAAAATTAGCCGGGTATGGTGGCACACACCTGTAATCCCAGCTACTTGGGGGGTTGAGGCAGGAGAATCACTTGAACCTGGGAGACGGAGGTTGCAGTGAGCCGAGATCGCGCCACTGCAGTCCAGCCTGGGCGACAAAGCAAGACTCCGTCTCAAAAACACAAACACAACAACAATAACAAAAAACTCCCTGAGTTGGTAGGATTCCATTGTCATTCAGTTAATTCCTTGCATTACTTCTCTCTCTGAACTGTTCTCCTTCAAGCAACCAGGCAGAATAGACCAGAACATCTGAGGCCTCTGAGGGACCTTCCTGGCTCTATGGACTAAAATCACCTGTCGACAAGAGCTTTCTATAGTGGTAGAAAAAGGAGCTTGCTCTGAGACAATGTCTCATTCCTCCCTTATTGTTATTGTGACACAAAGTTTTTGTCCTGAAAGCACTGTGGCTTAGAAGGCCAAGCATAAATATGAGTTTTCTTGAAATCTCCTTTCTGAGTACGTATGTATCTATGTGTCACCCATTGAAGTATATAAACTTTTCAAGGTTGGTCTCTTAAAATTTTCTCTGAGTTAAGCTACTCTAAAAGGAAGATCTGTACTTGTCTGGAAGGTTGTGCTCCTTATACAGCATAACTTTAATGAATGCTTATTGACCTGGAATCCTCACATTGGATGGGGAAAAGTCAGTGATCCAGACTCACATGTTGTTAATCTGCTTTGTGGAAACCAGGCTATGATGGGAATTTCTCATCATCTTCCTGTTAATTAGAACTAAACTCCTATTTCTTCTCCTTTTCTTCCCACTAAATGTGCTGAATTTTTAGTGAAAATTTAGTAGGTTTATATTCCCAGGTTCAGCTTCCAGAATTGGCAGTATTTCTTTTAGCTTCTTCTATCCAGGATTGGTTTTACATAACACATCTGTTCATGGATACCTAGCAAATAATTGATTTATTACTATGTACATCCAGTATTTGTAGAGTATAATAATAAGCTGGATGTGATATAGAAGTAGTATTAGATAACCCTAATCTATAGTTTGATTGACAGGAGGAGATTAGAACATACTTAAGAAATATTGAGGATTAGCAAGGATCCTCACTGATACTTGGAGCTAGGTGGTGTTTTAATCAGCTTTATTGTTTTCGTGTGTGCTTATTAGATTCCAGCTAGGTCCTTGAAAGACATGACCTTTGACTAATTTCAAGGAAGAGAGATGGTTTACTGGGTGGTTAAGCAAAAAGATTGTTTTTAAGGACAATTAAAACAACATATATGGGGCCAGGTGCGGTGGCTCATGCCTGTAATCCCAGCTCTTAGGGAGGCAGAGGCGGGAGGATAGCATGAGCCCAGGAGTTCAGGACTTGCCTGGGCAATATAGCGAGACCATGTTTGCTACAAAAAGGAAAAAAAAAAAAAACAAATGTGGGTAAAGAGAGAATAAAGGTAGCAAAAACAAGAGTAGTGCTTCTCAGATTGCAGTGGGAGAGGAACATGAGGTCAGAGACTTGGGTTGGCGTGAGACTCTTGTCTGTAGACTGAAGAACATGAAGGAGCCTAAGTTCATTTCTGGGCTTGCAAGCAAAATTTTCAGGGAGTGCTTCTTTACCTTTATTAATGCAAAGGGTACCAGGTCTTGGAGTTACAGTGTTGGAGGCAGAGGTGCTGTGCAGCATAGCATTCTCCTTTGCAGTTGTGAGAAATTGAAGAAGTGGTCAGCACACCCTGGCCCTCCTTGGTCCAAGAAACTTCTGTTTCTTGGTTGCTGGCACCCCACTTTGACTTCTGAGCATCTGTCTTAGAGCTTCTCTTCTTTCCTGTTTCTCCTCTGAGCTATTTCTTCCTATTTGGAAACGTTATTGAGGAGAGTTCACAACTGCAGGGATTTTGATCTAGGCAAGTGTTCTTTTTCCAAAGTTGGCTCTTCAACCTTTTGATGAGGGACAAGATTATGAGAACTTCTGGGAGCCTGAAAGAAATAAAATACAGTTGGCCTTAGAAATGAGTGAATGAGAGAAAGTGCCAGGGGACTGGGATATCACTTTTACTTGTCGTTTAACCCTACCATTAAAGTGATAATAGCACAACCCTCTGTGTAGCCATTCACAGCAATAACTCACTCTTTGTGCCTCCATAGTAGCCAAGATGTCCTAGCTTTTTCACTTTTCTGTTTGGACAAACTAGAAAGGGTATAAATAGGTAGACCAGTTGTATGACTTACATATTTGTCCTTTCTATAGCAAAGCAAACAGTGAAAGGCAGCCTGCATACTTTTTTCTGCACAGAAGTTTCTGAGCTTTTTTTTTTCATTTTATTACATAATTATCTTAGACAGTTTGACTTAGAAATTTAGTGGGAGTGATCTACAAATTGGAACAAGAAAAAGGTAGTATTATTAGTACCTGAAAATCTAAATTAGTGCCTTGAAAACTGCCTTTAATAAAATTCTGTTTTCTTTCTCTTAGGGCTGCTGCTCAGAGCAAATTAGGTCACTACACAGATGCGATAAAGGATTGTGAAAAAGCAATAGCAATTGATTCAAAGTACAGCAAGGCCTATGGGAGAATGGGGTAAGTTCTGGGAGGATGTTCCAAGTAGTACCATGTAGCATCAGGTATGCTGTTCTTAATGGCTTGGTTTTGAATTTCCTGCTTAATGTTTTACCCTCTGAACTAATAAGAGGATAAATAAAACATAAGGGAGGAAATGACTACAATTTCTTTGACTAGGAAGTGAGATGATTGATGACTGATTTGATTGTTGGAGAAAATTATATAACCGTACCACAAATCTCAGATGAGCACTCAATATTGCAGACAGTTAGGCAGACAGTTCTATTATTTTTCCTTCTATAGTCACCTTTCCACTCGCTGATGTGACGATTTCATACCTCTTCCTCTCCCTTCAAATTTCCACTACCCCCTCTCTGGTGACTCTCAACTGATGCTATTGCCTTACACTTAATTGAGAAGCTAGATGCTTTTTGAAGGAAAACAACTCATTTTCCTCCTTGCAAATCCATCAGTCTGCCTACATTTGTATCTACACAGAATGCCCTTTTTTCTTGTTAAAATGGAAGCATTCTGGCTGGGCGTGGTGACTCACGCCTGTAATCCCAGCACTTTGGAAGGCCAAGGTGGGCAGATCACTTGAGGTCAGGAGTTTAAGACCAGCCTGCCCAACATGGTGAAACCCCGTCTCTACTAAAAATACAAAAATTAGCCAGGCATGGTGATGAGCACCCGCAGACCCAGCTACTCAGGAGGCTAAGGCAGGAGAATCACTTGAACCTGGGCGGCAGAGGTTGCAGTGAGCTGAGATAGAGCCACTGCACTCCAGTCTGGGTGACAGATTGAGACTCTGTCTCAAAAAAAAAGAAGCATTCTTACCTAAGACCATTGCCTCCACTCATGCTTTAAGATCCCATTCCCTTGTACCTTCTCCACAACTTTGCAACTATTACAATCCCCTTCATTTTCTACAACATTAGATCTTCCATCTCTAATAGATGATAATGGTTGGCATGTGATCAGGTCATAAAAAGTCATTCACTGAGCCAGGTGCAGTGGCTAACACCTGTAATCCCAGCATTTTGGGAGGCCAAGGTGGGAGAAATGCTTGAGCCCAGGAGTTCAAGACCAGCCTGGGCAACATAGCAAGACCCCATCTCTATAAAAATACAAAAATTATCCAGGAGTGGTGGGGTACACCTGTAGTCCCAGCTACTTGGGAGGCTGAGGTGAGAAGATTGCTTGAGTCTGGGAAGTCGAGGCTGTGGTGAGCCGTGATCGTGTCACTGCACTCCAGCCTGAGTGACAGAGTGAGACCCTGTCTCAAAAAAAAGAAAAAAAATCATTAGTTGGACCCATCCCTTTACCCAGCGTTCCCCTCTAGCCACCATCCCACTTCTCAGTTCCTCGTTCTCTGCCCCTGATGGTTATCTGTACTTGCTGTTTCATCTTTGTCATCTCTTTTTTTCTTTTTTTTTTTTTGAGACAGAGTCTCGCTCTGTCACCCAGGCTGCAGTGCAGTGGCGCGATCTCAGCTTACTGCAAGCTTTGCCTCCTGGGTTCACGCCATTCTCCTGTCTCAGCCTCCCGAGTAGCTGGGACTACAGGCACCCGCCACCATGCCCAGCTAATTTTTTGTATTTTTAGTAGAGACGGGGTTTCACTGCGTTAGCCAGGATGGTCTCGATCTCCTGACCTCACGATCCACCCACCTCGGCCTCCCAAAGTGCTGGGATTACAGGCCACTATTAACTTATTGTCAAAATACATCACTCTCTAGGATCCTGACACTACACTTGCCCTGTTTCCCCTTCCACTTTACTGGATGCTCTTTTCCAGTCTCCCTTGCTTGTTCTTCCTCTCTACCATCTCTAAACAATGCTGTATTTTAGGGTTGCATCCTCTGCTGCTGCTGTTTCTTTGTCTTCTCTCTGCTCAGTTTATCCTGCTCCATGCTTTTAAAATTCATCTACAGTTGATACTCATTATTTGCAGATTCTGTATTTATGAATTTGCCTACTTGCTAAATTAATTTGTAATCCCCAAATCAATATTTACACTGCTTCTGTGGTCATTCATGTACATGCACAATTAGTGAAAATGTGTCTTCTGATGCTCTCGATCTCAACTGAGGGTGAATAAGGTGATGCTCTATCTTTTTGTTTCAGCTCTCATGCTGAAACAGTCTATTTAGTGCTACATTTTTTTTTGTATTTTTGTGCCTTTTATTTGTGATTTTGCTGTTTACAGTGGCCCCCAACTATAGGCTGAAGTGTTATCTAGTATTCCTAAGTGCAAGAGGACTGTAATGTGCCTTATGGAGAAAATATATTTATGAGACAAGCTTCATTCAGGCATGAGTTAGTGCCGTTGGCTATGAGTTCAATGCTAATGAATAAAATATATATATTAAATAAAGTTTCTTTAATCAGAAACACACATAAAAACAAGATTATATATTGATCAGTTGATGAAAATATGACTATTTACAACAGTTGCAGGAACCTAACTCTGTATTTTCCCTAGGAACAATTGTTCAGTATTTGCTAATTCATTGTTCATGGTGACTTTATAGAACAGGACTACTGTGAATAAGAATCAACTATATATATTATCGGATCTAATTTATATGTTTGAACTCCGTACTCATATATTCTACTACTCTTCAACTCTATGTTTGGATGTTTAATAGGTATTTAAACTTAACATGTCCCAGACAGAACTCATGTTCCCTTCCAAAATCTTTCCAATCTCAATACATTGTACAATTAGTTATCTATCCCATGCACAGGTCAGAAGCCTAAGAGTCATCCTTCATTGTTATTACGCCTGACATAAGTACTGATACTCTGTCATCAAGTCCTGTCAATTCTAGTTTCTGTATATATCTTGAATCCAAGTGTTGATCGCTATCTTACATATAGCCCCAGTCCAAACTACATCTCTTACCTAAGCTACTGCAATAGCTTCCTAACCGATCTCCCTGCCTCCATTCTACCCTTCTGCCCATGTAGATCCTCTACGTAGAAGCCAGAGTGAGCTTTCAAAAGCACAAATTGTATCATGTGACTCCATTGCAACCAGAATAAAGTTCAAACTCCAAGCAATGGTCCTCTATCATCTGGCACCCAACTGTTCTCTGACATCATCTCTCCATGCTTTGTTTTCTGTGTTCCCTCCTCATCAGCCCTTGTCCTGTTCCTTAAGAATACCAAGCTTGCATCTTTCTTGGGACCTTTCTGTTTACTGCTATTTCCACTACAATGCTCCTCCCTCATTTTCATGACTGCTTTCTTTACATCACTCAGATCTTTCCAATGTGGCTACTTTTTGAGCAGCTCTCCTATTCATTCCTTTAATATTGCCCTTTTTATTTGCATGCTTGTTGCCTGTCTTCCCCAGGTAGAATGAAATTTTCTTAAAGACAGAAAACTTTATCTTTTTTTTTTTTTGAGATGGAATTTCGCTCTTGTTTTCCAGGCTGGAGTGCAATGGCACAATCTCGGCCCACTGCAACCTCCGCCTCCTGGATTCAAGCAATTCTCATGCCTCAGCCTTCCTAGTAGCTGGGATTACAGGCGTCTGCCACCATGCTTGGCTAATTTTTGTATTTTTAGTAGAGACAGGGCTTCACCATGTTGGCCAGACTGGTCTCAGACTCCTGACCTCAAGTGATCCACCCACCCTGGCCTCCCAAAGTGCTGCTGGGATTAGAGACGTGGGCCACTGCGCCCAGCCAGGATCCTCAGTATCTTTAGATATTATTTTAATAATATTCTTATACATCATAGAGTTTCAGTAAATAGTTACTGACTTGACTCTTGATTAACTGGGGACTCTGATAAAGTATCATACATGGTTGACTGGTAGAAAATGAATTAGGTTCCGATAAAGAGAAAAAGAGAAAAGAAAACAGTAATTTGTTTAAAACAAACCTAAAACAAACAGAAACCCCTAATACTATGTCACCATATATACAGTTATTGTTTAGTTCTATAATAATTTTTCAATAAGTAAATTATAACTAGGTAAATATGAACATTAAAATTTAATACCTCTTTGACTTGTGCCTGGTATAATTTGTTATTTGAATTGTAAAGGATGCTAATTTTATCTACCTCTTTTGATCAGGAATAGTTATCTAATAACTACAGCCTGTTTTCTTAATGGAAAATTGATATTAATTGTTCCTCTGTTAGGAAGAAGAAAGCATGTAGGCCATTTTGAAGCACAAATACAGTTTAGAGTCCTTAAAAATGGTGTTAGCATCATGGATTTATGTGACCACATGATTGTCAACTCACATCTTTTGGAACTTAGTCTAGGCATTTATAAAGCAAATTATTTTACATATTAAGCTTAAAAATGGTAGAGTAAGTAAGATAATCTCTAAGCATTAAATTCATGATCTATAGGACAACCAGGTTATCAGCAAGCAGAATGGAGTGAGTTCAGATATATAGAATCTTAAGTTGGAGGGAATTTTGCTCCCGTGAGCCATAGTACAGTGAATAAATTAAGTGTAATCTGGATTAGAACTGAATACCAAGACAGACAGACGTTTGACGATGTTTGTGATGTCCTGATGTTCTTTAATCATATATCTGATATTCTTATATTCTATTCCCTTCAGGCTGGCCCTCACTGCCTTGAATAAATTTGAAGAAGCAGTTACAAGTTATCAAAAGGCATTAGATCTTGACCCTGAAAATGATTCCTATAAGTCAAATCTGAAAATAGCAGAACAGAAGTTAAGAGAGGTATCCAGTCCTGTAAGTTGTTAATGCCAAATGAGTGAAGTATTTTCTGTCATTCACAATTTATTGTAATTGTAGATACTGGACTGATTCTCAGATATAATTGTTTTACAGACAGGAACTGGACTGAGCTTTGACATGGCTAGCTTGATAAATAATCCAGCCTTCATTAGTATGGTGAGTATACTTTCTTTTCTGCCTCTACTGGCTATGTTTTCCATAGACTATGTAGCTATGCAATTTTTTTTAGAAACAAGTGAGTTTTTGTGGTGGTGGTTGTAGTGGAGTATTGATATAAGGCTATAGCAGGGTTCTGTTTTTTTATTTCCAACTTTTATTTCAAGTGCAGGGGTAAATGTGCAGGATGTGCAGGTTTGTTACATAGGTAAAACGTCTGCCATGGTAGTTTGCTGCACAGATCCTCCCATTACCCAGGTATTAAGCCCAGCATCTATTAGCTGTTCTTCGTGATCCTTCCTCTCCTCCCATCCTCTGCCCTCCAACAGGCCCCAGTGTGTGTTGTTCCCCTACATGTGTCATTGTGTTCTCATCATTTGGCTCCCACTTGTAAGTGAGAACATGTGTTATTTGGTTTTCTTTTCCTGTGTTAGTTTGTTAAGTAAAATGGTAAAATGGCCTCCAGCTCCATCCATGTCCCTGCGAGGGACATAATCTTATTTCTTGTTTTGGCTGCATAGCATTCCATGGTGTATATGTACCGCATTTTCTTTATCCAGTCTATCATTGATAGGCATTTGCATTGATTCCATGTCTTTGCTATTGTGAATAGTGCTGCAGTGAACATACGTACGAATGTGTATTTACAGTAGAAAGATTTCTATTCCTTCGGGTATATACCCAGTAATGGGATTGCTGGGTCGAATGGTATTTCTGCTTCTAGGTCTTTGAGGAATCACCACACTGTCTTCCACAATGGTTGAACTAATTTACATTTCCACCAACAGTGTTAAAAGCATTCCTTTTTCTCCACAACTTCGCCAGCATCTGTTGGTTTTTGTTTTTTTTGTTGTTGTTGTTGTTTGTTTGTTTTTTGAGACAGAGTTTCACTCTTGTCACCCAGTCTGGAGTGCAATGGTGTGATCTTGGCTCACTGCAACCTCCACCTCCTGGGTTCAAGCGAATCTCCTGCCTCAGCCTCCTGAGTAGCTGGGATTATAGGCACCCACAACCATGCCTGGCTAATTATTGTATTGTCAGTAGAGATGGGGTTTCACCATGCTGACCAGGCTAGTCAAATGACCTCTGGTGATCCGCCTGCCTCAGCCTCCCAAAGTGCTGGGATTACGGGCATGAGCCACCACACCTGGCCTGTTTTTGAGTTTTTAATTATAGTTGTTCTGACTTGTGTGAGATGGTATCTCATTGTGGTTTTGATTTGCATTTCTCTAATGATCAATGATGTTGAGCTGTTTTTTCATATGTTTGTTGGCCACATATATGTCTTCTTTTGAGAATTGTCTGTTCATTTCCTTTGCCCACTTTATAATGGGGTTGTTTTTTTCTTGTAAATTTGTTTAAGTTCTTATAGATGTAGGATATTAGACCTTTGTCAGATAGATAGATTGCAAAAATGTTCTCCCATTCTGTAGGTTGTCTGTTTACTCTGTTGATTGTTTCTTTTGGTGTGGAAAAGAAACTCTTTAGTTTAATTAGATCCCATTTGTCAATTTTTTCTTTTGTTGCAATTGCTTTTGGCATCTTCATCATGAAATCTTTGCCTGTGTCTATGTCCTGAATGATATTGCCTCGGTTTATAGAGTTCTTATAGTTTTGAGTTGCACATTTAAGTCTTTAATCCATCTTGAGTTGATTTTTGTATATATATGGTATAACGAAGGGGTCCAGTTTCAATTTTCTCCATATGGCTAGCCAATTCTCTCAGCAACACTTATTAAATAGGGAATCCTTTCCCCATTGCTTTTGCCAGGTTTGTCAAAGATCAGATGGTTGTGAGTGTGCAGTCTTATTTCTGGGTTCTCTGTTCTGTTCCACTGGTCTATGTGTCTGTTCTTGTACCAGTACCATGCAGTTTTGGTTATTGTAGCCCTGTAGTACAGTTTGAAATTGGGTAGCATGATGCCTCAGCTTTGTTCTTTTTGTTTAGGATTGCCTTGGATGTTTGGGCTCTTTTTTGGTTCCATATGAATTTTAAAATAGTTTTTTCTAATTCTGTGAAGAATGTCAATGGTAGTTTAATGGGAATAGCATTGAATCTATAAATTGCTTTAGGCAATATGGCCATTTTCACGATTTTGATTCTTCTATCCATGAGCATGGAGTGTTTTTCCACTTGTTTCTGTTCTCTCTTATTTCCTTGAGCAGTGGTTTGTAGTTCTCCTTGAAGAGTTCCTTCACTTTGCCTGTTAGCTGTATTTCTAGATATTTTATTCTTTTTATGGCAATTGTGAATGCGAGTTCATTTGTGATTTGACTTTCGACTTGCCTGTTGTTGGTATGTAGGAATGCTAGCAATTTTTGCACATTGATTTTGTATCCTGAGACTGTGCTGAAGTTGCTTATCAGCTTAATAAACTTCTCGACTGAGACAATAGGGTTTTCTAGATATAGGATCCTGTCATCTGCATATAGGGATAATTTGACTTCCTCTCTTCCTATTTGAATATGCTTTATTTCTTTATTGTGCTTCATTTCCCTGGCCAAAACTTCCAATACTATTAATTTGTTGAATAGGAGTGATGAGAGAGGGTATTTTGTCTTGTGCTGGTTTTCAAGGGGAACACTTCCAGCTTTTGCCCATTCAGTATGATATTGGCTGTAGGTTTGTCATATATGGCTTTTATTATTTTGAGGTATGTTCCTTCAATATCTAGTTTATTAAGAGTTTCTTATATGAAAGGATGTTGAATTTTCTTGAAGGCCTCTTCAGCATCTATTGAGATAATCATGGGGTTTTTGTCTTTAGTTCTGTTTATGAGATGAATCACATTTATTGATTTGCATATGTAGAAACAGCCTTGCATCTTGGGGATGAAGCCTCCGTGATTGTGATGGGTAAGCTTTTTGATGTGCTGCTTGGATTCAGTTTGCCAGTATTTTGCTGAGGATTTTTGTATCAATGTTCATCAAGGATATTGGCCTGAAGTTTTCTTTTTTGTTATTGTATCTCTGCCAGGTTTTGGTATCAGGATGATGTTGGCCTCATAGAATGAATTAGGGAGGAGATCCTCCTTTTCAATTTTTTAGAATAGTTTCTGTAGGAACGGTACCAGCTCTTCTTTGTACCTCTGGTAGAATTCAGCTGTGAATTCGTCTGGTCCTGGGCTTTTTTTTTTTTTTTTGGTTGGTAGGCTATTTATTAGTGCCTCAATTTCAGAACTCATTATTGGTTTATTCAGGGATTCAATTTCTTCCTGGTTCAGTCTTGGGAGGATGTATGTGTCCAGGAATTTATCAAGTTCTTCTAGAAATTCATTAGTAAAATTTCTAGTTTATGCGCATAGGACTGTTTATACTATTCTTTGATGGTTGTTTGTATTTCTGTGGGGTCAGTGGTAATATCATTTTTGATTGTGTTTGTTTGAATCTTCTCTCTTTTTTCTTCATTAGTATAGCTAGCGGTCTATTTTATTAATTTTATCAAAAAACTAGCTCCTGTATTCATTTTTTTTTTTTTTGAAGGGTTTTCTGTGTCTCTATCTCCTTCAGTTCAGCTCTGATCTTGGTTATTTCTTGTCTTCTGCTAGCTTCGGGGTTTGTTTGCTCTTGTTTCTCTAGTTCTTTTATTTGTGATATTAGGTTGTCAACTGGAGATCTTTCTAGCTTTTTGATTTGGGCATTTAGTGCTATAAATTTCTTTCTTAACAAGAATGAAATTTTAGCTGTGTCTGAGATTCTGGTATGTTGTATCTTTGTTCTCATTCAAAGAAGTTCATTCTTCTCATTCAAGAAGTTCTGCCTTAATTTTATTATTTACCCAAAAGTCATTCAGGAGCAGGTTGTTCAATTTCCATGTAGTTGTGTGGTTTTGAGTGAATTGAGTGCCATGTGGTGATGAGAAGAACGTATATTCTGTTGTTTTTGGGTGGAGAGTTCTGTAGATATCAGGTCCACTTGATCCAGAGCTGAGGTCAGGTTTGAATATCTTTGTTAGTTTTCTGTCTTGATGATCTGTCTACTATTGTCAGCAGAGTGTTAAAGTCTCCCACTATTATTGTGTGGGAGTCTAGTCTCTTTGAAGCTCTCGAAGTACTTGCTTTATGAATCTGGGTGTTCCTGTATTGGGTGCATATATATTTAAGGTAGTTAGCTCTTCTTGTTGAATTGAACCCTTTACCATTATGTAATGCCCTTCTTTGTCTTTTTTTTTTCTCTTGAGACAGAGTCTTGCTCTGTCACCCAGGCTGGAGTACAGTGGCGCAATTTCAGCTCACTGCAACCTCTGCTTCCTTCTTTGTCTTTTTTGATCTTCTTTGGTTTAGAGTCTGTTTTGTCAGAAACTAGGATTGCGACCACTGCTTTTTTCTGTTTTCCATTTGCTTGGTAAATTTTCCTTCATCCCTGTATTTTGAGCCTATGTGTGTCTTTGTATGTATAGTGGGTCTCTTGAATACAGCTCACTGATGGGTCTTGTTTTTTTATCTGGTTTGCCATTCTGTGTCTTTTAATTGGGGCATTTAGCCCATTTACATTTAAGGTTAGTATTGTTATGTGTAAATTTGATCCTGTCATCATGATGCTAGCTGGTTATTTTGCAAACTTATGTGGTTGCTTCACAGTGTCACTGGTCTGTATACTTCAGTGTGTTTTTGTAGTGGCTGGTAACAATTTTTCCTTTCCATATTTAGTGCTTCCTTCAGGAACTCTTGTAAGGCAGGTCTGGTAGTAATGAATTCCCTCGGCATTTGCTTGTCTGAAAAGGATCTTATTTCTCCTTTGCTTATGAAGCTTAGTTTGACCAGATATGAAATTCTGGGTTGGAAATTCTTTTAAGGATGTTGAATATGGGCCCCCAATCTCTTCTGGCTTATAGGGTTTCTGCTGAGAGATCTGCTGTTAGTCTGATGGGCTTCCCTTTGTAGGTGGCCTGGCCTTTCTCTCTGGCTGAATGGCAGGGTTCTTAACGTGTCCATGTACCTCCTGTGGGAAAGCCATGGATGGACTTTAGGAAGCTCATGGATTTTTCCAAAATTATATATAAAAATCTGTGTACATGTGTATGTGTGCATTTTTCCAGGGAGAGCATCATATTTTTCATGAGATTGGCACAGGAATCTGCCAATATATGAAAGGTTAAAAACTACTCTCTTACATAAAAGTGGTCCTAGGAAGATATCTAACATCTGCAGTTTGAGTATTTGGCCATTGTGGTTCCCTAGCTTGCCCCTCAGCATTGTCTGCCTTGTTTTCTATCTTTAGAGTTTATTTGATATAGATAGATAGATATAGATATAGATATCTCATGTGTTTGTCTTCTATTCTTACAAAACAACAAAATAATGTATGGGCCTTTTTGAGAACATACACGCTCTGGTCCAATATGTGGTAACTTTGATTTAGTGGGTTTAGGATGTTACCAGGGCATATCAAGCTCCTGGGGTGACTGTATACTTTGGATGAGAATTATTCTATCCATGATATGCCCTTGGAAGGCAGGAATCAGTTTTTATTCATCTTTTGTTTCCTTCAAAAAATGTGTCTTGCATCCATTAAATCTTCTGTTGAACTGAAATGCACAGATGACTCATTCCCAGTGAGATAAGTCTTTTTAGCAACTGGTAGTTTTTATTTTTCCCTTATCAAATTTCAGCCTTCTTACCATGCTAGCAAATACATGTTTTGTAGATCTTGTGACTTCATTTTTTTTTTTAAGAATGGTTACCCATTCTAGGACTCAGGTTATGGCATTGTAACAAGATGTGAAAAATGGAATTCTTTTAGTTTCAGATTTGGCTTAGGCTCCAAGCTGCTATGTACCAAAATAAGGTGTGAGACCACCATGTAGGAGTTGCAAAAGATGGGGATAAAAAACATGTTTTGTGACTCATAAAAAAGGCCAGGTTGATGGAAATTAAAACATGATTTTTGGAGAGAGCTATTAGAGTTTTAGGGCTCCCTATATGAAGGAATTAGGGAGGCTTGCTCTCATCTCAAGCCCTCACTGAGAAAGGGCTTTTCTGGTACAGAGACTTTCTACCTGATAGTTCAACTGGATAGCCAGTGGCAGAATTAGCTGTGTGGTTTGGGCAGTTACTGTACTGATGAGAGTGGAGCAGAGGTGTTTCCTGTGGACCAAGGTGAGCACACACAATTGTGAGAGAGTGTGTCTGAATATGTTCAAGAGGCTTTCCTGGAAGTGTGACAGGATCCCAACACAGAGAATCTCTGGAGGACTGCCAAGAACCTAAGACTGAAGGGAAAGTCATAGCATCCATCCAGAGGGTAAATTACCCTTTTCAAAGAATAGGTAAGAAATCTCCAGGGCCTAGGGAAAGGAGAAGTGTCTGAAGAACATGAGAAAGTACCCCATAAGAGAACCACAGTAGTTTTTGAATACCTTGCAAACTCAAAAAGCACCAATGCAAAACTAGTAAGATAATACCAGTCATCAAATAAGAACTTTGCTGCTCCTTTCACCTTTCCCTCCATTTAACCCTCAACCTGGAGGGCCACAACTCTTAATCAGCAAGCTGAGGGAAGAGGACTGGAAGTACTACAGGATAAAGAAGCACTATAGGCCTTGGTGTGCTGGCTCACACCTGTAATCCCAGCACTTTGGGAGGCTAAGATGGGCGGAGCACTTGAGGTCAGGAGTTCCAGACCAGCCTGGCCAACCTGGCGAAACCCCGTCTCTACTAAAAATACAAAAATTAGCTGGGCATGGTGGTGCATGCCTGTAATCCCAGCTACTTGGGTGGCTGAGGCAGGAGAATCACTTGACTCCGGGAGGCAGAGGTTGCAGTGAGCTGAGGTCATGCCATTGCACTCCAGCCTGGGTGACAGAGTGAAACTTCATCTCAAAAAAAAAAAATAGCCCTATAGGACAGCGGTCCCCAACCTTTTTGTAACAGGGACTGGTTTCATGGAAGACAGTTTTTCCATGGACCATACCGGGTGTAGGGGGTAGGGGCAGGATGGGGAGAGGAGCGTTAGATTCTCTTGAGGAGCACTCAACCTAGGTCCTTCACATGCGCAGTTCACAATAGGGTTCTTGCTCCTATGAGAATCTAATGCTGCAGCTGATCTGACAGGAGGTGGAGCTCAGGCAGTAATGCTTGCTCGCCCACCGCTTACCTGCTGCTGTGCAGCCTGGTTCCTAACAGTCTGTGGCCCAGGGGTTGGGGACCGCTACTATAGGAAACAAAGCAGTCAATGGTGCCTCTTTTCTACTACAACCGGTCAGTCTGTAGCAGGCCCATGCTAGGAAGGGAGAAGTTTTACCTGTAAATGAAGCTTTATGTATTTGATTGTTACACTGAGACATTAATTGCTGAACTGGAGGTCATTTTATAGAACTTAAAGTGACAGGAGGATTGCTTACTGAAAAGTGACTGGAAAAGCATAGATCTGTTCTAAATTTCCTCTAGGTCCTAGATTGTGGGAGAAGGGGAAGAACTACTGCTGCAGAACTAGTTTAAAGGGATTGCAAAACACAGCATTTCATGTTTATAGCTCATACATCCTGCTTTTCCTGTGTAATGCCTTTAGCACTTATGGGTTGGCTCAGAGGCACCAATCCTGACTGGGACTTGAGGAAAGTTTTGAATTACTTACGAATCAGTCAGTGATCTTTCTGGTAATATAAGCAAGTGGTGGCTTTTCCCAACACCTCATAGAGAGTCTGTGAATATAATCTATTGTCTACAAAGATTTAGACTAAATTCAAATTTTACATAAATATTGTCGACATTACCAATTTGAGGGAAAAAATGTGATGCTTTCAAAATAGAATGTTTTAAAAGTATGTGTGCACATAAATATAATTCCTTGTGCCACTGTAAGCATGGGAAGGATTGAAATTGCTGGGCCCCATGGAGCAAAGTCACATCTCTTAAAAGCTCGTTTGGAATGGACCTTCTCAAGTGTAGGAGATCCCTTAACCATACTTTTAAAGTTCCTATTTTTCCTTTTGGCTTAATTGGTCTGATAGCAGTAGTAAGTAAACTGCTGTCAACATCCTCAGTTTATAGTGTTGTTTGTAATCTCTTTATCCTCACCATGTCTTCTTAATGCCACTTTTTCTAGTACCTTCTCTCTTTTTACATTCCCCTTTACTTTGCATAGCACACTGAAACTCTACAAAATGTTAGTGCATACATGATTTAGCTTTCATTCTTCTAAAAAAAAAATCTTTGCTAAGATCCCTACATATTAACTGCCTTTAATGGGAGGTGCTGTTTTTCAATTCCAGGCGGCAAGTTTAATGCAGAACCCTCAAGTTCAACAGCTGTAAGTATATAGAAAGAGCTTATTACACTTCCCCAACCCTTCCACTTGCCAGGCTCCTAATTTGAGCACATCAGCTCAAAAATGATGAAACTGTTCTGAATGACAGTCAGTTGGAGCTTAAAGCCACACACATTTGGCCTAGCCTCTGGTATAACATGGGTATTTTATTAACTTTTCCTCGTCCAGTTGTCCTATTTGTTAAGAATATATACCAATCCCAGTGATGTATTTCTTGTGTACTCTAGAATGTCAGGAATGATGACAAATGCCATTGGGGGACCTGCTGCTGGAGTTGGGGGCCTAACTGACCTGTCAAGCCTCATCCAAGCGTAAGTATTATTTAAAACAGAAATAGTGAAGATGTATTTTATGTTTTACAGCCTATCTCTATGGTGAGGGGTCAGGGCTTTCTTTTTAAATGTTTATCTTTTACCGTTAGTAACTTTAGCCTCCTTAATGTTACTAAATCTGAAAGAAGTTCATGAATTACAACCACTTTTTAGACTGCAGGGCAGGAATCCATACCTAGATAGTCTGGCCAGCCCTGTCTGTTGAGAAAAAGAACCATGTTTATTATGCTTCCCCCCACCCCCACCCCCGCCCCCGGTTCATTATGCTTTATTTTTTGGGACTTTCAAGTACCAGCAGAATCTTTTTCTTCTTTTCTTTTTTGGCACCATCTCAATAAGGCAGGTGAGGGACAGATATTAGAAAAGTAGATAATTTATATCCCTACCCAATGGCTAGAGAAACTGAGGTACAGGTTAGTGACTTACTAAGGAACCCATAGCACATTCAGTCTTTTCATTTGCAGCCTAATTTTACTTGATTGTGTTGTCAGCATGAAATTAGGGTCCTTGGTTTTTAAGTGGGGGTATCAATACTGTATCTCTGCTTACAGAGGGTCCCAAGGATTGGTGACCTGGTACTTTGAGGGTATGGAGACAAACAGTAAAAATCATATGTCCAAATAAATTGTGATCTCATATATATATAAAGCTATTAATCCCCCATTTTTTCCCAATGAAGATCCAGGAAGTTTTTCAGCAGACTTCAAACTACTCAGGGACACAGATGAAGGTCAAATATCCTCTTAAAATATATATCAATTTAGGTACACATACATAGTTTAAAATCACTTGTTACATACTTTAATGTTCAGGCAATTCAGGAAATTTTTATTCAAACTTTTTCAGTGCCTGTCAACACTTAGAGGAACTACTTGCATCTTCTCATTACTTGAGCACATTGCCTTCACTTATATCAAATTGGCGAAGACAACTTTGCTTTTTGAATCTGTGTCTGATGCTCTCGCTGGACATTTTATATGAAGCCACAGTACCACTTGTTGTTTGTCAGCACAACTGTGTATCCACTTAGAATATTGCATTTTTAGAATGACCTTTAAATGGCATATAATGACATCTAACACTGGCAATAGAGGGTCACATACTACAATTTGTGTTAAACTTCTTAGTGTTTTTAAAATTACTTGTTAGGTGACCTCCAAAAGCATCCCAAACTGGGTGTTATATGAGACTATTAAGACTTGGGTATAAAAGCATTGTATTTGAGCACATACAATAAAAACATATACGTCTTACCCTTTGCTTCTTTGTCATTAGCACTAGAGAAGTAGATTTCACCCAGTTGAGGTACTTATTTTTTTTAGCATGGGTGTTTTGTTTCTTATAAAGAACACTGCATTGTAATAATGCTATATGGAGGCATTGGTAAACTTGTAGATTCTAAAGTCATGGCTCTGAAACTTGTTTTTATAGAAAAAAGCCCCCTTTAGGTAGCTCCTACATTTTCTGCATTTCTTTTTGCGTGGGTAAATGTGACTGGCAATTCCCTATTCAAACCACATTGCCTCTTTACTACAGGGGACAGCAGTTTGCTCAGCAGATACAGCAACAAAATCCTGAACTTATAGAGCAACTGAGAAATCACATCCGGAGCAGATCATTCAGCAGCAGCGCTGAAGAGCATTCCTGATTTAACCAGGGGCTCAAGCCCAAGATACAAATGGTTTATGGCTATGAATGAAGTATTTGTTGTAGATAGTACCCCCTCCCTCCTTCAAAAAACCAAACACCATATCTGATGTGTGAAAATAATGGAGGAAAACCTCTTGTGTATATTCTTAAAGAATAAATCTGTTTAGACAATAGGTTTATCACAAACAAACTCAAAACATAACATGACTCCTTTTGAAATGATCACTAGCCATGTTACGTGCCAATATAGCACTGGGATAAGGTTCCATTTTCAAACTTCTATCATATTTGTATATTAGACTTAATAGCAAAGCATATTTATTGAACTCTAGTAGGGCTATTTGTTGGTAAGCTCTTTAGCTCCAATTTCCCTTAAGCAAAGTTTTTTGAGAAGGGAAATGACCCAAAGGAAAGGTTTCCTATGCTGGTTGAGAAGAAGTGTACTTGCCACTGAGCAGTATGTCAGGAAAGAAGGAATATTATCTAGGTTTAGCTTTGATAAGTGCTATTAGTAATGAATATATAACATGGGAACCAATGTTATCTTTAATGTTGCTTGTTCTGGTGAACAGAGAATCTTAAGAGCTGTTAGAAAGTAGCACTTGATGCAAGGGATGTTTTGAAAAGAAAAAATTGGTAATGCGAATGTATAGAAAGTAAAGGTAGGATGCTCAGGTTTTCTGCATAGTTCTTAACTAATCTTGTCTGCAGTTTGGTATTGATAATATTAGCATGGCCACTTATGCTAAATACACAATAAGATACATTTAGAAATCCTTAATGTACTGGTTAGGTCAGTGGTACAACTGTTTGACTTAATTATCACAATTTCCCCAATGGTAACCTTACCTTGGAAACTATCAAATATAAATATACTTTAACTAAGCCAGTGACCTGGTCCTAAGTTAAGGATTTTCTAAATGGTATTTAATTGTGTGCCCATAAACACTGATTTTTTTTAAAAAGAAAACTTAGTAATTATTTGATGGATAACAAAAAGCATCTATCACTAACATTGCTTGTTCATGTAATCTTCTGTGATAATTTGGCTTGGCATGCCAGTCTTATAATTAACATAATTTAAATTTGATGCAATTTAAATATAACAGGAGACTTAAAATATTTTATTATAAATTAGATGCCATATTAGTTAGTGGAGAAAAGGGGCATTAGGTATTAATTGCATGGGTCTAACTACATTGATGATGAGAGTTTAATTCCAACTAGAGTATATTTTTTGTTTATTAATAATGAAATTGGTGCTGACATGTAATGACTTCACAAGTTTTACGAGGGAAAACTGAAAAAGGAAGTAATATAAATTTTGTGGGGTTTTTTTGAGATGGAGTCTTACTCTTTTGCCAGGCTAGAGTGGTGTTGCAATGTCAGCTCACTGCAACCTCCACCTCCTGGATTCAAGTGATTCTCGAGCCTTAAGCTCCCAAGTAGCTGGGATTACGGGCGCCCACCACCACGCCCAGCTAATTTTTTTTTTTTTTTTCTTGAGATGGAGTCTCTCTCTGTCGCCAGGCTGGAGTGCAGTGGCGCAATCGCGGCTCACTGCAACCTCTGCCTCCCGGGTTCAAGTGATTCTCCTGCCTCAGCCTCCTGAGTAGCTGGGATTACAGGCACGTGTCACCATGCCCAGCTAATTTTTGTATTTTTAGTAGAGACGGGGTTTCACCATGTTTGCCAGGATTGTCTCAATCTCTTGACCTCGTGATCCGCCTGCCTTGGCCTCCCAAATGCTGGGATTACAGGCGTGAGCCACCGTGCCTGGCCGCTAATTTTTGTTTTTAATGGAGAGAGTTCCACCGTATCGGCCAGGCTGGTCTCGAACTCCTGACCTCAAGTGATCTGCCCATCTTGGCCCCTCAAAGTGCTGGGATTAGAGGTGTGAGCCACTGTGCCTGGCCAGGAAGTAATATACAATTAAATGAGTAATAATGCAGATGATTAGGCCTTATAGAACCCTTATCAAAAGACTAATTGGCCGGGCGCTGTGGCTCATGCCTGTAATCCCAGCACTTTGGGAGGCCAAGGCAGGGGGGATCACCTGAGGTCAGGAGTTTGAGACCAGCCTGGCCAACATGGTGAAACCCACCTCTACTGAAAATACAAAAATTAGCCTGGCTTGGTGGCGGGCACCCGTAGTCCCAGCTACTTGGGAGGCTGAAGCATGAGAATTGCTCGAACCTGAGAGGCAGAGGTTGCAGTGAGCCAAGATTGCGCCACTGCACTCCAGCCTGGGTGACAGAGCAAGACTCCATTTCAAAAAAAAAAAAAAAAAGAAAAAGAGACTAAGAGACTAATTATTTTGTATCTTGAAGTTTAAAATCCAACTTTTCTCTTTCTCCTTTGTGACATTAGAACAGTAGTTCTATAACTTCATTGTAAGAATCACCTGGATAATTCATTAAAGATGCAGATTCAGGGCCACGTGTTCAATTCTGATACAGTAGGTCCTGTAATAAGGCCTAGGAATGGCCATTTTTAAACAGTACACTAGGTGGTTTTGATACAGATCCAAGGACTCTAATTTAGAGGAACACTAGGTTAGAGGTTTCTCAGACCTGCAAACACCTAAGCACCTGGGCCAAACAAAGCTACAACGAAGATCTGTATGAAGATATATAGTTCTGCAGAATTTAAAAAGAGCACAATTTAAGTCTTCGGCCCTCAGAAGTTAAATTCATATTCCATCTAAGCCAACTTTGATTTTCATTAAGTTAGAATGAACTCCTAGTATTCCAGTATTACACAGAACGAAGTACTACTACTAACACATAGAAGTCATTACTGTGATATAAAAAGCAAAATAGATCCTTAATTAAAAATTAGTCACTCATATTCAGTGTTGAATAAGAAGTTAAAGTTTCTAGCATAACTATCTTGAGTGCATTAAAAATGCTTTTAGAGCAATAAGATAAGCTTCTAGCTGACTGCCTAGAAAAACAGAAGATACAAATTCAGTGTCAGAAATGAAAGGGAATACACTACAGACACTATAGTTATTAAAAGGCTAACTAGAAAACACCATGACCAACTCAAGGATTGTATATTTAACAACTTAGATGAAACAGATTCCCTATAGGATACAAACTAGAAAGCTCACTGTAGAAACAGATAACCTAAACAGAACCATATTTATTAAGGAAATTGAGTTTGTGGTTAAGTTAAAAACCTTCCAGTAAAGAAAACTACAGGCCCAGATAACTTCCGTGATGAATTTTACCAAACACTTAAGGGAGAAATAATATCAATTCTAAACAATCTCTTCCAGGAAACAGAAGAGGAGGAAATACTTCCCAACTCATTTTATTTGACCAGTATTACCCAGACAAAGATACTATAAGAAAAAAAACTTTAAAACAATGTCTTCATGTGCTAACATCTGTAGTTAAATTAGCCATTCTTTTTACATGAAATAATGGGAATTGGTATATTTCTTCCATTTCATTTTTCTATTTCTTTGCTAATATACCACCTGTAACAAATTCAATCTAGATGCTATCTGTCCACTTGCCTACATTTCCATTCTATTCAAGCCATTTTTGCTCTTCAAGTACCTTGATCACTTTGGAATCATAGCATTGCAAGCTATTTCAAAAAAAGTTGCGTGGTTGGATTGTGCTAGCTACTTTTAAATTTATAAAAAATGCCCCATATATTTTCTTGCTTGTCTGGGAAATATAGTTGCTATCTAACTAGAAAAATAAGAGGGCATTATTAAAGTAACTCTTTAAGCATCGTACTAAATGTTTGACTTCCATTAACCATATTTCTTGTAGTAGCTGTAGCTATTATGATACTGTGTAAAACAGAACAGGTTCTATATATGCAAATGACATTTTCATTTAATGTACCAAATTGTGTATCTAACTTTTATAATATAGGTTAAACAGATCCTTTCTAAGATGGCATTATTTAATCTTTACTTAAAACTATGAAAAATATGTGTAAGTTATTGTTTATAAACAGAAGAGACTATAATTAAAATATAGAGCAGATTCCAAGTGACCATCATTTTACTTTTTAGATTTAAAACAGAATGAAACAGAAGATTTAGTCATAAGAAGATGCTTGAAAAACAATCCAAGTATCCAATGCAGTGGCTATAAAATATTATTTCATCATTTAATCTTAATCATTTTGAAACAAAGACAGACTTCAATTTTACACTGCTTGCACTTTATTTTGTACAGACATTTCATTAATTATTACTCAATTTTGAGGTGCAAACCTTCTGAATATAGCTTTCATTTTGGACCAAACAATTTGTTATGGCAATAAATAATGATGCATTGAAAAACCAATTTTTGTATTTGATTTAATGCACTCTTACATTTAAGAAATTATATATACATTCTTGAATTTCAACTTACCAAAATAGAATAGCTTTTATTTAACAGCCTAAGCTTTTGTTTTCCTGACAAATACTGAAACTTTTTGTTACATTAATGCTGCAAAGTTGTTTATCACCTCAACTTTCTCACTGCTTTGCTCATAACTAAGTGTGATTACATGGAGAGAGAAAGTTTTGTAACAGTAACACATGATTTAGAGTTTAAAATCATATCAGAAGATGGGAATTATTTAAATATACCTTATAAAAATAAGTGGCTTAATCAATGAGAAAAAAACCCAGGGGTTTTTGGCTTATAATTAGAAAATAAGTATTATTCTTAGTTAATAGTTAATTAAAAAAAATCAACAACCTAAAAAGTAAAACCAATTCTGATGTGTTCAGTAGCTGAAAGATATGTATGTTTGTAGGTATAATATACAAATACAGACACAAACCATTACAGTAATTTTGAAAACAACTAGAAAGCTTATACTGTGTTGACAAATATCAGGTTATAAGAGGACTACCCCCTTTGTTTTAAGCAAACTTTTTCTGCTGACCGAATAGCTAGGAAAAAACTGGAGTTAACTGAAATATTTCTAACCAAAATATTACAAAGTTCTAAGAAACAACTCTATCTTCTAGATTGAGGTCAGCCAACTATACCCTGCAGGCCAAATCTGCCCAGCTGCCTCTTTTTTTTTGAGACAGAGTCTCACTCTGTCGCTCAGGCTAGAGTGCAGTAGCATGATCTCGGCTTAACTGCAACCTCTGCCTCCCCGGTTCAAGTGATTCTCCTGCCTCAGCTTCCCGAGTCCAACTGCTTCTTTTTGTGTACACCACTGTACTTTTTTTGCCTACTGGCTGCTCTTGAAGTACGATGGCAGAGTTCAGTATTTGTGACAGAAACCTTACGGCCTGCAAAGCCTAAAATATTTAGTATCTTGTACCTTACATAAAAAGTGTGCTGACTCGTGTTCTAGATAACTTGCTAGGGACAAATGGTCTCAGATACACAGCTTTTGGAGAACAAAGTCCAATGGTCATCTAAAATGAAATGAAATTAAATAATAGGTGTAGAAAATATACACATGTTCATTTCAAATATAAATTACAAGATAAAATCAGATCTCTTCAAAACAAATATTTAATATTTTAACCATTTTACAGGAAAGAAAATTTAAGTAACATATTTACTTCGTTGTTGACGTCATCATTTTACAAAGGTAACAAAAAGAGCAGTTCTGTGAAACTAAATGAAAAGCCTAACATTGGAAGTTTCCTTCAGCTTTCCACTTTAATGGCAGAAGATACCACACAGACTTGTGCGATGTCATCATATTCATATGTTCTCTTTAAGAATGTGTCTGTTAGTCTTAAGCCAGAGATGCTCTATTGAGAGAGAGAGAGATGAGTCTAAGTTTTCATTCATTCAGAGGAAATACAGACATCACAAATGACTTGTAAGTTAACAGCACCCAAATATTGGAATTTTTGAAAAGACAGCATACTTGCAGTCCCTGTACTGAAGAAAGCAGAGTAAGGGCAAGACAGAGCGAAGAACTTGGATGCAGCTTTCCCAGCTGTCTTCCTGAAATTCCACACCAGTGGATGGAATTGGTATTGCACATTTCCAAAACCAGATCCATAGTCCTTTCACTGCTGGAGGAATCAGAATAATAGGAATAAATCTTGTTCATTTCACAAAGAGGTACTGCAATATTTCTACTAGTGACAGTAAACTTGTTTTCTCCATATCCAGGAGAATAAAAACCAGAAAGAGAAAAGCTATTATAACATTTTTTATGTCACTTAAGATAGAACCAGGAAGATGAAAGGAAGTCACACCTTCTAGCACTTAAAATAGCCTCAGACTAATCTGCCTGTCTGGATGTTGGCCTTCTGGTTCTATTACTCAACACTGGCCTCCTGGTGCTGATCTGGTGCTACCATTTTTCTGGGAGACTTCCACACATTTGTGTCTAATCTTGTTGCCATATATTCTCACTATTTCTGTTAGGTACTCTACAGGAAAAGAAGAAAACAACTGATTCTGGTCTAGTCCTTTTGATACCTAATCTATGTTACTTTACCATAACTTGGGAAACAACTGGCAGGATTCATAAGACATAAATACTATTCAGGTTTGCTAACTGGATTATTTACCAAGAAAAGACTACTTCTGCTTATAATAGATATCACCAGTTCAGCTTAAATAAGTTAAAAAAACTTTTAATGAAAGTATGCACATTGTTCTTCTTTAAATAACCAAAAGGCTCATAATGAAAAATAGTCTCCTACCACCATTCACGGCTACTTATGGCTTTTAGCTGTTTATTCTTATACTTGGCTCCAAATTTTAAATTGCTTATTTAAATTTTATTTTTTTTAGACATATTGACTTTATAATATTAACTTGTATATGCCTGAATCTCCCTAACAAGCATTTGAGATGGCTACTATGTGCCAGAGACCAAGGTGGATGCACTACATGAATATTGTTAATTTCACAAAAATCCAGTAAGACTTATATATGTTGTGTGCATGTGTCTGTGCATGTCCCTGGTGTGTAGGGGCAGGGAATGACATTTATATAGAGAGGAAACTAAAGATCTAAGAGACATGTGCTTTTTAGAAAACTTGTATGAATCACCAAAAGTTAAAGTGAACACCAAGAGAAGTTAACTTTTGAAAAAAATAACACTTGTGAGCTGGTCAATAAACTGATTTGCTGAAAAAACTTAAAAAAAAAACCAAAAATTCCCCAACACCCTGTAACACCCTATAAGCACAGGGTCTTTGCCCTGTATTGTTGTTTACTGAGCTCACGATGTGGCAGACACTGAGTAAGGCCATGTCCCTTCTCCTGAATAATTCCAGTCCAGTGAGAAAGAGACTAATACTTACAGTAATATATGAGTGTCACTAAATACACAATATATGAGTGTCACTAAAAAACTAAGTTAAAATTTTCTATGATGGAGAAGGCATGAATACCTGTGCTTTGGAAAGTCTAGGTAGCTTCATAGAGGAAGTGGGTATTTCTGTAATTTTGAAGGATAAATATTTCCTATCTTTCTAATACCAAAAAGAATAAATATGGAATTAAAAGGATTATACATTCACACTAAGAGGACTAGGATTCATCACTGCAATATTATAAAAATACCCCAAATAATAATACAAACCAAGTGGTAATACAAGTAGGAGCAGAGGGCATAGGACTGGAACTTAATTCTATTTTTTTCTGGTTTCAAAGCCCTGTGCTCTTTGCTTCCTGACAGTTCAGATTATGCTCTCTCTTTACTGTCAAAACCCAGTTTTCGAATCAATGATCTCCCCTTACATTAAATCCATAAGCAATGTTTGGTTTCTTAATACTCAAGATACAGCTCAAGTACAAGCATGCCTCAAAAAATCTTGCTACTTCAATTCATAATATATTAATACATAAGAACCTATTAGTTCATGTTTTGGTGAAGGAAGTATAAACAATGAATACCTACCTCATAGGGTGTGACAAATGAATGAAATAAAATACAGAAGATGCATAATACAATAGGCCCTTAAAAATATGTAATTATACTGCTACCAGATGAAGAATTTTACAGTACTCAATATCAACATCAGAGAAGGCTGTATGTCAAGAGGAAAACTTAAAAGGAGATAGTAACAAAAAGATTTTAAAATTATCTTCTAGGCAGGTGAGGTAGAAAGGACATCCATCTACAAACAGTGGCATTACCTGCAGTTTGTTATTTTACAGGTAATATGAAAAGGTTCTTCAAGGTTTACGGTATCTGGTATTGCCTCCAAAGACAACCTAACATCTCCATAACCTGGAGCCTAAGAAAACAAGCAACACAGTTAATGTATATCTATCACAAAACCTTTCCATTTTAATGAAGGCACCACAGCAGCACATTTACTCAACAGCTGTTGGGTTTCCAAGCTGATGTTCTAAGAAAATACTTCTGATTCACTTTACTTGTCTCTCATTTTAAATTCTTTTGCAGCTACTGCCTGTGGAATAGCCTGGCAGACCTGGACTGTTTTTGTTATATAATTATTCCATGTTCAGTAGAGTTAAGATGAATCTCACAGGTAAGTAGTCAGTAAAGAAATTTCAGGGAGTTGAAGGGACACTTTCCAGATGCTGTAGCTTCTATGTGTGTAACTCTAAATAGGTAAAGTTATTTTCTAAAGAAAGAGGGGGATGATGTTGAAAGGAGCCAGGAAGAAAATCATGACTTTTTACAAGACGCACAGATGAGGATGGATTATAACAACACGAAGGCTTGGAACAGGCCATGGCAGAAAAATAACTAACGGCTATATTTAAGTGGGCCCAGGAATCATCATCATCATTTTTTAAAAATTATTGCCTCAAACAGTGGAAAGAAAAGTAAAATTTGGAATATGTCAAAACAGGTAATATTCAGCATAAAGGGAGGAGAATCCTGTCGTATATTCTTACAAGCATAAGAAAAAGAAGCCTGGTAGCTATCCCTACTCTCAGAGAAGAAATTAGGTAAAATATGCAACCAATGCTTATAAGATAACTTTAGTAGAACTCACCTTCTGAGGAGATGCCTCAGATTTTTAACATCTTAAAAATGGTAGGAACTGAGTAGGTGAATGAAGTAAGTCCAAGAGTTTCAGGACATTGCAAAATAGAAAACCTTAATGTGTTTGGAAATCAGAAGAAGAGTGAGCATGTGTTACCAAAGGAGAGACACTTAATAACAGTTATTTTAATTTCTGTGTGATAAAGAACACGTGTATTAAGGATAAATTAACATTTGACCATTTTTCATTCATGGCAACACCAGTCTTCGACCTACCTATCAGTGACACTATTAATCTTTTCTGCTCCAGTAGTAGTAATGCCTTTTATAGTGCTCCAATTTTTTACTGCTGGATGTAGAAAAAATTAAGTTGTTCTAACTACCTGTCTTTCACACACCAAAACCCCAGCGAAGTTTTTTCCAGACTCACCATTCTTTGAAGTTGGCTGGTCTGTAACCTTCCCCTTTCACCTAGATTTGTTTTCCATACTATATCCAATTTTCCAATTACTGTTACTCCCTTAATGATGCCTGCTTTTTCTGCAAATTCATTCTTTGGCTTTAGGCAGTATAAGTACTGGCGTGTATCCATTGGTTGCAAATATGCTCTTGACCCAAACGTAGACACACTGAGAGGGGTGGAGACAGAGACGGAGAAAATTCTCTAGCATCTTTTAAAAGAAAAACCATGGCTGTGATTGTTCCTTTGGATAGGAACTGGATGATGTACCCTCCAAAGATCAACAACAGAACATGTTAACGATTTCAATACAAATAAAAAGAACGTATACTGCAATGATTTATTTTTCCTTCATTTTTTTCAGTTGATATCGAAAATCTTGAGGTTCTTTATAGTAATTGGACCCCGAAAGGCAGGGGTCCCTTTTTTTTTTTTTAAATAATTTTAAGAGACAGGGTCTTGCTCTGTCACCCAGGCTGGAGTACAGTGGTATGATCATAGCTCACTGTAACTTCTAACTTCTGGGTTCAAGGAGGTTCTTTATAATAGAATGTAATATATTACTTATAAAATTGAACATGTATCAATTAACTGAAAAGTGCAACAGAAACCAGAACCTTAAGTATCCTGTCTCTTTTCTCTAAAATTATCAAAGATAAGAGTTTAGAATAATAAGAGACATACCATTCTAAACTAATTTTCAAAATGAACTAAAACATCTAGAAAAGAATGGAAAATTGTTTTCCTCAGTGAGGATGAAAGAGGCTATGAACTTTTCTGTGTGTAACCAACCTAAGAATATAAAAGCAAACTTTTCATTCCTAATTAAGAAATTCAGATGCTATCCCAAGCTATTACCTTCTTCTTCTTCTTCTTCTTTTTTTTTTTTTTTTTTTTTTTGTTTAAAATACAAGGTCTCTCTCTGTCACCAGGCTGGAGTACAGTGGTGCAATCATGGCTCACTGCAGCCTTGAACTTGTGGACTCAAGCGATTTTCCTGCCTCTCTCCCAAGGAGCTAGGAATGCAGGAGTGTACCACCATGCCCAGCTAAATAAAAAAAATGCCAAGTTGCCCAGGTTGGTCTAGAACTCATAGCTTCAAGCAATCCTCTGGCCTCAGCCTTCCAAAGGGTTAGGATTACAGGCATGAGCCACCACACCCAGCCTATTACTTTCTTATCTGTATTATTGTCAACTTTACATTTATTCTTCCTCTTTTAAATTAGCTGTGGAAAGGTGTATGTATTTCCTTTTCACAAAGTATTAAACCATCTATTCCTATGTCCTTTTCTTTTGATGTTGAGAGAGTATTTCTTTTTTTAAACCCACATTCACCCTTACTCTTTTTAACTTCTCTACCATTCCTTCACATTCCTCCATTTTATTATTTGCAGGATAGCAATGATAGGATTCATATTTACCTCACTGGATTTTTATGAGACTTAAAAGACCAAATGCTTTGAATAGTAAAACATGAAATTAAAAGGGCTAGGATCTTTATTTTTATGTAATGGAGGGATGAAGATGGAGCACAGGAGAGTTTTTGGAAAGTGAAACTATTTTGCATAATATAGTAATGGTGGATACATGTTATATATTTGTCAAAACCTACAGTGCTTGACTATAGTCCCAGATACTTGGGAGATCGTTTGAGTCCAGAAATTTGACTTCAGCCTGGGCAACATTAATGAGACCTGTCTCTTAAAACAAAACAAACCAAAAACCAAAAACAATAAAACATACAACAAAAAGTGTGAATTCTAATGTAAATTATAGACATTAGTTAGTAATCAGTGTCAATATCATTTCATCAATTGTAGTAAATGTACCACATTAAAACAAGATGTAGGCCAGGCACAGTGGCTCACGCCTGTAAGGACAGCACTTTGGGAGGATAAGGTGGGCAGATCGCTTGAGGTCAGGAGCTGAAGACCAGCCTGGCCAATATGGTGAAACCCCATCTCTACTAAAAATAAAAAAATTAACCAAGCGTGGTGGCATGCACCTGTAATCCCAGCAGCTTGGGAGGCTGATGCACCAAAATTGCTTGAACCTGGGAGGTGGAGGTTACAGTGAGCCTAGATCAAGATCATGCCACTGCATAGAGCTGGACTCTTTCAAAAAATAAATAAATAAATAAATAAATAAAAATAAAAATAAAATAAAAAACAAGACGTAAATAACAAGAGAAACTGTGAGGAGTGGAAGAGGGTATGTGGAAACTCTACTTTCTGATGAATTTTTCTATGAACCTCAAATTCTTTAAAAAAAGTCTATTAAAAAAAAACCCACTGAAGAGCAATGGATGTTTAGAAAAACATGTATCTTTCAAAACAAGGATAAAGACTTCATAAATTAATATTTACCATTCTCCAGCTTGGCTGACTGAATTTAATTCTGTTACATTGTACATAATAGATGGCTCCAGTGAAACCTTCTCCATAAACATAGGTGAGGTTGTCATATTCTGAATCTGGGCTTCCAGAAATACTTCATCAGTCTGAGGATATGAAAAAAATATCCACCAAGGTGTGGTGGCATTTAAAATATTTATCTCAACAAAAATATCTTATCTATATGAAGAAAAAATATTAACCACAAATGTGATTAGTTCATGCCTGCAAATCAAAGTTACCACAATTAATGCAAGAAAAGAAATCTTCACCCTATCATAATTAACAGGGGCAAAGTCAAGTGTTAGTCAACTGATACCTTGTCAAACAATGGATGGAGGATAACTATATTTTGTCTTAACATCCCAAAATACTTAACTGGAATTTCATTTACAAATACTCTTTCTTTTCATTAGGTATTAAAATATTAAAATGTGCTTTAGTATGATGAATATACCTATGCTCCTATAATTTCAGTATTACGTTAAGATAATTAAGTCTTCATTATAATATGGCAGTATAACTTTGATTGTCATATTAATGCCAATTTAGATAGTGTAGTGACCACTAATACTATGAATAATCTATTTTGTAATCTTGAAGGATTTAACTTTTTAAATTAAAGCAATTTGCGAGTGGTCATTAGTGATTTCTTAGTTCATTTTAAATGTATATTGAGGGCTAAAAAAAGAATATGTGGATTATACTTCACCATCGTAGAGCTTTTAAATCAGGCAAAAGGTATTTTGTAGCCTCAGTGACAGATTTTAAAGCTGATGCTATTTAGCAATATTTGCCAGTAGGTAATTTTAATAATTAGATAAATTAGATAATTAGATAAATTTAGATAAATTAATTCCCCTAATTATGCTAAACATTATTTTATGCTATTTGGTTATTATTTTCCTTCATGTAATTGAAGGATAACAGACTAACTTGATTTATCTTTGAAACAAACCTACATGAAAAATGATACACTAAGGGTATTCAATAATTTTTTTCAAAAGTTTCATAGTAATATGTTTACTACACATAAATAACATAAAATCAACTATGACCAGAAAAATTTGCCACTTAAGAGCTTTTTATTTTTTTGAGACAGTCTCATTCTGTCACCCAGGCTGGAGTGTGGTGGGGTGATCTTGGTACACTGCAACCTCCGCCTCCCGGGTTCAAGGGATTCTCCTGCCTCAGCCTCCCGAGTAGCTGGGATTATAGGCGCGCAATATCATACTGAGCTAATTTTTGTATTTTTAGTAGAGACAGGGTTTCACCATGTTGGCCAGGCTGGTCTAGAACTCCTGACCTCAAGTGATCCACCCACCTCGGCCTCCCAAAGTGCTGGGATTAGAGGTGTGAGCCACTGTGCCTGGCCTATGAGCTTCCCCCAACCCCCACAAGATGGAGTCTTGCTCTGTTGCCCAGAGTAGAATGCAGTGGCAAGATCTCCTCTCACTGCAACCTCCACCTCCCAGGTTCAAGCGATTCTCCTGCCTCAGCCTCCCTAGTAGCTGGGACTACAGGCAGTGCCACCATGCCCAGCTAAATTTTTGTATTTTTATTTATTTTGAGACGAAGTTTCACTCTGTCACCCAGGCAGGAGTGCAGTGGTGCGATCTCAGCTCACTGCAACCTCTGCCTCCTGAGTTCAAGTGATTCTCCTGCCTCAGCCTCTCAAGTAACTGGGATTACGGGCAAGTGCCACCATGCCTGGCTAATTTTTGTATTTTTTATAGAGATGAGGTTTCACCATGTTGGCCAGGCTGGTCTCAAACTCCTGACCTCGTGATCCGCTCGCCTCGGCCTCCCAAAGTGCTGAGATTACAGGCATGAGCCACCGCGCCTGGCTGAGCTTTTTAAACACTAACACCAAGAAAATGAAAATCATTTGCAAAAATATAATGATTAAGTTATAATATAATGTACTATTATCTAAAATAAAACAGATTCTTTAGTTTTTGGGACATGTGTTCAAATGAAAATAGAAATAAAATGATTTATCAGTTTAAAAAAATGCATCATTTAATGGCATTTTTTGGTTACTGGTTCTAAAAAAAAGTACATATATCCCATCAATCCATTGCTTTTAAAAAAATAACCACAGACCCACATTTCAATTTAAAAACTGCAATTTTCTGCATAAATTTAGGAAGAGCTTAGATAAAACGAAAGAAAAACAAGCAGCATAATGGAAAATCAAGTTAGTTTGAACAGTTAGTGTAAAGCAATTTGATATTTTAAAAATTAAGAATTCAGTGCTAAGGCAGTTGATGTTATTACATATGTAATGTGATATAAGCAAATGCTGCTTATTGTAAATATAACTTTGAAAACAAAATTTTAGCCAAGTTGGGAAAATTTGCTTTTCTTCTGTTTCATTTTGTCAAGCGGCCATCATCACCTGACCCAGACTTAAAACTAAAACCACTGTGCATCTGAAAATGAATTTCGATTATACAGTCTACTCAAAGAACTGAAGGCTAGGATAATCGGGTATTTTACAGTAAGATGATGAAAATCACAAGGCCATTTGACACAAGGTAACATACCTCTTTAAAAAAAAAATCTAAAGAAGAAACACTGAAAATGAGAATTGTTTCAGTATGACAATTTAACTTTTGAGCTAATTTTGCCCCACGGAATAGAAAATTGATATAATTAAAAAGTACATAAAATTATATATAATCTTTCTGAAGTCACATAGGTGGTATTCACAACTAACTGTTTTTCCACTATGTTTTGTAAAGAGAGATTAATTAGGCAGAGTCAAAAAGTGGTGAGTAAGAAAAGTATAAAAATTTATAATAAAAAATCAAATTACCACAGAACTGAGGTCACTCTAATGGAAAAATAAAAAAGAATAATTAGAAAAATCAGAGTTAAATGTTAAAGAAAAAAGAATTACTTTAAAATAAAATGCATTTCTGCATTTTTTTAAATTACTAAACAAGACAGCATTAGTAAATAAGAAAGTAAACAGGAAGCAACATAAAGAAATATGACAAACCATTTTTCTAAAAAGGTGAAACTGCTAAGGTTAAATGACAATGGAATAGAGAAGAACCCTATGGCTGAATACTCAACAGTAGCAAACTGTTAAGGGCACATTTTGGAGCAGAGAGGTATACCCCATGACTTTCTAGTTCTATAATTCTTTACCAACATTGCAATTCTTCATAGATAATTTAGGATGAATATATACTATCCTCCACATTCAGAATAGATATACACCGTATACCTTCTCTTAAATTTATGTAATAATGGAATCATCTTTCTAAGGAATATCTTGGGCAATTAGAGTTCCGTTGATCACTTCAGGGAATGTGGGGCTGAACCACTTGAAAAAATTGAGAATTCTCTTCTTCTTAGTAGATTTCATAGTTAGCCTTTTTAAAACTTATATATTTCTTCAATGTTTTATTAAGAGCAATCTCAAATGTCACCTCCATCAAATGCATAGCTGGAAATCATTTTTCACCTCTCTAGGTACCCAGGATGTGTTACTTCACGATTTGGGTTATATGTGTGGGAGGGGCTTACATTATAGTTGCATCATGTCAGTCTCCTCTACTGGATGCAGGTCCCTTCAGAATTGGGAAGATGTTCTGTTTATATTTATCTTCGGTACCTGGCAGGTGACCAAATGTTTGAAACCTAGCTTCTAGTCTCACCAATCTGCCTGCAAGGCTTTTCTATCTTAGAAGACTATAACAAAGTTTCTCATGAACTTGTTTTCCTTTAGGTGATTCACATATTACAGCATTATTAGAAACAGTATCAAAATATATGTTTGAGACAGATGTGGGGCCAATAATATTAACTGTAAAAGGACTACAGCACAGAGCAATAAGCATCACTTACTGATATTACTGTGGTTTATTAACTCCTACAATCTACCTGAAATTCCTGGTTGGGGTCAACATAATCTGCCTCATGCTAGTGGCTGAACAGTATTTGTTTGTCTAATAGGTAATATTAAGTATCTTAGAGAGACCCAAAATGCTATTTGTTCACTCCTGATTTTTAAAGTGAGATCTATTTTCAAAAGTTCAGAATATTACTGAAATTATTTTGATTGAAGTTTGTTAGCAAGATTTAAAGATTATGTCAACATATAATGTTAACTGACAAAGGAAGCAAACAAAATTGTCGTGATTATAAAAATAGAATATTATATATAAGTGAATAAAGACTGCAAAAGAGTATGTATAATGAAAAATCAATTGGTGTGGTGGAATTGTGAATTTTTATTTCTTTATGGAGAGCATGTCACTTCTATAATGTTTATAGAAAAACTAGCAATTTTTAAAATTATTCACAAATCACTCTGAATATTAGCGTTATAAAACTAATTTACAGGTATCTTAGTGTACTACCATATTTTTAATGAAGAAAACCTAAAATAACTGAATATGTGACTCCTAGGAGCCAGTTACAGAAAATAACCCACCTATTGCCCTATTTTAAATTAATTTTCTAACAGAATAGTTAACATTTTCCCCTCATACTATAAATGAAATCTTTTCCAGCAAAAATTAGACTATTTAAATCTCACCATGCTGACTAGCTATACTGTAATTAATCAACAGTGTGGTATTAATAACAAAAAAGAGGGAATAAATGCGTATTACTCCAACTCACCTATCCCCCACAAAAGAAACATCAACTTTGTAAACATCTAGTAATCTTGATGATGCTTTTCCCTCTCGTCAAATAGGTATGCTCTTTCCTATGTACTTGATACTTCATGTCCATTTGTAACCCTGCTTGAATGCCTTCACTGCTTTGACACTTGTTTCCAACCTGCATTCCTTTCAGACTCCAATCCAGTTTTCCTTCTCTTCCATAAAGCTTCTTTAAACTATTCCAAGATCACATTCCCGAGAGCTCTTGCAGCACATCTTTTCGTATCATTCTCACTATATTCCATTCTAGGTAGTTTTGTTATTACATGCATTTTTTCTTTTCTCCTAATAGGTCTTTGCTGCAGGTTAGGTTCCTTAACTTTGACATCTTAGAAATCCTAGTTATAGTATAAATTTTACTGAGTAAAAATTCAGATTGTGGATGGTAAAAATAAATACCGAATTTGCCATGTGATTAAAAATGTCTGATCATTATCTGGTTTTAGAGTAGCAGAGATATAATCTTCATTTCAAAATACTGTATTTGGATATCTTTGAATTTATCACTGGTATGAAACACAAGATTTTGGGGCATAAGAGGGCTAGCAAGAGATCTGATTTTTCTGCAGCTCTAGAAGCCAAGATAAAACAGAATCTTAGAAAAGAAATCCAAGCAATAAATCCTTTCTCCTATGGCAAGTTCTTTTTTTTTTTTGGGCAAGTTCTATTTTATCTCTTTTTTTTTAGGGTAAAAGATAGAGTATCTTCTATTATAAGTTACTTCTCTTTTTGCCAAATTTGTTTTTCCCAAGGAGCTTTTAAAGCCATTACACCAAACTCAGCAACCTAATTCTGGCTGGCAAACTGACTACCCTGGAAATAATTTAATGTGCTAAGCTTCACTTGTCAGTATTTTTCCATGTGAATATTAAATCTATTTTGCAGCGTTAGATCTACTAATTCAATTTTTGTAAAATCCCGAACCACATGTAAATATTCAACAGATTGCTAGTGTAACAACCACCATTAAATGGAATGAGAGGGCAATCATTTAACGAAAGGAGATGAAAGCCTTATAAAATTAACGAGAATAAAAATCAAGACACATTGATTCCATGTAAGCTGAAAAAGATTATGAGACCTATAATAAAATTATTCAATTTTAACTGAAATTTGTGATTTTTTCAAATAATTTACAGTCACGTTGGCGATTTGCTTCAGTATTAGAAATGTATATAAGAGATTTTTAGTCAAATACGATCTTAATGTTTAATATGAAATCCCATTAAACACTCAACACTTACCTCTGCATTGTAAAATTTGGTTTTCACATCCAATGGTTTGAGAACCTGGTTAAATAAAGCATATCAATCAGGAGATTGTTATCATGTGACCATTTATTTATTTATTTAAATCAAATAGTGTAAGTTTGTCAGTCATTTTCCAATTTTAATTGTTAAAAGACTTTTCTAATAGGTATGCAATATTCTTCCAAAAAAAAAAAAAAAAAGAAAAGAAAAAAGAATCCCTAATGTATTTTTTGAGAGGCTACCATTATTTCTTGACTGGGTGATAATTACATTACATGGGTTTTTGCTCCATAATATTTTGTTAAACCAAACACATACATTTTATGTATTTTTCTATATCTATATTCACAAAAACTGTTTGCAAAAAAAAGCAACTGAGCTGGGTGCAGTGGCTCACTCCTGTAATCCCAGCACTTTTAGAGGCCAAGGCAGGCGGATCACCTGAGGTCAGGAGTCGAGACAAGCCTGGCCAACATGGCAAAACCCCGTCTGTACTAAAAATACAAAAATTAACTGGGCGTGGTGGCGGGTGCCTGTAATCCCAGCTACTCGGGAGGCTGAGGCAGGAGAATCGCTTGCACCCACAAGGCGGAGGCTGCAGTGAGCTGAGATCGCGTCATTGCACTCCAGCCTAGGCGACAAGAGTGAAACGCCATCTCAAAAAAAAAAAAAAAAAAAAAAAAAAAAAAAAAAAAAACTGAATCACGTTTTATTTTCTTTCAAAAAGCATACAAATGAATGATTCAGCAAAAGAATGGCAGATTTTTTTTCCCTATGAATAGTATTTTTTCTTCCACTTACAAAGGAATGAAAAAAACCATATACAGTATCATATTTAGATCTATATTTATAATAGACATACGTGGTATTCACATTTCCTCACCACCCCCCCCACATAAATGTGCTAAACCAGTGTTTTGAAACTATTTTTGATGGAAGCTGAAAACTGTATATTAATACAAAACTCAACTTAAAGTTCCAGTGATTCCTGGAGTCTTTGAAGGAAGCTCAGTCTACTCTAAGTCAATTGTCTCTCCTTTAAATTTCTTTAGAAATTTGATATTATTTACTCTCATTTTATCTGGACTTTACACTCATTTTATCCCTTGTCTACATTGTGTGTTTTCTCAGGCCATAAAAACAAGTTATTTACTTTTCGGAGACAGAGTCTTGTTCTGTTGACCAAGCTGGAGTGCAGTGGCGTGATCACAGCTCACTGAAGCCTTGAAGCCTGGGGTCAAGCGATCCTTCCGCCTCAGCCTCCCAACGAGCTAGGATTATAGGCTTGTGCTGTAGTCCTAGGTCATGTTGTCTGGGCTATCTTGAACTGGCCTCAAGTGATCCTCCCCACTTTGCTTCCCAAAGCACTGGGATTATAGGTGTGAGCCACTGTGCCAGACTCAGCTATTTTTTTCTTTTATTTTGAATAAACACCTTCAAGTTTCATTACAAAAACATGTTGGCAATGATAATTCTTCTGCTTTTATTCACCTTAATTTAGTCTGAGTTTAGACTGCTAGTCATATGACACATTCAAAAATATTGAGCTATTTGCTTTATTTGGAGCTTGTTTTCCCTGCAGATAAACGGGAATAACTGTATACTACCAGGAAGAAAAAGGCATATAAAAACTATTTACCATTGTCATATTCAATACCTGAAATTTGAAGAATTTTCTGAAATACATTTTTTCTCCAGCCTGAGTTGTATAACTCACAGCACATACCAAGCTGAAACAGAAAGATGTCTTAACGATTCTGAGTCATTTTTAATTTTAATAGTAAATCAAACACACCTCAATTCTACTAAGAAATTTGGAAAACACTTATATCTATGGTGTGGATGTGTGAGATTAGAGCAGGGGAAAAAGTCAGAATAGATATGGACATAATTACATGAACAACAAAGCTCTGATTAGTAAAATGAGATATAACATTTTTGGAGCACAAAATCAGAAACTTCCTGACTTCACCTGAAAGGTGAAATATATTCCAAAATAATTCTCAGAATAATCAAATATTTGAGTATATAAAACAAGTTCATATAAACTAGAAAAAAATATGGATTAAAAAAATTCCAGCTGGGCACGGTTGTTCATGCCTGTAATCCTAGCACTTTGGGAGGTCAAGGCGGGCGGATCACTTGAGGTCAGGAGTTCGAGAGCAGCCTGGCAAACATGGTGAAACCCTGTCTCTACTAAAATTACAAAAATTAGCTGGGTGTGGTGGTGGGCGCCTGTAATCCCAGCTACTCAGGAGGCTGAGGCAGGAGAATCGCTTGAACCCAGGAGGTGGAGGTTGTGGTGAGCTGAGATTGCGCCATTGCACTCCAGCCTGAGCAACAAGAGCAAAACTCCATCTCAAAAAAAAAAAAAAAAAAAAAGGCCAGGTGTGGTGGCTCATGCCTGTAATCCCAGCACCTTGGGAGGCCGAGGTGGGCAGATCACGAGGTCAGGAGATCGAGACCATCCTGGCTAACACGATGAAACCCTGTCTCTACTAAAAAAATACAAAAAATCAGCTGGGCATGGTGGCGGGCACCTGTAGTCCCAGCTACTCGGGAGTCTGAGGCAGGAGAATGGCGTGAACCCGGAAGGCAGAGCTTGCAGTGAGCTGAGATTGCGCCACTGCACTCCAGTCTGGGCGACAGAGTAAGACTCCATCTCAAAAAAAAAAAAAAAAATACAGATAGATTTCTTAACATAAATGCAATGAGAAATACTGTTATGTAAAAAATTTTAAGTTGAATCAAAAACACTAAAACAATTACAAAGCAGAAACAAACTAGGATAAAATACTTGTAACAATACGAGAAAGTGGTTACACTTTAATACTTAATATGACAAAGGGTTCCCATAAGTTAATAAGCAAAACACCAATAGATCACTCAAAACATCAGAAAAGGAATACACAGTTAAATCACAGTACCATAACTGGCTAACAAAAATGTGAAAATGTTCAGCCTCACAAGTAGTCAGAGAAACACGTTAAAATAATGAGGTAATATTTTTCCATTTATCAAGAGTTGAAAAAATTCTTTATAAGTGATATCAGAGTTGGTGAGGGTTTAGAGAAACTGTCTTTCTACCCTGCTAGTGGTTGGAAGAAATTTAACAATCTTTTAGTGAAAGAGCCTTAAAAATGCTTAATGTGTTCTCATAGTAAAACCACTTCAAATATTCCACATAAGGAAACATTAAGGTGTTCATCTCTGTGTTACTTTTAACAGTGAAAAACCAAAAATAAACATCCAACATTACAGTAAACAAAAAACACTGTACAATTGTGTTAGATGGAGTCATGTAAAAAAAAAGTTTCTTTTTTTGAGGCAGGGTCCCACTGTGTCACCCAGGCTGAAGAGCAGTGGCGTGATCATGGATCACTGAAGCCTTGACCTCCTGGGCTCAAGCAATCCTCCCGCCTCAGTCTCCCGACTAGCTGAGACTACAGGCATGCTCTATCATGTCTGGCTAATTTTTGTATTTTTTGTAAAGATGGGATTTCATCATGTTTCCCAGGCTGGTCTTGAGCTCCTGAGCTCAAGCGATCTGCCCACCTTAGCCTCCCAAATTATTAGGGATTACAGGCATGAGCCACCACACCCGGCCCAAAAACTGTGTTTCCAAAAAATACTGTCTATTGTGTGTGAAAATGTTCACACTGTATTTAAAAAAATAAAACTATGAGCAATATGGCCAAAATTTTGTAAAATATTATTTATACACATTTATTTTATATATATATGCAAAAAGACTGGAAAGAAATATATTAATATTTTAATAGTGGTTGGTTATATGGGGTGGTAACATTAGCAGGTAATTTAATTTCTCCTTTATACTTGTGCTGCCTAGTACTGACTAAGTAAGGCAGGGGCTAGGAAGAGGACTGATCAAAGCACAATACATGCCTTCTAAGTGCTCACAGTAAGAATAGTATAGCAAGGTAGAGGATCTAAAACTAGGTTTGGATTTGAGTTCTATGTCTTCTAAACTAGCTGCTTAATTGTACAAGTCTCATTTTCTGTAAAATGGAGATTTTACACATTTATTACCATTTCAATAAATACTGACTTCTGTTCTCTGCTAGATCCTTGGACTACAGCAGACTTCATGCATCTCCTACTTTAATGGGAAAGGCAGGGACAGGCACTCAATAAGTAAATACGAAACATTTTTTAAAATGATAAATGGTGGGTGCTATAGAAGATACAAAAAGTGGGATTTAATCTAGTCTAGCAGGTTAGGAAAACTTCTTGAGGAAGTAGTGCTGAATCTGAGATTTGAAAGAGAAGTAGAAGTAAACTAAATAAAATGCCATAGGTATTCCTTTGTAAGGGAAGAATGCATTTCAATCCATGGAGTCTGGAGATAAAAGAAGTCAAATAATGACTGCAGGGTGGAGAGGGAGGGATGGGTGGTGATGGTAAGAACTACTGTGGTTTGTTAAGAATTAGGTTGCAGAGAGCTTTGTAAAACATTTGCAAAGTCAGAATTTCCTAAGGACAATGGGCAATCACTGAAGAATTAAGTGACTTATACAAGATCACATAACAAATGATGAAGCTGAAATTTGAATTCTGGGAAGTCTGACTCCAAAGCCCAAAGAATATACATGAAAAAGTCCCTAAAATAGAGCTTGTCACCAAAATTAACTGATTAGATAACAGCTAATATTATATACTTCAATGGGCACAAAGAGAAGCAAAAGTGGTAAAGTAGAGATGAAGAAGAGATAAATGAAAGATATTCAGGAGAATTAATAGGATTTTGTGAACTGACTGGATGCAGGATTTCTAAAGGAGATGAAGAAGTCTAAAATTACTTCAGATGGCTAAAATTTTCATATTGCCTCTCAGACTGAAAGAAAAATAGAGCGTTCACATTCAGATACATACACAAGGCAGGAATACAGAATTTGATTTTTTTTCACAGTGTGCCTTATTTTGGTCCTACATTTCTGAGTTCTCAGGACAGAGTGCATATACCTGGTTAAATACAAAACTGAAAAACTGAATTTAAAAATAAACACTATGAACATCAGTTACTAGCATTTCAAAACACAATAAATTTACTTTTAGAGTGCTACCTGGGTTTTAAACATTTTGTACAGCTTTTCATTTTTTAGAGATTGTAGATGTAAAAAAATAAAACTAGAGATAAATGATGATAAACTGGATTTTCTCCCTACAAAACAAACATTTGGTTTAAACTTTATTTCTGGTAAACATGCCAACATAGAACATAAAATTCCTTTTGAAGTAGGTTCCTATGCTTCATGGTGAATGAAAAGAAAGCAAAAATTTCAAACAAAGGCATATATAAGTAAAAACCTTTGAGAACTAATAAAATTAATCCTTACATGTGTGTTCCAATTTCTTTGACTTCATGATGTATGACATCATCAATACAACAATCCGGTTTAAGTTCAGCCACTGCAGCATTGGAGGCTGAAAGATTTAAACGCTGAGAACTTGTCTGAAGATCAGCCTTGAAAGAAAGTTAAAAAAAAAAAAAAAGTCCAAATGAGACTGGTTACCTACAGGGTGTGCATGGCTATGAGTGGAAAGAATAGGGGAATAAGAATTAGGAAAGAAGGATGAAAGGGGGAGCAACACTTTTATGTGTAAACCTTTCTGTATAGCTCTGATGCTTAGAACCATGGCAATGGCACACCCCCCCAACCCCAAAAAAATAAATAAATAAGATCAAGCAGGAATTAGGGAGAATTCAAAATGGAATATAAACAGTAACAAATGAACCTAACTGCATTACAAATGAAGAATACAATCGGGCTATAGCAGAGGGAAGGGTAAAAGTGGAACTAACCTAAGTAAGTTTGGAAAACAAAATCTTAACTGTAATCTATGGCTAAAGACAAAAAGAATGGTACACAAATATACTCTAGCTACGACACGTGTTTTTTCACCATTTTATGTGTATACTAGGACAAAACAAAATAATACATTGTGGATAACAAGAGACAGGTTTCTTACCTTCAGAGAAAAAAAAAGGTACAAATAAGGAAGGGGGGAAGCTACAATGGTGTTGGACTGGAATTTGAGGCATCAGTATGAACACATGGTTTTTAAATATATATTCAGATGGACTTCACTGAAACAAATAGATATGTATGTATGTGCTAGTATATAACACTAAAAGATAAGTAATCGTCCAAAACAAAATTAGATGTCAGAGATCAATTCGTTTATAAGAGAACTAGAAAATGACATTAAAGCCACCAACTAAGAAAGCACTACCTCATCTAAAGTAGCACTTTCCCTCCACCCGATGATGCTCCATTATATTTCTTTTTTCTCCTTTTGAACATTTATCACTCTGTCTTAAAACTACCCTCCCCCTTATCTCAATTACTTTCTACCACATTCAACTTTTGCTTCCTTTGTAACATTTATCACAATCTATAATTACCTTATGTATGATTTTGTTTACCTGTTTCTTTCTGTCTCCCCTACCAGAAAAGTCTATGGAGGCAGGAACCTCGTCTTCTCTTGCTCACCACTATAGCATGGTGCCTGGCACATAGTAGGCAATTAATCAATATTTGTTGAATAATGAATGGATGAATTTATGATAAAACTTCCAAGGCAAAAAAAAAATTGAGGGAAAGCAAAGATCACATTAGGTCATGGGAATTAGTGGAGGTTTTTACATGAGAGTTAGGATTCTTTTAAGTTTTTGTTTCTTTTATAAAACAGTTTTTTGTTTGTTTGTTTGTTTGAGACAGAGTCTTGCTCTGTCACCCAGGCTGGAGTGCAGTGGCACCATCTCGGCTCACTGCAAGCTCCATCTCCCAGGTTCACGCCATTCTCCTGCCTCAGCCTCCCGAGTAGCTGGGATTACAGGCATGCACCACCACGCCTGGCTAATTTTTTGTATTTTTAGTAGAGACGGGGTTTCACCGTGTTAGCCAGGATGGTCTTGATCTCCTGACCTCGTGATCCGCCCGCCTCGGCCTCCCAAAGTGCTGGGATTACAGGCGTTAGCCACCGCGCCCTGCTAAAAAACAGTTTTGCAGTTAATTCTAACCCAACAATTTTATGTTAGACACTTTGAAATGGGATATTTATTACTGCTGTGTCTTTTGTTATATTCAGTTATAAAACAATAGTAGCTCACATTTATTTGGTACCTATTATGTGCAAGGCCCTGTTCTAAGCATATTATTCATTTAATCCCCATATCCTGAAGTAGGTATTAGTATTATCCCCATTTCACAGACCACAGACAATGAAACCAAGGCACAGAAAAGTAACAACTTTCCCAAGGTTATACAATTCATAAGTAATAAAGCTGAGATTCAAAATTCTTTTTTTTTTTTTTTTGAGACAGAGTTTCACTCTTGTTGCCCAGGCTGGCGTGCAATGGCATGATCTCGGCTGACTGCAACCTCTGCCTACCAGGTTCAGGCGATTCTCCTGCCTCAGCCTCCGGAGTAGCTGGGATTACAGGCGCCCGTCACCACATCTAGCTAATTTTTTGTATTTTTAGTAGAGATGGGGTTTCACCATGTTGGCCAGGCTGGTCTTGAACTCCTGGCCTCAGGTGATCTGCCCGCCTTGGCCTCCCAAAGTGCTGAGATTACAGGTATGAGCCACCGCGCCCAGCCCTAAAAGTTTTTAAACATTTTTTTTTTTTTTTTGGAGACGGAGTCTCGCTCTGTCACCCAGGTTGGAGTGCAGCAGCACCATCTTGGCTCACTGCAACCTCTACCTCCCAGATTCAAGTGATTGTCCTGCCTCAGCCTCCCCAGTAGCTGGGATTACAGGCAAGCGGCACTAAGCCTGGCTAAATTTTGTATTTTTAGCAGAAACAGGGTTACACCATGTTGGCCAGGCTGGTCTCAAACTTCTGGCCTCAAGTGATCTGCCGCCTCGGGCTCCCAAAGTGCTGGGATTACAGGTGTTAGCCACTGCGCCCAGATATAAATTCTTAAACATTTTTGAAATTAGAGAAAAAAAGAAATAATTGAACCCATTGGCTTTCTGTTGAATATGTTTTCCTGTGTGTCCTATGTGTCATTTTAATCATAACTGCAGTTTTTTGATAAGTAGGATTTGAAAAGGCAAAGAGGAAAGGGGTTGGGGGAACTTATTCTAAGTAAGTTGAACAGAGCTAGCAAAATACCACAAGTGTGAAAGCTCAAGATGTCTTCAGAGGACACTAAGAGTTTGGTATAATTGGCCAGGCATTGTGGCAGTTTCCTGTAATCCCAGCTACTCGGGAGGCTGAGGCAGAAGAATCACTTGAAACCAGGAGGTGGAGGTTGCAGACCCATATTGAAAGGGTCTACTTGGAATCAGGGAAATCACACCCAAAGACCAATTTTGAAACATAAAGAAAAAAAATCACCAGGACCTCCAGGAAAAATTATGAAATAACTTACAAGGCAAGAGAATTAGACTGGCCTCAATCCTCTCAAAAACAACATACAGAGCTGAGCAATAAAGGAGTAGCATTTTCAAAAAACATAAGGAAATAAAAATGTAAACAGAAGATTTTAAATCTAGCCAAACTAAACTTGAAGTATTGAAAAACATCTTTGAACAAGGGCTCAGAGAATATTGTACCCACAAGAACTTCCTGAGCAATCTACTTGAATATTTTTAATATTAAAAGCTGCAATTCACAATGACTAACAATAATTATAAATATGCATGAAACAGCATAGTCTTTTTTTTTTTTTCTTTCTTTTTTTTTTTTTTCTGAGACGGAGTCTCACTCTGTCGCCCAGGCTGGAGTGCAGTGGCACGATCTCGGCTCACTGCAAGCTCTGCCTCCCGGGTTCACGCCATTCTTCTGCCTCAGCCTCCCGAGTAGCTGGGACTACAGGCGCCCGCCATCACACCCGGCTAATTTTTGTATTTTTAGTAGACACAGGGTTTCACCGTGTTAGCCAGGATGGTCTTGATCTCCTGACCTTGTGATCCGCCCGCCTCGGCCTCCCAAAGTGCTGGGATTACAGGCATGAGCCACCCCACCCAGCCGAAACAGCAGTCTTTATAAAGCAAAATATATGAGATTTTAGAATATATATATAGAAATACACTAGTAATATGAGACAAACATGCCACTCTTAGTATAAGACGGATGAAGTTAACAATAAATATACAGAATCTAGCCCTAAACAACACAATTGATAAAATAGCTCTTATGAATATATATATATATCTCTAACTTTACAGCCAATAATAAAACATATACATTCTTCTCAAGTACACATGGAAAATTCATAAAAAATCAATATTGGGTCATAAGACATCATCAGTAAGTTCCATAAGCTGAAATATTACAAGAACAACGCTGATTGGAATGTAATAAAACTATAAATTATTAACAACAATTAAAATAGAAAAAAAAAAGCCTTTCCCCCTAAAAAGCTTTTCCATTAAACAACCCTTGGGTAGAAGGTGAAATACGACTGAAATTACAGAATTCTTTAAAAAGTAATGATAAAAATATAAAAAAAGTTTTTAATTTGGGCAATTCTGCAAAGTATTTTCACATTTATTATATTGTCTTAATGTAAGATACGGTGTTTGGGATGTTCAACAATGCTACTACCTCTTTACTGTTGTACAGTAGGCATCAGCTCTTTCTTCCACCATCAATTTTTAATTTTTAATTTATTTTTTAATTTGGTCTCACTACATTGGGCAACAGAGTGAGATGCTGTCTCCAAAAAATAAAAAATAATTAGCCAGGTGTGGTGGTATGCAACTGCAGTTACAGCAACTCGCGAGGCTAAGATGGGAGGATTGCTTGAACCTTGGAGGTGGAGGCTACAGTGAGCTATGATCACACCAACCTGGGCAACAGAGTGAAACCTCACCTCTTAAAATCAAAAGTAATGAGAATAAAAATGCTATGCATTTGAATCTTCAGGATATAAAAAGCAGTGAATCAGAGGAAAATTAACTTTTATCAATATAAATCAAAGAATCAAAATAAAAGAATAAAATTCCTAGCTAAAAAATGGTAGAAAAAGAATAAAGTAAATAAACAGAAGCATAATAAAAGAAATAGAAGCACAACTTAAAGAGAATAGAAACATATGGGATATAAGTAATTTTTTAAGTCTTGGATTTTTTTTGAAGTTAAAATACACAAACCAAGAGCTAGCTAACTTAATCAAGAAAAAAACCAAACCTAAGAAATGACCAGGGGAAAATGTTGCAATACAAGAAATTTTTTTTTTTTTTAGATGGAGTCTCACACTGTTGCCCAGGCTGGAGTGCAGTGGCACAATCTCGGCTCACCGCAACCTCCGCCTCCTAAGTTCAAGCGATTCTCCTGCCTCAGCCTCCTGAGTAGCTGGGATTACAGGCACTCGCCAGCACGCCCAGCTAATTTTTGTATTTTTAGTAGAGATGAGGTTTCACCATGTTGGCCAGGCTGGTCTCGAACTTCTGACCTCAGGTGATCCACCTGCCTCGGCCTCCCAAAGTGCTGGGATTACAGGCGTGAGCCACTGCACCCGGCCAACAGAAGAAAATTTTAAGAGCCTACTTTACAGACCTCTATGCAGATAAATGTGAAAATCTACATGAAATGAAATGGATTATTTCCTAGAAAAAAACAGCTTAACAAAATTGACACCCTTAGAGATAAACTGCTTAAACATACTATATTCATAGGAAAAAAAAAAAAAGAAAAAGTGTTATCAGGGAGCTTCCCCATTTTAAAAAAGAAAAGAACTAGCTCATATGATTTTGCAGGGAATTCTACAAATCGTTCAAAGAATAGGTAATCTAAATGATCCACAGTTCTCTGTATTTGTTTTGTCTTGTTTTTTTTGTTTTTTTTTTTTTCTCAGACAGGGTATTGCCCTGTCATCCAGGCTAGGATGCAGTGGCACAATTATAGCTCACTGCAGCCTCGAATTCATGAGTTCAAGTGATCCTCCTGCCTCAGCCTCCCAAGTAGCTAGGACTACAAGTATGCGCCACCATGGCCAGAGAATTTTTAAATTTCTTTTTTGTAGGGACATCGATCATTATATTCCCCAGGTGAGTCCTGGGGATCCTCCTGGATTCAAGGGCTCCTCCTGCCTTGGTCTCCCAAAGTGCTGGATTACAGCCATGAGCCACTGAGTCTAGCCTGATGCACATATTGTTCCAAAGCACTGAAAATACTGGAAAAACATCCGAAATCTTTTATTAAGCAACCATAATACTGACACCTAAAACCTGATCAAAAGACAACACTCACACAAATACAGGTCAATATCAAGCTGTGCTTCATGACCTATATCCTCTTAAGTGATTCTGATGTCACAATTGGCTTATCTGGCCAGATATGGTGGCTCACATGTGTAATTCCAGCACTTTGGGAGGCTGATGCGGGAGGCTTGCTTGAGTTCAGGAGTTCAAGACCTGCTTGAGCAACATAGCAAGACCTTGTCTCTAAAAAATATTAAAAAATTAGACAGGGATAGTGTCACACCCCTGCAATCCCAGCTACTCAGGAGGCTAAGGCAGCAGGATCCCTTGAGCCCATGAGTTTGAGGTTATAGTGAGCTATGATCATGCTACTGCACTCCAGCCTGGGTGACAGAGCTAGATCCTCTCTCAAAAAAAAAAAGAAAGAAAAAGAAAAATAGCATTATTATATATCATGAGTCTGAATGTCTAGTTGAGCCTAAGACCCCTAGTGAGTACTACACTGCTTATAATTATTATTATAAAAGTGAATAAAGGCATGAAATATAAAATCATGTTTTAGAACATGCATACTACTGTATTCTTTGATCTTTATAGTACTGACATCTTAAAGTATATGCCTTTGCTATTTTATTAATCTCTTATAAAAATAAATTCAATATTTACTGAATTTACTGAATTGCCAGTATTTACTGAATTCCAAGAAATTCAATATTTACAACATAGAAAGACAAAAGTATATGTTCTCAAACTTTTGAAAATCAGATCTTTTCACAATCGAATGTAGAGGTTGGCAAGCTTTTTCTCTGAAGTCATTAGCAAATATTTTAGATTTTAGAGGCCATACAATCTCCGTTTCAACTATATACAACTCTGCTGTGGTAGCTGGAAATCAGCCACAGATAAAACATAAACAAATGAGTATGGCTGTGTGTCAGTAAAGCTTTATTTAAGGACACTGACATTTGAATTTCTTTTTTGTTTGTTTGTAGAGGCGGTGCCTTGCTATGTTGTGTAGGCTGGTCTCAAACTCGTAGCCTGAAGCAATCTTCCTGCCTTGGCTCCCAAAGCACTGGGATTATAGGCAGGAGCCACCACACCTGGCCTGAAATTTGAATTTCATGTAATTTTCACAAGTCACAAAATATTCTTTTCAATAATTTGAAAATGTGAAAACCATTCTTAGTTCAAAAGCCTTATAAAAACAGACAATGGACCAAATTTGGTCTTTGGGCTGTAGTTTGTCAACTCCTAATTTAATGAAAGGCAGAGACCCCATCCATATATGACAAACATATGTACGTGTATGCACAAATTTGCATCCAGTTTCTGGAAGTTGGGTCTATTTGCTCTCTAACGTCCTTGTTAACTTTAAAACTCTATGATCATTTTCAAACTCATTCTAATTAGAGGTCCTTTTTGGAATACTCCAATTACCTGAACTCATCACTCTAAGACAGGTTTTACAAAAACCTCTCCCCCACATACTGTGAGTTCTTACCTTCTTTTTGCTCTTTTTCTTTTGAAGAAATTTCAGGTCATTAGCGGAGTTAGCATATTCTATCTTTTAATTTCTACACTACTTCAAAGGTCTTCTAACTGTTCCATTTTCTACAAAGCATCCCACACAATGTGCTCATATCAGTCTTTCTAACACAAAGAGTGCTCAAAAGCCAACTGCCTGCTGTTTTTTATTTAATTTTTTTCAGTGACAGGTCTTGTTCTGTAGCCCATGCTGGAGTGCCCAGGCAAAACTCAATGCAGCCTCAAACTCCTGGGCTTAAACAATCCTCCAGTTTCAGCTTCCTGAGTAGCTGGGACTACAGGTGTGTGCCAGCATGCTCAACTACTTTTTAAATTGTTTGTAGAGATGGGAGTCTCGTTATGTTTCCCAGGCTGGTCTTGAACTCCTGGCCTCAAGTAATCCTTCTGTCACAGCCTCCCAAAGTGTTGGGATTCTGGGTATGAGCCACTGTGCCAGGCCTGTTTTTTTTTTTCTTAATTAATTTTTTTGTCCATTTTAAAAAATAATTTTTCAAAAAAGGTTAAATAAAACCTTAGCCTGGCTTTCAAGATGCTCTATTGTATGGCTACTGATATGGTTTGACTCTGTGTCCCCACCCAAATCTCATCTTGTAGCTCCCGTAATTCCCATGTGTTGTGGGAGGGGCCTGGTGGGAGATAATTGAATCATGGGGGTGGGTCTTTCCTGTGCTGTTCTCATGACGGTGAATAAGTCTCATGAGATCTGATGGTTTTATTTTTATTTTTTGGGGGATGGAGTATTACTCTGTCACCCAGGCAGCCTGGAGTGCAGTGGCACAGTCTTGGCTCACTGCAACCTCAGCCTCCCAGGTTCAAGTGATTCTCCTGCCTCAGCTTCCCAGGTAGCTGGGATTACAAGCACACGCCACCACTCCTGGCTAATTTCTGTATTTTTAGTAGAGATGGTATTTCACCACGTTGGGCAGGATGGTCTCGAACTCCTGAACTCAAGTGATCCACCCGCCTTGGCCTCCCAAAGTGCTAGGATTACAGGCATGAGCCACTACGCCTGGCTGAGATCTGATGGTTTTAAAAATGGGAGTTTCCCCGCACAAGCTCTCTCTCTTTGCCTGCTGCCATCCACGTGAGACATGACTTGCTCCTCCTTGCCTTCCGCCATGATTGTCCCCAGCTACGTGGAACTATAAGTCCATTAAACCTCTTTCTTTGGTAAATTGCCCAGTCTTGGGTATGACTTTATCAGCAGCATGAAAATGGACTAATACAGCTACTATTCCTCTGTACCACCTTACGGACTCTTACCAAGTGAAATTTGTTCACTGTTAAAAGAACACATGTGTACCACTATGTCTCTGCCTCTGATTACCATGTCTCCCTTGCCTTGTTATCTGTATCCTCCCATTCTTTCAAGATCCTCTTCGCATTCCCTCTCCCCCAAGAAACCTTCCAGATTGACATAATCTCCAGTGATCTTTCATCTTCCATGTTAATGACATACATTAACAAATACTAAACTGCTATTTAGCTTTGACTAGTACATTTTCTCACCCAAGCAATCACAAATCTTGTGGAATAGGAAAAATGTTTTCATGCCTAACATAATACTTTATAACTGTAGGCATTCATTAGTGCTTGTTAATGACAATTAAAAATTATTGTATCAAACGTGCATTTAATGAAGTGCCAAAAACATAATAGATATAAAAAAACCTTTTTTTCTTTTTTTTTTTTTTGAGATGGAGTCTAACTCTGTCACCCAGGCTGGAGTGCAGTGGCGTGATCTTGGCTCACTGCAACCTTCACCTCCCGGGTTCAAGCCTTAGCCTCTCCTGCCTTAGCCTCCCGAGTAGCTGGGACTACAGGTGTGCACCACCACACCTGGCTAATTTTTGTATTTTTAGTAGAGATGGGGTTTCACCATGTTGGCCAGGCTGGTCTTGAACTCCTGACCTCAGGTGATCCACCTGCTTCAGCCTCCTAAAGTGCTAGGATTACAGGCATGAGCCACCATGCCCGGCCTAAAAAAAAACCTTTGTTAAAGACTAAAATACATCCCAAGTAAGAATGTTACTTACTTTTACTAATATGTCTTTTACAACTTGATTGCTATCATTATGAACGCTGATATAACTGGAAAAGGTCTCTCCCAAAAATATATTCCTGTAAAATAAAATAAGTATTTAGGCAGAAATCCATTCAGGTTTTTTTTCTTTTTTTTTTTTTTTGAGACAGAGTCTCGCTCTGTCACCCAGGCTGGAGTGCAGTGGCACGATCTAGGCTCACTGCAAACTCCGCCTCCCATGTTCACCCCATTCTCCTGCCTCAGCCTCCCGAGTAGCTGAGACTACAGGCACCCACCACCACGCCTAGCTAATTTTTTGTATTTTTAGTAGAGACGGGGTTTCACCATGTTAGCCATGATGGTCTCGATCTCCTGATCTCATGATCCGCCCGCCTCAGTCTCTCAAAGTGCTGGGATTACAGGCGTGAGCCACTGTGCCCATCAGGTTTTACATTAAATAATCTGTTTGAGAATCACTAAGAACTTCAAATGGAGAAACATTTACTGAAGGATAGAAATCTGGTGAAATACTGCTTCAACATTCCTTTGTTCACACTAGGCCACTCATTCATTACCTAGTGCAATTCAAAATACAGACGTAATCTATAGAACATGATATATCTTGGCCTTTGACTACTGTACAAAATGCCAACCTCACTAGAGATAAGACTCATTGAAATTAGACCTATGCTAAAGTCTTAGGATTTGTATCTGAATAGGTTAGAGAGAGCCAAGTTTCCATTCTTGAAATAACTTATTCCCTGAATCTAGAAGAGATCTAAGTTACTGATATTGGGGTATTTTTACCAATTTATTTTATTTCCTAGGTTACTTGAATAAAAATCACCAGTGGTTTTATTTTAGTTTTATACTTTTTACATGAATATATTTCCCAGTTTTTCAAGACACTAGTCAATGACCACATTCTGTAAAACTATAAAAACAATCTGTAAAATTTCTTTTTGTCTCAAATTCTGTCTGTTGCAAACAGAGTGGAACCAGGGGCTTCTACCTTATTATTAATCTAGAATAATAATACAGCTAAGGATAACAGAAGAAATAAATTTAGAGTTCCTAATTAGCTGACAAGTCTGATAACTCATTTTGGGAGAGGACTATGATGCAAAAAAACAAAGACTGGCTTCTGAAAAAGATGTTTACATTAGTAGTTAAAAGACTATGTGGCCATTACAAAATATAGTAAGATCTAAAGAAGAAAGTTAAAATTCTATTATGCTAGGAACCACTATTAACATTTTATTTTGGTATATATCTTTTTTTTTTAATAACAGAAAGCCATAATCACATAGTATGATTTTTTAATAATATTTTTGCCCCTCAAATGTATCATGTCCTAGGCGTGGTGGCTCATGCCTGCAATCCAAGCACTTTGGGAGGCTGAGGCGGGTGGATCACCTGATGTCAGGAGTTCAAGGTCAGCCTGGCTAACATAGCAAAACACGGTCTCCAATAAAAACACAAAAATTAGCCAGAGCGGTGCGCACGCCTGTAATCCCAGCTACTCGGAAGGCTGAGGCACGAGAATTGCTTGAACCCAGGAGGTGGAGGTTGCACTGAGCTCAAATGGCACCACTGTACTCCAGCCTGGGCAATAGAGCGAGACTCCATCTCAGAAAAAAAAAAAAAAAGGTAAATGTATCATGAGCATTTCCCCATCCCATGGTTCTGTTTTGAAAACATAATTTGTAATGGCTTTACAAGGTTTCTTATGTGAATATGTCATTCTTACCCAAAATTCTGTGGTAAAGTCAGCATTTCTCCCAACATTAAAACTTCTGCACCATTAACGGTTGAAGGATCATCTCTCATCAGCTGGTTAAAGAGATCTCCTGAATGAAGAGAAAAACATAAAATTCTAACATCTACCCTTTAAATAACTTTTACTTATATAAAGAAATAGCTGGGAGAGATATTTTAAAAAACAACCTCTTGACAAAGATGATATTTAAAAAGTCTAACTTCTAGATTTTAATACAACAAAGCATGTCAAAAAAATTCTGATCTCACAGGGAATGGAAACTTTAGAAACAAAGAAAAATGTACGTCATGAGATAGAAAATATACTAGAGAAAGCCCCAATAATTCTTAAAAAAAAAAGGGAATGCTAATACATACATTGATGCAACATTTGAGGATAAAGGCAATTTTAATAGTATTATGAATATGAATGTATCTTAAACTGTCTCATACTGCCATAGGATATCAACATAATTTGGACTTGTAGAGTATAAGTAAGGCCTGTTACTCAGATGGCCACCTTTCACATGATACAAAAATAGGCAACAAAGAATCCAGCAAATGGTTAGCATAAAATTTACAGGGCTAGGCTTAGTCCAAGGTAATGCAGGCAATTCAGGTTTCAACCTTTCCCTAGGTGCAAATAGAGGAAAGCATGTGCCATACCAGGTAAGTCTTTCTCTTCACATGTTACTGGGATATTGGTGAATAAAGTAGGCTTAGTCAGCCGCATCACTGTGAAGTAAAAAAGTAAAAGAAAACAAAACATTAATACTGCTTAGGGTTAATATTCTCAAGTCTAGTGTATGACATTCATCCATTTTATACTAACATAAAATATAACCTAAATACTTCCTAAATATAATACTACATACTTCCTAAGGTTATCACACATCAGTGATTTATTAAGAATTGTAATGTTACAAAATAAGCACCATTTATTTACAACCTATGAATTATAAAAATTAAATGTAAATACAATATGCATTCATTATAGAAAAACTGGAAAATATAATTTTTAAAGCTTAAAGAGTATTAGGAGCATAAGGCTTTAAAAAAATTCTAAGTGATTTCACCATAAACAATATCAACAAAATATTAACTTTGGAAACTCAGTAAGTGTTTTTTGTTTTTTTTTTGAGACAGGCTTACTCTGTCACCCAGGCTGGAGTGTAGTGGTGCGATCTCGGCTCACTGCAACCTCTATCTCCCAGGTTCAAGAGATTCTCCTGCCTCAGCCTCCTGAGTAGTTGGGATTACAGGAATGCACCACCATGCCTGGTTATTTTTTTTTTTTTTGTATTTTTAGTAGAGACGGGGTTTCACCATGTTGGCCAGGCTGGTCCCTAACTCCTGACCTCGAGTGATCTGCCTACCTTGGCCTCCCAAAGTGCTGGGATTACAGGCATGAGCCACCATGCCCGGCCAAGTGTTTCTTCAAGTAATATTAATTCTGTGTAGAAATTACAAAAATGTCAGAAAACATATACGTTTATATAATTCCAATCAAAAGTAAGATATTATTTTTGGAACATGACAGAATGTGTCTAAAGTTTATTTAGAGAAACAAATAAATGAAAATAAGCTAAGGAAATTAACGGAGAAAAAAGAGGAAGAACTGAATTTACTACATATTATAACATATTTAAGTCCATAATCAACTAATTGACTTATTAATATAAGACCATACCGATATATTAGTTTTTCAAAAAAAAGATAGGATATACTTATATAAAGAAATTGCTGGGAGTGGCCAGGCATGGTGGCTCACGCCTGTAATCCCAGCACTTTGGGAGGCCAAGGCGGGCGGATCACGAGGTCAAGAGATTGAGACTATCCTGGCTAACACGGTGAAACCCCGTCTCTACTAAAAATACAAAAAATTAGCTGGGCGTGGTGGCGGGTGCCTGTAGTCCCAGTTACTCGGCAGGCTGAGGCAGGAGAATGGCATGAAGCCGGGAGGCGGAGGTTGCAGTGAGCCGAGATTGCGGCACTGTACTCCAGCCTGGGCGACAGAGCAAGACTCCGTCTCAAAAAAAAAAAAAAAAAAAAAAAAAACGCTGGGAGAGATATTTTAAAAAACAACCTCTTGACAAAAAAAAATCAATTAAAGGATTAGAAGTTAAAAAAATCAATTAGCAAAAGGATTATTCATTATAAGGTGCAAAGACATGGTTAGCTATCTGGGAAAATAAAATTTAACTAAAAAATTCACTTTAAATATAAATAGACAAAAATTAAGCCACAGAAAAGTAAAAAAAAAGAAATTGAATATTTATTATAGTCTAATGAGTAAACACTCTATAATTTTTTTAAAAATCTTTTTCAGTTACTTCTAAAGACTGTCGTTTGACCACATCAAAATAAAAACAAAAACATAAAATTAAAAAATCATAAAAACTTGTAAAATTTTTCAGAAAATGAATCACAGAGGGCTAGTTCATTATTAAAAGTATTCCTTCAAATCTGGCTGGGCACAGTGGCTCATGCCTGTAATCCCAGCACTTTGGGAGGCCGAGGCGGGCGGATCACGAGGTCAGGAGATCGAGACCACGGTGAAACTCCGTCTCTACTAAAAATAAAAAAAATTAGCCTAGCATGGTGGCGGGCGCCTGTAGTCCCAGCTACTCGCAGAGGCTGAGGCAGGAGAATGGCGTGAACCCGGGAGGCGGAGCTTGCAGTGAGCTGAGATCGCCCACTGCACTCCAGCCTGGGCAACAGAGCAAGACCCCGCCTCAAAAAAAAAAAAATTCCTTCAAATCAAAGCCAAAATACTATAAAGACTATAGACCTACATGGTCAATTCAGAATATAAGTAATGTTCTAGCATATGTAAAAATGTACCACCCAACTACTAATTAACCAACTATGGCATTCATATCAAATTTAGTGGCTTTCTCATTCTGGTTTCAGCTTAAATGTCATCTTTTTCAGAAAAAAAGTAACAGGTCATTCTGTTTCACTCATGGTACCTTGTATTTATCATGCAGTATATTTATTTGTTTATAGCACTCCTTTCCAAACTCCATGAGGTCTAGGCTCTTATGTACTACGTTCAGTTTTGTAGCATCCATATTTGGTGTAAGTTCTGCTATTCAGATCTTCCCTGAATAAAATAATTAGCACTTCATGAAAGTCCCTAAATAACTGACATTATTTTGAAAGTGTAAGTTTCAGAAACTGAAGGCAATTAAAAACCTGCTATATTAAGCAGCTGGCTTTTGAAATAGTCAACAAATGCTACCCTTAAAATTTCTGAAGTTACTCTGTATAGCTAGCATTTACTGAGCATTTACTAGCGCCAGGCATTATGCTAAATATTTTACAAGCTGAACACATTTAATTCTCATGAGTACTCTCTAAGTTGGTATTACATTAACCCCAATATACAGATAGGGCATTGACAATACCTGCAGAGGGTAATTTGCATACAAAGGATTATATTAGTAGATAAGTGGTAGAATCTAGATTTGAACCCTGGTGATTTCACTCTGTTGAAAAATAATTCTCTATAATAATTATTAATTATAAGCCTGGAGCCATAAACCTGGAATGTCATGCCTTACCAGAAATACCCCATGGGAATTCAAAGTAGGAATGTATTCCAAAGAGTATTAATCAGCTACAGATGAATATGGGGAGGCGTTTCCAACCTTCACTCTTATTTTTAACTACGAAAACAGAGAAAAAGGTGCCCTGAAAACAGATAAAAAGGTGCCCTGAAAGTGATACACAGGAGGCAGTTTCTCCCAATTTAAACAGCTAAAATCACTAGACAGGGTCTCATTTTGTTACCCAGGTTGGACTACAGTGGCACGATCATGGCTGACTGCAGCCTTGACCTCCTGAGCTCAAGTGAACCTCCTGCCTCAGACCCACCCCCTACCCCCGCCCACCAAGAGGCTGCGACTACTGTCGCATGCCACCATGCCCGGTTAATTTTTGTAGTTTTTGTAGAGACGGAGTTTCACCATGTTGCCCAGGCTGGTAAGTTCACTTTTAGTACCAGTTGGTGTTTTCTATTTCTTCCCTATTATTTTTTTCATTTCATTAGAAAACAAATCTGAATAAAGAGAAAATACAGTCTCAAGGGAATCCTGAAACATTCCTTTTTTTTTTTTCTTAGTGTCCTGGAGTTCACCCAAACATGTAGCTAACATATTTGCTTATTATAGGTTCCAATTTCTATTATAAAGAAAAGTCCTATAAAGCTTAGTTTTTCATGATTCCTGTGGTTTAGCAGGGGATGAGATGGTGGGTAAAAAATGATCCTCCATTAAAAATAAAGTGATCCCAACTTGGTATTAAAAGCAACTTTTTTCTTCATATTTTCAGATTATGGCCTTTGCAGCAACGTAGATGCAACTGGAGGCCATTATCCTAAGCCAATTTATGCAGGAACAGAAAATCAAATACCACATATTCTCATAAGTGAGAGATAAACAATGAGTATACATGGACACAAAAAACAGAACAATAGACACTGAGGCCTATTTGAGGGTAGAAGGTGGCAGGGGGTGAGGACTAAAAAACTACCTATTGGGTATTATCCTGATTACATGGGTGACAAAACTATTTGTACACCAAACCCCTGTGGCACACAATTTACCCATATCACAAATCTGCACATGTACCCCTTGAACCTAAAATAAAAGTTAGAAAGAAAAAAAAATTAGTGGGCTTCCATTTTAAGCAACCTCAGCCATCTCAGGCTATGAAGAATCCCTCTGAAGGGAATGTTTACCATGCATTATCAAGCTCCTACCATGACAGGCACTGAGCTTCAAGGTAAACATGTCTATATTCCTAGTTAAGTGCAGTCTTATTTTTCTTAGGGAGCTGGTGTGTTTAATAGTAGTAATGACATGTAAGCTGTGTGAGGGCAAGGTCCATGTCTGTCTCCTTCCCTAGTATATCCTAGCACCTAGTGCAAAGTAGGCATTTAAATATGTTAAACAAACATACATGCTTCTACAAAACTTTTACTGTTTTAATCCCTTTGAGCATTTTTATGAGGTGATGTGTAAAACCAATTACAAGATTATGCTTATGGGGAACCTACAATGACTCCAATCATCAGCCAAGTAATAATTAGCACTAACTATCATTAATACTGAATTATCTGTATTAGAAGAAATAAACAATCATTCAACATTTGATACTTTCCTTCAAAACAGGATACATTATCGTTTTAGGCAAAGTATACATTTTGTATCGTTGTTTGAAAACAGCCTATCAATTGTTATTACATATCTTTGGAAACATCATTATAAATCTAGACTAGTCTCCCACTTTGAACTACATTCATGCCACATAAATAGCACTCCAAAGAGAATTGTTTCGAGTTTTATTTTTTAAAAAATTACACTTGAGGTAAGGAAAAAAATACAGTAAAATTAGATTTTAGAGATTAACCAAAATCCAAACTATACAACTTAATTCATGACTAATTCAATCACAGTTTGTAACAAAAGGAACAGAACATTTTTACCTTCAAATTCAGTGTAAACAATAATTTATCACATTTAAAAGAAGGCTGCCAATAAGCAGAACTCAGCAATTTCTTGACTTAATTGACAAGCCTAGGAATTCTAAAAAGTCATTAAAAATTTTAAAACCTGTAAAAATTATTTTATCTATTTCAATCCATATTCATTTCATTCAGAATATTCTTTTTGACAATCAGTGGAATTCATTACATACTAAAAATAACACCATATTTATGCACAAATAAATTAATTTTTCCAGTAAGAGCTAATCTTCCTTTAAGAAGACTTCCCACATATTCACAATACATAATATCACAGAACACCCATATTTGGCCTAAATGCCTCTGAATTGTAGCATTACAAGATGGAAGTTCATTGTGCCTAATAATTTGATTGAGTTTTGTCCAAATGTCTTCCAGAGTTTGGCTGTTACAAATAGTGTGTTCTATTGTCCATCTTGCTCTATAAAGTGAGTGTAAATTTAGTGCCTTTAAACTATCTTGCAATTTTTTAGACAAAGGAGAAACGTTTTTAGTACAATTATTGCTGGGAAGGGAAATACTCCAAGATCTCCTCTTGTGCTGTTTTCCCTTTTCTGATTGTTTACCCAGATTTCCAGAATTAGTCTGTTCCTTCAGTGTGTGTGACCAGGTTAAATGCTGCTTTTTCAAGCTAGGTTGAAACTCCAATAGATCTACTGTGCAATCATAACTGTGTGACTTAGCATCATGTTCTGAAATGGTTAAGTACTGTTTCACATCTTCAGCTGCCTCTTCAGAAATCACAGGTGGTGATCTTTTAGGTCTGAGTGGAAGCTTGGACCCATCATATGGAAACCAAGGTATAAATCTTGATAGCGGACGAGTAGGAAAGTCTTGAATTGCTTTTTCTGCAATTTTTGGCAGTTGTGTGGGATCACTCTCACATGGTCGATAATGTAATATTACTTCTGTAGTCATTCTGCAGTAATCCAGTTACTCTTAGTGATGAGAAAATTTCTTAGTTGAACTCCTCAGAGCTAGAATGTTAATTTATTATTGCAAGATTGTCTCTCTTGCCAAATCAGAGGGAAACAGGACCTAAAGTAGAAGTATTGCAAAGAATAAGATATGGTAGGGATACCCTGCCTACCAACAGGCAGGGAGAAAAGGAAAAACAAAAAACAAAAACCAATCCCAATGTGGTATTTTACCAAAGTGCTATTGGTAAATGTGAATGTAATCTACAAACCTGAAAATTCTTTCTCTTACCAAAATAAGGGATCTGAACTAGATGCCCTATAAAATCACTTCCTGCCTAAAAACGCTAGTAGTCAACATGTTTAACTCAATAGATATAAAGGACTTGGAAGTATCGATATTAATATATTAAGTAATAATAGTCTTAAAACTTTAGCAGAAACAAAGAGTAAATGAATGATTCTTAAAATATTGTTTTCATATGAATTAACAAAAAATGTAATATTTAAAAATTTGAGGCAACTAAATTGAGGACAATGAAATCACTGTAAATTCTAATCCAACATGGTGAAAACCCATCTCTACTCAAAATACAAAAAAAAATTAGCTGGGTGTGGTGGCGCATGCCTGTAGTCCCAGCTACTAGGGAAGCTGAGGCAGGAGAATAGCTTGAACCTGGGAGCCAGAGGTTGCAGTGAGCCAAGATCATGCCACTCAGCCTGGGCGATAGAGCAAGACTTCATCTCATTAAAAAAAAAAAAAATTCTAATCTGTCTGGAAGAAAATTAATCATTTTATACTTAAAATTATGTAGATTTGCCAGGTGCGGTGGCTCATGCCTGTAATCCCAGAACTTTATGGGGGCCAAGGCGGGCAGATCACGAGGTCAGGAGCTTGAGACCAGCCTGGCCAACATGGTGAAACTCCGGCTCTACTAAAGATACAAAAAATAGCCGGCTGTGGTGGCGTGTGCCTGTAATCCCAGCTACTCAGGAGGCTGAGGGAGGAGAATCGCTTGAACCCGGGAGGTTGAGGTTTGCAGTGAACTGAGATCGCGCCATCGTACTCCCATTGCACTCCAGCCTGGGTGACAGGGCAAGACTCCGTCTCAAAAAAAAAAAAAAAATTATATGGATTCCACCAAACAAATATATAGATAGAATATTTGATGATTTCACGTCATTCTCTGTAGTAAAAACTAAAACCATTAATATGGTTTAACTTTGCTAATATGGTTTAACCAGGCTAAGAACCAGTTTTGTGACACTGTCTTCTCCTCATAATCCAGGCAATTAAACAGTATGGAGACCCCAATACCATGGCTTTTGAATTCCAGTTTGGAAGAGAACAAGAAGTCTAGACTCCTATTTTTTTCTCTTAGAGCACAGAAGTCCTCAAGTTGCCCCAAATTAAGTCACTGATAATAAATTCCAGCATATGGTGCATAGGCTCAAGAATGGAGCCTTCCAATATCTGCAAGTTAGGCTTGCTAATCAGGCCCAAAGCTGTAAGAGCCATAAAACAGACTTTTTCACATCCTAACAACAGCAGAAAAAAATAAGTTGAATCCCTTCTCCCCAAAAATCATTAGAGAATTACTTGATGAGGGTTCTCCCACTGCTAGGATAACCATGAGTATGGATTCTTGTCATCATTTCACAATAGAATCACTGTCTGATTCTGAAGAGTTAGAAGAAATAATTTCATTATTTTTACCTACTGATACTGCCCACTAACAGATCTGACAACTCTCAAATTCATAAATAATTGTGATCTTTAACATCCATATTTTAAATATGGATCTAAATGTTATCATATATACTTTCAAGAACTAATGATGCACTAATGTTTTTCTTCCCTGTTCCTTATACTTTCACATTGTAAAATATGGCACTGAGAAATTCTCTTGTTGTCTAAAGTCAATCAGTGTTATACTCAAGGGATGACTTTTTTTTTTTTTTTGAGACAGAGTCTTTGTTGCCCAGGTTAGAGTGCAGTGGCACAATCTCGGCTTACAGCAACCTTCGCCTCCCAGGGTCAAGTGATTCTTGTGCCTCAGCCTCCTGAGTAGCTGGGACCACTGGTGCACACCATCACGCCTGGCTAATTTTTGTATTTTCAGTAGAGACGGGGTTTCATAATGTTGGCTAGGCTGGTCTCGAACTCCTGATCTCAAGTGATCAGCCACCTCACCCAACCAAGAATAACAAGATATTATCTTTAACATTTTACATATTAAAAGATAAAGTGAACTTAAATGACCACTTAAATTAATACATTTGGCATTCAGCATCAGCACATTGAAATGTGTGAAAATTGTTGATTAACTAGAACAATGGGTTAACTATAAGATGGTACTAAAGAGGTTTAATAAAGTTGAAACTATCAGTCAATTTTGAAGCACTTGTCCGTTTAGGCTGCTTATTGTTCTTTTTTTTTTTTTTTTTTTTTTTTTTGAGACAGGGTCTCACTCTGTCACCCAGGCTGGAGTGCAGTGGCGCAATCTCAGCTCACTGCAGCCTCTGCCTCCCAGGTTCAAGCGGTTCTCCTGCCTCAGTCTCCCGAGTAGCTGGGATTACACCACCACACCTGGCTAATTTTTGTATTTTTGGTATAGACGGGTTTTCGCCATGTTGGCCAGGCTGGTGTCAACTCCTGATCTCAAGTGATCTGCCAGCCTCGGCCTCCCAAAGTGCTATTACAGGCGTGAGCCACCACGCCTGGCTTAGGCTGCTTAAATATTCTTTCTTAGGTATCCTTGGTTTTGGAAAAAAAAGAATAACAGAAAACTAAAAATTCCCAGTGGCAGTCTCTGTATCACTGGAATTTAACTTTTTGTTTGTTTGTTTTTTGAGATGGAGTCTCGCTCTGTTGCCTAGGATGGCGTGCAGTGGCGTGATCTCGGATCACTGCAAGCTCCGCCTCCCGGGTTCACGCCATTCTCCTGCCTCAGCCTCCTGAGTAACTGGGACTACAGGCGCCCGCCACCACGCCTGGCTAACTTTTTGTATTTTTATAGAGACGGGGTTTCACTATGTTAGCCAGGATGGTCTTGATCTCTTGACCTTGTGATCACCCGCCTTGGCCTCCCAAACTGCTGGGATTACAGGGGTGAGCCACCACGCGCGGCTGCAATTTAACTGTTTTTAATAGCTTCTAATTTGTATAAATCACACGTAGCAGTTAATAGAACTGTTCCAAATTCCCATCGGAGTAGCTGGTAGAGGAATTATCTCTGAGAATGCTGCTTCATTCTTTAGGAGGCAACACGGACTCTTGGAAAGAGAGGCAGGCCTTGCGTTGAAACACTGCCTCAATCACTAGCTATGTGATCTTGGAAAAGTTACTTAAACTCTGAGAATTAATATTTACTCCACATACTTGAAGTGAGATTGTGAGATAAAGAACACGACAATTAGTTGCTTTTCTTCTTTTCCCTCTTCTCCACGAGTAACAATCCATTTTAATCTCCATTTTAGTCTAGATCATTTGCTCAGGTTAAGCTTACAGGTCCCATCACTGTATCACTAAACATTACAAAGTTCCACAGTAAGAGACAATCTCGCTAACACAGGCATCATTATATGAGACTGATGAGCTTCTAGAAAGTCTGATGACTACATCATAATGGGAAGGATAAGGCGTTCCTCAAAATGGATGCCATAAGTAAAGTAAGCGCAATTCAATTGAACCCGAATGTTTATTGAGCATTTCCTCAGCTCATTCAAGAAGTCATTGTTAACCATATATTAAGGCATCCAAGAAACAAAAAGCGCATTTGTTGTAGTAAAAAACAAATAAAATAAAGCTGAAAAGATTTCAAATAAAAGGTTTCCAGAAAATAGGCATTAAAAAAATTGTCCTAAAAAAAAAAGTGCTGCTGTTTTTTCCTAAATAATGATCTAATTAAATCACCAAACTTACTCAAAATGGCTGTGTACAAAAAATGAGAGTTGACATTAGATCTCGGACATATTTCCCACATACACAGTGATTTGAAGTAAACTGCAGTTTGTTTTGAATAAATCTAAGTTATATGTTGTATTACTATGTATTGCTAAATTCTCTGCACTACTGTCATGCAATACTAATTTTACAGGGGAAGCTGAAGCCTGATTAACTTCGTCAGTGCCACAGGAAGAAACAAGAGACAGAAGGAAAAAGCACTTTGGATGCCCGCTGTAATTCACAGAGATCTCCACGGTAGGAGCGGGACGTCAGCTTCTGCGGCTAAAATCTCGTGACTGAAGCAGCACAGATCAGAAAGAACGATTTACCAGGTATCTATTTCGTTCTAGAAAGGGGCCCATAAACCTAAAAAGCATCCAGGAGAAATCGCTTCCTCCCGCTTGGCGGCAAAGGACAGAGCAGGAGGGCGAGCACTGAGTGTTTAAGAAGGATGAGGCCTACATGGCAAAGGCTTCGATAAGTAGGGAATGCAAGGAAACAGAAAAGGGGGAATCAGGTTCGCAAAAGTTTACCTTTTAGCGCCAGCAGGTGCTCCTGTTTAGGGGGATTCACTTCCATTTTGACCGGCACTTTTGACCCACAGCCTACGGGGGCTGGACAGGTTCAACTTGCCCCGGAAGGAAACGGAAAACCTCGCGTTTGGCAAAACCAAAAGTCAAACGCACTCTCAACCTCTCTCTGGTGGTGGTACCTTAAATTCTCCTACTGTGTCCTTTACAAACTGGCTTCTTTTCAACAAGTCCATTTCTTCTATCTTAGAAACGTAGGCATAAAATACTTTGTTTTCCATCTGCAATCACACATCGCGACTGCAGGAAAAGAAACCACCCCTAGGTAACAATACGCGGCCTCCCAAAGGCCAACGTTGCCGGAGTTTTTTTTTTAAAAAAAAAAAAAAAAAAAAAAAAGAGAGAGAGAGAGAGTGGCATGCTGGGATTTGTAGTTTATACAAAAACCGCGTTGCATGCAGGGAGATGCCCGTACCCCCTCACCGCCCTCAGTTCACGCCCTGGCTGGTTTGGATTCGAGAGGAAAAATCATTAAAGGATCTGGAGTTTTCACCCCAAAACTTTAATCGTTTTGTCCCTTCTTTTTTTTTCTTGTCTTTCCTCCAGCAGCTGCAGACTACATAATGAAAAATAACAAAAGTGCCCATGCGCGAGGCTGTGCAACTAACCACCCGACGATTGCGGGGAGGAGGAGTAAGAGTCGGCTAAGCGGCGCCCAGTGTCCTACTGCGCCTGTGCGCCGGTGGCGTGCGCAGAGGCCTCTGGGTAGGTGGCTCAACCCCGCCTCTCAGTTGAGGACTCTGAAGGCTGTTTCTGTGGCGCTTCCCCTGCGAGGATGGCTACCCTGGTTGTAAACAAGCTCGGAGCGGGAGTAGACAGTGGCCGGCAGGGCAGCCGGGGGACAGCTGTAGTGAAGGTGAGGGACCTTGCGTGCTCTATTCTCCACCATCGGCCTCCCTTCGGTTCATCCTGGAGACCTGGCGGCATCGCCGCGGCCCAGGCTTCGATAGGTGGGATGCGCGGCCTCTGGGCCCCTTTTGGCATTACAAGTCTCGTCCTGTCCTCTGCATCCTTTCTCTCCTATGGCCTGAAATTGCCTGGTCTTCTGCTCATGACATGTCATCATCGGGACATTTGTGAAAAGGAGCTTGCGGGCCAGTGGCAGTGACCTAGACCGGTCTTTTCTCCAGGTCCTCTGCTTTTAGTTAAACTCAACAGACATTAATTAGCTTAGTATTATAAATTGAGTCATCATCATCGTAACTACGTACTAAGTTAGGTGTTTTAGCTCGTTAATATCTACTTATGAAGTAGATGTGAATTCCCATTTTACAGGGAGGAAACCCAGGTTTAGGTAAACAGTGTGTGGCAGAGCCCCGGGTTGACCGGCTTTAAAGTCTGTACTTTTCGCTCTTGTACTGCGTCTGTAATCAGACATCTGTTATTGGGTGAGCTGCCCCCTCCCCTGTTAGTAGTACAGTCTATTAACTCTTTGCACAAGTCTGCAGCATCGTCATAGCTGGGCATTAACGATAGAGTTTATGAATTTTCTTATGCTTGAAGTTTGAGATTCTACCATGTATACATGCTCCAGAATCAATTTGCTAAAAAATCATTTGAAATATGTGGCACTCATTTTTCCCTTCCACTGTTGTGCACGGAAAGATATGGAGGGGAGAACTGATCCCATTGGTTTATAGAGTAACCTTCAGGAGCATCTCTAATCTAAGAGATTGATAATTCTCATTCCTGGCTACATATTAGGATCACTGAGGAGTTTTAGTACACTACTGATGCACTCCTCCTCCAGTTCTGATGAGGTTGACATCAGTATATTTTAGGAATTACCAGAAGTTATTTTAATGTGCAACCAGGGTTATGAATTACTGATCAAGGTAATATATGAAGTTTTTTTCACATCTTGAAAAGTAGACACCTATGATTATTCAGGTAATGTTGGTTTTATATGACAGCAAATGAGACATTTCTTCCCACAATTTAGTATCAGTGAATATTGGTGGTTGTTGATTCAGATGACCTTTAGGTACTAATGAAGTTATTCTACAGGTACACGGCATATCTGATATGCAAAGGAGCCCTCATTATTAGGCATGTTGTGTGACTGAGATTTTATTTATTGAATTGTGCTTTTGCTAAGTAGAGAATACTTGAAGAGCAGTTTGTGAATTAACTTGAAGTTTAAGTTTTATTTCATAATTGGAATGGGTATCATTGCAGTATCTATTTTTTTGTTACCCTGTTTGCCTTACAGTCTCAAAAGTGTACCAAAGCCTGATGTAACTCCAGTTTCTTACAGCACAGAATTTGATACATTGGAGGCTCACCTTGTTCATTTTCATCTTAACATGTAAAATATTCCTGAACTGTGCAATGAAATAGTCCTTTCTGACAAAATCTTCATGCCATAATTTGTAGTAGGTATAGTAGCATAAACTAAAAAAATCTCACTGTCATTTCTATAGATGAAAGCAAGAAGTATTTATTGGAAGGTAAAAGTTGAAGTATATAATGCTAATACTGTGTAAAATGGCCTTTTGCTTGTGAACAAGTTGATAATGACATGGCTTTTATCATTAGAGAAAACAGTAACATAAAAATCTGATATTGTGGCTAGGCGCGGTGGCACACGCCTGTAAAGCACAAAGTGCCTGGGAAGCACTTTGGGAGGCCAAAGTGGGCGGATCACTTGAGGTCAGGAGTTTGAGACTAGCCTGGCCAACATGGCGAAACCCCGTCTCTACTAATAATACAAAACGTAGCCAGGCATTGTGGTGTGGGCCTGTTAATCCCAGTTACTCAGGAGGCTGAGGTAGGAGAATCACTTGAACCCAGGAGGCGGAGGTTGCAGTGAGCTGAGTTTGTGCCACTGCATTCCAGCCTGGGTGACAGAGTGAGACTCCATCTGAAAAATAAAAGATAAAAAATCTGATATTGTGAAATAACTGACATTTAAAAATGTATCACAGAAAGTTTCACACCTTTAATCTCAGCACTTTGGGAGGCTGAGGTGGGAGGATTGCTTGAGCCCCAGAGTTTGAGACCAGCCTGGGCAACATGGTGAGATCCTATCTCTACAAATAATAATAAAAAAAAATTAGCCAGGCGTAGTGGCACATGCCTGTGGTACCAGCTACTTGGGAGTCTGAGGCAGGAGGATTGTCTGAGCTTGGGAGGTCAAGGCTGCAGTGAACCATGCTCAGGCCACTACTCTCCAGCCTGGCTGACAGAGTGAGACCCTTTCTCAAAAAAAAAATAATAATAATAATAAATAACAACATAAAATAAAATATCTGATTGATTACAGTTTGATTTACAAGTAATAAGTTTGAAGCTTTTTTGGCATTTTTTGAAGTGTAAAATTAAGAGCTTTTTCCTATCTAGGGTTTTTTGCTGTTAACCACAATTCCTATTTATAGATACTGAGGAAATATTTTCTTGCTGTATTATTTACCGAGTTGATGCAAAATAGTCTAGTAACTTTATTTTTGGACCTGTGTTTGGTTTGCTAATCAATGGAATTTTATTAGTGCTTTTTGAAAAATACATTAACAGCATAAGGAAGTTCTTTTAAATCTTTGTATAGTGATGGGATCAGAGATACAGGATTGAAATGAACTAAACAATTTTAATATGGTTCTTTGGAGTTTATTGTCATAAATTTACTTTATTAGAGTATCATAATACAGCATTTATAAAATGTTGCATTTATTTTATATCAAATTCTATTGTGAATTTTTGAGACAGAGCCTCACTCTGTCGCCCAGGCTGGAGGGCAGTGGCACAATCTTGGCTCACTGCAAGCTCCGCCTCTTAGGTTCATACCATTCTCCTGCCTCAGCCTCCCGAGTAGCTGGGACTACAGGTGCCCGCCACCGCGCCTGGCTAATTTTTTGTATTTTTGGTAGAGATGGGATTTCACCACGTTAGCCAGGATGGTCTCAATCTCCTGACCTCGTGATCTGCCCGCCTTGGCCTCCCAAAGTGCTGAGATTACAGGCGTGAGCCACCGCACCCAGCCTATGAATATTTTTTCTATATTTAATTGAATTTTTTTTTTTTGAGGCAGGTTCTCACTCTGTCACCCAGGTGGGAGTGCAATGGCACGATCATGGCTCATAGCAACCTCGACCTCCTGGGCTCAAATGATCCTCCCACCTCAGTTTTTGATTTTTTTTTGTAGAGACAGGGTCTCGCTGTGTTGCCCAGGCTGGTCTTGAACTCCTGGCCTCAAGCAGTCCTCTTGCCTTGGTGTCCCAAAGTGCTGTGATTACAGGTGTGAGCCACAGTGCCTGGCCTAAAGAATTTGATAACGTGAAACTTTCCCCTTTTTAAAAAATGTAGGATAAATTGAAGTATGTGTATATATGAATAATAGACAGAATTATACGTGGATAGCTGTTCCCCAGTTGTTTGCCTTTTTCATGGGGAACCAGTGTTCCAATGTTACTGGTGTCCTATGTATCCTTCCAGGAAGACAATACGCTTATACAACAATACAAAAAAAATTTGCTCTTTCCCCACCTTTATGCAAAAATGAATATATTCTATTATTTTTCTTTTTGTTTTAATCATATGAAATCATTCTGTGTATATATGAAAAACTTCATCTTTCTCACTATCCTATATAGTTTTATAGTATTATGAATGTGCCACAATTTATTTTCCAAGCTGATATTGATGTATATTTACTTTCTTTCCAATTTTTTGCTAATGCAAATGATGCTTTAAGGAGTAACATACAGATTTTGTCACACGTGTCTAGTATGCTTGTAGGATAAATTCCTGCAACTAGAATTACTGAGTTATTTAAATTTGGTAAGTATTGTCAAGTTGCCCTCCATAGAAGCTGTATTGCTCAATAAACATTTCATAGCAATTAGTAATGTATGAGAGTGTCTGCTTTCCCACACCTTCACTAACAAAATGTTACCAACATTTTTGATCTAATCTGAAAAAAGTATTTTGATGTAGCTTTAATTTGCATTTTTCTTTCTTTATTTTTTTGAGACCGAGTGTCATTCTGTCACCTAGGCTGGAGTGCGGTGGCGTGATCTTGGCTCACTGCAACCTCCGCCTCCCAGGCTCAAGCAATTATCCTGCCTCAGCCTCCTGAGTAAACTGGGCTTACAGGCGCCCACCACTATGCCTGGCTAATTTTTTTGTATTTTTAGTAGAGATGGGATTTCACCATGTTGTCCAGGCTGGTCTCGAACTCCTGACCTCAGATGATCCACTCGCCTCGGCCTCCCAAAGTGTTGGGATTACAGGCATGAACCACCATGCCTAGCTTTAATTTGCATTTTTCTTATTATGAGTTAGATTGAACATCTTTTCACGTAAAGAATTTTCATCTTCTTTTCTCTGAACAATGTTATGTTTCTTATTTTTATTCATTTTTATCTTCCCAAACCCTTATTTACATTGAAGGACTAAATTTAAATTTCTTTTGAACCATGATAAGATGCAAAGCAATTATGAATTATCACTGTATGGTGAAAGATATTTGCATCTCAAGCACTAAGTCCAAGTTAATTGTAGAGTTAGGTTTAAAATCATAGTAGATTTAGTCTGATTTCTGCCTTGGGTTTTCTGTTTTTTACCTCGTGTTGTGTGTTTGATGATGGTGAGCTTAATTGTTTTTAAATTATTTTACTGGACTTTATGTAAGCAGTAGGTACTTGGTATTTAAAATACCCAGTTCCTGAGGGTTCTTTGGTCCAACAGGGAAAGACGGGCTAAAAGACCAAGGTATTAAAGTGTTTTGGGTGTTACGGTAGACGCTTATACAGAGTACATCGGGGCCCAAAGGACAAGTATAGTCCTTTCCTCAGTGTTAGCATGAAGAGACATGAAACAGTTTCTCATGTTCTGAGAACTATAAGCTGTTGGATATAGTTGGAGCATAGGGTCAGAAGAGTATGGCAGTGAAGCAATAGGACAGGGACCAGATTGTAGCAGGTCTTGAATGACAGGAGTTTGAGGTATGATTGAATAGTACAGTGTGGGTATTTTTAAAAAATTAATGCAAGGTATGAAACACTACAAATATACTTAGAAATAAGTGCTGAAAATGCTTTATTGCTATAAATACAATTTGTTGACTATTTGTAAAACATAAACTTATGGACTTGAGAATCAGAATATGCTGATAAATGGCCTTTCTTTTGACTGACTGTGTAGCCTTGTGCAAGTCATGTGTCTGTAACTAGAGCTAGAAAGACAAACTAGTTTCTAATTCAGAGCTATATTTATTGATAGAGAACAGGAATTGAAATTTAAGATGATTGCTTTTTTTGCCTTTGTATTATTTAATGTACATTAGATAGTAGAAGATACTTGAAAGTTACTTGCAGTCTTTTCTTAACAAGTTCTTTATCATTTGCAGGGGTAATTGTTATCTCAGTACATATTTTAGATTATTTTTGTTGAAATTAATGATAGTTTATTTGTGTTGAAATTAATGATGGGTTAGGTAGTTGCAGAGAAATTGCTTAAGAACCCACCTTCAGTAGAATTACATATTGTTTGTACAGATTCAGATGTAATGACTGAAATCATAATTTTCAAAAGATAACAAAGATGTTAATTTACAGCATCTTTGCCCCAACACTTAGTATTTCAAAGATATTTCATTATGATATAATTTTGACAGGGTCGGTCAAATGGAATGACTTAAAAGTGATTCAAGATTTTACAACCTACATAGTTTTTTTTTCATAGAGGAATAAAGTAACAATGTTGATTCAATATATTAGGTGAATTTTCTTATATACCTAAAATATGTATGCTTTTAAAATTGTTTAAAGAGCACATCCTTCCTTTTCAAATATTAGGTGCTAGAGTGTGGAGTTTGTGAAGATGTCTTTTCTTTGCAAGGAGACAAAGTTCCCCGTCTTTTGCTTTGTGGCCATACCGTCTGTCATGACTGTCTCACTCGCCTACCTCTTCATGGAAGAGCAATCCGTTGCCCATTTGATCGACAAGTAACAGACCTAGGTAGGAAAAGTATTTGTATGGATTTAAGATTGAAAATTGTTCATGTAATGCAAATGTCATAGGAAACAATGTCCTTCCACTTGATTTTTAGAATGATAAAATTCCCAGAAAGTTTCAGAAAGCCTAAGTTTCTATTAAGGTCAATAATCTTCAAGCTATAAACTATCTCACTCTTAGTTACTAATTTTATTTTATCTTCTGAGATGTTTATATTCAATACTTATCTGTAAAGAGCTTTAAGACACCTGAGAAAAACGTGCTACCCTGATTCAAATAAATAAGAATGTGTATCACAGAGTGAATCATTTGCCTGAAGCCATAAACCCAATAGAACAATGTTTTCTTTACAAATAAATAAGCCAATAATGAAAATACAGATAAGTCATTTGAGTCTCACCATGTTTTTATTTACTAATATCAAGGACAGAAGTGTTTGTAGCTTGTGATAATTACTCTTTATTTTCTGTTAAAATGAGTTTGAAGGGTTTGTGGCTTTTTTTTGCAGTTTTCTGTATACTTTTAAAACTTTTCTTTACGTATTTCAAACTAAGTTATTTTCAGATACCAGATTTGGAAATAATAGCATTTACTAACATTTGAACAGTTATTTTACAAACGTAAGTTCTGTAAGTTTACTCTTTTTGATAAGGGAGTTTTCTCCAAAAGAGTTTAAGGTTGCCATTTTTTTTCCAGGTCAGTTGCACTATCTAAGACAGTTTTAATATATTCATACTATTTTTCAAGTGGAACACATTCAAAATAATTTATCCACCAAAAAAGGAAGCAAGAGTACCTATAATTTTAGGCTGGAAGACTTTGAAATGCTAAGAAACATGGTTTTAAAATATTTTCTGGAGAAAGAAAAGGATTTTTAAGGTTTTGGTGATCTTTGATGTATATAAATAGTCTATTTGCCTGACAACTAATAGACAGTAATAACATTATAGATAGCATTAACTTACCAGTAGCCAAGAAATAATAGGGATTGGGAAAGTCTCTGTACTTTTATTTGGTCTTTTATTATGTGAAATATGCATATATCATACTATTTCTTTATATAAAACTATACTTAGGCCAGGTGAGGTGGCTCATACCTGTAATCCAGAACTTTGCAAGGCTAAGATGGGTGGATCACCTGAAGTCAGGAGTTCAAGGCCAGCCTGGCCAAAATGGTGAGACCCCTTTTCTTCTAAAAATGTAAAAATTAGCTAGGCATGGTGGTGGATGCCTGTAATCCCAGCTACTTGGGAGGCTGAGGCAGGAGAATCGCTTGAGCCTGGGAGATGGAGGTTGCAGTGAGCCTAGATCACGCCATTGCCCTCCAGCCTGGGCAACAAGAGCAAAACTTGGTCTCAGACAAACAAACAAAAAAACTATGCTTAAAGAAATAGTAATGTTTTTCAAATAGAGAATAGAACCTTTCTTCTACTTTTTTTTTTTTTTTTTTTTTTAAAGCAGAGTGTTACTCCGTCACCCAGGCTGGAGTGCTGTGGCGCGATCTCAGCTCACTGCAGCCTTCACCTCTGGGGTTCAAGCGATTCTCCTGCCTCAGCCTCCTGAGTAGCTGGGATTACAGGCACCTGCCACCACGCCTGACTAATTTGTGTATTTTTAGTAGAGATGGGGTTTCACCATGTTGGCCTGGCTGGTCTCGAACTCCTGACCTCAAGTGATCCACCTCAGCCTCCCAAAGTGCTGGGATTACAGGCATGAGCCACCACACCTGGCTCTTCTACCTTTTTGAAGAGCACTTTACCTTCTCTACATTAATACCACAATGTGAAGAGTTACTATCCTCAATGTTTAACAAAACTAGAAATTTATGACAGGGAACTAGACTGAATACATCCATCCTCCTCTCTGACTTCTCTGAATCCTGAATCAGAATTTCTCTCTAGTCCAAGAAGAATATGAGTAGTTATTAATACCATTCAGCAATATTCCTGATTTTCTTCTGCTCATATGGTGAAATTACACTTCCTTGCCCTCTTACGCATCACTGTGTGATGTTCATTGATCAGTGAAATGTAAGCAGAAGTGAAGTGTTAGCATCCAGGTAGAAGTTAATAAGAGAAGGTTTATGATTTTCAAAGTAAATTCTTCTCCTTGCTGCAGTGAGGTGGTCCAGATGGTTGGAGGCTCGGTAGGCTGTGTCCCTGTTTGTGGTCAGTGGGGAACAGAGTCTCTCTTGTCTTCCCTAATCCCTGAGATGTTGCATGATGCAAAAAATAAATCTTTGTTGTGTTAAGCCATTGAGATTATAGAGTTGTTTTGACACAGAATTAAGTGATATAAATATTAGGCACTACCTAGTAATAATGCTAGAGGTTTATTTGTATATATTCATTATATAGTGACTGGATATTTAGAAAATTGTCAAGACTATATTTTTAAATGATCACTTAGTGTACTTCTTAACCTTTATGTAAATAGATAGAACTCAGCTTGTTGTAGAATATGTGTTAAAAATTAAGGAGAAAGCCTTCTAGGGGCAAGGCTGAGGATAGATATGTTCAGTCCAGTTTTTTTGGGAGAACCACAACACAGAATGGCTTTTTTTTTTTTAAGAGCCAGGAGGAAGGGGGGCCCTGCAGGCAATGACTCCATCAACCTTTTATATATTTATTCATTTAATGAATATGTATTAGGTGGCAGCTATATCAGATGTTATTTGTTGCATAGGAGTTTACCATAACAAATATTCCTTCTGCTAAAGGATCTGACTTTTATTCATAGGTTCAGGAAGAGTGTGTATGTTGTCCTGGGTTACAATGTTATATGTATTTCTTAAGGTAGGTTGCTGCAAAAAGTATTTGAAAATGCTTGTTTTAGCATGTATAGTAAAAGTCAATGACAAAATAGGACTTGTAAAATTAAATGATAGAGAAATAGGCTGGGCACGGTGGCTCACACCTGTAATCCCAGCACTTTGGGAGGCTGAGGCAGTCAGATCACTTTAGGCCAGGAGTTTTGAGACCGGCCTGACCAGCATGGCGAAACCCCATCTCTACCAAAATATACAAAAAAATCAGCTGGGCATAGTGGCACACACCTGTAGTCCCAGCCACTTGGGAGGCTGGGGCACGAGGATCACTTGAACCCGGAAGGTGGAGATTGCAATGAGCAGAGATCACGCTACTGCACACCAGCCTGGGCAACATAGCAAGACTCTGTCTCAAAAAAAAAGTAAAAGAGATTTAAATAATTTTTTTAAACTGTGGCAAAATATATGTATAACATAAAATTTGCCGTTTTAACCATTTCTAAGTTTAGGGACATTAAGTACATTCATATTGTTGTGCAGCCTTTACCACCATAATTTTTTTTATGTGTATTTAGATTTTTTTTTTTTTTTTTTGAGATAGAGTCTTGCTCTGTCATCCAGATTGGAGTGCAGTGGTGTGATCTTGGCTCACTGCAACCTCCACCTCCCGGGTTCAAGCAATTCTCGTCCCTCAGCCTCCTGAGTGGCTGGGATTATGGGCGCCTGACGCCACACCTGGCTAATTTTTGTATTTTTAGTAGAGACGGGATTTCACCATGTTGACTGGGCTGGTCTTGAACTCCTGGCCTTAAGTGATCTGTCCGCCTCAGCCTCCCAAACTGCTGGGATTACAGGCGTGGGCCAAAGCACCTGGCCAAAAAATAATAAATTTTAAAGTGTGTTTCTACTTGGAAGGCTGAAGGATTCTTCTGTTTTTTAAGAGAGCATTAACAAAGCAATTATTTTGGTATTAAAAATGGGGAAAATTTGAATTTTAAAAATTTAGACATTAACTACTGAACTATATTAGAAATTACTTTTGAGGTATGGGTAAAATGATTAATAGTCCATTTTGTTAGATTTAGTTTTTGTTTTTATATTTATTCTAGGTGATTCAGGTGTCTGGGGATTGAAAAAAAATTTTGCTTTATTGGAGCTTTTGGAACGACTGCAGAATGGGCCTATTGGTCAGTATGGAGCTGCAGAAGAATCCATTGGGATATCTGGAGAGGTATTGATCATACTTGGTGAAATATTTGTTACGAGCATGAATTTTTCTTTTAATAGATGCCATTATTAGCACAATATTACTTCATTTATTTCAGCAGGTAAATTTCTAGAAACACAACTTTTCATTACATTACAGTTCTGAAGGCCAACACTATTCCCAAGAGAAAAAACTAGAATTATTTGAAAATCCTATGCCTAAACTATGCTTTATGTGTGAACTTTTTTTTCCTTATCATAATTCAGTTCTACCAAGAATAAAGTGAAAAGAGGAAGAAGATTATGGAATAGTAAGAAAGATATGTAAGCAACAGTAGAGAAGAGGATGCAAAAGTAGTCAACAGTAAAACTCAATGAGAGAAAGAAAAACTCGATGTAAGAGGCCATTTAATACAGAGGGGAAAATGCCTTAAAGATAGCAGTAACTTCTGAGGGAATTGTTACTGTTATAGCTTCAAGAAAAGGTTAAACTTTGTATAGATGTACTGTCTTTATCCATACAGGTAGATGTCTAGTAAATATCAGAATCCATGAACACTGGATTTTAATAATGTAAAAGTATATTTTTAGCACTTATGTGTTTGCATAGCTGCACATATGTACTATAGGACATGGCTTTCGTAGGCTGTTATGGGTAAAAATATATTTGGAGTAAATATCAGTTAATGATTTTGGTGATCAACTTGCAAACCACATATTTTGTATGAAGGAAAAAAAATGTCGGATTGCTTTCACTTCTCTTTCATTAGATGATGATTTCTTTATACTAAAGTGAATCAGTGAAATGAATTTCAAACTGCAACACTCTGTTTTCTAAAAGTTATGCAGTTCTTTCTGTGCTAAATCTTTAATCTTTATTTCAAAAGACATTACTGTTAGCTAATGTTGACATTATAGTTTATAATTTATTTATTTGTCAGGTCTGGGAAACAGAAGACCTGAATTTTTATGGTACATGTGTTTATTTCTCATAATTGCAAACAAAACTCTTCCACTTTGGATTCATTTTTTATTTAATGTGATAAAGAATGACACCATTGATGTATTTAAACATTTTTATTTTTGAAAAAATTTATACTAAATTTCTCCCCTTCCAATTATGGCCTTTTAATATTGAGTAAAAGTGTTCAAAACATTCTTGATTATCTGACATGTAATTTTTTATCTACTTGAAATAAAAGTAATTATTTCATAATTAGTTATTTTTTGTAATTCCTGAAAACTAGAAATAATATTTACATGCTTACATATAGGTTTTATTTATTTGTTTATTGTTATTTTTTAAGACAGAGTCTCACTCTGTCACCCTTGCTGGAGTGCAGTGGCGTGATCTCAGTTCCCTGCAGCCTCCACTTCCTGGCTTCAAGTGATTCTCGTGCCTCAGCTACCTGAGTAGCTGGTATTAGAGGCATGTACCACCACACCTGACTAATTTTTGGATGTTTAGTAGAGATGGACTTTCCCCATGTTGGCCAGGCTGGTCTCTTACTCCTGGCCTCAAGTGATCACCTGCCTCAGCCTTCTTAAAGTGCTGGGATTACAGATGTTAGCCACTGAGCCTGGCCTATTTTTTTTTTTATTTGCTTAAATCAGTGGTTTTCTGCCGTGATTGTGCAATAGACTCACCTGTGGAGCTATTAAAATAACATGGCGTATAATTAGAAAAATATATACAAGTCTAGGGTTCATCCACAACCTGTTGAAATAAGAATTTCTCTTCCAGACAGCTATGTTTTTAAAAGCTTACAGCTAATTCTGATGCATACTCCTACATTTTCTAAATAGCATTTGTGCTTCTGTCCTTCCTATACATCATCATGACAACTAATATTTAAAGCTATGGGGATGTATTTAATATCAGATTTTTGTAGTTTTACAGAAAGACTTTTGACTTCTCTATGGTTTAGTTTCTTTTGTGTAAAGTGAGGGGATTTGGTGGAAGAGATCTTTGCACCGAATATGAATCTATGAGAATAGTTCTATTTTTGGCTTCAAATTCATAACATATATTGGCCAGTTAATCTTGGAAATAGCTTCTTACCCCTAGAAATGAATGCTTCTCAGATGAGTATTGAATGACCTTTGTTCTTAATGACCAATATATTTTCATATGTAAATATTGTTCAGTTAAGCAAAAAGGATTATGGATTCTATATTTAAAAATTCGTCATGTTATACTGATTGGGTTCAATTTTAAGGCATTAATTTTTTGTTTATCAGAGCATCATTCGTTGTGATGAAGATGAAGCTCACCTTGCCTCTGTATATTGCACTGTGTGTGCAACTCATTTGTGCTCTGAGTGTTCTCAAGTTACTCATTCTACAAAGACATTAGCAAAGCACAGGCGAGTTCCTCTAGCTGATAAACCTCATGAGAAAACTATGTGCTCTCAGCACCAGGTGCATGCCATTGAGTTTGTTTGCTTGGAAGAAGGTTGTCAAACTAGCCCACTCATGTGCTGTGTCTGCAAAGAATATGGAAAACACCAGGGTCACAAGGTATGAATTTAATTATTAATCAGTTGGATCACTGTAGCTACTTTACCAGCTCAGTATTCGTTTTCACTGACCTGGTTCTTTATTCTGAAAGTAGGGATTGAAGAAGAGTTAAGTGATGAGTGATTGGGTTTGGTAGCATGAAAATAAATGAGAGATTTAATTTCTGAATGTTATAAAAAAAAAAAAACTTCAAAGAGGCATCATGATTCTTCACAAAAAAATAGCTTTCGAGCAGGAAACAAACATTCTGTTTGCTTGCATGTTTTCATAATGCACCAGATTGTTTTGACAATATTTATGTCTGTTAGCTCTTACTTAGGATATGATTTTAGAGATAGTCTCTTGGTTTTTTGTTTAGCAATAAACGGACTTCCAAATTTTAAATTACTTCTTTGCAGTACAGTTTTCTTATAAAGGAGTGAAAGTAAATTAGTATTTTTCTGTGTCATAAAAGTCACTTGTGGCTGATGCTTTTTTGTATTAATAGGGATTTAAATAGTTTTTTATATTATTAGTCAATACTATGAGTTCTTTTCTCTAATTATGGTACATTTTATAGCATTCAGTATTGGAACCAGAAGCTAATCAGATCCGAGCATCAATTTTAGATATGGCTCACTGCATACGGACCTTCACAGAGGAAATCTCAGATTATTCCAGAAAATTAGTTGGAATTGTGCAGCACATTGAAGGAGGAGAACAAATCGTGGAAGATGGAATTGGAATGGCTCACACAGAACATGTATGGATTTTTTTTCTTCTTCACTTTCTCATTCTTTTTTATTTTTCATATTTTCACCTTCTACTAAGTAATTAATGGGCAATTACAATTTGCCAGTATTGCACCAATCATTAGAAAGTTTTTTAAAAGTCCCTGTCTTTCAGGAACTCATTCATCATGGAAAAGAGAGAGTTTGAAATATGGTAACTATTTTATGGAGGAGAAGTACAGGGTGCTTTGGCATCACAAAACAGGGACAATGATTTATGGAGGTCAGAGAAGTCCTTATAGAAGAAATGGTGTTTAAACTGAGATTTGAAGAATTTCAGTCAGGGAAAAGAGCAGAACGGGGAATGAGTTGTCCCAAGAAGGGAACAATATGTTAAAATGTTTGTAAGTGAGGATTGTACATATTGTAGAGACTTAAAGAAGCTCACTGTAGTTAGAGCTTTAAGTATTGAATGGGACATGACAAGAAAAGAGGATATGGAGAGTTCAAAGCCAAATCATGCAGGATCTTGTCAGCCATGTTAAAGAGTTCAGAACTTAGTTTAAGGACAGTGATGAGCCATTGAAGAATTGACTTAGGAATGATATAATCAGATTTTCCTCAAGAAAGGTTGTTTTAAATGTAGAAAATGAATTGGAGGAGCAACAAAATTGGAAGCAGGCAGACCTATTAGGATGTTGTTAAAGTTTTCTAGTTAAAATACTAGAGATGTTTATGGCCTATAATACACTAGGGTAGTGAGAGTGGACACAAGTCAATGGATTTGAGATTTTAAATAAGTAGAATAGATAGGTCTTAGTGATTAATTGTTAATATTGATTGGATAGGTAACTTAGAGGTGATGAGGCATGATCAGATTTTGGGTGTATTTTGAAGTCAGCAGAATTTGCTGAGGGACTAGTGGGCTATGAAAGAGAGCTGATAATGATGACTCCGGTTGTTTTTGCTTCAACATCCTGAAGGATGGAGTTGCCATTTACCAAGACAGAGGCAATTAGGTTTGGGAATAGGGGAGACTGGAGATTAGGCATTCCATTTTGCTTGAGATGTCATTTATAAACAGTTGAATTTCCAATGTCTGTGCATTAGGGGAAAGATCTAGCATGGAGATTTATATTTTGGAATTTAATATAGATGGTATTTAAACAATGTCTCGCTCGGTCACCCAGGCTGGCATGCAGTGTTGTGATCACCACTCACTGCAGCCTTGACTTCTGGGGCTCAATCAATCCTCCCGCCTCAGCCTCCTGAGTAGCTGGGACTACAGGCACATGCCACCACGGCTGGCTAATTTTTTCCATTTTTTGTAGAGACAGAGTTTTGCCATGTTGCCTAGGCTGAAATTTTAAATATTTCACAGGTAAAATCTTTATTAACATTACAGTTGCTTAAAATTTATTTTCATTTTCTTAGGTACCAGGGACTGCAGAGAATGCCCGGTCATGTATTCGAGCTTATTTTTATGATCTACATGAAACTCTGTGTCGTCAAGAAGAAATGGCTCTAAGTGTTGTTGATGCTCATGTTCGTGAAAAATTGATTTGGCTCAGGCAGCAACAAGAAGATATGACTATTTTGTTGTCAGAGGTTTCTGCAGCCTGCCTCCACTGTGAAAAGACTTTGCAGCAGGTAGGTAGTTTAAATGTGGTTAGGGACTTAGTTGTAAGTTTAAGTAGATAATTACCAGAGGTATACATTAGTGTGTTTTATTAATATTTTGTGTCTGCTGTATGCAGTAACTTTGTGCTTAGGAAATGGTCTGCAACCTTGAATTATTTCACTAGTATGGAATTATCAGTGTCGTTCACGTGCCTTTCCCACCATAAGCCATGGGTTCTTGAGGCCTTCTAACTTCTTGCCATTCTTCAGTTATGCCAAATCCTTTTACTCTTCTTTGCCAAGCATATATGTAGTTTTTTTTTTTTTTCTGCTTGGAGTGCATATATCTCTCTTTTCTAATAGTGGAAATCTTCCTTCTCCTTCAAGGTCCAGCTTAAATATTTGCCTTTCTTTGAAGCTTTCTATTTGTTGGTCTTTTTTTGAGTGCCTCTCTACCATGTACTGCCTACGTCTGCTATAATTCAGTGGTTCTTCACTGTTAGAGCAAACGTATGTTTTGTGATGGTTGAGATACCATAAGAAATTTGTTACCCAGTTTGCAGATGACTTACTTTTTTAAATAAATGAGATTCAGTTATTCTAACACAAATGTCAGCTTTACCCATTTGTGTTTTGGATCTGTTTTCATAAGTGTGAGGTATAAGAATAACTATTGCCCTAGGAATTTCAGAAAAGCTGCAGTCTGTGTTATCTTCACTGATATATTGCTAATAATTGTGTTGATTTCAAATCATTGTAGGCTAAGCCTTGTACCATTGTAGAGCTTTTTCTCTTAAATATGTGATTACACTTACATGAGAGTGGCCAGTCTATAGCCTCATCAGTCTTGGGTTATCATTTAGTCCTTACCACACTGAATTGTAACAGTTGATATGTATGCTATTTATTAAGTTGATTTTCAGCTCCAAACCTACTCTTCTATCCTCTATTTTGTGATACTAGGGCTAGAACTCTACAGACCTCATAATTGTGTTGCCAGCTGGGCCCATGTTAGGTACTGTCAAGAGGGGGCATAGTTACTCATGTGAGGAGACCACCCTTCTCGGAGGTTTGAGTTTCAGCTCCATGAGCCACTCCTGCAAGTTTCTAAGTTTTAATAATTCTAACTTCTTCCTTTTATTCCTTTAGCACTGGAAGTGGTAGCTATGTTATTTCATACAATTGCTACCTCCTTAATACCTCAGAGTTCCTTTTAACCTTTTAGCTACCTAGTTAATAACTACACCTAGTTAACAGTTTTTATTTTAAGTTCTTTCTATTCAAGTAATGGTGTGATTTGTGTCTTCCGATTTGACCTTGAATGACACAATATGCCTATGTGTTTTAGATGCTGACCTTGTTCATCTTTGATGCATCTTGTTCATCTTTGTGTCACTAAATTCTTTGCATCTAGATAGAAAGAGCTTAATAAATACATGTTTAACTCATGGCGGATAATGAAGCTACATAGCAAAATCAGAGTGGAGTCATGTCCTAAATCATATTTACTTGAACACTTAAAAGTATTTTCATATTTATTTTATGAAAAAGTTTGTTCATAGTTACTGAAATATTTAAGTATTTTAGAGTTTCTGAAGTGTTGTGCCAAAATGACTGGTATATTAGTCCATTTTCACACTGCTTTACAGATACTACCTGAGACTGGGTAATTTATAAAGGAAAGGGGCTTAATTTACAGGTTTGCATGGCTGGGGAGGCTTCAGGAAAGTTAGACAATCATGGGGGAAGGCGAAGGGGAAGCAAGCACCTTGTTTACAGGACGGCAGGAGAGAAAGAGAGAGCAAAGGAGAGGTGCCACACTTTAAAACCATCAGATGTCATGATTAATCACTATCATGAGAACAGCATGAGGGAAACTGCCCCAATAATCCAATCATGTCCCTCCCTTGACATGTGGGGATTACAATTCGAGATGAGATTTGGGTGAGGACACGGAGCCAAACCATATCAACTGGTAATTTTTAATGATACAGTATTATCTATGTTAATGCAAAAAAATCAAGGTCTTGGATTCATTTTTCATATGGACCTATTAGTTTTGTTCTATTTTATAACTACAGAATACTAACCAATGTTCTTTAAAGTTCCCACTACAGAGAAAATTGAACAGAGGAATGGATGGAACATCACAAATTGATCTTCACTTCTGAGAACATAATTTAATCATCCATCCACTCTAAACAAATTATGCATCATCTAAAGTTCTTGGCATGATACTGGATGCTGAATATTTATTCATTTAGCAAATATGTATTGAGTAGCTAACATATGCCATGTATTTAAAATATATCAGTGAACACAATAAGCAAAAAGCCATAATCTTGTGAAATTAGCATTCTAGCAAGAAGACAGGCAATAAACCATAACCATATCTAAGTAAGTTAATTATACTATATGTTAGAAAGTTCTGAGAGCTAATCAAAAAAGAATTCTGCAACTACATGTTTATGTTTGTACAGCAGATTGCATTAATAAGTAGAGTAGTCAGGGTAAGCATTATTGAGGGAAGGTGAGATTTGAGCAAAGATTCAAGTAAAAAGTTGAAGGAATTCGTTCAGGCCGTAACTGGGAGAAGAACATTGTAGTTGAGGAAATGTTATAGCAAAAACCCTAGGGCAGCATGCCTGGTATGTTTGAGGAACAGGAAAATAGGCCTCTTGACTGGAGTAGAATAAGCGAAGGACAGAGTAATAGGAGCTGAAATCAGAGGTTAATAGAGAATTATATGTAAGGAAGGCCCTGTGAGGCATTATAAGGACTTCAATTGTTTTTTTTTTTTTTTTGGCCGGGGGCGGGAGGAGTGGGTTGGGGACAGGGTCTTGCTCCCAGGCTAGCTAGAGTGCAGTGATACAGTCTCGTCTCACTATACCTTCTGCCTCCTGGGCTCAAGTGTTCCTCCTGCTTCAGCCTCCTGAGTAGCCTGGACTACAGGGGCAAGCCACCACATCCAGCTACTTTTTTTGTATTTTTCGTAGAGACAGAGTTTCGCCATGTTGCCCAGACTGGTCTAAAACTCCTGGGCTCGAGTGATCCATCTGCCTTGGCCTCCCAAAGTGCTGGGACTACAGGTGTGAGCCACCATCCTTGGGTGGACTTCAACTTTTACTGATTGGGATAGGACCATTGTAGAGTTTTGAGTAGAAGAGTGACTTAATCTTATATGTTAAAAGGATTTTTCTGGCCTATGTGTCTAAAATAGATTGAAAGAAGGCAAAAATGGAAGGAAGGAATTCAACAGTTAAGCAGCAGTTGTAGAATTCCAGGTGAGAGGTAATAGTGGCTTGGATAATGGGGATTAGAAGTGCCCAGATTCTGGATGTTCAAAAGGATTTGTTAACAGATTGTACGTAGGGCATGCGGGAAAGAGAAAGCAATAATGACTTCAGCGTTTGTCCTGAACAACTGAAACAGTGGAATTGCTGTCAACTAACATGAGTATCTAACAGTGAGCAAAAACAGATAATACTACCGTTCTCATGGAGCTTGCATATTATTGGGAGATCTCTTTCATATAAAGACTATGTTGGTATATGTATAGATAGTCTGGAATAATATTCAAGAAACTGGAAAGTTCTTGACTTTGAGGAGTGGACCTGTATTCTTTATTTTTTTTAACGAATACATGTATATCTGAAATTAATTTTTAAACTTTTTATAGACATAGAACATAGATATAGAAATGTATGCATAAGTATTCAGTTGGCTGAATTTTCAGACTGATCATTAATGTGTAACTAGCACTCAGATCAAGTACCAGAACATTGTCAGTACCCCAGTAGTTCCCTCATACTCACTTCTGGCCACTACCTGCCTTTCCCACCATGATAAACCACTATCTTGACTTCTAATGTATATCTTAATTTTGGTTGTTTTGGTAATTAAATGAAATCATACAGTATGAATTCTCCATGCCATGTCTTCTTATACTCCACATTATGTTTGTGAAATTTCTATCATCACGTGTAGCTATGGTTTATTCTCACTGTGATGTAGTGTTCCATTTATCTATATGCTACAATTTATCCATTCTTTCGTTGCTAAGTCCTTAAATTATTTATTAATGCTCAATTATTATTTTTGTCAAATTTACATTTAACTTTGACTACTATAATGTTAAAACTGCTTTTATTGTGAGTTGGTAATATAAGTCTCTTTTCCTTATTTCTTATAAAAAGTTTATAAGAAATATTGTTTTGCCTCTTATAGGATGATTGTAGAGTTGTCTTGGCAAAACAGGAAATTACAAGGTTACTGGAAACATTGCAGAAACAGCAGCAGCAGTTTACAGAAGTTGCAGATCACATTCAGTTGGATGCCAGCATCCCTGTCACTTTTACAAAGGTAATGTACTGTACTTTATTTTTAGGTATTTTTTCTGACAAATCATAATTGATTTACGTTTCATGATAATCACCTTAAAGAGACAACCATGAAATTCATGAATTAGGGGCTTTTTAAGAAAACTTTTATCAGTGGAAAATAGAAATGGTGTGCTCACTTCGGCAGCACATATACTAAAATTGGAATAAGAAGATTAGCATGGCCCCTGTGCAAGGATGACACACAAATTTGTGAAGTGTGCCATATTTTTAAATTTAAAAAAGTAAAAATAAGAAAATATAAATGGTATATATATGGTATATATAATGAATCTTCCTGTATCCATCACCCACTTGAGCAATTATAAACTTATTTCATCTCCCCTTTTACCTACTCCTTTTCCTACCTGCAATCTCCCAGGGTATTTTGAAGCAAATCCTAATATCATATTATTTCATCCCAATATCTTATTTCATCTATGAAATATTTTAGGGTGTATCTCCAAAAGATAAGGACTCTTTTTAAAAACATAATTGGGGCCGGGTGCGGTGGCTCACACCTGTAATAACAGCACTTTGGGAGGCCGAGGCGGGTGGATCACCTGAGTTCAGGAGTTTGAGACCAGCCTGACCAACATGGAGAAACCCCATCTCTACTAAAAGTACAAAAATTTTTGGCATAGTGGTGCATGCCTATAATCCCAGCTACTTGGGAGGCTGAGGCAGGATAATCACTTGAAACCAGGAGGCAGAGGTTACAGTGAGCTGAGATCACGCCACTGCACTTCAGCCTGGGTAACAAGAGCAAAACCCTGCCTCAAAAACAAAACAAAACAAACATAATTGGGCATGGTGGCATACCTTATAGTCCCAGTTACTCAGGAGGCTGAGGTGAGAGGATGGCTTGAGCCCAAGACTTCAAGACCAGCCTGGGAAATACAGTGAAATTCCCGTCACTTAAAAAAAAAAAGCCAAAATATCATTATTACACCAAAAAAGTTTAATAATGAATCTCTAATATTTTCACTAATATTATCAACTTGTTAGTATTCAAATTTCTCAGATTGTTTTCAAAACAATTTTTTTAATGGTTGCTTTATTTTAGATACAATCCAAGCAAAGTTTCATACTTGGGATTTGGTTGATATATTTAAACCTCTTTTAAAGTGGGTTCTCCCTGATTAAAAAGTGTTCATGTGTACCATTTTGCTTTCCATTTTTAGGGGCTGGTTTTTTTTTAATTTAATTATGTTTTCACAATTATGTGAAATGTTTATGTGATCCAGAGTCAAATGTTCAAAGCAAGGTTTATTCAGAGAAATCTAGCTTTTATGCCTGGTCCTTCTACCCTTTTTACTTCATTCCCCATAGAAAATCATTTAGAATTTTTTCTTAGTTTTAGTCATCATTTTAAAAAGTATAGAGACATATGTTTATATATTTGTATGCACACCACTTGGATTTAAAAGGTGGAATACCTTACACACTTTTTTTTTCCTGCTCTTTTTACTTAGCTGTACATCCTAAACATCACTCTGTAGCAGTAGAAAGTGACATTTTTTGTTCCTTTTTCCAGCTGCAAGGTACTTCATTGTGAGGATATGCCACATTTATTTATCGTAGTAAAAAACACATAATAAAAAATTTGCTATCTCAACCATTTAAAAATGTACAATTCAGTACTGTTAAGTATATTCACATTGTTAAACAGATATCCAGAAATTTTTCATTTTGTAGAACTGAAACTCTATACCCTTTAAACAGTTCCCCTCTGCCCCCTCTCATCGGTCCCTGGTAACCACTATTGTATTTTTCCCTTATGAATTTGACTAGATACCTCATATAAGTGGAATCATACAGTATTTGCCTTTTTGTGGCTGGCTTATTCCACTTGGCCTGTCATCAAAATTCATCCATATTGTAGCATGTGAAAGGATTTTCTTCCATTTTAAAGCTGAATAATATTCCATTGCATGTGTGATATGGTTTGGCTGTGTCCCCACCCAAATCTCAATTTGAATTGTATCTCCCAGAATTCCCACGTTTTGGGAGGGACCCAGGGGGAGGTAATTGAATAATGGGGGCCGGTCTGTCCCATGCTATTCTTGTGATAGTGAATAAGTCTCATGAGAGCTAATGGGCTTATTAGGGGTTTCTGCTTTTGCTTCTTCCTCATTTTTCTCTTGCCACCACCATGTAAGAAGTACCTTTTGCCCCCTGCCATGATTCTGAGGCCTCCCTAGCCATGTGGAACTGTAAGTCCAATTAAACCTCTTTTTGTTCCCAGTTTCGGGTATGTCCTTATCAGCAGCGTGAAAATGGACTAATACAGTAAATTGGTACCAGTAGAGTGAGGCGATGCTGAAAGGATACCCAAAAATGTGCAGGCAACTTTGGAACTGGGTAACAGGTAGAGGGTGGAACAGTTTGGAGGGCTAAGAAGAAGACAGGAAAGTGTGAGAAAGTTTGGAACTTCCTAGAGACTCGTTGAATGACTTTGACAAAAATACTGATAATGATATGGATGGCGAAATCCAGGCTGAGGTGGTCTCAGAGGGAGACGAGGAACTTTTTGGGAACTGGAACGAAGGTGACTCTTGTTACTGTTTTAGCAAAGAGACTGGTGGCATTTGCCTAGACATTTGTGGAACTTCAAACTTGAGAGAGGTGATTTAGGGTATCTGGTGGAAGAAATTGCTAAGCAGCAAAGCATTCAAGAGGTGACTTGGGTTCTGTTAAAGGCCTTCAGTTTTATAAGGGAAGCAGAGCGTAAAAGTTTGAAAAATTTGCATCCTGATTGTGCAATGGAGAAGAAAAACCCATCTTCTGGGGAAAAATTCAAGCTGGCTGCAGAAATTTGCATAAGTAGCAAGGAACCTAATGTTAATACCTAAGACCAAGGGGAAAATGTCTCTAGGCCATGTCAGAGACCTTCATGGCAGCCCCTCCCATCACAGGCCTGGAGGTCCAGGAGGAAAAAGTGGTTTCATGGGCTGGGCCCAGGGTCCCCATGCTGTGTGCAGCCTGGGGACTTGATGCCCTGAGTCCCAGCTGCTCCAGCTGTGGCTGAAAGGGGCCAATGTAGAGCTCGGGCTGTGGCTTCAGAGGGTGGAATCCCCAAGCCTTGGCAGCTTCCATGTGGTGTTGAGCCTGTGGGTGCACAGAAGTCAAGAATAGAGGTTTGGGAACCTCTGCTTAGATTTCAGAAGATGTATGGAAACACCTGGAAGCCTAGGCAGAAGTTTGCTGTAAGGGCAGGGTTTGGAGGGGCGAGGGGCAGAATGATATGCTTGAGATTTTGGGTGTGCCCCCACCCAAATCTCAACTTGAATTGTATCTCTCAGAATTCCCATGTGTTAGGGAGGGACCCAGGGTGAGGTAATTGAATCATGGGAGCTGGTCTTTCCTGTGCTATTCTTGTGATAGTGATTAAGTCTCACGAGATCTGATGGGTTTATCAGGGGTTTCCGCTTTTGCTTCTTCCTCATTTTTCTCTTGCTGCTGCCATGTAAGAAGTGCTTTTTGCCTCCTGTCATGATTCTGAGGCTTCCCCAGCCATGTGGAACTGTAAGTCTAATTAAACCTCTTTTTCTTCCCAGTCTTGGGTATGTCTTTATCAGCAGCATGAAAATGGACTAATACAATGTGTATACCACATTTTGTTTGTTCATTCATCTGTTGATGGAAACTTGGGTAGCTTCCACCTCTTGGTTTACTGGGAATAGTGCTGCTGTGTACGTGAGTGTACAAATATCTCTTCAAGACCCTGCTTTCATGGTCTTTTGGATATATACCCAGAAGTGAAGTTGGTAGATCATATAGTAGTTCTGTTTTTAATTTTTTGAGGAATCCCCATACTGTTTTCCATAATGGTTGCACCATATTACAGTTCCACCAGTGGTGCACAAGGGTGCAGTTTCTCCACATTTTCACCAACACTTGTTATTTTCTGTTTTTGGATAGTAGCCATCCTGATTGGTTTGAAATGATACCTTATTTGTTTTGATATCCATATCTCTGATGACTAGTGCCATTAACCATCTTTTCATATAATTGTTGGCCATCTGTATATTGCCTTGAATATGTCTATTTCTGTCCTTCGCTCACTTTTTGATTGGGTTGACTATTTTTGTTGTTGAATTGTAGGAGTTCTTTGTATATTCTGGATATTAATTCCCTATCAGATCTGTGACTTTCAAATATTTTCTCCCATTTCATAGGTCAATTTTTCACTCTGTTGATTTTGTCATTTTATGCACAAAAATTGTAAATTTGATGTAGTCTATTTTTGCTTTTTTTTTTTTTTTTTTACTGTGCTTTTCGTGTATCCCTGAAGTCACTCTCAAATGCAATGTCATGAGGCTTTTCCTCTGTTTTTTCTTCTAGGAGTTTTATGGTTTGGGGTCTTAAGTTTATGGCCATTTTGAGTTAATTTTTTTAGGTGGTGTAAGATACATAACATCCTTTTGCATGTAGATATCCAGTTTCCCCAGCATCATTTATTGAAGAGACTGTCTTTTCATTGAGTGGTCCTGCACCCTTGTTGAAGATCATGTGACCCTATTCCTGAGGGTTTATTTCTGGGCTCTCTCTTCTGTTCTGTTGGTTTGTATGTCTCATCTTTATGCCAGTACCACATAGTTTTCATTATTGTAGCTGATATGGCTTGGATCTATGTTCCTGCCCAAATCTCATTTCCAGTTGTAATCCCCAATGTTGAAATGGGGCCTGGTTGGAGGTGACTGGATCATGGGGGCAGTTTCTCATGAATGGTTTAGTATCATCCCCCTTGGTACTGTCTTTGCCATAATAGGTGAGTTCTCATGAGATCTGGTCGTTTAAAAGTGTGTGGCACCTCCCCCACCCTCTCTCTTGCTCCTGCTCCTGCCATGTGAAATGCCTCACTCCCTCTTTGCTTTCCACCATGATTGTAAGTTTCCTGAGGCTTTCCCTGAAGCCAAGCTGATGCCAGCATCATGCTTCCTGTACTGCCTGTGGAACTGTGAGCCAATTAAACTTTTCTTTATAAATTACCCAGTCTCAGGTATTTCTTTATAGCAGTGCAAAAACAGAACAATACATTAGCTTTGTAATATATTTTGAAGTAAGGAAGTGTGAGTCCTCCAACTTTTTTCTTTTTCAAAATTGTTTTGGCTATTCAGGGTCACTTGAGCTTCCTTATAAATTTTAGCTTAATTTTTTCTATCTCCACAAAAAACATGATTGGGATTTTGATAGGGATTGCATTGAATCTATATAAATTACCTGGGCTGTTATTCATATCTTAATATTTTATGTCTTTCAATCCATGGACATGGAATGTCTATTTATGTCTTAATTTATTTTAGCAATATTTGTAGTTTTTAGTGTACAAGTCTTTCACCATCTTGGTTAGGTGTACGCCTACATATTAGGTTGGTGCAAAAGTAATAGTGGTTTTTGCCATTAAAAGTACTGGCAAAAGCCGCAGTTGCTTTTGCACCAACATAGTATCTTAAGTCTTTCACCATCTTGGTTGAGTTTATTCCTAAGTATCTTAAACTTTTTTTTCTGTACATGTTCAGAGAAACTTCTTTAGTCATAAACTATAAAAATGATCCCTGAAAGTATAATTTTGATGCTATTTTAAGTAGAATTGTTTCCTTAATTTCCTTTTGGGATTTTTATCATTAATGTATAGAAATGCAACTGATTTTCATGTTGATTTTATATCCTGAAACTTTGTTGACTTTATTCTAATAGGTCTTTTTGTGTGGACTCTTCAGGGTTTTCTACATACAAGATCATGTCATCTGTGAAGAGATATAATTTTACATCTTCCTTTACAATTTGGATGTCTTTTATTATTCTTCTTGCCTAATTGCTCTGTGGGCATCTTCTTGTTCTTTATCTTAGAGAAAAAGCTTTCAGTTTTTTGAGTATGATGTTAGCTGTGGGCATTTCTTATATGGTGTATGTTAACTGAGGCAGTTTCCTGCTACTCCTAGTTTGTTGAATGTTTTTATTATGAAAGGGTATTGAATTTTGTTAAATGCTTTTTCTGCAACTATTGAGATGATTACGTGCTTTTTTTCTCTCATTCTGTGTATTATGCTGATTGATGATGAATAATTCTTGCCTTCCAGTTATAAAGCCCATTTGGTCATGGCGTACAATCCCTTTAATATGTGTTTTTTTTTTTTTTGAGGCGGAGTTTCGCTCTTGTTGCCCAGGCTGGAGTGCAATGGCGCGATCTCGGCTCACTGCATTCTCCACCTTCCGGGTTCAAGCGATTCTTCTGCCTCAGCCTCCTTGTAGCTGAGATTACAGGCGTGCGCCACCATGCCTGGGTAATTTTGTATTTTTAGTAGAGACGGGGTTTCTCTATGTTGGTCAGGCTGGTCTCGAACTCCTAACCTCAGGTGATCCACCCCCAACCTCGGCCTCCCGAAGTGCTGGGATTACAGGCATGAGCCACCACGCCCGGCCTAATGTGTTGTTGAATTCAGTTTGCTAGTATTTTGTAGTTTCCTCCTGGTTGCACCTCATCCTCACTATGTTGGATATGGGGAAGGGCAGGGATGAGTGCACAGAATGCCCCAAATTTTATTACCCCTTTCACTGGAATGCCTTCTTGGTTTTATGGCCTGGGTGCTGTAGTTTCTTAACTGTTCTCTAGAGTTCTCACAGAAGTAGTTCTGTTCCATATATTGTTTTATTTCTGAGGTGTATAACTGGACTTAAGTATAGATTTGGAGCCATAATATACATGGTAATTAAAGCTCATGAAGAGAATGAAAATATGTAGAATGAGAAGGAGGCCTCATATAGACCCTCAAGAATACCAACATTTAAGAGCTGGATTAAAGAAAAATTAGAAGGAACATCCAAAAATGGGATAAAACCAAACCAGGAAAAGTTTGTATCATAAAATCCAAGCAAAGAGTGCTCAAAGGAGTAAGCAAAAATAACACATATATTTTGGGAACTGTTGTAAGGACTTTTATATGTATTCTTAAAAATTAATCCTTTCAAGAATCCTATGTAAATTTTGTACTATTTTAATCCTCCTTTTATGAGATGAAAGAAGTGAAGCAGAGAAATCATGCAGCTAGTAATATATAAAAATGTTCATTATAGCATTATTTGTAATATCATAAAATCAGAAATTACCTAAAATCTATCAGTTGGGGGTTTAGTTAAATTGTGGTTTATGAAATGTAAAGAAGCCATTAAAAGAAAAAGGTTGGTCAATATGTATTGACAGGATTCCATAATATACTGTTGAGTGAAACACATTAGTTTCAATGTGTGGGTAATACTTTTTTAAAAAAAAATTTGTTTTGTTTGTGTATGTTGGCCAGTATGTGCATGGAAAGTGTCTGGAGGGATATACATCAGATTCATAGTAGAAATTTCTGGGAATTGAGCAGCACTTTTTCATTTTAATTGATTTACCCTTATTGTGATTTTTTTAGTATAGCATAAAAACATGTTTAAGATTTAGAGGATTCATTTGAGTTAGAAAATCTGAGAAAATTAAGTGGGTATGTATATTCTGTTATACAAAGACAAAGTGGTCAGTTTTACTAAGGCAAGATTTAGCCATGGGGAAGGATTTCATCTTCTTGAGATCAGACTCAGTATTTTGAGGAATACAATTCAGATTGCAATGGTTGAGGAATGAATAGGAGATGTAGAAATAATAAAGGTGCTAAATGCTATTACTTTCTAACTGCATGTCAAACATATTTAAAAATATTTAAATTGTAGGATAATCGAGTTCACATTGGACCAAAAATGGAAATTCGGGTCGTTACGTTAGGATTGGATGGTGCTGGAAAAACTACTATCTTGTTTAAGTTAAAACAGGATGAATTCATGCAGCCCATTCCAACAATTGGTAAGTATGAATATTGGTTTTTACCTTAATAGACAAACCCTAGCTTACAGCCAAGTTCTTGGGGTCTTATTTGATACTGATCTGTCATGGTGGTGGGCTCTTTTCTGGCTCTAAGATATCAGCATCTCAGAGAAAAAATGCAAGATTGTATGACTATGGGATTGAAATGTGGATGGGGATAAAAAGAAGAAACAGAGTATTGGTGGGACAGTTGGAAGGAATAGAGGATTGGTGATCCTGGCTGAGGGTGTGGGGTGGGGGGTAGTTGTGGAACAGAGCTGGAAGGTACATGGATCCCAAGGTCCTAAGGACCTTGGTGGAGGTTTAGAGGGCTAGGAGCTGTTACAGGTATACATTCACCACGTAGGAGTAGGAATGGGGTTGATTAGGCTTCAGTAGATATTGCTGCATGTAGATAATTTGATAAGTCACAGTTATAAACTGGGGGTTGTCTGTGTTTGATATGTCATTCATTGTAAATACAAATATAGTATAAAAGTAACTTTTTTTTTAAAACAGGTTTTAACGTGGAAACTGTAGAATATAAAAATCTAAAATTCACTATTTGGGATGTAGGTGGAAAACACAAATTAAGACCATTGTGGAAACATTATTACCTCAATACTCAAGGTGAGAGTTAAAAATGACATTTAATTTTTCACATTTTTAGGATGACAGTTTTCAGTGTACTGATTTAACTAGCAAAGCTGATACTTATGATTAAGTCGTTGACTGTATACTTAAGTACCTGTGGCCAGTTTCTTAACTTGTAAAAAATGAAAGTAGAAAGATTAGGATATATACTTTTAGTTTATTCCTGATATACCATTATTACAGAATAAAAACCATACGTAGCTTAGATATGTAGTCAGTTAAGAGTACTCTTGCTTCTCTTAACAGAGAGTGTATATTACCAGTATTATATGGGTGTGACTGCTGGTAGCGTAGTGGTATAGAGTTGAATTTATGTTGTATGATTCTGCTGAATTCAGTTAAACTCAACATTTATCCCATTATAATCTCACTATAGCCCCACTCCCACATTTCTTTCACAAATAGTTATTACCTGCAGAAGAACTTACAGTAGCTTGCTTTTGACCAAACCGTATTATATCATATCTATACTCTACATAGGTTTTAGTCACATTTGGGTCTTACTCTACACTTCTGCCTCATAGACCCCAACATAATGCTTACGCTCATGCCGCTTATTCTGTATGTTATTCTGCTTTCCACCAAGATGAGAGACTGAATAATTATTTTTACTTTGGGATTTTTGATATTATTATGAGCCATAATTAATAGAAAAAATGTATTTTTTTTTTGAGACAGAATCTTGCTTTGTTGCCCAGGCAGGAGTACAGTGGCATGATTGCATTTCATGGTCACCTCTGTCTCCTGGGCTCAAGCAATCTTCCCACCTTAACTTCCCAAGTAGTTAGGACTAGGTATATGCCACCACATTCAGCTAATTTTTTTTTTTTTTTTTTTTTGAGATCGAGTCTTGCTCTGTCGCCCAGGATGGAGTGCAGTGGTGCGATCTCGGCTCACTGCAAGCTCCGCCTCCCAGGTTCACGCCATTCTCCTGCCTCAGCCTCCTGAGTAGCTGGGACTACAGGTGCCCACCACCATGCCTGGCTAATTTTTTTGTATTTTTAGTAGAGACGGGGTTTCACCATGTTAGCCAGGATGGTCTCCATCTCCTGACCTCGTGATCCGCCCGTCTTGGCCTCCCAAAGTGCTGGGATTAGAGGCACGAGCCACCGCGCCCGGCCACATTCAGCTAATTTTTAATTTTTTTTTAATAGAGATAAGGTCTCACTATATTGCCCAGGGGTCTCGAACTCCTGGGCTCAAGTGATCCTCTCACCTCAGCCTCCCAAAGTGCTGGGATTATAGGTGTGAGCCACTGTGCCCTACAAAAATGAAATTTTGAATATGAGGAATGGTTGAAAGTCTGGAGATAGTTAACTTAGACATAATACTTTGGAGAAATAAAAATGGTGATGGTTTTTATCTTTTAGTCTTTTATTCAAAGACTAAATATTAGAAAAGTAGTATTCGAAGAACAAGTAGCATCCATAGGTAGAGGATCATGAGGCATATTTTGAAATTCGTTATGTAAAAAGTTATTTGATATACAGACCAATTTGCATTTGATAGAGCAAGTGTTGTAAATCCTTTCCTAGATGGGGAAACTAAACCTGAGAAGTTATGTAAACTACTTGAAATCATACTGTTAATTATTTGTAGGTGCCCCTGCCATACTAGGCACCCTCTGTGTGAAAATAATGATGGTAGACAAACTCTAACCATAACATAATAATGATATCATTAAATATTTGGTTCATTTACTGAACTTTAGCAAGTGACTATTTTTGTTTTTTTTATTTTTTTTTGGGTAGCTGTTGTGTTTGTTGTAGATAGCAGTCATAGAGACAGAATTAGTGAAGCACACAGCGAACTTGCAAAGTTGTTAACGGAAAAAGAACTCCGAGATGCTCTGCTCCTGATTTTTGCTAACAAACAGGTAATGCATTTTTATATTGGAATATTTATTTTAGTAGTTTTGTGCATGTCAAAAGGCAACTGGAAATATTTCAGAAGACAATCAGTTCAATAGATATTTATAGTTTCTTCTGTGTATTTTGAGTACAATCTATGTGAAAATGCTGTGCTGGGTACCTGGGAGTATACAAAATAGAAATAAGGTAGTTAATGCTCACCAGAAACTCCTGTGTATGCATATGAACACATAAGAGATCTGAATACGAAGAAGACTGATAAGTAACTTAAGTAACACAGTGTTACGGGAATTAGGAAAGTAGTTCTAAATGTGGCATGTTGTAAGATTGTAAAATGTAGAATTTGAGTTGAAATTATGCATGAGGCTGAGTCAGTATGTGAAAGGAAGAACATTATAGACAGAGAAGATAATAGCATGAATGTTTTTAGTTTAGGGAACATCAAGCAGATCTATATGTCAGGTCTCAGTAGAGGATGAAGAGAATTTAGAATAACAGACAAGGCCATGCTGTAAAGGTCTGACAGTGCTAGACTGAGAAATTTAGGTTTTATTCTATGAGCAAGGAGGAGTCATCAAAATGTTGGATTAGTGGGTAATAAGATCATATCAGTGTTTCAATACTATAATTCTAGGGGTAGAATGAATCAGGGCAAAGGACTGGAGACAGGGAGATGCAGTAAATTGCTTAAATAATTCAAGTGAGCATTAACAAGAGCCTGAATTAGAGGAATAGAAAGGCGGAGGCAGATGGAAAAGACTTTGAGGCAGAACTGGTGACTGAATGGGGAGGATGAAGGACTGGGAGTAGCTGAAGATTCCTAGACCTTGAGCCTTTCTAGGAGGATGAGATGCTTTTAAGTAGAGGCAGAAGGAGAGTAGAAGTGGAGCAGAGGAGATGTCATGGGAGGGGAAGAGTAGGATGAAGAATAAAGAATTTTCCCCTTAATAAAAAAGGCAAACTATTAAGAACTGGTATATTTAAGACATGCAAATAAGTCAGTGAAATACCATTTTCTGCTCATCAGATAGTTAAAGATGAAAGTGTTTTATAATCCTCAGACTTATATACAACTGTTACTATTATTATTTTGAGACTGAGTCTTGCTCTGTCACCAGGCTGGAGTGCAGTGGCACAACCTCTGCTCACTGCAACCTCCCCCTCCTAGGTTCAAGCGATTCTTCTGCCTCAGCCTCCCAAGTAGCTGGGATTACAGGTGCTTGCTACCACACCCGGCTAACTTTTGTATTTTTAGTAGATTCAGGGTTTCATCGTGTTGGTCAGGCTGGTCTCAAACTCCTGACCTCAAGTGATCTGCCCGCCTCATCCTCCCAAAGTGCTGGGATTACAGGTGTGAGTCACTGCGCCTGGTCAACACTGTTCGTGGGTTATTAAACTGAGACATTTTCTTGGAGGACAATTTGGCAATACTCATCAAAGTCCCTTACCCTGCAATTCTACCTTTATATATCTGGTAGACAGATATCCAAAGGTTATCCTACAGATAATTTTGCAAATATACATAAATGTATGTCAACTTTTGTGTATGTATGTTTATGTATGTATGTGTATATATATGGATTTATAATAGCACATAAGCATAAAACTTCAATCTGAACATTCAGTATAGGACTGGTTAAATTATGTTGCAGCCACACAATGGAAGGGAATTCTGATATTAAAAATAATGCAGACCATCTGTGCTGATAATGGAAAGATACTCATCTTCAACATGTTTACGTAAAAAACAAACAGAAAACCCTGCAAGTTATAGAAAGTCTAAACTATGTTCCTGTTTGTGTCTCTTTGCATGAGTGTGCATGGAAATTTTCTGGAAAAATATGTTGTAACTGGTGGTTGCTCCTGGGAAGTTGGGGCAATGGGTGTTCAGAGTGGGAATGTAGTGAACTCTTCAATATATAACCCTATATATAAACCATTTATTAAGGTTTCTATGTGTTAATTTTTTTTTTTTAAGTTGATGCCTTACACTTAGGCAGGCCAGGCGTGGTGGCTCATGCCTGCAATCCTTGCATTTTGGGAGGCTGAGGTTGGTGGATCACTTGAGGTCAGGAGTTCGAGACCAGCCTGACTAACATGGTGAAACCTCATCTCTACTAAAAATACAAAAAAATTAGCCGGGCATGGTAGCACATGCCTGTAATCCCAGCTACTTGGGAGGCCAAAGCAGGAGAATCGCTTGAACCAGGAGGCAGAAGTTGCAGTGAGCCAAGATCATGTCACTGCACTCCAGTCTGGGTGACAGAGTGAGACTCTGTCTCAAAAGATAAAAAAATTACTTAGGCAGTATGTTTCCTTTTAGGTTGCAAGGACTTTATTGATTTCATTGTTAAGCTAGCCTTACAAAGTATATACATACACACACATATAAATTAGTTAAACCAAACTAATTTTTTCTATTCTTATTAATCTCAGAATAATTACTGAAAGATGAATCTAGGTTTTTTGTTTAGGCTTCTGTTAGAACACTGTCAACAAATTTCTCTATAAATGGTGATAATTAGAAAAATTATAATTTGGATGGACTGATAAAAAATATGTGTATATATCTTTCAGGATGTTGCTGGAGCACTGTCAGTAGAAGAAATCACTGAACTACTCAGTCTCCATAAATTATGCTGTGGCCGTAGCTGGTATATTCAGGGCTGTGATGCTCGAAGTGGTATGGGACTGTATGAAGGGTTGGACTGGCTCTCACGGCAACTTGTAGCTGCTGGAGTATTGGATGTTGCTTGATTTTAAAGGCAGCAGTTGTTTGAAGTTTTGTGGTTAAAAGTAACTTTGCACATAGTATGTTTTAAGAAATTATACATCTCAAAAGATGGTAATTTAGGATGCATATATATATATATATATATAAAGGAATCTTGGATTGGGAATTCAGTACTTTGCTTTAAAAAAATTTTGTGGCAGAATTAAATTTCTAATTGAGCAGATTAGATTGAATTAAATAGAAACTTATTGAATATACATTCTTTTAAAAAGTATATTTGTTATTTAAGTTTTTCAGATAATATGTGACCAATATACTGGGAAAGAGGTAGTCACAGAGAAAGGGTAAGTGAAGGTTTATTCTTTCAGTGAAAAAAGAATAGCCAATTGAGTGCCTAATGAGACCTCTGTGTGAAGCAAGTGAAGTATAGCTGCTTCTTTTAACCTGCCTTTTCACTGAATGTTGGCAGCATTTAGTAGTAGAAATGACAGTTGCTTAATGAAATAGAATCCAAACTACATATTTGGATAATAGGATTACTTTATGTTTATGTTCAGAGTTAACAGAACACCTTTAATGCTAAGAACTATAAGGTACAGAAAATTAATACTTTATATAGTGTTTTATTAACTTTCTCCTACAGCATTTTGTATAAAACACAATGAGGGAGTGAAATGTTACCCAATTAGGCTTGTCAGGTTAGTAATAAACTGAACAGTAATAAAACTGTGGAAGTAATTGGATCTGAATTTATGAAAGACCCATTTCCAGGACTGAACCTAGGTCAGAGCTCTAAATTGGTCCTTCTATTTTTCAACAAATTTAAAGTAATATTTCTTTCTAATATAATATTGCATCCTTTGTGGGAATGACTATAGGTAAAATGTAGTAAGTAACGCAGAACCAGGGTTGGCTTTATTTAAAAGCTAGTGACCTAAATAGAAAGCGAACTTCAAGAGAAGTTGTAAGTACAGTGGCAAATGCTTATTACTTACTTCAAACTGTTTCCCAAAATAAGTGCATTTATTTTGACAATAAAACTTAAGGCTGTTCATGAGAAGGCCTTGAAAAGTTACTCTAGAGGAAAAATGTCTAAAGAAAAAAAAAATTCAAAAAGTTTACATTAATTATTCAGTGTTGTGAGTAAATAAAAATGTGTGCTCTTTACTGTTTTTCATTTTTAAAGAATATTATTATGGAAGCACGATTTATTTAAATAGGTACATTGAGACTTTTTTTTTTTTAATGTTCTGATACATTAGGATGAAGTTAAATCTTAAATCTTATTAGTTGAATTGTTGTAAGGACAGTGATGTCTGGTAACAAGATGTGACTTTTTGGTAGCACTGTTGTGGTTCATTCTTTTCAAATCTATTTTTGTTTAAAAACAATACAAGTTTTAGAAAACAAAGCATTAAAAAAAAAGCCTATCAGTATTATGGGCAATATGTAAATAAATAAATGTAATATTTCATCCTTTATTTTTCAGGTAAAAGGTCATGCTGTTACAGGTGTAGTTTGTGTGCATAAATAATACTTCCGAATTAAATTATTTAATATTTGACTGATTTCAATAACTGTGAAAAATAAAAAAGGTGTTGTATTGCTTGTGAGAACTTGAACTGTTTACTAGTTAATTGAAGAAAAAGTGTAACACTAAGGTGAACTTGCTTCCCTTTTCACTAATTTTGCTAAACTTTGTAATGCACATTCTTAGCATATAACTGAACACAGTTGAAAAATTGTGCCTGATTATAATGTATGTATAATGGTAGGTGTTTGTGTGTGATTCATTTTTAAAGAAATATTTTTCTCAAGCTCCTATTACTATTTGTGGTTGTATTATTTCACTAATCATTAGTTAAGACTGTGCTAGTCTTCCCTGGGAAACTAAGAAGAGAGCTTTTTTATATACAGTATATTAGAATTTTCCTAGTAGCTGAATTTCTGTATTAGGTCTAAATATTACTGTATGTTATATAAAGCAGGTATGTCAAGTGTATAGCCGTAGTCTATAATTCAGGAATGCTTTATAACCATCAGAAGCCATTATTTGCACTACATATATGATAAGTATAGACAGCAATAAAATGTTAAGATCATTTTTAAGAAGTCCCATCATTATTCTTGAAAGTCTCTTTCTTGAACCATCTACCTAATATTATTGCTAGTTGTAACCAATTTAAGAAGTCATTATTTGTGCTGTGGTTAGGAGAGAAAATAAAACAAAATGGGTATGGGTTGGCATGCCTGTCAAATTTGAGATGTAGTTTATTTGATACAGCAAAATTTTAGAAATAACGTTTTGAATTTGCAACATAGGCCACATTTACTGATGAGAACAGATACTAAACTTGATCTTAACTACACCTGATCTTAGCCAAAAGGCCGAGAAGTAATGTGCAGGCCACATTTAAATAAGTAATATAACCATAGTGTTTTGAAGGCGGAGCTAAAGTTTTACATTGAACGAAGTGAAACTTTGTTACTGCCTTTTAAATTTTAAATGTAAACTTGTTTCATAAGAAAACATAGTATTTTAAATGACCATTTTAGAAAATGGCTTGCAAAACTTAGTGGTAGCTCATGAACTAATACTGCTAAGAGAAAGGCTTTTTATGTAACACTGGGATACTTCTCAATTGGCAAAGTGCTAACAAAGAAGAAGACAGCTGTATTCTTCCCTAAAAGAATAAAGGATGAAAAGGACTAATGAATAAGGATGAAATTATATCCTGATAACTTAAAACATGCTTTTAAAAAGACATGGGCAATGTATGTTTTTAGGTCTGCCGATTAAGTTTTTGATATTAATCGAAAAATTCATTAGTCAAATATGGTTTTCACTCAAAGCAAAATAATTGTATTTGTTGGGGAATGAGGCATCATCACCACTTGGTGGCAATATTACCAAAAATTTAGATTAAATTTTTAGGAATGAATAAAGCTAGGTAGGTAAGACTAAACAACTAAAATTAGAAACAGTAAATGTCACATTGAAAAGTCATTTTCATGTCTAACTTTAAGTTCTACTTTTAAAAAGGAGCATACATTACAGGAGCACAATCTGGCATAATCTCCTATCTATCTCACAACTTTGTAGCACGAAATAAATAAAGAATCCTGCTGATCAATAGAAGGAAAAGTTTAAGCCGATTTAAAACTTAAGAATATAAATTCCCTACACAGGTCTGTTGAGAATGTTCTTCCTGTAAGTTTCTGAAAGAAAGAGTCTTTCTTTCTGGAAACGAAGCAGTGAGTCTTAATAGTTATGAAGTTAGTTATAAGTGTAAGTGAAGAAGATCAATATAAGAATTTGTGCTCATATTGTTTTACTGCTCCAATTTCTACTAATCTCTCCATTGTTAGATACCAAAATTTTTATGTATACTTCTTAATGGTATATTTTCTAAAGATATACTATAACTTGAGGACAGAAAAAATTGTTTACCTATGTTAGAAAAATAATCTGAAAATCAACCTGCATATAATAAACTAAGGACTCAGGTATTCACTTATTCTGAATCTTTCATTTGAAAGAATATTTCATAATTATTAAGGAATATAACACTTTGACCAAAGTAACTTCCTGTTTATTGAGGCTTTACTCACCACTACTTACTAAACAGTTATCAAAAGACTAAAATATTTGGCATTGAAACCTTGTAAAACAAAGGAAATGACATATAATATCATATCCTAGTATTTTTTTCTTATAGGAGGGATCTGCACTCTTCTAAACATAAGGGCGGAATATCTGGCAGGTATTCAAAATTAAAGCACAGTTGTGTACCACTGTCATTATTTAATAGAGTTGTCATCGCACGGGATACCTTCTAAGACCTCCAGTGGATGCCTGAAACTTCAGATGATACTAAACCCCATATATATTGTGTTTTCATATATATATATCTATGATAAAGTTTAATTTATAAATTAGGCACAGTAAGAGATTAACAACAATAAAATAGAACAACTATAGCAGTATACTGTAATAAAAGTTAGTGAATGTGGTCTTGCTGTCTGAAAATATCTCACTGTATTGTACTCACCTATTTTTGGATCATGGTTGACAGTAGAAAGAAAACCATGGGAAAGGGGGTGGAGGAGAGTACTGTAATTATTTAATATTTAATTTGAGGCTGATTAGAAATTACCTATAATGAGTGCTATTTGCCTGAGTTTAGTCCATTTCAATTTATCACCTCCCAGGATTAGAAATATTGCGAGAAAAGTCAAAGGTAATTTTTAAAAAATAGCCTTTAATAAAAAATACAAAAATACTGTATCTTTGAAACATGATCTGTATATTCAGCAAGTCCTAAGCTTCCTAATGTAAAATAATCTGTTTAATATTGTATTTTTATTTGCAAGTACATTAAAACAAATCTTATTTTACTTGACAGTAATATTTATGATGCTGACATCCTCATAGGGCTTATCTGTTTTGGGATTGACTTTGACGTTGGAGATCCTCTGTACAACTTCCATTCCTTTAGTCACTCGTCCAAATACTGTATGCTTATTATCAAGCCAAGGCTGTGTTGGAGGACAAATGGAAAATCTTGGTAAACCCCAATTTCTTTAAATTATATCCTCTGGTTGAGCAAATTAAAGAGAATTTAAGTTTACGCTCCCCTTTAGCATATATTTAAAAAGAAGTACAATAATTTCTCAGCAATAAAAATGTAGCAGCTTTTAAAAGTTATTTCCAGTGTGTTAAAAAAAATAGAAGCATAGTATAATGTTTAATTAAATATCTGCATCTTTCAGACCAAAGGGAACTGGAAGATCTTCCCTAAAGGTAAGTTACTTCACATGGCTTACAGAATTGTGGCTAAGGCTTTAAAAGGTCTCTGGAGGACTCTTACCTGAACAGTTTATTCAGAGGCAGTTTGAAATAGTTTATGCAGCACATACTTTGGCATTAGACAGGTGGGAGTTCAAATGCTAGCTTGGCTACTTGACCTTTTGGCAAGTTAATCATGTCTCACTGTTTCTTCATCTATTATTGAAAACTGGGGATACTGATAGTAGAAGTACTGTGAATACTACATAAAACTATGTGCCTGGCAGATGGTAGTTACATTTTTCCCTTCTTCATCACTTAGTGCTTAATTCCAAAACAAAAACTAGGTAATTTTTATAATTTTGTGTTATGGCATAGCAATAGAGCTAGGTTACCTTATACTGTATTTCATCAAATCTAATGTATTCTGATTTCAGAGATACTAAAATGTGGGGGAAATTGTCTCAAAATTGTGAATTCATATACTCTAATCTTTGTATTCTAAAGACAAGGAAATAGGCTCACAGAAGTGAAATAATTTATTTTAGGTTACATCATCAGTAGAGGCAGAGTTGAGATTGAAACTCAAGTATCTTGAATCGTAGTCCATTGTATTTCTTACTACAGTGGCAGTATTGTTTTACCAATTCTAAACTGATTAGTCACATAATTTTATATTCTTGATCATTTTCATATTTGTATTCTGCTAGATGATATAAATAATGCAGAAAATACAGAATAATGCAGCTCTTCTACTGAGTTCACTCTCTTACATCATAACCTATCAATCTGTAGTTTATAAACAATGATACTGTACTTACCGTTGGTACTACCGTTATGAAAAACTGGGATCCATTAGTATTTGATCCCGCGTTAGCCATGCTGAGTGTGTATGGCCTGTCATGTCGTAATGTTGAATGAAATTCATCTTCAAATTCTCCTCCCCATATGCTTTCTCCTCCCATACCAGTACCTGTTGGATCTCCAGTCTGAATCATAAAGCCCTTAACAGAAAGTACACAAAAACATTACATTGTCCTTTTCGATATATGTACGCTTTGAAGTTTTATTTCTGCCAAGAGTGCTTTGTATTCAGTGTAATATTAACTGTCACTATAAAGTGATTTGATTAAACCCTTAACACTTAAATTTGGATGATGTATTTCCATTGCCCAACCACCACCTTGATTGAAACATAAATGCAAAGGTCGTCTTCTCATTTATAGACATGTTCTGTCTTTCTCAATAACCCAAATAAAGCCAGTTAATACTATCAATTTTAGGATCTGTATGTTATGTTTTATATAATTGCCCTCCTCTTCTCCCTCTCCCTTTCCCCAAATACTCTGGATTTCCTGGAAAGCCTTTTCGCTAATTCCTTTAGGACCCTGAGATCTGACTTTTCATCCTGCCGTTTCTGACCTGCCAGAAACCAAGCACTGTATCAGTGCCCCATCCACTTTATGGAAAGCTGCTCAACAAAATCCAGGGGCTGAGTTCTCTCTCCTCCTCTGGTATATTACAGGTTCTCACAGATCAGATGGCACTGTGGCTCCTCTATGATTGAAAAATCATATCTTCTAGATCTAGACCCTATCTAGCCACGACAAAGAGGTTACCTAGGTTACTGATGTAATCTCAGCATGACCCTTTATTCATTATCTTACCCTTTACTTTAGCTGCTGACAAAATATTGCTTCAGTGTTTCTAATCATGCCACTATTCCTGTTGATTCTAGATGTTGATATTTATGACCATCCACTCCTCCTTTGGCTTCCATAGTGTATTTTTCCTGTTCCTTTCCACTAAACTGATTAAGTGTGAGAGAAGAAGATTCCTTGCGCTTAAATCTCTTGCTATGTAATAATACAGTATTTCTTATATGACATGAAATTTATGTAACTTACCTTAATTATACGGTGAAATGTATGCCCATTATAATAACCATTTCTGCTGTGAACACAGAAGTTTTCCACTGTCTTAGGGCACCTATTAAGACATATGTTACAAATATGAAACCTATTCAGAGCATCTTAAAACAGTTTTCTTTGCAGTTCTGCTTCCTAATGATGTTTCCTTTCCATGTCTTCTGAATGTTTCAGAAGGACAGTTGTTTTTTTTTTTCATAATCTCTAATCTCAGGACAAGCACGGAGGGTCATGTAAGTAGTATATTCTTATTGTTCAACTTAGTTATCTTTAGAACATGACTGCTTAACTAATATTTGAGTTTGACAGTATTAAAATTTCAAGGTCATTTAGCAGTCAAAAAAAATACAGCCATAGCACCTTAAAAATATGTTTTTTTCTTAAGAGACAAGGTCTCACTATATTGCCTAGGCTGATCTTGACTTTCTGGACTCAAGACATCCTCCTGCCTCAGCCTCCTAAAGTGCTGAGATTACAGGCCTGAGCCACTGTACCTGGCCCAATATCTTAAGTTAGTTTACTCCATATAGTATTATAGGTCTGCATGTAGTAGTATAGGTTAAGTTCCTGGGAAAGGTCATTTTCTTACAAAAGCATTGTTATGCTACAGCGACATACTCTTGGCCAAAACCTTAATCATAGAAATGACATCTAAATTTATTCAACTTTAAATGACAATCACACTCAGAGTACGAAGCTTTCTCAATAATATTAACTGAAAATTATGCAATTATTTCATACGGTTCATTACCATGTAATACTTCTAAGAGCTGGAAATGGACGAACCAAGAGAATCTTGTACCCAAGTACATCAGCAAACAAGGCCGAAGAGTACATGGGTTTTGAGCACTTAAAGTGAGACTGTCCAAGAGTCTAGAGCTGCCTAGTTATTTGTTGAGTACCAAGATATGGTATAAAACGTTCATATTCAAAATGTTAATAAATAAGAACTTTTAAGTAAAAGTGTTGTAAAAGATGTCATTTTTTGGGTCAAGAATGGCCAGAGATACTCTACTGTATTTGACATTGTATGTTAATTTTACAGTCTTTTAAACTGTCCAGAAAACTGTTCACCTTTTTTTCAATTGAAGCCCTTACGGTTTTGTTGTAATTTGTTTTTGTAGAAACAGGGTCTCACTCTGTTGCCCAGGTTGGAGTGCAGTGGTTTGACCATAGCTAACTGCAGCCTCAAACTCCTGAGCTCAAGACATCTTTTGACCTCAGCCTCTAGCATAGCCAGGAATACAGGTGCGTGCCACCATGCCCAGCTAATAAAAAAAAATTTTTTTTAAGAGATAGAGTCTTGCCGTGTTGCTCGGGCTAGTCTCAAACTGCTGGCCTCCACTGATCTTCCTGTCTTAACCTCCTGAATAGCTGGGATTACAAGTGCGTGCCACTGCACCCAGCTTGTAGTTCACTTTTAAAACACAGAGCTACTGAAACTATAAAGAGATAGTAGGTATCTAGCAACTGTTGGTAAGGAAACATAATTATCTTTCTCTTAAGGATTTGCTTTGAGAGGAAAGCAAAGCAATCCACAAAACCTAGAGTTCAGATGTGCTGTTAACAGTAACAGTGATACACATTTGTGTATCACTTTACAGTTTACACTCAGCACTTTCATAGCCAATACATTTTGTCCTCGTAATGAACCTATAAAGTATATATGCATAAAAATTTCCCATTTTCTACCGTAACACTTATCAGAAAGCTCAGGAATAGATGTTTTTTATCAAACGTTTCTTCAAAATTCCTTAAGTCAAAGTAACGGGAATTTTAAGTTGCATGGTTTCTTCAGATATACACATTTACATTCTTAATTACATAAGCCAATAAAAACAGTTGTTATACATACTCAACAGGAAAAAGTTTGGTGTGAATGTCTCCCATGCTGGTGTGGATAATGGCACTGTCCGAAACTCGTTTAGGTCCTTCAGCTTGAGTAGCTGCCATGACTTCTTCTTTAGAAGGTTTCTCATTAAAAACATCTCGATCAGAATCTGCACTTTTCGTATCTTCTGGTTCTCGTTTGGTAAACTCAAGGAGGAAAGTAAAAAGTGAGTCAACGAATTAAAGTTTTCATCTGGTAAAAATTTTATGAACAATAGAATTTCTAATGAAGTACTTAAGAAATGTAAGAATTCACATCAGAATCCTTATTTCAGGAATCACTTCCCATACAGGATGTGTCAGGCAATTAAATTATTTTTACATTGTCTAATATGAAAAGGATCCACATAACATACTGAACACATTGATTTCAAATGGAATTTAATTTCTTTGGTTAGAAATTTTCTTGGGCAAACATTTAACAAGAATAATTGTTTCATTTGTGGTAGCTCTCGACTTATGCCTTCTAGTAAGGCCTAACATGCCACCTGTTTGTTGCTCAGTTCATTATTTAGATTGTTTGGATTTGAATTCCAGTTCTGCGACTTTGGGGATGTGAATTCATTTCTTCTCTTCCCTCACTCATATATGATGATAACAGTACATACCTTGCAATGAAGGTAGTTGTGAAGATTAAACGAATAGATATTAAGTCCTTGGAGAACAGTGCCTAATACATAGAGGGTACTATATACATATTAACAGTTGTTATTACTACTATGAGCAGGACCCCATGCTAGGTAGAATAAGGATTCACAAAAATGAATCTGAAATGGATCCTTAATTTTTTTTCACAGTCCCAACTGACCTAGAATCTAAACCCTGAAGCATAGGAGAAAGAATGCAAATTTTCAGTGAAGTTGTAGAAATCTCAGATCCTTGGGGTCTAGGAAGAATTGAGAAAAACCTTTCAGTTGTTAAAACTCTGGACTTCTCAAGGCCTGTTTCTTTAAGTAGAAATGCTCTCTCCTAAGCAACCTCTATCTGATGTAACTTAATTATGGGAACGTAAAGCTAGTGCCTCCATCCCTATCTTGCCTAATGTCATTCCTTGATCTGCTTGGATAGATTCCAAATAAACAACCAAGTTAGGATGCTATCACCTTAACATCCTATTCTCCAGTTTTCAAAGGAATGGCATGTCTGTTGTACTATTTGTTTATATGAATTTTTTAAAGTTATGACTTAGCTGATATATGGATTTGTAAAATCATACTTTTATTTCATGATGTTGGATCTGAAAAATTATGATTTAGCTCATATATGGATTTGTAAAATTATACTTTTATTTCATGTTGGATCTGAAAAATGGGACACAAAATTCATATATATGCATACCATTTTAGTTTTGCTTAAGAATATGTACTAGTAAGACTCAAAGAAAATTCGTAACAATGTTAGCTGTATAAAGCTACAGTGAATGACTTATTTTGTTTCTCTATTTTTTCAAACTTTATAATGAATATATATACTTTGATCAACACACAAGTAAACTTGGAAAAGAAAAAATATAAGTTTTTTGAATAAAGTGGATGGAAAATTAGTGTATGTGTTTTGAGTGTATATCAAGAAATATCCTTTTTTGCCTGTTTTTGTTTAGCAATAGGGTCTTGCTCTGTCACCTAGGCTGAAGTGCAGTGGTGTGATCATAGCTCACTGCAACCTTGAATTCGTTGGCTCAAGAGATCCTACCACATCAGCTTCCAGCATGGCTGAGACCACATGTGCACACCACCATGCCTGGTTAGCTTCTTAAATTTTTTGTAGAGATGAGGTCTTGCTATGTTGCCCAGGCAGGTCTTGGTCCTGGGCTCAAATGATCTTTCTGCTTGGGCCCCCGCAAAGTGCTGTTTTTACAGGGATAAGCCACCATTCCTGGCCAAGAATTATCTTTTATGGGTAATTTTTACTTCCTAACAAAGTTAAATTAAAGGTAAAACGATTAATTTTTTTCCTTCATATACTAATAAATTTTTAGTAATAATTTTGAAAGGTGTAAATGAAATTCTCATCTTAAAAGTATTTACCCATTTAGATGGAAGGTTGGTTGGGGTAGGGAAACTGCTATTTCATACATTTATCAAATGCTGTTAACCTTAATAGCATTACATCAGTTTACAATGTTTTGGAGGAATGAATGAATATACTGTAATGCTGTAGTCATTTCCTAACTTTCTGGATTTAACAGTGAAGAAGACATAGTGCCTGTATTTATGGATTTTATCTTCAGAAGAAGAGCACAGCGTCAGAGGCCAAAAAAATAAATTATTGATGTTCACACAAAAAGTGTGACACATCATATGACAGGGGAAGCATAAGAGAAACATAGCAGGCACATCTAACTCAGACTTGATGTTAAAAAGGGCTTCCAGGCTGGGTGCGGTGGCTCACGCCTGTAATTCCAGCACTTTGGGAGGCTGAGTCAGGTGGATTACCTGAGGTCAAGAGTTCGAGACCAGCCTGGCCAACATGGTGAAACCCTGTCACTACTAAAAATACAAAAATTAGCTGGGTATGGTGGCATGCACCTATAATCCCAGCTACCCAGGAGACTGAGGCAGGCGAATTGCTGGAACCCAGGAGGCAGAGGCTGCAGTGAGCTGAAGTCACGTCACTGCACTCTAGCCTGGGCAACAGAGCAAGATGCCATCTCCAAAAAACAGAGGGGCTTCCAAACTGAAACTTGAAGTATGAGTTAGGAGTTGGAGAGAGGTGTGTGGCTGGTAGAATGAATAGCCTGTGCAAAGGCCCAGAGTTTAAAAAGCACACTCAACTACATGTGAACTTTCAGTATGGTTCGTGTAGCAAATGAATGAAAAATGAAGAAAGATAAAGCTACAGAAGTGAGGAGGGCCAGCCAGCATAGATAGCTGGGGCACCATTAAAGGGTATTAGGCAGAAAATAAGAGTCACGTTTGGGTCTTAAAAAGTTCTCTGATTCCATTGTGAAGGATAGAATGCAAGGGCATAGGTCTCTATACTTTTGATTTTCCTGCTTGGATGAACAAATAAAATTGTGCTACTCCTTCATGGCACGGTAGTTTGATTTTAACTATCTCAGTCTTAGTTAACATGCAAAGTACTTTTAGTTCTCCAGAAGAGAAAAAAAAAATTCCACAGGAATATATAATTCCAAGGTAGCACCATTAAAATAAAAGTCAAAAGGTAAAAAAGGAAATGCATTTAGAGAAGGAAGCTGTGCTAATTTGGGGAAGATAAATTATATTCAAGAGTAAAGGCTGAAAAAATAAAAACACTTTTAAAATCCCACAGTGAAACTATTTTGGATGTAATTATGACTATAACCACTAACTTCCTACTATCTAAAACAACACAAATAGTTGTGGAAACGAGGTTGAAAAATTTCAAAACATGATGGAAAACAGTACAGAAATACTTAAAATCAACTTCTACTTTAAAATTCTACAATATTAATGTAAGATGGTATTCTGGTTGTTTAGGAAGTCTGCTATTAGTGCCAACATTCTCTTCAGTTGAAGGTACAAACAAAGAAAAGTCAAACCAAACTGGAAGGAACATTACCGTCTAATCTCCTAGTACTTACACATACCATATAAAATCTATTCTTTTTGAATGATGTACAGACTATTGTTGGGTCAGCTTGAATATTCTGAAGAACAGGATTTTCAGAAGCTTTCATTTCTATAGTAGTTGCAGCACGATGCTTTTTGGCTATCCCCTGGAACAAAGCCAATTGCATCACTCTAATATTTTCTTGTTTGCCTAAAATCCGCACACACCTAAAAATATAACAATGTTTTATACAACAGAATCACCGAAGTTAATTCCAATTATGACAACTTTACAGATAAAAGCTGGGAATCAACTATCTTATCTATGTACAAAATAACTAGTGAAAGATTTTTAAAAGTGTTTCTCTACCCCCCAAAAGGTATCAATTTAAACTGGTAGGCAGCTATAATTTTCAGGTTAAAAAACAGAAATGAGGCCAGGCACGGTGGCTCACACCTGTAATCCCAGCACTTTGGGAGGCCGAGGCAGGCAGATCACTTGAGGTCAGGAGTTCGAGACCAGCCTGGCCAACGTGGTGAAACCCCATCGCCATTAAAAATACAAGAAATTGGTCAAGCATGGTGGCAGGCACCTGTAATCCCAACTACTAGGGAGGCTGAGACACAAGAATCACTTGAACTCAGGAGGCAGAGGTTGTGAGCCGAGATCGTGCCACTGCTCTCCAGCCTGGGTGACAGAACAAGACTCCATCTCAATAAAAAACAACAACAACAAAAAACCAATCAAGAGAATGAAAAGTCACAGACTAGGAGAACGGCTCATAAAGGACTGTTATCCAAAATATATAAAAAACTCTTTTTTTAAAAAAAAGTATATATATACACATATATATGTATATATATATACACATATATATGTATATATATATACACATATATGTGTGTATATATATATGTATATATATATGTATATACATATATATAAAGAACTCTTAAAACACAACAATAAGAACACAACCCAATTAAAAAATGTCCCAAGGACCTTCACATATACTTCATCAAAGAGATATACAAATGGTAAATAGCATATGAAAAGATACTCCACCTCATATGTTGCCAGGGAAATCCACACTAAAACAAGATACCATTACACATCTATTAAAATGGCCCAAATCTGGAACACTGACAATACCAAATGGTGGCACAGATGTGGAGTGACAGGAACACTCATTCATTGCTGGTGGGAATGCAAAAAGAGTATAGCCACTTCGAAAGGCAGTTTGGCTGTTACAAAACTAAACATTCTGTTACCATATGATCCAGCAATTGTGCTCCTTGGTATTTACCAAAAGGAGCTGAAATGACTACACAAACACCTGTACACAGATGATTATAGCAGCTTTTATACATAACTGCCAAAACTTGGAAGCAACCAAGATGTCTTTCAGTACGTGAATGGATCAACTGTGGTACATCCAGACAATGGAGTATTATTCAGTGCTAAAAAGAAATGAGCTATCAAGCTGTGGTGAGGCATGGAGGAAACTTAAATGCATATTACCGAAAGGAGCCAATCTGGACAGACTACATACTGTATGATTTTAGCTATATCACATTCTGGAAGAGGCAAAACTATGGAGATGGTGAAAAGATCAGTGGTTGAACAGTCAGAGCAGAGGATTTTGAAGGCAGTAAAACTACTCTATATGATAATATGATGGTGGATACATGCCATTATACATTTCTCCAAACCTATAGAATATACAACACCAAGGGTGAACCCTAATGTAAACTATGGACTCTGGGTGTCAATGTAGGTTCATCAATGGAACAAATGGACCACTCTGGTGGGGGACGTTGATAATGGGGAGGCTATGCATGTGTTGGGGCAGAGGGTATATGGAAAATCTCTGTATCTTCCTCTTAATTTTGCTGTGAACCTAAAACTGTTCAAAAAAGTAAGGTCTATTAAAAACAATCAATCATTTGTTTATACAGTTTTAACCTATTCTTATTAAAATTCCATGTCTGTTAACTGTTCTGCAAAACTTCAAAGATTTTGTATTGCCAAGAACTACAATATAAATATGTTTATACATGGAAATGTACAGGACATTTTTTTCTCCTTAAAATATTAAGTTCTGTTCATTTACATTCAGTGAGAGTATCTGATTGTAGCTATTTTGTACTAAGACCAAATGGACTGTTTTCACAAAAAAGGCTTACTGTGGTTTCATGCATTTTAACTTTTGATTTTATGTCTAGCAGGAAGTAATGCTGAATTCTGTGGTTAAAATCTTTGGCAACATTTAACATGAACCAGGCTAATTTAAATCAATAAGCAAAAGACAGACAAACTTGTTAAAAAAAACACACAACAACTTGAAACTATGCATATCTTCTTTCCATTTCTTTTACAAACATGAGTGGAAACTTTCTACATAAGATTATAAACAACCAAGAGACCACAGAAAAATCCAGTCAAAACATTTGGTTAAGTTTAGACATTTGGGGCCATTCCACTTTTCTTGGAACAAACAATACTCCCACTGTTCCCATGATGGAGGAAATGGTCCCCCACAAACACATTTTTAAAAAACATACCTCATATTAAAGCTTACCGGTTTGTCTCTACATTTATAACTTTAATGCCCAGCATTGTTCCATACAGCACGAAGTGTCCAGTTTCATCAAAAACTATATTAATTAATCTTACAGCATCAACCTTCTCCAACTCACGTTCTACAGCCATTCGTCGGCCAAATTCCATGTCTGGTAACTGTTGCCTCATCTGTTGCAGTTCAGTAAACATCTAGGAAATAAACCATTTAGTAACAAAAACTCTATATACATATACCTATATCTATATCAACCCATCTATCTATATATGCAATGAGAATTTAAATAGAAGCAGAATACATATTAAGAGCCACTAACTGTTTGTACTTCTTAAGAGGGATTCTAAACAATATGAAATAGACATTAGTAAGTCCAATCACTAAAAAATAGTATTTCAGGCTGGGCATGGTGGCTTATGCCTCTAATCCCAGCATTTTGGGAGGCCAAGGCAGGTGGATCACCTGACATCAGTTCAAGAACAGCCTGGCCAACATGGTGAAACCCCGTCTCCACTAAAAACATAAAAACTTAGCCGGGCATGGTGATGTGTGCCTGTAATCCCAGCTACTCGGGAGGCTGGGGCAAGAGAATCGCTTGAACCTAGGAGGCAGACGCTGCAGTGAGCCGAAATTGCGCCACTGCACTCTGGCCTGGGGGACAGAGTGAGACTCCGTCTCAAAAAAAAAAAAAAAAAAAAATTGTATTTCAAAATGGTAACTGGTTCTTCTAATTTAAAACAAAACCCGGTTGGTTAATAGAACTACTGCTTTCTCTACAGAATACATCTGCTGCCTTTTAAAAGTCACAGAGTAGCACTTTCCAATGAAATATAACACAAGCCACATAGGTAATTTTAAAGTGTCTAGTAACATTAAACAAAGTATAAAGAAAACAGGTGAATTTCATTTTAATGTTTGATTAAACTCAAAATATCCAGAATATCATCTCAACAATATAAAAAATTGAGATAACTTACATTCTTTTAAAAAAAATTAAGTCTTTGAAATCTTGTATTTTACACTTTCAGCATATCTCAGTTTGGACTAGCCATCTATCAAATGCTCAGTAGACACGTGGCTAGTGACTGTTTATACTGGATAATGCAGCTATAGACTATGAGGTCCTTGAGCAAGGTTACGTGCCTGACATAACAAGCACTCAATTTTTGCTGAATGAATTCATCTCACTAATTTATAACAAATTCATAATATTTCAGAAAATGTCTCAAGTTATTCTGACACAGGGCAGTGAGATTACCATTAGGTACATGTTATTTAGTAGACATGACTATTTCTATAAGTGTCCTTTATAGTTTGGAAATTTGGTTTACTTTTCTTTTGATATTACACAAATTTCAAGATAGGCATCACATCTCAATAACTGTATTAACATATTATGAACCTTCCAAAAGAGTAACGATCTTTACATTCTTTTCTACACAATCAGGGCATCAAACAGTAGCATTCAAAAATAGCTCTCCATTGCAGATGAAAATAAGCCAGACTTCTGTCCCATCTAATTCTATCCTTATTTCATGCTTATATTAACCATAATCTTGTGTTTTCTAGATAAGGTTAGAACTATATACAAAACTCAAAAAATCAAAATGAGGTATGTGTGTTAGGGTATAAGCACAAGGTCAAGGTCTTACAGAACAGTTAAAAAGCCTAGTTGTTAGGTTTTCTTGTCTCTAGTCTCAAAGACAGGGAGACTGATACATATTACGCTGCTTATTCATGTGCCAGGAATAGCCTAGGATGCTGGACTACACATTTTGCAGGGAAGGGCTAATGATCATTTCTGCCGGAGAGAAGACTCAGTTTTTAAGGCATAAGGTCTGTAGGTGGTCATCTGTCCCTATATAAGTATTCCATAAATGTTATCCAACCTGGTAAGTACCTGATCAGAATCTTTTTCAGAGTGCTCTAGACTTCATAGCAGGGCTTCTGTGATATTCAACTGCACAGCCATATATAGTGACCCTGGTTAATAAATACTAAAAGATAATTTACACCATCCCATTCAATTTCTTTTCTGTTAAACTAGGATTCCGACTGGTTAGAAACTACCCTCCTCCACTACCACCTCCTTGAGATTCCAGTCATTTACTAGTCACTAGCACTGTAAGTAATTTAACTGATGGTTGGCTTTTTTGGCAAACTCTCATTCTGAATCTCCACTTCTGTCTTAAGTTCTACTACTGACTTCTTGTCACCTCAGGCTAATCATTTAAGCAAATGTTGAAGACAACAATGAGCAAATAGAGTGGATTGAGCAGCTCAGAGTATGTGTGTTAAGAGATTTGTGCCGGCCGGGCGCGGTGGCTCACGCCTGTAATCCCAGCACTTTGGGAGGCCGAGGCGGGTGGATCATGAGGTCAGGAGATCGAGACCATCCTGGCTAACAAGGTGAAACCCCGTCTCTACTAAAAATACAAAAAATTAGCCGGGCGCAGTGGCGGGCGCCTGTAGTCCCAGCTACTCGGGAGGCTGAGGCAGGAGAATGGCGTGAACCCGGGAAGCGGAGCTTGCAGTGAGCCGCGATTGAGCCACTACAGTCCGCAGTCCGGCCTGGGCAACAGGGCGAGACTCCGTCTCAAAAAAAAAAAAAAAAAAAAAAAAAAGAGATTTGTGTCCAGAGACTAGATTCTGAATATTTCTTTGCCTAAGGGATCTTGGAAGAGCTGCAAGTTAATAGAATTTTAAAATTATATTTAAATTGCAAGTCATATTTAGTTATCTGCCACCATTAAAGAAAGTATTACCGATAAATGTTTCTCCTTAAAAGCAGAGTGGAAAGCTATCTTCTTCCAACAAGAAAATTTGTCATAAGGATAATTTGGCTGGCAAACAGATCTTCACATTTGTCTGGAAATATATTACTTCAGACAGACAGACAACCAACTCATTTATTACCACGTGCCACCAAATCAAGATCGCCACTAGAAAGAGTTGACAGAATTTATGAAGAGCTTACAGCAGGGAATCCAATGCAAATTGGTCACTGCCAAGGACAAAAGAACTGACACTGTCATACAATAAACTTTGCTACAAAGGTTCAATCCAGACTCAGAGGATTCAGAGAACCACTTGATGGCAATAGTTGCAATCACAGAAACCGCTTAACTGCATGGATTAAAAACTCTTATTCCACGACTACATGCTGTAACAAATTCTTGTTAGCAGTCTAACAAGTGATGGCTAGAGTCACTCTTTCAAAATATTTGAGTAACTCTTGTGTGAGGTACTGTTCTCACTGCTGGAGATAGAATCATAAGTTAAAACAGATCACATAGGGCTTAGTCTACTGGAGGTGATACACATTAATCAAATAATATGACCATATCAAATGCTCTAAAAGAAACAGTGATCTACAGTCACATTAAAAAAAACTCTGCTGGCTTGGCACCGTGCCTCACACCTGTAATCCCAGCACTTTGGGACGCCAAGGCAGGCAGATCACTTGAGGCCAGGAGTTCAAGACCAGCCTGGCTAACACGGTGAAACCCGTCTGTACTTAAAAAAAAAAAAAAAAAAAAAAAAAAAAAAAAAAAAACCATCTGTACTAAAAAAAACCCATCTCTAATAAAAAAAAAATATATATATATATATATTAGCTAAGTGTGGTGGCACACGCCTATAGTCCCAGCTACTTGGGAAGCTGAGACAGGAGAATCGCTTGAACCCAGGGGGCGGAGGTTGCAGTGAGCTGGATCATGCCACTGCACTCAAGTGCAACTCTGTCTCAGAAAATAAATTAATTAAATAAATAAATAATAAAAAATAAAAAAACTGTGCAAGACAGGATGACTAGTGAAAGCCTTCCAGGGGAAGTGACTCTTCATTTGAAATTTGAAGTACCAGTTCAATAGGTAATGGAGGAATATGAGGAGGGAGGGCCTCACTCCAGGTGGAGGAAACAACTTATAAAAAGGTCCTGTGGTGGGAGGCAGGTTCAAGAAATAAAAAGAAGACCCAAATGGCAGAATAAAAGGCAGGGAGAAAGGTGACTTATGGTATCACAACATGGTAAGCCATGACTCTGGTCTTGATCCCAAGAACAGAAGGAATTAACTGAAAAGTTCTAGGCAAAGGAATGACATGACCAGATATATGCTTGTAAAAGATGGCCCTGGGTGCAGAGTGGATATTAGGAAGAAGCCAGAATAAATACAGGTAGTAGGCCATGTAATAGGTCAGGCAAAAGAGCATGAACTATGGTTAGTGACAGCTGTGCTGAAAAGAAATTGGTGAATTTAAAGTATATTTGGAAAGCAAAATTGGCAGGACTCCAGTGAATTACACAGAAGGGTAAAAGAGTTAAGGATAACTCTTAGATTTCTGGTTTGAGCAACTAGATGGATACTGGCACCATTTATGAAGACAGGACAAGAGATAGCACCAGGTTTGCTTGTAATAGAAGGTTAGAGAAGTAAATTTAGAAGTAGTCATAGGGACAGGAGTGAATAAAGAGTGAGAAGATAAGGGGTCCTAGAATGAGTTTTGAGGATCTTAACAGCTTGCAAACAAAACAAAATTGTAAAAAACAAAATAACCACAAAAATAAGACAATAATTGACTTGAAAAACGCACATCATAAACCCCTAGAGAAGAGACTTTCAAAGAGCAACACTACAAGACAGAAACAGTTGAATATCTCTAATGTGCTAAGAAAAAAATAAGTCTATCTAAATGTCTATCTGTAGAAAAAAGATCTTTCAAGAAAAGGCATAAAATAAAGCATTTTTAGAAAAGTAAAGTACGGTTAAATTTAAATTACACTTACGCTTAGTGATTCATCAAAGACTCTCATGAGTTTTCCAGTTACAAATCTGAAAATTCTAACTTTTCTATCAGAACCAATAGTAGCTATTTTCTTCCCATCTGGTGAAAAACATACGCTGGTTGGATAAGCCTTACACTTGGCAAATTCATATAAATCAGTGTCAGTTTTATATTCCCAGTTCACATTTTTGGGGAATTTATATTCATGAGGAGGCCCAGTCCAGTATTCAATCATCCCAGATTTGTCAGAAGACACTACTGCTTTGTAAACTGGGTTTAGCCGTATCTGAGTAAGAGGTGATGTATGGAGTTTGTCAAAAATATGAAGTGGCTGGTTATCTCCTCGGCCATCATAAATGAAAATTTTTCCTGTACTCTTTTCGGAAGCAGCAACTGAAGAAATTGCATCCCCTGGGCAATAGATCCACTCACACTGTCCAGGAAAATAGCTAAAATCGTAAAGAATTGAGAGGGAAAAAAAAAGGTCAGCACAACAAGCAAGCATCCCTCCCTATCCCACTACCAAAAATGTCTTGGCTGGTGATTTAGACAGTTTTGGATTCCTTGCTCAAAAGTAGCAGAGACACAGAATGGGGAGGAACAGCTAAGAATAGTTACTTATTTTTTCTCTTTCTGACCTCATCAGTATAATGATAGTTCTAAGGATCTGTCAAAACATAAGAAAAGAACTGCATATAGCAGCACACTTATTTCTCTTGGGCAGATAAGGAAACCTAATCAGATCTGGACCTTAAGATCTTCTGGGACATTGCTTTTTGGATCTCTGTACAACAGTCTATGTATAACTTACTTTAAAATAGATTAGCATGTAATAGTGTATTTTATAAATCCTTTCTTGAAATATTTAAATCAAATATTTTATTATGACAATACGTCAAAGAAAAACACTGTCCTAAAACACTCTCATTACTAACTAAATCTTGATATTAAAACTCAAAGCTTTAAACATTCTACCTGATGAACAAGGCATAACAGAATTCAGACTGATCTAATCAATTGTACTAAAACACTCAAAAATGAATGTTGTTTCCTTCAAAGTAGAGATTCGGAGAAGTGACACTATTATTCTAACCACGGTGCTGATGTTCAAAACCTTCCAGACCTCTTCTTCAAGAATTTCTATCAAAGTCTGAAATATACTCTTCCAAGTATTCTCAAAGGGCAAACATTCAATATCTGTGAATGGAAAGCTTTGAGGAAACAAACCTGGGGAGTAGGACAGGTGATCAAGACAGGTATGTTTGTGCCATTCTAACCATAAATAATGAGATTTATTTCCTTTAGTGGCTCATAAAGTCATAAACTGATTTTGAAGGAAATTCTAAGATGTGAAATTATTTGAATTGTGGGCATAATTCAGCCCACAGTTGGAATTCCATCAGTTGGAATTTCTAGAGACATGGTCTTCAGGAGGTAATTAAGGTTAATGAGCTCATAAGAGTCAGGGTGGGGTCCTAATCTGATGGGCTTGTAGCCTTATAAGAAGAAAAAAAGATCTCCCTTTCCTTCTTCCCTCTCCCTTCCTTCTTCCTCCAACCATGGGAGAACATAGGGAGAAGTAAGAAAGACAGCCCTCATCAGAAATCAAACCCTGATGGAACCTTGATCTTGGACTTTCCAGCCTCCAGAACTGTGAGAAAATAGATTTCTGTATTTAAGTCACCTAGTCTATGGTTTTTTTGTTATGGCATCCAAGCAGACTAAGGCGAGTCCCAAAACTTTCTGACACTGTTATGACTTTCAAGCTGACATTCATTTAGATGTGTATAAATTCTATGTTATCTTAAAAAAGACATGCTTAAAACAAAGTATCAGTCTTAATACTGTACAATCTAACCATAGTTTTAGTATCAATATATTCCAAAGTTTAAAGTCACCAATAAATAGCTTTAATTCCAAAAATGTGAATAAATCTTATAGGAACTCAATTCTATATTACTGAAATAAGTAAAGCAAGGAAGTTAACTGTAACTACCAGTAATTAGATATGACAGAGCTCCAGTAATATTACTAAGTAATGTCAATTTGGATATAAGGAATCCTTGTTATGATGCTGTTTAGAAATTTCTGTGATTGATAACAAATCATAGCAGATGCTTCCAAACATTATAAGGCTTCACTGTATCTAATTTTCCAAGCAAAACCCAACAGCACATTTTATTTAAAGATATGGTAATATACTATTTAGAAATAACCTATTAAATGGTAAAGTCTGATTTACAAATTACTTCAATAAGTTAAAATATATATACTTTTAAAAAGACTCACCCAAGTTTCAGCATGTTGATCATGTCAAAGTTCACTACATCAAACACCTTCATTGCTTTATCATCACCCACAGAACAGAACAATGCTCCCTCAGAGCTAACTGCAATACTCTCAATAACTCCTATTTCAATAAATGAAATTAAAACATTCTAGTAAATAACAGTAAAATAAGTGTGCATGATTCAAAGAAAAAAAATTTAAAAAATTTAAACTTTAATTAGTATAGTTTAGGAAAGAGCTACAAGAAAATGAGGTGCAATTCTTACCCAGGTGACTACGAAAATGTTTAACAAATTCAATTCCCTCTTCTATTTTTTTCCAGAACTTGACATGTCCATCATGACTGGCAGTAATAATAAAATCTGTTCTGCATATATGAAATGTTAAAAGTTAATTTCTAAGACAGATCTATGAATCACTTAGTATTCCCAAAGCAATCATTCACTAAGAATCTGACTTGTGCATAATAGGTTTTTTTTTAAAAAAAACCCTTCTTTAAGCAGACCACTATATTACAGAACACTGCAAATTTTGAAACTCCTTTCTGGATGTCAAAACAGTTACAGCTGTACTAATTTTAACCTCAAGAGCTAGGATCAGAATTGAACTAGAATTTGACATTAAAATAAAAATCTCACTAGGAATCACTACACTTTGGATTCCTTATTGCTAAAATTACCCTACAGACAGTCTTTTCACAAGAAAATAAACTATTTGTCAGTAGCTGATAAGTAAATCTAAACATACTACTTTCATACGCAACAAAATTCAACAAAAGTTTTTTTTATATCCTATACAAGGTATTTTGGTTACTTAAGTATCAAAAAGATTTTGTACAGAAGAATCTTTCCTATTAGGTATGTAAAAATAGAAATCATTTATGGAAACCCAGTATATGTCAGGTACTTTGTACATATTACCTTAGTTAATTTTACAGCAACTCTACGTATTTTTATCATCATTTTATAAGTAGGAAATAGTTTTAAAATGTTAAATGTACTTGCCTCAGGTCCATATAGCTAGAGTGGCTTTCAATCTACCACACCACAAAACCTATATTCTCTGTATTACCTTCCATTGTCTTGGGTTAAAAAAACAAAACAAAAATATTTGAGAAGAGAGTGACAGCAATGCTAATATGTATATATATACTGTTTTACCACACTGATAACTTGAGACTAGAAAAGGTGCTAATATTTGGTCAGAATTATCCTATTTTACATGAAATATAAATATTTTATTTAGATTTATATATGAAATTAAATTTGTCTTCAAGACATCAAGAATAGACTGATCTAAAAAAGTGTAAAGTAATCCACCTACTTCCCATACTCACTGCTAGTATCATCCAAGCCACCATATCTCATCCAGATTTCTATACCAGCTTCCTAACTTATCTCCCTGTATCCATTCTTGCCCTGTTTGAATCCATTCATCTCACCACAGCCAGGGTGGTCCTTTAATAAAAATAAATCTGATGATGTTACTCTCCTGCTCACAGGTTCAAAACCCGTACAAGAAATAAAAAGTCTTCTAGGATTTAGCCCTTGCCTTTTAAATAGCAGCCTAATATGCTATCTAACCTCTCTAAACTTCAGTTTCGTCATCTCTAAAATGAAGAGCATGTACTAACTCACAAGATTATCCTTATGATAAATAAGAAAATTTATGAAAAAGCCTTAACTTGATAGATAAAAAAAGAAAAAGCCTTAGCATAGTACCTGGGACATACTATAAGCTCAACAAACAGTAGAATATTACTACAGTTTGAGTATCCCTTATCCAAAATGTATCGGACCAGAAGTGTTTTGGAGTTTCAATTTCTCAGATTTTAGAATATTTACATTATACTTGCTGGTTGAACATCCCTAATCAGAAAATCTCAAATGCTCCAAAGAGCATTTTTTGAGTATCATGTTCAGCACTCAAAAACTATTGGATTTTGGAGCATTTTATATTTGGGGTGCTCAACTTGTACTATTATTATCCTTCTACACGAACCTACTCATCTGTTTTGAAGGTCCTTTGCTATTCCTAGGGTATGTTAGCCCACATTTTCTCCACTAGTGCCAAAGAGGCCAGGTACCAGTTACTCATATCTTAACTAATGTACCCTCTTCTTCAGGGAAGCTCAGACACTACCTGGTTCACTCCCCTCTTGGCATTTATCTCCAAAGACATACATATAAACTCAGGGGTTCTATCTTAGAGAATGCATTATTTGTACGATATAGGAAAGAACATGTAGGCCTTTATTTCAGAACTTAAGAAATTAAAAATCTACAAAATCTTAAAATTATCTCTATAAATCTACCTCAAAATTGAAGCTTTTTTTTTTTTTAAATAAACTCAGAACAAAGTAAAAAAGATGTGATAGACTTACTTGGTGCATACCACATGGGTGATAACATCTCTATGCATGTAACTGCGCTCATACATGGATGCACTGGGGAGATTATCAAGATAGACTCTTTCAAACTCTAAGACTGAAGAAAAAAAAGTAAAGTATAAGATCTATTTTTAACAAATAAACCAAATACTATTTTGTATTTTCTTTATTTAAAATTGTCTACACTCTACTTGGTATTTTCTCCTGGATTTTAGTTTTTCTCAATTCACAATTAAAAAATCCAGTATGTTATCTCAGTTTTAACGTCTATTATTTCAGAGCACTGAATAGCGTCATTATTTAGTCAGTTACAACAGGTTCCCAGGTACTATATACATGCTAACTGTCCCCAGGACTTAAGAAATGAGTGCTTCTGGCTTAATGTGAATGTTCTATTAAAAAAAAAGAAAAGAAAAAAGAAAGAAAAAGGAAAAAAAATTAAAAAGTTCCATGAAAATATCACAACCATCTTCCTAACATTGTAGACATAATTTAGTGCTAACTTAAAAGAGTCCAGTGGCCATCTGTAAGATGTCTCAGTTAATATTTAAAGCACTGATTCTCTTTCAAGTTATTGACACTGTGTTTGAAACATTTAAACATGGTAAAATTCTTAGATTTTTATGCCTGAGAACATCCTAGGGAGTATCCAGTTGAATGTATCTCAAATTTTTTCCAACGGCAAAACCTGGAAAAAATCCACCTGAAAGAGTAGTAATCTGAGGAATGTCAGGAAATACTGATTTATTATATGAGGTATGAACAATTTTACTAGCAAAAAAAAAAAAAGAAAGAAAGGGATGGAGAGAATGAGGGAGGGAAGTAAGGAAGGAAAGAAGGGAGGGAAAGAAAGACGAAGGGAGGGAGGGAGAGAAGAAGGAAGAGAAAGAAGGGAAGGAAGGAGGGAACGAGGGGAGGGGAGAATTATATGTATCCCAAATAAAATAACTGAACGATGACCAAACGTGCCTAAAAAAAGTTGCTAAATTAAACATGACGAGCTGTTTCAGGCTTGTGTCTGATAAACTACTTTTCCCTTCATTTTTAGGAACAGAACCCCCATTTATATATGGGCATACTGATGTCCAGATATAACATGACCTTTCTCACTTTCCCCTGGAGTGAGGTTTAACCATATGCTAATGAGTAAAAGTGGAAATGTTTTGTCACAGGAAGTCTTGAAAAAGTGTACCCTTCTTCCTTTCCTCAATCCTATAGCTTGGAACTGGGATATAACTGCTGTAATCTTAATAATCATTCAGAGAAATGAAGATGAGGGCTGTACCTTAGTTATGTTGGGCAGAAAGCTGGAGAGAGCCTAGGAACTTCTGGAGCCTCCACACCAATCCTGGACTGCCTGCCTGTCTTGGTACTTCTACACATAAAAGTACAGCTCTATCTCTTCAACATCGTTATTTTGGGTTTTTCTGTAGTATGTAGATAAACTTAATCCTATCTGATCCAGATTCCTTTTTCTGTGTGATAGTTCACTTGTGGACAAATACTTACTAAGAACACAATACGTTCTAGGTCACATGGGCATAAAGAAGAGTAAAACACAGTTCCTGTCCTGAAGAGATATAGTGCTATATAATCATGTCTTTCTGAAAATATATACAACAGTCCAATGTCCAAAGAACATGTTAAAGGGGGTGACTCCATTTCTAGAAAGCTGAAATTGTTAAATACTTGTCCATTTAGACAAAATTTTAAATATTTTTGTAACATTCTATGTATGTTTTTTAGTTTCAATTTTTTTCTTCAAACTGAATAAACTATTGGCTTTTTTTTTTTTTTTTTTTGAGACGGAGTCTTGCTCTGTTGCCCATGCTGAAGTACAGTGGCACAATCTCAGCTCACTGCAACCTCTGCCTCCTGGGTTCAAGTGATTCTCCTGCCTCAGCCTCCTGAATAGCTGAGATTATAGGTGTGCGCCACCACGCCCGGCTAATTTTTTTGTATTTTTAGTAGAGACTGGCGGGGTTTCACCATGTTGGTCAGGCTGGTCTAGAACTCCTGACCTGATGATCTGCCCGCCTCAGCCTCCCAAAGTGCCAGGATTACAGGCATCAGCCACCACACCCGGCCAACTATTGGCTGTCTTAAAACAATAAATAACTGATTAAGAGGAAAGATTTTCACACCTACTAATTTATATCTGTCTCCGTTATATTAAGTTTATAAGACACTTGTCCGGTAACACTAATATCAGCATTTCGATATTTCTGGATTTTTACATTTCTCCTTACTCGTTTAATTAAAAAAGAACTTGCAAAAATATTCATATGCAACAAAATAGCTAAAGACCAGCATAAAAGCTTTAATATGCAGTCATTAAATACTTAGGCAAAGCACTGTACACCAAGCAATGAAACAAAAAAGGCGTGATTCTGGTTCTTACTTGTTTACAGTCTTAGCAGTGGAGAGAAACATTCATCAATCACATGAATAAATATATAATTAGAAACTGCGGCAAGTGCCATAAATAAAATGGTTACTATGGAAACATTTAATAAGAGGACCAGGAAGTAAAAATGATAATGCACTGTAAGGGTGTCAATATACAACGTTCAAAAAAACAGCTTCTTCAAAATTTGGATACATAAAATTTGAAGGCTACCTGTAAATTCAGTATTGATATATAACTACCTCAGAGTTATGATCAAAGTGCTTCAGAAATCCAGTCCAGACTGGAGAAGTCACAGGCTTCCCAGAGAAGATGATAGCTAAGTGCTAAAGGTTGACCAAAAGTCAGTTCAGTGGAAGAGTTGAGGGAAATTATTCCCGGTAGAAACACCATATCTGGGTAGGAATCCAGAGGAAAAAAAAGTACAAGACCGATTCTCGAGTGATTTTAGAATGGGTGGAGTACAAAGTAAGGGGTTGGGAGAGGAAGGTAATGGAAGATGCACTAAGAAGGTAAGGAGAGATCACATCATAAAGGGCTTTATATGCCATGTGAGGGAGTTTGGGCTTTAATGAAAATAATGAGCTGGGCGCCGTGGCTCATGCCTGTAATCCCAGCACTTTTGAGAGGCCGAGGCAGGCAGATTACGAGGTCAAGAAATCAAGACCATCCTGGCCAACATGGTGAAACCCCGTCCCTACTAAAAATACAAAAATTAGCTGGGCGTGCGCCTGTAGCCCCAGCTACTCGGGAGGCTGAGGCAGGAGAATCGCTTGAACCCCGGAGACGGAGGTTGCGGTGAGCCGAGATAGCGCCACTGCATGCGCTCCAGCCTGGGCGACAGAGCGAGACTCCGTCTCAAAAAAAAAAAAAAAAAAAAAAAAGAGAGAGAAAATAATGACAAATCATTGAAGTTTTTTAAGGGAAGGTGCTAAAGTACGATTTGAGCTTAGACCACATTTAAAATGTCTTAAATACTTAAGGAAAACATTTCACAGAAAAACAAGATAACAAAACAACAAAGACAAGAAAACTTAATCTACCCCTTTTCCCACCCCTTTTATTTGATAATAATTTGTGATTATTCCTCGTTAGTGACAAAAAGACTCAGCCCATCGTATCAAGAGCGTGATTTCAAAACCACAGACTTCGGGTTTTGGATGAAAACAAATCTGTGATCTAGGAAGCTTACGTCATTTTCCCTAGATGCGAAAATTTATTAGTGGAAGTGTCAGAGTTGAAATTATCTTTACCTACCATGATTCGAAATAAGCACCGCCTTCCTCTCGCGCCCCAACACATTAATACATTAACACCACTCCTGAACTAAAGCCTTAAAGAGAACTGGTACCCTTTTGCATACCTAAATAAGAGTTCGAAATTCCAACTTCATGTGGCTGCTGTGGGGAGTAAATGAGAGGAGCCAAACACATAAGAATAGGAAAATGTTAGTTTTAGCATCTGTCATAACAAATCAATGATCAAAAGTGTTAGATATTATCAAAAAGACGTTGTACTACGCTTAAATCACTATTTCGTTAAGACATGCAAGTATGGAGTAGCCAGAAGTGAGAGGACGGCCCTCTGTTCTGAGGGCACAAAACTCCACACATCATCCCTCTTCGGATCTGGCTTGAACCCTCCTACTCAGCGGACGCAGCACTCCAATTCGTCCCGGTACTATGTCTGCAGCTACCTTTCCTCTTCTTGGCCAGTGTTGCCTCCACAGGTAAAGGTCCAACCCAGCGCTCTTCGTTCTCCTCATCGTTCTCCTGGGACACCGCCACTGCTACTGCCAGCTCTCTTTCGCTGAGTTCTGTTTTTTCCGGTTCCTCCGGGTCCCGGCGCCTTCTACGTCTCTGCTGAAAATCGCTACCACTTTCCGCCGCCATGTTGTTCGCATCGTCAGAAAAGGCGCGACACAAAACTCAGCTACCAATCCCAAAGCAGCGGCGCAGTCTTCTGTCAGCGTCCGAGCGAGTTTCGGGATTGGCTGGGGTGGGAATGAGCACATCCAATGGGCATGCAGCGCGCGCAGAAGTCCGGGGCTGGCAAGCGCTTCCTGCGCAGCGCCTAGGCGACCTGGAGTTTGTGACGCTGTGATGGTAAGACCTGGGCCGGGGAGGTTGATATAACGGTTGAATCTTGTGGAGCTCCAGTCCTGAAGGTGAAACCCTTATCGCCGGCCAACTAGATACCTGACTTCCCAGCCGGGCTTTGAGTCCCGTTCTTCTCGGCTTCCCGCGCGCCAACGCAAGCTCCATAACCTCACCAATATTTAGAGAAAGATGGAAGGGTGGGGACAGAAGGAAGTGGTTAACTCGCGGGTTTCCTTTCAGATGCACTAAACATGTTTTCTCTCCTGACCTTTATTCTCTCACACACTCTCTGAAGAAGGTGGTGAGTGCTTGTTACTGTTTCTGGGGGTGGGGTGGAGAAGCAGCTACTTCAAATAACCAAAAGACCTAGGGCAGAACGGGTCACTCTTCTTTCTTCTCTCTGGTATAGGATTTCATCTCCTAGCAGTCATCTGAACTCTTTCTCCTCCTCCTCATCTGTCTTCTTCATTTTTAAAAAATTAGGTAAAAAGCACATAACATAAAATGTATTATCTTAATCTCTTTTTTAAAAAATCAAATACAGCTTGTCAAAATGACCTCCGTAAAACACTTCTTTTTTCTCTGCAATTACTTTTGCACCAACCTAATAAAATCCTCGTCGTAAATCTCTTCTCTACTTTTGCCTTGAGATAGGCACCACGTACAGGGAAGGAACTGCCCCCCCATAGTAGGCACTTTATTTTATTTCAAAGGTTCCCATTATTTGACCATTCTACCTAGCAAGTCTCATTTCTTCTCTGCCCTCTGCTCTCATCAGACTACTTTCTTTTGTGTCTCACAAATTTCCCTTGTTCGTTCTTGCCTCCTACTCTTATGTTTTTATGCTTGAAAGCATCTCCACAGCGATTTAGCCTTCATGTTTACAGCTTCTCATCTTTCAGAGACCAATGCAATAATGAGGATGAAGATGATAATGATAATGATAATAATAATGTAGCTAGTTAACATTTATTAAGCATTATTATGGACTAATTCCTTCCGGGTTGGTTTTTCTAAGCTTCCCTATCCTGAATTCCGATAGTACTTGCAGGCAGTGTTGTATACTTTACCATTTCATAGCACTTCTGACTACCTGAAATCATATCATGTATTTAGTTATCCATTCATTTATATTGTCTGCATGAGAATGGAAGCTCTACAAGTACAAAGACTTTTTCATCTACACAGCTAAAGCCAGTGTCTGACCAATGGCACACATTAACATATTTGTTGAATAAATGAATGTATTTTAGAATTATGTGGGTATTTTTTGCTTATTTCATGTATATTAATCTTTTCCCAATTAATAGTACGAGTTTCTTTAAGTATAGTATTATCCCTAAATAAAGAGATACTGTTTTTCTTCAATAAATGATTAAGTATTGTAGTCCTAACTGGGGACCTCAAAAAGTTGACTTGTTCCCTTTCCAGGAAGATAGGTTTAAGGATACAAAATGTGGGAACGGGAAAAGTTCAACTCTTAAGTGTGTGTGTGTGTGTGTGTGTTTTAATTAAACAACTGAAATTTATTTCTCACAGGTCTAGAGGCTGGAGATTCAAGATCTGGGTGCCATCATTTTCTGGTTCTGTTGATGACCCTCTTCCAGGTTACATACAGCTTACATCTTGCATCCTCAAGCGGTAGAGAGCAAACTCTTAAATGTTTCTATATGTTTTTATTCTACTGCCACATTAAATCGCCAAGCCAGATAATTTGTTGAATATTTATCCCTCACCCTCCGCCCCCACCACATGTGCAGAGTTTTGCATTACTTTTGCATATTGATAATGTATTTTGGTGGTCAGTAAAGAAATATTTATGTTTGACTTTTTCGCTTAAAAATATTCTAAAATTCATGATGACTGATTTTGGCTTTGTGAACTTAAACTGTATCTTATGGGTATAGCAGGTGAGATTTTCAGCCTTCTACTAGTTGACATTCAAATTGTTAATAGCTAACACTGATAAAGCTCTTTATATGCTAGCTACAGTACTTATATATATATATTTATATACTCATTTAATTGTCATAACCCTAGGGAGTATTTAATATTATCTTCATTTTATAGGAAAGGAAACTGAGGCATAGAAAGTTTAAGTGACTTGCCCAAGTCTCATAGCTTTTAAATATCAAAACAGATTTAAACCTGTATAGTCTGGTTGCAGAGTTCATACCTTTAAAGTTTTTTTTTCTCTAAGTAATGTGCCAGTAAACATAATTGTATAGACTTATGCAGACATATCTATCTTTAGGATTATTCCTAAGAATAGAACTTCTGGATCACAAGAAATGCATGTAAAATTTTGATGGATATTATCATACAAAGTGATTGTTCCACCAACAGTGCAAGCCTCTTATTTCACATGCTTGCCAGTATTATCTCTTACCAATTTTACATTATTGCCATTCTGAATGAAAATTAATGCTTGTTTAATTTGGATTTTCATAAATTATATATGAGCTTATGAATGTACTTTTTCTGTATTTAAAAGGTATTTGTTTTTTCTTTGAATTCCTCATTTGTGTTCTTTGCCAGTTTCTATTGAATTGTTTTTGTTGTTTACCTTTTTATTGTAAAAATGCAGACACAAAATAAACGTAAAGTTTACTAATTATTATGAGGTGAACACCCTTACCATCATGCTAGTCAAAAAATAAAACTTTGATAATTACCTCAGAAATCTCTCCATTTGGCCCATCCCAGCCACAACCCTTTTCCCCCTTCCACTCTTCCTCCAAAGTAATTGGTAACCTGACTTTTTTGGTAATCTTTTTTAAATTTTTTTTAATGGTGAGTTGTTTGGTTTCTTCTTATGAATTTGTAGGCACTTGTTATATATTAAGGAAATTAGGTCTTGGGTTGCCATATATATTACAAGTATTTCTCCTAGGTTTGGGGGTTTTAAATTTTAACTTTGTTGATGAGATGTTTGTCCATGCAGAATTAAAAAAAAAATTTTGGTGTAAAGATTTTACTTAGTTTTGCTTAGAAAGGTGTTTCCTAATCTAAGATTTTAAAAGTTTCTGTGTTTTCATCCTATTTTTTTGTGATTTCTATTTTGGGTTTTTTGAGGGAGTGAGGAATGACATAAAGATTCAGGTATGAATTTAGACTTATTTTTTTCTCCGCAAATACTATAAATGTTAAAAAAAAATGAGGAAGATTTATATGGACCAAAATATACATTTAAAAAACAGTATTATATATAAAATATATATCTATTTGGATTATTTTTTTCTCCTTGATTTGCCTTGTCATCTCTGTCATGTGTCATGTGTCCATATGTATGTGAATATAGAAAGTCAAGAAAGGCTTTGTATTGTGTTCCATTGCTCAATTTGCCTATTTATGTGCCAGTTCTACATTGCCATAATAGTGTAGGGTATGTCCTCCCATCTTATTTTTCATGAGGATCTTAGGCTAGTTTTGGCCCTTTGTGCTTCCATGTAAATTTTTTTTTTTTTTTTTTTCTGAGACGGAGTCTCGCTCTGTCGCCCAGGCTGGAGTGCAGTGGCGGGATCTCGGCTCACTGCAAGCTCCGCCTCCCGGGTTCACGCCATTCTCCTGCCTCAGCCTCCCAAGTAGCTGGGACTACAGGCGCCCGCCACTACGCCCGGCTAATTTTTTGTATTTTTAGTAGAGACGGGGTTTCACCCTTTTAGCCGGGATGGTCTCGATCTCCTGACCTCGTGATCCGCCCGCCTCGGCCTCCCAAAGTGCTGGGATTACAGGCGTGAGCCACCGCGCCCGGCCCTTCCATGTAAATTTTACAATTTGCTTGTCAAGTCCCATAAAGAGAAACAAAAACTTTCAGGATTTTGGTTAAGATTCAGTAGCTCAACTTGGGGGAGAATTAACGTCTTTACAATGTGGGTCTTTCAGTCCATGAATATGAAGTATCTTTCCATTTATTTAGGTCTGCCTTAGAACTTCTCTGTTAATAAGTTATTGATTAAGCAGTATAAAATGCAGAAGTTCCATATGAATAAAGATATTGAGGAGGGGTATTCTGATTTGCGTTTGATGTGGGGTAGACATCCTCATCATTCTTTATTGCACTGTCTACCTCCTTAAAATTGCCCAGTTTTGAATCTTATGCCACCAGACTCTAATCCTCTTCCATTCTTTGCAGGAATCATCTAGCAAGATTGTTTTACTCACCCTCATTCCTTGAAGATTTTTAGCTCCTGGCTCATTGCCCTTTGCAGTACTACTATCATAATTCTTAGTGATTTTAATATCCTTATAGATGATCCAATAACTTGGCCTCTCTTTTTCTTGACCTTCTTTCCCCTAGTGATTATGTTCTCTCTTGTCTTAGCTACTTATTCCTATGGCCATTCTTTCACTTTGTCCCTGTCTGTACCTGTGGTGCTACACCATAGAAGAAAACATACAACCATGCTCTGGTTTTACTTTAAACTCATGATACTAATCTCAGGTGAGCCTGTAATGCTACTACTGAATAATCCTGTAACTTTATCCTCTCCCATTTTTTTATATATCTGTTTTATACATCTCTTTTCCTGTGCTCTTAAACTCGCAGTACTTTCTTCCCATCCTTTCATAGCTGATAACCGTAGTTACCATTTTACGGAGAAAAGAGAAACAATCCACATAGAATTTCTACAAGTTCCTAGCAACACGTCTACTTACCTACCTGCATCTACACTCTTGATATTCTGATGACCCTCCCATTAAAATGGATGAACTGCATGTCCATTTATCTTAAGCCAACACCTCTACTTATGTACTAGATCCCATTCTTTCTTCTCCCCTTTCTCTCTTGTATTAGCAACATTTCCTTCTTTTACTGTACCGTATAAAGATGCTATATTTTCTCCCATCTTTAAAAAAGAAAAAGTCTCTTTTAACCCTATATCTCCCTCCAGCTACTAACTGTATTTCTCTCTTGTGCTTTAAAGAAAAAAAAATGTGTGTGTGTGTGTTTTCTTTTTGTTTGTTTTGTTTGTTTGTTTTTGGTATGGTCTTAACGGTCTTGCTTTGTCACCCAGGGTGGAGTGCAGTTGTGTGATTGTGGCTCACTGCAGCCTCAGTCTCCTGGGTTCACCGGGCTCAAGTGATCCTCTCACCTCAGCTCCTGAATACCTTGGAATACAGGCATGTGCTGCCATGCCTGGCTAGAGAAAACGTTCTTGAAAACGTTTCATATACTTAATATTTTTAATTCCTTGCCTTCCATTCTTTCTTGAATCCACTCCAATCAGATTTTTATTCTTGCCATTCTTCTAAAACTACTCCTATGAAGGTTATCTGTGGCCTTCATTTTTGTATGTTTACTCCAAGAAAATTGTTGTGATAAATTACCCCAGAATGTAGAGGTGTAAAACAACTATTTATTACGCTCATGAGTTTTGTGCATTAGAAATTCAGACAAGACACAGCAGGAGCAGCTTCTCTGTTCCACAGTATCTGGAGCCTTGGCTAGAAGATCAAAGCCTAGGGGCTTAATTGTCAGAAATGATCGTGTGTATGTCTGGGAGTTGATACCAGCGTTTGTCTGGGAACCTCAGTTCCTTTCCTCATGGACTTTATGTTGATCTCTTCCTTTTGTGCTACTTTGGGCTTTCGCATAACATGGTGCCTGGGTTGCAAGGGTGAGTGTTCCAAGACACAGAAAGCCAGAAGTTAGCTATATTGCCTTTTATGACTTAGTCTTGAAAGTCATGTGGTGTCATTTTCATTGTATTCTCTTTATAAAGACAGCCACAAAGTCACACTCAGTTTCAGGGGGAGAGGAAAAAGACTCTGTCTCTTGATGGGGAATGATGAAATATTGCTGTGAGTATTTTTAGAAAAAACAGTTTGCTCCTCTATATTACTAAATAAATTGTCAATTCTCTGTAATTTACTTGACCTGTCTCCAGTGTTTGACAGTTATCATTCCTTCCTTGAATACATTCTTGGATTTCAGGGTATCATGCTCTTGATTTTCCTCTTAACTTACTGAGTGCTCCTTCTCAGACTATTCAGTTGGTTCTTACCTCAATAGCTCCTGGCCTGAAGATCTTCTCATTTCTAGCTGCACACTCTTCCTTTTCTTATTTCACCTATCCTCACAACTGTAAGTACAGTCATGTGTCACTTAACAACGGGGATATGTGTTGAGAAATGCATTGTTAGATGATTTCATCATGTGAGCACAAACCTAGATGGTATAACCTACTACATACCTAGGCTGAATACCGTAGGTAATTGTAACAGAATGGTATTTTTGTATTTAAACATTTCTAAACATAGAAACGGTACAGTAAAAAAAATGGTATGAAAGACAAAAAGTGGAACACCTGTCTAGGGCTTTTACCATGAATGTAGCTTATAGGACTAGAAGTTGCTCTAGATGAGTCAGTGAGTTGTGAGAAGATATGAAGGCCTAGGACATTACTGTACCCTACTGTAGACTTTGTAAATACTGTACACTTAGGCTATACTAAATTTATTTTTTTAATTATTCAATAATAAATTAACCTTAGCTTGCTGTAAGTTTTTTGCTTTATCTTTTTAATTTTTTAACATATCAACTCTTTCATAAAAACAGCTTAAAACATAAACATGTTGTATAACTGTGCAACAATATTTTCTTTCTTTTTTTATTTTCTAATTTAGAGACAGAGTTTGTCTCTGTCACCCAGGCTGAAATGCAGTGGTGTGATCATAGCTTACTATAACCTTGAACTCCTGGACTCAAGCGATCTTCCTGCCCCTGCCTCCTGAGCAGCTTGGGCTACAGGACTGGGCCACCTCACCCAGCTAATTTTTAAAATTTTTTTATAGAGATAGGGGTCTTACTTTGTTGCCAGGCTGTTCTGGAACTCCTGAACTCAAGTGATCCTACGACCTTGGCCTCCCAAAGTGTTGTGATTACAGGTGTGAGTCACTGCACCTGGCATATTTTATGTCTTTTTTTCTAGCTAATTTATTTATTTTTATTTTTTACTTTTTTAATTTCTTTGTTAAGAACGAAGACACAAACACATTAGCCTAGGCCTAAGGCAAGGTCAGGATCATCAAGACATCAGTAGGCAATAGGAATTTTTCAGCTCCATTGGAACCACTGTTATATGTGCAGTCTGTGATTGACCAAAATGTCATTATGTAGTGTGTAAGTCTTATCTGTGTGATGATGGCTGTCAAATTCATATTGCTAGCTCAAAACTTTGCTTTCAACTGCAGACATGTATATCTAATTGCTTAATCAGCAGCTCCAATAATTGACACCTCAAATGTAGCATATCCTAAACTGAGTTTTTAATCAGCACTTCTCCCATGTTTGCCAAATCTGTTTCTTTTACCATCTTTCTCACCTCAGTAACTGGCAACGTAATAATTCACTTCTCTCTGACAGTCCATATACATGCTGTTAAGAAATTCTGTTGGCTCCATCTTGAAAATATATCCAGAATGGGACATTCTGTGCTGCTTCTATCAATATTATCCTGGTCTACATCTTGCTTGGGTCATTGCAGTAGCTTTCTAATTGGTTTTCCTGCTTCTATCCTTACTGCCTGTAGTTAACCAGAGTTGTATTGTTAAAATGTAATTCAAATGATTCATTCCTCTGTTTAAAACTAATTGCTTATCATCTCAAAGTCCTTAAAATAGCCTACCAAACCCACATGATCTCATCCCTATTGTCTCTCTGACCTCATATTCTACTCTGTCTTACTTAATCTGCTGTAATCACACCAGCTCCTTCACTACTGTGGAAACATGGCAGTCATATTCCTGCATCAAGGCCTTTGCACTTGCAGTTCCCTCTGTCTGAACCCTCTGCCCCTCTTCATCCTTGACCTCATTTCTTTATCTTCTTCATGTCTTCTTACTCAGTTGTCAATTTCTCAGTAACCTTATATGACCACCTTATTTAAAATTATATTGTCCTTGCCCTAGCATTTCCTATGTTTCTTCCTTGTCTTTTCTCCATGGCACTTATAAATCATTTGATATACTACAGTATATATATGTTTTATTTTTTATTTTATTGTCTGTTTTCCTTACTTAGAATAAGGTTCACGGTAGGAGGGATTTTTGTCTATTTTGTTCATTGCTATATTCTTACCCCCTAGATGAGTATCTGGCAGGTAATAAGTGTTCAACCAATACTGCTGAATGAATAAATATTTTTTGCTTTAGTTTTTCTTATAAGGCTAAAAATTCACAAAGCATATATCAATGAATCAGGAGGATCTAGATCCGGATAGTACTACAGATGTGGGAGATGTTACAAATACTGAAGAAGAACTTATTAGAGAATGTGAAGAAATGTGGAAAGATATGGAAGAAGTAAGTTTCAAAAGATAGAAGTGATAGTTAATATAAGATTTAAATCAACTTCAATAATAAATAGACTCAGGAAAGAAATGATTGTGCTAGTTTCCAAAAGCCATTATGTATGATAAATATTTATATAGCTTTTAGACCTATCAGCATTCATTCAAGAAACTTTACACTAGATGAGCTATAGAAAGAAAAATTTTGACAATCCATGCTCCCAAGGAGATTACAATCTTATGGAAACAACAGCCATTATATTATGTTGTAATACAATATTAGATGTATTGTAGAAGTACAAAGACTATACTTAGCAGGAGTGCTAAACCCGGTGAAGGGGTCAAGGATAGCTTTCTGAAAGAGGTAATTACTGGGCCACGCCTGTAATCCCAGCATTTTGGGAGGCCGAGGCTGGGGGATCATGAGGTCAAGAGATTGAGACCATCCTGGCCGACATGGTGAAACCCCATCTCTACTAAAAATACACAAATTAGCTGGGCACGGTGGTGTGCACCTTTAGTCTCAGCTACTCGGGTGGCTAAGACAGGCTGAGACAGGAGAATTGCTTGAACCCAGGAGGCGGATGTTGCAGTGAGCCGAGATAGTGCCACTGCACTCCAGCCTGGTGACAGCAGAGTGAGACTCCGTCTCAAAAAAAAAAAAAAATAATTACTGGTTTCATTTCTAAAGGATAATTAGGAGTTAGCCTGTAAAAGTAGAAGAGGTATACAAAGCATAAAGAAGAAAATGTGTAAAAACAGAGAGTTGACAGAACATTAAATAGAATGTTATGGATAATGTAAATTAGGAGAAGGACTTCTGGGGTAAGACTGGAGAAGTAATCAGGGACCAGAACATAAAGGATTTTGTTGAGTGTGTACTATGGGGAGCCATTAAAAGATTTTAAGTATGGAAGTGACATGATCAGATATGCGGTTTGGGAAAATTACTCTGGTGTTTTTGAAGAAAATAGAATGCAGAAGAGTAAGACTACAGATAGAAAGCATTTAGGAAGCTCTAGTAATAGTCCTGGTAAAAAGTAAGGAAGCCCTAAGTATTGCCACTGCAAATAGAAGAGTGGATTCAAAGATAAGTAGGTAGGATTAGAAGTTAATTTATGTGCAATGGGAGGGAAATATGGTTAGTTTCAGGTTCCTGGTTTGGGCCGTTGGGTGGTTGATGGGATTATTTCCCCAAATAGAGAATATAGAAGTGGGAAGAACACATAATTATGAGTGAAAACATTAATTAATTTAGAAAATGTTGTTTGAAATATATGTACTTTTTCTAAGTTGGTGAGATAGAACTGCCTTTGGTACACTAGAGTATGTTGGTGAAAATTTGTTCTACTTAAGGCAAGCTTGTCCAACCTGCGGCCCAGGATGGCTTTGAATGCAGCACGACACAAACTTTCTTAAAGCATTATGGATTTCGATTTCTTTTTTTTTTTTGGCTGATCAGCTATTGTTAATGTATTTTATGTGTGGCCCAAGATAATTCTTCTTCTTCCAGTGTAGTTCAGGGAAGCCAAAAGATAGGGCACAGATATTTTTAGCATCCTATTCTTCCCAGTAAAGTTTCAGAACTGGTCAAATTAGTGAGGTTTTTCTCTTTTCTTACAATTATTTTTAACATAAATACTTGGTACTTTATATTATTAATGTATTTTCAGGATAATTTTTATAATCCCCCCACCTTTTTATTTTTTGCTTCAGGTATTTTTTCAGTATAGAAGTTTGGATTTTAAAATGACTTAAAATTTGTATAGAGAAATGCTGCATTACAAATGAGCAGAAATAGAATTTACTCGTATTTTTATCTCATATAATCATCATGAACAGTTTTGGACTTTTTTAATGGCACAGAAACAATGTCTCCTGAAGGCTTTATTTATTTTCTTAGGATTTCTTAGGATCTGAACTATCTTCTTACTTGTTATTTTTCTATAGTGCTTTCCCTCTTATTTTTTTATCTCCCACTTTCCAATTATCTGACTTATAATTCATTCTAGCTATTAGTTTTTGGGTTTTTTTTTTTCCTCTTCATTCTAGTGTCTCTTTTTACTTGTGATGTATTCACCTTGGGACTTGTTTGGCTGCCTTAATCGTCTTACATAGTGAGGAATTTCAATAAACTCTTCTCCATCAGATGTTTGTGCTTTAGAAGAGTGTTATATTGGCCTGGTAGAAAAGGAGAGGGGAAGGGAATTTTCTGTGAATTATCGTGTGTGACTTGCCTTTTTTTACTTTTTAAATCAAGTGTCAGAATAAATTATCACTTATTGGAACTGAAACACTCACCGATTCAAATGCTCAGGTATGAATCTTTTTCTTCCTAAAAAATACAAGGTAAGTGGAATTAATTGTATTTTGGAAAATAAATATGTGTGTCTGTATTTTTCTCAAGTTTAATACCTTTGTTAATACCTGTATGCTTAATCATTTGGAAAACTTCTTACTCTTCCTGCTTTAAGAATTGAAAGAATATTCTAAAAACTTTCTAGAACAAGCTATTATAAATAAGAGAGTATTTTCTTTATTATTTGTCTTTTAGCAACTATACATATATTTAACAACTGAGTAAATTGCTTGTTAGTTGCTATTACGCTGCCTTGTTAAAATTAGAACAAAGACCAGCCTGGCCTACATGGCAAAACCCCGTCGCTACCAAAGTACAAAAAAATTAGCTGGTCTTGGTGATGTGGTCATATGATCCCAGCTACTCAGGAGGCTGAGGCGTGAGAATCACTTGAACCCAGTAGATGGAGGCCGCAGTGAGCTGAGATTGTGCCATTATACTCCAGCCTGGGCGAAAGAGTAAGACTGTCTCAAAAAAAAAAAAAAAAAAATAGAACAAAGGCGGCTAACTTTGTGTTAGGTATAATAGTCACAGATATTTTACTATCTGTGTCGAATCTGAATTGATTTTACTCTTGGCCTAAAAAAAGGACTGACATTCATTATAATAATCAGAATTATGGAATTGCTGTAGGAATAGATCAGTGGATCAGTGAAACAGATTAAGAATTAAAATAAAGTTGCCTCTGGAGCAGCGTGAGAGTTAGGGATGCCACCCCCCTGCAAAGTTTTAAAATATTAAGAATGTTTATATTTTCATCTATGAATAGGTATGAATAGTCCACAGAAAATGACTTTGTTTTCTTCTTTTGTAGCTATCATTGTTAATTATGCAAGTAAAATGTTTAACCGCTGAACTCAGTCAATGGCAGAAAAAAACACCTGAAAGTAAGATTCTTATTTTAAATTTGAATTTTTTGTAAACCTATTAATAGCAAATTAATTTAATAATTGTAGGAAAAATTACAAGATCCATTTGGCCTTTTTGAAATTGCCCAAATTTCATTGATACCGAGAAGCCACTTTTTTTCTGTGAATTATTTTGTACTTCTTTTATTATTATTGATAAACATATCTTACATTAGATTATAATAAGCTTGATTATGGAGACGTTATTATAGCTATTATGTTATCCTCATAGACACTGCCTTATGCTCGCTAGAAATGGTAAATTGTTCCTTTTTTTTTTTTTTTTTTTTTTTGAGACAGGGTCTCATCGTGTTGTCCAGGCTGGAGTACAGTGGCACAATCATGGCTCATTGCAGCCCCGATCTCCCGGGTTCAAGTGATCCTCCTACCTCAGCCTCCTGAGTAGCTAGGACTACAAGTGTGTGCCACCATGCTTGGTTAGTGGTTGGTTTTTGTATTTTTTTGTAGAGACGGGGTTTCACCATGTTACCCAGGCTGGTCTTGAACTCCTGGGCTCAAGGGATCCTCCTGCCTTGGCCTCTCAAAGTGCCTGGATTACTGGCGTGCCAGTGATTTGTTTCTTAATGAATGCAATTTACCTAGTGGAAGAGAAAAGTTATAATTTATTTTAGATACTTACACAAAAGGGACACATAGTTTGTATGTCTTCTGTCTTGTCCAGCTGGTGCCAACTATGTTTTTGTCTTCAGTTAGGAAGTAGAAGACAGCATAAAAATTTATAATTGTGATACTCCACTAGTACATCTTTTTTTTTTAAATGTGAGAGCTTAAGTTTCTCTATGCAATATACATCTATACAGGCACATCTCATTTTATTGTGCTTCACTTTATTGCACTTTGCAGACACTCTATGTTTAACAAATTCAGTTTGTGGCGAGCCTGTGTCACATTTTGGTAATCTCACAGTATTTTAGACTTTTAAGTCATTATTACATCTGGTTGGGGGATCTGTGATCAGTGGTCTTTGATCTTACTATTTTAATTGTTTTGAGGAACCACAAGCTGCACCTGTGTAAGACAGTAAATTTAACCAATAAATGTTGTGTGTATTCTGACTGCTCTGCTGACCAGTTGTTCCCCCATCTCTCTCCCTCTCCTTGGCCCTCCCTTTTCCTTAAAACACAAGAATATTGAATTTAGGCCAATTAATAACCCTCCAATTGTTTCTAAGTTTTTAAGTGAAAAGAAGAGTTGCACATCGATAACTTTAAATTAAAAGCTAGAAATGATTAAGTTTCATGAGGAAGGCATGTCAGAAGCCAAGATAGGCCAAAAGCTAGGCCTCCGGCACCAGTTAGCCAAGTTGTGAATGGAAAGGAAAATTTTTTTTTTTTTTTTTTTTTTTTTGAGATGGAGTCTTGCTCTGTTGCACTGCCCTCAGGCTGGAGTGCAGTGGTGTGATCTCGGCTCAGTGCAGTCTCTGCCTCCTGGGTTCAAGTGATTCTCCTATGTCAGCATCCCAAGTAGCTGGGATTGCAGGTGCATGCTACCACACCCAGCTAATTTTTGTATTTTTTTATTAGAGACAGGTTTCACCATGTTGGCCAGGATGGTCTTGATCTCCTAACCTCGTGGTCCACCTGCTTCAGTCTCCCAAAGTGCAGGAAAAATTTTTAAAGGAAATTAAAGATGTTGCTCTAGTGAACACACAAATTATGAGAAAACAGAATAGCCTTATTGCTGTTATAGAGAAAGTTTTACTAGTCTACTTAGATGATCAAACCAGCCATCATTCCCTAAGCCAAAGCGTAATCCACAACAAAGCCCTAGCTCTTTTCAATTCTACAAAGGCTGAGAGAGATGAGGAAGCTGCAGAAGAAAAGTGTGAAGCTAGCAGAGGTTGGTTCATGAGGTTTAAGGAAAGAAGCCATCTCCATAACATAAAAATGCAAGGGGAAGCAGCAAGTACTGAGGCAGAAGCGTCAACAAGTTATCCAGAAGATCTAGCTAAGATACTTGAAGGTGGCTATGATAAACAGCAAATTTTCAATGTAGACAGAACAGCCCTCTATTGGAAGAAGATGCCATCTAGGACTCTTATAGTTAGAGAGAAGTTGATGCCTGGCTCCAAAGCTTCAAAAGGACAGGTTGACTCTCTTGATAAGGACTAGTGCAGCTGGTGACTCTGAGTTAAAACCAACACTCATTTATCATTCCAGCAATCCTAGGGCCCTTAAGAATTATACCAAATCTACTCTGCCTGTGCATTGTAAATGGAACAGTAAAGCCTGGATGACAGTACACCTGTTTATAGCATGGTTTACTGAATAGTTTAAGCCCACTGTTGAGACCTACCACTCAGGAAAAAAAAAAAGATTCCTTTCAAAATATTACTGCTCCCCATCTCTTCACTCAACAGCTCTGATGGTGATGTACAAGGAATTTAATGTTCTCATGTCTGTTGATGCAACATCTGTTCTGCCGCCCAGGGACCAAGAAGCCACCTCAACTGAAGTCTTATTATTTAAGAAATACACTTCGTAAGGCTATAGCTGTCATAAGTCCTCTGATGGTCTGGGCCAAAGTACATTGAAACCTTCTGGAAAGTATCCCCCATTCTAGATGCCATTAAGAACATGTGTGATTTATGGAAGGAGGTCAAAATAACAACATTAACAGGAGTGTGCAAGAGGTTGGTTCTAACCCTCATGGATGACTCTGAGGGGTTCAAGTAACTACAAATGTGGTAGAAGTATCTAACTAGAATTAGAAGTGGAGTCTGAAAATGTGGCTGAATGACTGCAATCTCATGATAAAACTTGAACAGATGAGGAGTTGCTTCCCATGGATGAGCAAAAAAGTGGTTTCTTGAGATGGAATCTACTCCCAGTGAAGATGCTTTGAACACGGTTGAAATGACAACAAAAGATTTAGAATATTACATAAACTTTGTTGGTAAGGCAGCGTCAGGGTTTGAGAGGAGTGACTAATTTTGAAAGAAGTTCTGCTGTGGGTAAAATGCTATCAAACAGCATCTCATGCCACCGAGAAATGTTTTTGTGAAACGAAGAGTCAATCGGTGTGGCAAACTTCATTGCTGTCTTATTTTAAGAAACGGCCACAGCCACCCCAACCTTCAGTAGCCACTAACCTGATCAGTCATCAGCCATTAACACTGAGATAAGGCCTTCCACCAGCAAAACATTACAACTCACCGAAGGCTCAGATTAGGCATCTCAGTTAGCAATTTTTAGCAATAAGGTTTTTTTTAAAATAAGGTATGTACATTTTTAGAAATAATGCTAATACATAATTTAATAGACTACAGTATAATGTAAACAACTTTTATATGCACTGGGAAAACAAAAAATTTGTGTGACTTGTTTTGTTGTGATATTTGCTTTAGTGTGGTGGTCTAGAACCAAACTTGGACTATCTCCAAAGTATCCCTGCATATGATATTCTATTTGGATTGTACCCTCTTTTTCTGTATGTCTTCCTGCTTCTTTCTTCTCCCGCTCTGTTTTCTTTCCTTTAATTGTTCTCCACCCCATGCTTCCCTTCTTAGTCTTCTTTGTAGGCTTATCATTTCTCTTTCCCAATTATTGAAATTCCCCAGGCTGGGCGCTGTGGCTCATGCCTGTAATCCCAGCACTTTGGGAGACCGAGGCGGGTGGATCATGAGGTCAGGAGATCGAGACCATCCTGGCTAACACGGTGAAACCCCATCTCTACTAAAAATATAAAAAATTTGCCAGGTGTTGTGGTGGGCGCCTGCAGTCCCAGCTACTTGGGATGCTGAGGCAGGAGAATGGCATGAACCAAGGAGGCAGGGCTTGCTGTGAGCCGAGATCATGCCACTGCACTCCTGCCTGGGCAACAGGGCGAGACTCCATTTCAAAAAAAAAAAGAAATTCCCCAAGGAGCAATCTTCAGCTGTTTTCTCCTCATTCTCTTCCTATACAATTTTATCCATATTCTTGCTTTAATGACTGTCTTCATGCCAATGTCAGCCATTTTTCCACATCGTTGTTACTACCTGTTAGTCATTAATTTGAGCATTTCTAATAGGTGTGTAGTATTACAATTGTGATTTTAATTTGTCTTCAACCGTATGTCTTATTGCCTTTTTAGTAGTATATTTAGCATCTCAAAAACTGCTCATACTCAAAATTTTTTTTTTTTTTTTTTGAGACAGTCTTACTCTGTCGCCCAGGCTGGAGTGCAGTGGTGCAATCTCGGCTCACTGCAAGCTCTGTCTTCCAGGTTCAAGCAGTTCTTGTGCCTCAGTCTCCCGAGTAGCTGGGATTACAGGTGCCTGCCATCATGCCTGGCTAATTTTTGTATTTGTAGTAGAGACGGGGTTTTGCCATGTTGGCCAGGCTGATCTCAAACTCTTGACCTCAGGTGATCCTCCTGCGTCAGCCTCCCAAAGTTTTGGGATTACAGGTATGAGCCACCACGCCCAGCCTCAAATATTAAAATGTTCAAGTTCTCCAGAGGACCCTATAAGCTATACCAGCATTATATCTTCTTCTCCTGTTTTTATGTGTTATATCTGTAATAATAACTTCCATATGTTCATATTCTCCAGAGGACACTATATACTATACCAGCATTATATCTTCTTCTGTTTTTATGTGTTATATCTATAATAATAACTTCCATATTAGTATACTAGAGCTATCATAACAAACTACTATGGACTAGGTGGCTTAAACAACAGAAATTAATTTTCTCACAATTCTGGAAGATACAAGTTAAAGATCAAGGTGTCAATAACGTTGGTTTCTTCTGAGGCCTCTCCCCTTGGCTTGCAGATGTCCATCTTCTTCCTGTGTCTTCACATGGTCTTCCTTCTGTGTCCTAATCGCCTACTCTTATTAGGACACCAGTCTTATTGGATTAGGGTCAACTCTAATAACCTAATTTTAACTTAATTATCTCTTGAAATACCCAATTCCAAATACAGTCATATTCAAAGGTATTGGGGATTAGGATTTCAACATAGGAATTTGGGGGTGGGGACACATCAACCAATAACAATTTACAAATCTATATATTTAAAGCAGACTTCTCTGCAATATCAAACTCAAGTATCTTTGTACCTCCTAGGCACCTTTTCCAAAATATTTCATAGACACCTCAGATTCATGAACTGACCTTTTCTGTTTCCTCACTCATTGAATGGAGCATATTTGATCAGCTCCCAATTTAAGAGTCCTCCTAGATTCTTTTTCATTTTGCACATACAGCATATTTGTTAAAATTAGAACAGCCGGGTGTGGTGGCTCACGTCTGTAATCCCAGCACTTTGGGAGGCCAGGGCTGGTGGATCACCTGAGCGGGGGGGCAGGGGAGAATAGAACAAAAACATTAGAACTAGAACATATAACTAGTTACTAAATATCGAGTCCTACTGTCACAGATTTACTTCGGGTTTTCATCACCAGTCCATTAGATTATTATAACAGACTTTTTAATCTCTTGGCCTCAATGGGTTTCCCCCACCCTGGCAATGATAGAAGTTTTCAAACTTAAAGAAAAGTTAAAAAATACATATATAGAGAGTTAACTGTAGTAAACTCAGAGACCAGATTCTACAGTTATCAACATTTTCTCAATCTTGTTTTAGGCTTTTTTGGAGTGGCTTTATATAACATACATTTATTATCTCACAATTTCTGTAGTTCAGGGGTCTGAGGACATTTATTATTTCCCAGTTTCTGCAGATAGGAGTCTGGACACAGCTTAACTGGGTCGTCTGCTTAGGGATTTCATGGCTGCAATGATAGATTCTCCTCAAAGGCTTGAGGAGGGATCCATCTCCAAGCTTACTGAAGTTGTTGGCAGAATTTATTTCCTTGTGACTGTAGGATTTATGGTAGCTTTAGTCCATGTTTTTGTTCTTTCTATTGTTCTTCCTTCCTGATCTTCTAAAATTCCTTTTATTGTTTCTGTTTCAAGAACTTCCTTGAGCCGTTCTTTTAGAGTTGGTCTGCTGGTGACAAATTGTCGTAGTTTTTCTTTATCTGAGAATTTCTTGATTTCTCTTTCATTCCTGAAGGATATTTTCACTGGATGTGCAATTCAGGGTTGTTTTCTTTTAGCACTTAAAAATGTGCCACTTACCTCTGCCTCCCTTGGTACTGATGAGAAATGTGCTGTCATTCTGATCGGTTTTGCTTTATAGAGAAGGCGTGTGTGTGTGTGTGTGTGTGTGTGTGTGTGTGTGTGTGTGTGTGTGTGTGTGTGTGCGCGCTTTGAGGACTTTTTCTTTGTCTTCAGCCTTTAGAAGAATAATTATGTTGTACCTTAACCTGGATTTCTTTGGCTTTATCTTACTTAGGAGTCACTCAGATTCCTGAATGTGTGGATTTATGTCTTTTGCAGAATTTGAGAACTTTTTAGCTATCATTTGATGTATTTTTTCAGCAACTCCCCCCACCTTTCTCCTTTCCTGGAATTCCGATAACATGAATGTTAGACCTTTTGTTACGGTTACCCAAGTCCCTCAGGTTTTGTTTAGTTTAAAGAAAATTTTTTAATTGTGGTAAAATATAAAATTTACAATTTTAACCATTTTTAAGTGTATAGTTCACAGTAGTGTTAAGTACATTCACATTTTTATGCAGTGTATCTTCAGAACTTTTTCATCTTGCAAATCTGAAACTCTATACACATTAAACAACAACTCTCCTTTTCCATCATCCCCCAGCCCTGGCAACCTCAATTCTACTTTCTATTAATTTGATTAGTTTAGATACCTCATATAATGGAATCATATAGTATTTGTGTTTTTGTGGGTGGCTTATTTTAGTTAGTGTAATGTCCTCAAAGTTCTTCCATGTTGTAGCACGTTAGAATTTCCTTCCTTTTTTAAGGCTGAATAGTATTTCATTGTATGTATATACCACAGTTTGCTTATCCATTCATCTGTCAACGGAAACTTCGGTTGCTTCATAATTTCATTACTGTGAATGTGAGTGCTGCCATGAACATGGATGTGCAGTTCTCTTTGAGGCCCTGCGTTCAATTCTTTTGGATGTCTACCAGAAATAGTGGATCATATGATAGTTCTATTTTAAGTTTTTTGAGGAACCACCTATACTATTTTCCATAATGGTCACACCATATTTCAATCCCACCGACAGTGCACATGGTTTCAGTTTCTCAACATCCTTGTTAACACTTGTTACTTTCTGTTTTTTTGATAGTAGCTGTCTGCTGTGGCCTAAATATATCCCCCAAAATTCATGTTAAAACTTAATCACCATTATGATAGTGTTAAAAAGTGAGGTCTTTAGGATGTGATTAGTGAGCTTCTTATAGAGGTTGAAGGTAGTATCTAGTCTTTTTTTCCCCTTTTGCCTTCCACTATGTGAGGACACAGCAAGAAGACACCATCTTGGAAGCAGAGAGCAAACCCTTCCAAGGCACTGAATATTCTAATACAAACCTATCTATGAAGCACATGTAGAAAGTTCTTCCCTGTTAGAAGGCTTTCTAGAATAGCAGATACCTTTGAAAGTTTTCAGTAGCCTACTATTTGAGAAGTTTCAAATAGCTCTTCATTAGTAAAGGAAAATTTCTAGCATAAGGATTGAACGCATTAAAATTTGCTATACAAAATTACACATTTGTTTCTACTCATCAGGCTGGCAAAAATTTTAGAAGAGTTTGTAATATTTCTTGCTGTTTTTTCTTCATAGCTCATGGAAATGTCTTTAGAAAGGAAGCTGACATTCTCTATTCAGATTCAAAGTACACATTTCATTCTCTGAAATTTCATTTCTGAGAATCTGTTCTATAGAAATGAGAGCACCAGTACATAAAAACGTGTATAAAAGTCTGCTTACTGCATCCTTGTTTGTTATGACTAGAAACTAGACACAAAGTTAATCTAAAAGTGTTCAATCAAGAGGGCAATCACTCAGTATATTATGGTATATTCATTTTGGAATATCATGCAGCCATTAAAAGTTATGAATTAGACCTATATAGGTCTAGGTTTCCCTGGGGGTTTTATTGAGTGAAAGTAAGATGAATATAATATGTGTGATATGACCCCATTCTTGTAAAACCAATGATGATAAAAATAACCCTTTTAAGTGTATGTAAATGTATGTTACATATGTGTACATAGGATATATGACTACAGGGAAAGTATTTGAGGAACACACTATAGATTATTAGCTTCCCTTTTGAGGGTTTGAAGAACAAAAGAAGAAAAGAAAAAGGCACTAAACAGTACATAAATAGGATCAAATTTATCTAAAATTATATATAGTTGGCTATATGTGCAAAGATGTTAAAAATAAATAAAATGAAAACTGCACACATTTCGTAAAAAGTTGTGTATTGTCAAGGCAGGTGGATCACTTGAGGTCAGGAGTTCAAGACTGGCTTGGCCAACATGATGAAATCCCATCTCTACTAAAAACACAAAAATTAGCCAGGCATGTTGGTGGATGCCTGTAATCCCAGCTACTCAGGAGGCTGAAGCACGAGAATTGTTTGAACCAGGGAGGTGGAGGTTGCAGTGAGCCAAATAGCGCCATTGCACTGCAGCCTGGGTGACAAGAGGGAAACTCTGCCTTGGAGGGGAGAAAAAGTTGTATATTATATAAATGGAGATGGAAAGAAGTATCTTAGAAAACCGCAAAATTAAATTCTTGATTTTTGAGAATTAACTAAATATATGTGTAACTTTGTTTTGTTTTGTTTTTGTAGCAATTCCCTTGACTGAAGACGTTCTCATAACATTAGGAAAAGAAGAGGTAAGCCACTCAATGAATTTGTAGTGACCCCAAATAATTTCTAACTAGATCTATTTTAGATAAGTTCATGGCATAAGAAATAGGATAAAACCACTCTAAAACCATATTAAATTTTCTGCTTTTATTTATGTTTTATTGAACATAATATTTGATTTTTTTTTTTTGGAAACGGAGTCTCGCTCTGTTGCCCAGTCTGGAATGCAGTGGCACAATCCTGGCTCACTGTAACCTCTGCCTCCCAGGGTCAGGTGAGTCTCCTGCCTCAGCCTCCCGAGTAGCTAGGATTACAGGCATGCACCACCATGCCCGGCTAATTTTTGTATTTTTAGTAGAGACGGGATTTCAGTATGCTAGCCAGGCTGGTCTTGAACTCCTGACTTCGTGATCTGCCCGCCTCAGTCTCCCAAAGTGCTGGGATTACAGGCGTAAGCCACCACACCTGGCCTAAAGATTTGAATTTTGAACTCGGTTTTTGCATCAGAACTATTACTGAAGTTAGTGGTTATATGTAAACCTTAATCTCATATCTAGTTTTTAGTTAAACTTCACAATAAAAGCAAAATATTAAACATCGCTTAATGACCCCATACATACATCTCTCCTTCTGCTGTGGACTAAATATTTGTGTCTCCCAAAATCCATACGTTGAAATCTATTCCCCAGTGTGATGATATTAGGAGGTGAGACCTTTGGGAGGTGATTAGGTGCTGAGTGTAGGGCCTTCATAAATGAAATTAATGCCCTTATAAACGTCTGAAGAGACCAGTGTCCTCCCCTTCCATCTTGTGAGGACACAACTAGAAGGTACTGTCTGTGAAGAGGTGAGCCCTCAGTAGACATTGAATCTTGGACTTCCTAGCTGCCAGAATTGTGAGAAATAAATTTTTATAAGATCTCCAGTCTGTAGTATTTTGTTATAGGAGACTGAATGGACTATGACAGAAAGTTGGCACTGAGAAGTGGAGGTGGTACTATATAACAAATACCAAAAAATTCTGAAGCACCTTTGAAACTGGGTGATCAGTAGTAGAAGGAAGAATTTTGAAATGAGTGCAAAGGCCTACATTGCTGTGAGCAGACCTTTAAAGGCGATTCTGGTGGGAACTGAGGTTATAAGAGAGCTGTAGAGAAAGCCTCAGTTTTCTTAGATAATACCAGAATAGTCCTGAAAAGAATGTTGGTAGAAATATGCACAGTATTGGCCATTTTGATAGGTCTCACCTGGAAAGAAAGAACATGTGTCTAAGGATAGAGAGGAAAAAAACAAAGTGTTTTTCCTAGTCTCCGTCACCACTCAATACAACGTAGCACCTCTGGTTACCAAAATGTGTGGGGAATTCTCACCAGCAACCAATTCTTTGGCAGATTCTGCAGATGATGATTCTCTCCTACAAACCAGTTGGGTGTCCTCTTAATTCACTTCAGTTCTGACATAATCTACTTGGAGGTAACATCAGATCCCACAGGTTGAGCGCTCAGTCCCACATGCCTGACCCCGGTTTCAGATACCAGTTGCCAGTAATGGATTGTCGCCTGTATTCTGACTGGCTATAAATCAGGGGTTTCCATGATCCCCTCCTCCTCAGGTTTAATTAATTTGCCAGAGCAGCTCACAGAACTGAGAGATAAACTTACTTTCATTTACTCAGGTGTCATAAGAGATATTACAAAGGATACATGGCTGGGCATGGTGGCTCACACCTGTAATCCCAGCACTTTGGGAATCTGAAGAGGATGGATCACTTGAGCCTAAGTGTTCAAGACCAGCCTGGGCAATATGGCAAAAGCCTGTCCCTACAAAAAAAATAAAAAATCTTCTGTGTGTGGTGGTGTGTGTGTGATGGTGTGTGCCTGTAGTCCCAGATACTTGGAAGGCTGAGGTGGGAGGATTGCTTGAGCCTGGGAGGTTGAGGCTGCAGTGAGCCATGATCGCGTCACTGCCTTCCAGCCTGGGCAGCAGAGTGAAACCCTGTCTCAAAAAAAAAAAAAAAAAGGATACAGTTGAACAGCCAAATGGAAAAGATGTGTAGGGCAAGTCATGGTGGAAGGGACATGGAGTTTCCATGCCATCTCTGGACATGGTACTCTCCAGAAACTTGCCTGTGTTCAGCTATCTAGAAGCTCCCCAAACCCAGTTCTTTTGGGGTTTTATGGAAGCTTCATTATGTAGGTACGATTGATTAAGTCATTTGCCATTGATGACCAGCTTAACTCTCAGTTCTTCTCCCTTCCCAGAGTTTTCAGGGGTGGTGCTGAAAGTCCTAATGTTCTAGTCAGGTTTTGGTCTTTTTTTATGACCAGCCCCCATCCTGATGTTACTGAGGGGCTCCCAGCCATCAGTCAACTCATGCATATGAAAAGATACCACAATAGGGATAAAGACCAAATATATATTTTACAATATCACAATGTTATTGCACAGTGGAGTAAATATCATTCTTATTATAAAGAGGCAGAGAGCTGAATTGCATTCCTGCCCTAGTGTTTTGTGAAAGATAGAACTTATAGGAATGAAGTTGAATCTTTGAGGAAATATTTAAGAAAAGTATTGAAGGTATGGCTTGGCTTCTCTTGACTGTATAGTAAAATGTGGGAAGTTAAAAATGACTTAAATTGCTAATAAAAAATGAAGCTGAATTTAAATGTTTGAAAAATTGTCAGCCTATCCCTACTGTAAAGAATGAGAAAGGCTGTTTGGGAAAGAACTTAAAGGGTGTGGCCAAATGACCATCTGATAAGGAGATTAGTCAGCCATCTCAACTGAAGCCAGGTGCTGTTGTTCAAGACAATGGAAGAATGCAATGTAAGGGCTACAGGAGTCTGTGGGACCTTGGGCCATACTGCCTAGCATGAACTCATTCTCTGCTTCCTATACTTAGACTGTGTTCATCAGTTGCCCCAGGTGCAGCTTCAGTGTGTCTAGGTGTGGCAGAGACTGCAGTGATCACCCTTCTGGAGGGTCATATCTCCTCCAGGGTGCAGAAAGTGCAAGCCAGGGGAAATGGCTGGTTCCACCTGGGTTTTAAAGGAAGGAGCCTCCTGGCAGAGCCTTGAGCTTATGACCTCAGTCCAGGAGAGCCATGGTGCCCAGGCACAGCGATACTGTGAGTGAAGCACAGACAGAGAGCTGCTAGAGGGCCATTTTGCCAAGCTGTGGGAACAAGGATGCTCAGAGCTGTGGGTCCCCAAACACCTGCTCAGCAAAGCTGCAGGGGCAGAGCCACCTGCACCCTAGTGGGCCTTGAAGACAGCATTGAACCAAAGATTATTCTTGGGCCTTAAGATTTAATGTTTACCCTATTGTGTTGGGAGTTAATTGGGACATGTTACCCCTTCTTTCCTATTTCGTTCTTTTGGAATAGGAATGTCTATCCTATGTCGCTCCCACCATTGTATTTTTGAAGCCCATAACATGTTTGATTTCACAAGTTCACAGTTGGAGATCAATTTGCTTCAAAATCTATTGTACTGTGAATTTTATTCATTTAATTTAAATCATATTTAGATGAGATGTTAGACTTCAAACCTTTGAGTTGCTGGTAGAATAAGTTAAGACTTTTGTGGCTATTGGGATGGAATGAATGTATTTTTGCATGTGAGGAAGACCTGAATTTTCGAGTTTTAAATATGAATGTCCAGACAAGGATCATAGACACTTTCTCAAAACTTAAATGTCAATAATGTCATGTTTTTAAAGTGTCAGTTCATAAGGTTAAAATATAGAAGAGAAGATGGAAGCAAACAGAAACTTTTACAAGTTGTAGAGCATGGAAAGAGGTAAGTATGTGCCTAGAGACAGAAATCATGATGAAAAGAGTTTGCCCCCACAAAATTGAAGAAAGTCTTGGGATTTGAAGGAACCTGTTACTGCAAAACTCAGAGTTCAAGTGTGGAGCTAAAATCAAGGCTATTTCTTTAAAGTCAGAATATAGATGGTTAAATCTTCTTAGCTTACTGTTGCTAACTTCTTACCTATATATCTGAGAACCGGAAGTATATGATATGGAGACATTAAACTAGTGAGGCTCTTGACTCAGGGATACCAGGTTGGGTGGTTAATAGGGGTGGTGTGCAGGTCGAAAGTCAGAAAGATCAAGTTAACATTTTTATTCTGCATGGTGTACTGCTAGTTCCCTCCATCGCTCTGTCTGCAGAGGTCCCTAGTTTTTTATTTTATTTATGAAAAATAAAACTTACGAGGAATGAAGTTGAATCTTTCGCTGAGAAAATATTTAAACGAAGTGTTGAAGGTATGGCTTGGCTTCTCTTGAATGTATAGTAAAAGTGAGAAGAGAAAAATGACTTAAAGAAATTGCTAATCAAAAAAGAACATAGCCTTAGACAGGAGATAAAATATTTTGAAAAGAAAATATTTCTAAGTAATAATATATGGAGTCCCCAGTGAAAAAGTAGGGTGGCCACACATCATAAAGCCTTATTCATAAACATAGCATTCATAGTAAGTTTTTGAGTTTTAAATAGGAATGTCCAGACAAGGATCATACACATCTGTGAAATGTCTCCAAGTTGAAAGACAGAAGTTCAAAACAACTGAACAAAGATGAGCCTCAAGGAGAGACACTTCAGGGAACCAACGAGAATTTAAAGAAATAATACCATCCACAGGATAAGAAAAAATTTTGATCCCACAAAATAACAATGCCATTTTTTTTAAAAAGGACCACTTTACACCGTCTAGGATGGCTATAATCAACAGACAATAACATGGGTTGGTAAAGAAGTACAAAAATTGGAATAGCAATACATTGCTAGTGGCAATGTAAAATGGTATACTATTTTAGAAAGCAGTGTGGAAATTTCTCAAAAGGTAAAAGAGTAACTCTATGTCGCAGCAGTTTCATTCCTGGATATATACCCAGGAGGAATGAAAACATGTATGTATCCAAACGAAAAGTTACACATGAATGTTCATAGCATCATTTTTCTTACAGGCAAAAAGGGAAAACAACCTCAAATATCCATCAATTAATGAATGAATAAAATGCAATATATCCTAACAGTGACACATTATTGGACAATAAAAAGAAATGAAGTGGAGATACATGCTAAAATATGGATATACCTTGAAAACATGCTAAATGAAAAAAGCCCGCCACAAAAAACTGCTGTCTTAGTCTGTTTTCTTCTGCTATTGCAGAGCATCACAGACTGGATAATTTATTTTTAAAAAGTTTATTCACCGGCCGGGCGTGGTGGCTCACACCTGTAATTCTAGCACTTTGGGAAGCCAAGGTGGGCAGATCACGAGGTCAGGAGAGACCATCCTGGCTAGCACGGCGAAACCCCGTCTCTACTAAAATACAAAAAAATTAGCTGGGCGTGGTGGCGGGTTCCTGTAGTCCCACCTACTTGGGAGGCTGAGGCAGGAGAATGGCGTGAACCCGGGAGGAGGACCTTGCAGTGAGCCGAGATCGCCCTACTGGACTCCAGCCTGGATGACAGAGCGAGACTCCGTCTCAAAAAAAAACAAGTTTATTCACCTATAGCTGAGAAAGTTTATTTAAAAAGTTTGTTCATACATAGTTGTAGGGAGAATTGAGCACATCTATGCAACTCTACTAGGAAAGAACTCCTGTAAGCTTCTCCCATGTGCCTTTTTCTTTGTCTGTATTAATGTTTCCTCTCACTTTAACTCCAACAGAACAAAGTTCCAACTTTTTTTAACTGCAGAACTTAAAAAGATTGGGAATCTAAGAGCATGGTGCTGTTTTTGGTGAGGGAAGGCCATCTTACTGTATTATAGCACAGCAAAAGGATAGAAGGTGGAAGTGAATACAAGAGACAGGAAACGGCAGGGCTGAACTCCCATGACAACTAACCTATTCTGGCAATTATGGCATTAATCACTTCATGAGGGTGGAGCCCCCACGACCCAATTGCTTCCCAAAGACCCTACCTCTTAACACTGCCACAATGGCAACCAAGTTTCTATAGTCATGGAAATGTAAATAATGGGTCAGGAATGGGAAAAAAGGACAGTTGGAATAATAGAAGAAATAAAGCTAAAGTCGAATTATGAAATTTTACCATTATAAGTTGCAGAATATTAAAAAATCGAAGGCAAGAAATAATAAAATAAATAATACATGGACATTTTCTCAGAATAAAAGATAATTATTCTCCCCCCCAATCCCTACATATATATATATTTTTTCTTTGAAACAGGTTATTACTCTGTTGCCCCGGTTGGAGTGTAGTAAGATTATAGCTGTCTCATCTCAAACTGCTGGGGTCAAATGATCTTCCTGCCTTAGCTTCCCAAGTAGCTAGGAGTACAGGTGTGTGCCACCATGCCTGGCTAATTTTTTTATTTTTTATTTTTGGTTTTTTGTAGAGATGGGATCTCACTATGTTGTTAAGGCTGGTGTTGAATTCCTGGTCTCAAGCAGTCCTTCCACCTTGGCCTCCCAAAGTGCTGAGATTACAGGCGTGAGCCACTGTGCTTGGCTAAGATAACGATTCTTTACATTGAAAAAGATCCACCAAATTTCCAACACAATGAGTTTAGAATGACCCATGGCAGATGATCCAGCAAAATTTTTCCCTTTCATAGCAACTCTTAGCAACCCCAAACTAGCAACTGTAGCTTAGAGTGGCCAGAATCCAAACTTGATGCAGTGCCAGCATCTGTCCCAAAAACTTTCATTTTAGCTATTTTTCATTACAGTTAAAAATAAGAAGGGGATTGTATATTTAGCTTGTTTCTCATTTTACATTTTGTTGTATATTCAGTGAGCCAGCTCTACAGGAGCTGGTTCTATCATTGTATATTTTACTGGTAACTTCTACCTACAGTAACTTATCGCAGTGCAGCTGTTGTTTTATACCATCGGTGACTCAGTAACCATCTGACATCAAACTTTACCCGCCCTGTAATCCTTCCTTTTCTCAAACAGTGCTTTCCTTATGTTTCAGCTAGCAGGAGTTATAGGAAATCTCATTTGTAATGCTAGTTGTGTCAGAGTTTTCTCTAAGACTGCCCTCAGGTGCAATGATTTGTGGGATAGACTCACTGGACTCAGAAGAACTGCTGTTCTCTTGGTTGCAGCTTATTAAAGTGAGAGAGAACATTACAATGAACAAAGGAAAAGGCACATGGGATAAGCTTACAAGAGTTCTTTCCCAGTAGAGTTGTGTGGATGCGCTTAATTCTCCCTGCAACTATGTGTGACGTGGCGAGTTGGCAGCCAGAGAATCTCACTTGAGCCTTGTTTAGGGTTTTTATTGGGAGTCAGTCAGGTATTGTGTAACTGACCTTAACTATGTATACTCCATCCGCATAGAGTAAAAATGCATTTAACACAAATCACATAGTTAGCATAAACTCTCTAATCAAGCTGGTGCCATGTGACCCAAGGTTCTAGACATAGAAAAATGCTCATCAAGTAGAGTATTCCAAGGGCTCAGAGCTTTTTTTCAGGGAACTGACCAAGGGCAGTTCTGAAGACAGGCTTTAGTAATGTCCAAGGTTTTTGCAGTCTAGGTCTGCTGAGTTAACTCTTTCCTGCACAACTGTCTTTTCACCTCCCTCCCTCCCTCCCTTCCATCCTCGACAGGGTTTTGTTCTGTCACTCAGGCTGCACTGCAGTGGCATCATCTCAGTTCGTTGTAACCTTGACCTCAGGCTTAAGGGATTCTCCTACTTAAGGGATTCTCCTACTTCAGCCTCCTGAGTAGCTGGGACTATGGGTGTGCACCACCATGTCTGGCTAAGTTTTGTATTTTTTTGTAGAGATGGGATTTGCAATGTTGCCCAGGCTTGTATGCACTCCTGGGCTCAAGTGATCTGCCTGCTTCAGCCTCCCAAAGTGCTGGAACTACAGGCATGAGCCATGGTGCCCGACTTCTTTTCATTTTCTCTGTGGTGTTTTGGAGAACTTAAGTTCATAATTTGATTAACTCCATTTAATCAAGTTTTCTATTAAGGTCTGAGCTCAAATCTAAGAACTGTTTGCCCAACTCAGAATCACAAAGATATTCTCCTGTATTTTCTGTTAAAAGTTTTTAAGTTTTAGGTTTCAGTATTTAGGTTCATGATCCATTTTGAGTTAATGTTTATGTATATATAGTATGAGTTAGTGATATCGGGTCATTTGTTTTCATTTGGATACTGACTGTTCCAGCGGTATTTGTTGAAGAAACTATCTTTTCTTTTTTGAATTTCCTTTACACTTTTGTTGAAAATTAATGACCATGTATATGTGTATCTATTTCTGAACTCTGTTTTTCTCTATTCTGTGCTTTGGATATTTCTGTTTTTTTGTTCTGTGTTTCTGTCTTTAAGCCAATACCACATTATGTTTTTTACCAAAGCTTTAAAATAAGTCTTGAAATCAAGTATTATGAATTCTCTAACTTTGTTGTTCTTTTCAAAATTGTTTCATATTTCCATGTAACTTTTAGAATTGGTTTGTCATTCTGCCCCATAAAAAGCTGGAACTTTGATTGAAATTTCCCTGAATCATAGGTTAATTTGTGGAAGATTGCTATCTTTAACATACTTAGTCTGAATGCAGATCCATTAGCACTGTATCATCTTTGTATTTATTTAGGTCCCCATTTATTTGATATTTAAACATTTTGTCTCACCAGTGTTTTGTAGTTTTCAGCATACAGGTCTTGCACATCTTTTGTCAAGTTCATCCCTTTATTATTTCATAATTTTGACTATTAAATGGTATTCTTTTAAATTTCAATTTTTTTCTTTTTCCTTTTTTTTTTTTTTTTTTTGTTGAGACGGTGTCTCGCTCTGTCACCCAGGCTAGAGTGCAGTGGTGCCATCTGAGCTCACTGCAAGCTCCACCTCCCGGGTTCACGCCATTCTCCTGCCTCAGCCTCCCAGGTAGCTGGGACTACAGGCATCCGCCACTAGTGCGCCTGGCTAATTTTGTTTTGTATTTTTAGTAGAGATGGGGTTTCACCATTTTAGCCAGGATGGTCTCGATCTCCTGACCTCATGATCTGCCCACCTTGGCCTCCCAAAGTGATGGGATTTCAGGCTTGAGGCACTGCACCCGGCCTTAAATTTCAATTTTTATTTATTACTAATAAATACAAATACAATTAATATGTATATATTGATTTTGTATCCAGTGAACTTGAGAAACTTTTATTCTACATCCTTATTATCTGAGATCAAACACAGTTTTACATATCTTTTCCCTTCTGTATAATTTTTATCTCTTTTTGGGGGGTTATTTTGCTGTCCTAGAACTTGTACTTCAGTAAAATATTGAATAGAAACGGTAAGAATGGACATCTTTGCCTTGTTCCTGATGTTATCGGAAAGCATTTGCCCCTTCACCATTAAGTGTGATGTTAGCAGTAGGTTTTTCGTAGACACTTTTAAGCAGATTGCGGAAATTTTCTTCTGTTACAGTTTATGAAGTCTTATTTTATTTTGTTATTTTATTTATTTATTTATTTATTTTGATACAGGGTCTTACTCTGTCACCCAGGCTGGAGTGCAATGGCACGATCTCAGTTCACTGCAATCTCTGCCTCCTGGGTTCAAGCAATTCTCCTGCCTCAGCCTCCCAGTAGCTTGGATTACAGGCACCTGTCACCGCTTTGGGCTAATTTATGTATTTTTAGTAGAGACGGGGGTTTCACCATTTTGGCCAGGCTGGTCTTGAACTCTTAACCTCAGGTCCTCGGCCTCCCAAAGTGCTGAGATTACAGGCATGAGCCACCGCCCCTGGCCTAAGTCTTTTATTTTAAAATCACAAATTAATATTGAATTTTGTCACTTACTCTTCCTGAATTTATTGAGGTTATTAAATGTTTTTCTCCTTTTTTAAATCTATTGATATGGTGAATTACATTGATTGATTTTTAAAATTGATTTTTTTTTTTTTTTTTTTTTTTTTTGGAGATGGAGTTTCGCTCTTGTTGTCCAGGCTGGAGTGCAATGGCGTGATCTCAGCTCACTGCAATCTCCACCTCCTGGGTTCAAGCAATTCTCCTGCTTCAGCCTCCCAAGTAGCTGGGATTACAGGCATGCTCCACCATGCCTGGCTAATTTTGTATTTTTAGTAGAGACGGGGTTTCTCCATGTTGGTCAGGCTGGTCTCAAACTCCCTACCTCAGGTGATCTGCCCGCCTCAGCCTCCGAAAGTCCTGGGATTACAGGCAAGACCCACCACCGTCCCATCTCTACTAAAAATACAAAAATTGATTTTATCTGTCTGCTTAACTGCATATTCCTATGATAAACCCCACTTTGCCATACTATATTAATCTTTCTTATTTATTGCTGAATTTAAATTGCTGAAATTTTATGAGATTTTTGCTTCTGTGTTCATGAGGAATATTGGTCTGTGGTTTTCTTTTTTGTGATGTCTTTGTTAGGCTTTGATATAAGGTTAATACCAGCCTCAGAACAAATTAGGAAGTATTCTCTCCTCTTCAAAAGAGTTTGTATAGAATAGTAATTTTTTATTCCTGAAGTATTTGTTTGAAGTCACAGAAGAAACCATCTGGGCCTAAAATTTTCTCATAAACTGAATAAAAATTTAGAGATGAAAAAAATTTTCATCTGTGAAAATTTGTAATTACAAATTCTATTTCTCTGGAGCCAGTCATATTTCTTATTTGTCTAAATGAGCTTTGGTAGTTTATGTCTCTCAAAGAATTTATTCATCTGATTTGTCAAATTTAGTGACAAGATTGTCGATAACATTTCTCCATTATCATTTTAATGTTTGTAGTGATGTCACCTCTCTCATTCCTGATATTGGTGATTTATGTCCTTCTCTCCACCCCATAATTAATCTAATTTTATTGACCTTCTCAAAAAACCAATTTTCATTGCTTTTCCCTTATTTTTATTTTTTTATTTTGTACTGATTTAACTTCTTTGTTGTTATTATTATTTCCTCAACTTACTGTGGGTTTTATTTGCTCTTTTTCATATTTCTTATGATAGAAGCTGAGGTTATTAATTTGAGAGCTTTCTTTTCTTTTAAAATAGGCTTTTAGGCCGGGCGCAGTGGCTCACGCCTGTAATCCCAGCACTTTGGGAGGCTGAGGCGGGCAGATCACGAGGTCAGGAGATCGAGACCATCCTGGCCAACATGGTGAAACCCCATCTCTACTAAAAATACAAAAATTAGTTGGGTATGGTGGCATGCACCTGTAGTCCCAGCTACTCGGGAGGCTGAAGCAGGAGAATCACTTGAACCCGGGAGGCAGAGGTTGCAGTGAGCCGAGATAGTGCCACTGCACTCCAGCCTAACGACAGAGCGAGATTCCGTCTCAAAAAAAAAAAAAATAGATTTTTAGTGCTCTGAATTCTCATCTGATTACTGCTTTTGCTTCATCCCAGAAATCTTGATGTTGCATGTCAATTGTTTGGGGGATGAAAAAAAAAAAAAGACAAATTTTGATGTTAATGTTTTTATTTCTATTCAGTTATAATAATTTCCTATTTTCATATTGGTTGCTTCTTTGACCCATTGATTATTTAGATGTATGTTTTTGGTATCCAAATAGTTGCAAAGATTTCTACATACCTTTCTATTTTTCAATTTAATGCCATTGTTAGACCATATTTAATATAATCAATATGATTGCATTGAAAGCTATGTTATTGATTTATATTTTTCTGGGGGAGGGAGGGTTGGGAGCAGAGGATCTTGCTCCGTTGCCCAGGCTGGGTGCAGTGTTGATATCATAGCTCACTGCAGCCTTGAACTCCTGGCCTCAAACAACCCTTTCACCTTAGCCTCCTAAAGTGGTAGAATTACAGGAATGAGTCACCAGGCTTGGCCTTGATTTATCTTTCTTTTCATCCTGTTTTTCTGTTCCTGTTTTCTTCTTTTCCCACTTTCTTGGATTGTGTGTGTTGTTGTTGTTGTCTTTGTTGTTGTTGAGGCAGGGTCTTGCCTTGTTACCCAGGCTGGCATGCAGTGGTATGATCTCAGCTTACTGCAGCCTCCGCCTCCTGGCCTCAAGTGATCCTCCTGCCTCAGCCTTCCAAGTAGCTGGGACTACAGGCATGTGGCACCATGCCTGGCTAATTTTTGTATTTATTTATAGAGACAGGGTTTCACCATGTTGCCCAGGCTGGTCTCTAATTATCAGTATTGGCTTATTAGTTATTTATTTTCTTTGTTTTCATAGTTACTTTAGGGTTTGTAATATACATGTTTAACTTATCACTGATTTATATTTAGAAAAAGCTAATAGAAACCCTTGTGATCAGGAGAATGGAACACTAGTGCTTATTGTAATTCTCTTTAGTCTTCTTTGTTGTTCCTGAAATCCCTCAAGCATACTTCTGCCCCTTGGCCTTTGTACTTACTATTCCCTTTCCCTGGAACATTCTTTTGCTAGAGAGTAACATAATGTTTTCCTTTGTCTTCTTTCTCTGTTATTTAAATGTTACCTGATCAGAGAAGTCTTTCCATATCATACTACCTAAAACATCTATTTCTTGCTCTTCATACCTTTACTTTTATTTTGATTTTTTTTTTCTTTATGACACTTGACCATTGCTGGAGTAAACGTCTGGATTCCCCTCTTTGTTCTGTTCAGCTTTACATCTATCCCTCCTTCAGCAGTGCCTAATAGTCAATGATTGATCAACAAATTTGATTGAATAATTGATTGAATAAATATTGAATGAGTGAGTCATTTGTGTCCGTTTTGTACAGTCTCCTCAGTAAAGGTACCTGGGGCCGGGCGTGGTGGCTCACACCTGTAATCCTAGCACTTTGGGAGGCTGAGGCGGGTGGATCATGAAGTCAGGAGGTCTAGACCAGCCTGGCCAATATGGTGAAACCCCGTCTCTACTAAAAATACAAAAATTAGCTGGGCGTGGTGGCACGTGCCTGTATTCCCAGCTACTCGGGAGGCTGAGGCAGGAGAATCACTTGAACCCGGGAGGCAGAGGTTGCAGTGAGCCGAGTTCATGCCACTGCACTCCAGCCTGGGCGACAAAGCAAGACTCTGTCTCAAAAAATAAAAATAAAAAATAAAAGAAAAGGTACCTGGGCCGGGCACGGTGGCTCACGCCTGTAATCCCAGCACTTTGGGAGGCCGAGGCGGGTGGATCACAAGGTCAGGACATCGAGACCATCCTGGCTAACATGGTGAAACCCTATCTCTACTAAAAACACAAAAAATTAGCCTGGCATGGTGGCGGGCACCTGTAGTCCCAGCTACTCAGGGGCTGGGGCAGGAGAATGGCGTGAACCCGGGAGGCGGAGCTTGCAGTGAGCTGAGATGGCACCACTGCCCTCCAGCCTGGGTGACAGAGTGAGACTGTCTCAAAAAAAAAAAAGAAAGAAAGAAAAGGTACCTACTCTCTTATTACTGAAAACACACCATTATTTTGCCTTTCAATATGATATTAAAATTTACTGCTCAAAACCTCTTGTATTTTTTAATTTAACCATAGAATATTACCACAAATTTAGCGCCTACTGTATATTTACCTTTTCAAATGCTTTCTGCTAGGCTTTTTCACTACTGATGTCTGAATGGAAGTATCCTGGACCACTGTGTAAATTTGACTATCGTTCAGAAATAAAACTGGGATTAAAGACCAAGCAATTAATTTGAATTATTTTATTCTAGTTCCAAAAGCTGAGACAAGATCTTGAAATGGTACTGTCCACTAAGGAGTCAAAGAATGAAAAGTTAAAGGAAGACTTAGAAAGGTTTGTTTATGTTACAATTACTATTAATCATTCATATATATTAAGTGACATTTAAAGTTTTATTTAGATATTGCTTGTATTGTTTTTCCATGTCGAAAGGGAACAACGGTGGTTGGATGAACAGCAACAGATAATGGAATCTCTTAATGTACTACACAGTGAATTGAAAAATAAGGTTGAAACATTTTCTGAATCAAGGTATTAATTTTATGTTCTAGGTTTTTAAAATAGGAAAAGTATTTTATTTTTTGTGTTACATGAAACATAGATGAAGTTAAATGTTACCAGGAATCAGGAGTCTTGCCCTAACTTTTGTTAACTATTAGCTATTATATGATCTTTTATGGGTGACTTGACTTGACTGTACCTTTGGTTTCTCTACTTGTTATATAGACAATATGATTTTCAAAAAGGTAGTTATTTGGTTTGAGCAAATGAAGTTTTAACAAAGTTTTTGATCAACTTCATGAATAACTAGTTACATGTGTGTATGTGTTTTATCAGTTAAATGTTTCTCTTAATTTTTTTAATCTATTAGAATCTTTAATGAACTGAAAACTAAAATGCTTAATATAAAAGAATATAAGGAGAAACTCTTGAGTACCTTGGGCGAGTTTCTAGAAGACCATTTTCCTCTGCCTGATAGAAGTGTTAAAAAGAAAAAGGTAAGTTTTAGAGAAGACATTTATGTAAATTATCATATTTGAAATTATTTTAGGTGGGTTTAGAAGCATATTTTCTTATTTAGTTCAAAGGTATGCACATGTATGGAAATATGCCATTATCACATTATACTTATTGAAAGACTAGAAGCAACCTAATTATTCAATAAAATGGGATTAAGTATATGTATATTTTTGGGGGCAGGGGGGCGGGGGGACAGAGTCTCTCTCTGTCACCCAGGCTGTAGTTCAGTGGCGTGATCTCAGCTCACTTCAACCTCTGCCTCCTGGGTTCAAGTGATTCTTGTGCCTTAGCCTTCAGAGTAGCTGGGACTACAGGTGTGTGCCACCATGCCCAGCTGATTTTTTGTATTTGTAGTAGAGAGGGGATGTCACCAAGTTGCCCAGGCTGGTCTTGAACTCCTGAGCTCAGGCAATCTGCCCACCTCGGCCTCCCAAGTGGGACGATTAGATGCTAGGATTACAGGTGTGAGCCACTGCGCCCAGCCAGAGTATATTTCTTATGTTATATCCATATGATGGGAGTAAGTTAGCTTTTCATATAATGTATTGAACACCTTCAAAGAAGTTAATGAAATACAACTTATTGTTGAATGAATAAAACACTGATGATTAAATTGTTTGAATCTAATTTATGTTTAAAAATTGATAGTGCTTATGTCTGACAGCTAGGATTGTGGGTGGTTTTTTGCTTTTCACAATTTTTTCAATTTTCTGTGATGAGTATGTACAACTTTTTAAATCAAAAGAATGATGTTTAAAATTTGTTACAGATTAATGTAAGTTATTGACTATTTTAATAGTAGCTATAATGAAATAAACCTTTTCTGAAAAAGCAAATAAATATTTTATTGAGTGGCAGAAGATTGTGAACAGTTCATATATATATATATATATATATATATATATATATATATATATATATATATATATATGGTGTTAATAAGACTTTTGAAATTGCAGTAATCATTGAATAATAATATGTTTAATCATTTTCAGCATAAAATCTTTCATGTCTCCCTAGGGAATGAAGTCTGTAAACTCCTTAGAAATCTCTTCATTAGGATTTATACTATGGACTTCTATCTCTTCAGCCTCATCTCCAAGCATTCATCCATCTTTTACATGAATCCATTCAGCTATGTCACCAATTGACCTCTCACTTTTTTGTGCCTTATACATTCTATTTTTTCTGCCTAGGTTAAAACCCTTCCGATCTGGTGAGGGTAGCAGATTCCTACTTAAGACAGTTCAAGCATCTTTTGAGTGAAACATATTATGAAATTTAGGTGTTCTTTTATTGATTTATTTTTATTTTTTATTTATTTTTATTTTTGGGGACCGAGTTTTGCTCTGTCACCCAGGCTGGAGTGCAATGGCATGATCTCCGCTCACTGCAACCTCTGCCTCCCAGGTTCAAGTGATAGATTCTCCTGTCCCAGCCTCCTGAGTAGATGGGACTACAAACGCGTGCCACCGCACCCAGTTAATTTTTTTGTATTTCTAGTAGACAGGGTTTCACCGTGTTGGCCAGGCTGGTCTCGAACTCCTGACCTCAGTTGATCCGCCCACCTCAGCCTCCCAAAGTGCTGGGATTACAGGTGTGAACCACCACACCTGACCTATTGATTGAGTTTTTTAGAGACGAGGTCTTGCTATGTTGCCCAGGTTAGACTTGAACTCCTGGGTTGAAGCTATCCTCCCGCCTCAGCCTCCACACAGCTGGGACTACAGATGTGAGCTACTGAATCTGGCTCTAGGTGTCCTTTTAGTAACACTTTTCAAATGATTTTGTTAGTGTTATTTATGTCTATCTCTCCCTTTATCCCCATGCCCTGTGAGCTACTCGGTGTGTTTAATTCATCTTTGTATCTCTTCTATCTTGCATATCTTTTATATAGAACCTTCTCAGTTCATATTTATTGAATGGATGTGAATATACTAGGAAAAGGAGAAAAAGTTCTGTTTGTTTTTGTTTTTACTATCTGTGTTCTTTTTATTCTTCCCTTATTTATAATTGTCTATAGGCTTTACATTTGTTATGGGCTGTGTCTTCCATTCTATTATTGTTTTTTACCTCTTATTTATTTGTAAAAGTATGACAGCCTCCTGTTGGCCATTTCATTAAAGTCATGATTCCTTGCCTCTTTATGACCTTAATCTTGCAACAACTCACTGATTTATTTTCTGGTCCCAGTCTCCTCCATTTTTTTCAAATTTTTTTCAACATTTTTTTGTTGCTGTTGCTCCACTAATAGAACCAGAGGTTTGAGGCATCCTGAAAAGGAAGCTTGATTACCATGAGCCATTATCGGGTCATTAAGTCAGATTTGATAACCTCACTTCTTTTTTTATGATGTATAAGGACTATTGATACATGTTACAAAGTAATTCTTGTCTCTCTGTTTCTTTCTCTGTGTGTTTCTTTCTCTCTCCCCAACAATACTGTATTTATTAGTCTACTTGGGCTGTGATAACAAAATACCACAGACTGGGTGGTTTAAACAAAAGTTTCACAGTGTAGAGGCTAGAAGTTCAAGACGAAAGGAAGGTACTGTCGGGTTGGTTTCTGGTCTCTCTTCCTGGCTTGTAGGTGACCACTTGCTCACTGTGTTCTCACATTGGGCTCTTTGTGTACACAAGGAAAGAAAGAATTCTCAAGTGTCTTTTCCTCTTTTTATGAGGAAACCATTCATATTGGATTAGGGCCCGATTCTTATGACCTCGTTTATCCTTTATTACGTTATTTAAGACTTTATTTTTAAAAACATAGTCACATTAGGGCTTCCACATATAAATTTTGGGGAGACATCGTTCAGTCCACAACACTGGACTTTATAACTCAAAGATGTATACAAAGAAGAAAGCTAAAAACAACAAAACTCCCTCCATCAGATCATTACCATTAAGTGAACATCACAATTAATGTTAGGTGAATGTCATTTGAGACATCTTGCTAAGCACATATACATATAGAACCATAAATAGATGGATTGATGGATGGCTGGATCAATGTAATTTTGTAAATGCTAATAATAAAATAAATGTAATTTTACTTTTTTTTTTTTGAGATGGAATCTTGTTCTGTTACCCAGGCTGGAGTACAGTAGCTGAGATTTCAGCTCACTATAACCTCCACCTCCTGGGTTCAAGTGATTCTCCTGCCTCAGCCTCCTGAGTAGCTGGGATTACATGTGCGCACTGCTATGCTGGCTAAGTTTTCTATCTTTGTTTTTTAGTAGAGATGGAATTTTACCATATTGGCCAGGCTGGTCTCGATCTCCTGACCTCAGGTGATCCACCCACCTCAGCCTCCCAAAGTGCTGGGATTACAGGTGTGCACCACTATGCCTGGCCTAATTTTACTTAATTTTGAGAGAAGAAAAAGAATGAGTGAAGTTGAACAGTTGAACTCGGATAAATATTTCTTTGCATCAAATGATTTTAGTTCTGGAGAGATCCTTTCAATATAAAGGAAACAAGTGAATCATGAAAAACATGGAAAATTTAATTACAGTTTGTTTAACTTCATATCTCAATTCTAGGCAGTTATTGACTCTGCTGTAAAAGATAAGAAAATTAACATTCTTTTTCCTATACCCTTATTTCTATTTTGTGTTATTTTTACTTTGGCAGGTTATATTTTATTCAGAACTTCTATTTTATTTATATTTTATTCAGAAAACGCCATTTATATTTAGCCTTCATTCTACATTGTATTGGAGTCAGTGCTCATTATCTTTTTTTTTTTTTGAGATGGAGTCTCCCTGTGTCACCCAGGCTGGAATGCAGTGGCATGATCTCGTCTCACTGCAACCTCTGCCTCCTGGGTTCAAGCGATTCTCCTGCCTCAGCCTCCTGAGTAGCTTGGGACTACAGGTGTGTTCCACCATGCCCAGTTAATTTGTTTTTTTGTGTGGGGGGGTTTTTTTTTTTTTGGTATTTTTAGTAGAGACGGGGTTTCACTGTGTTAGCCAGGATGGTCTCGACCTCCTGACCTTATGATCCGCCCGACTCAGCCTCCCAGAGTTTTTGTTTGTTTTTTTTTTGAGTTGGAGTCTCGCTTTGTTGCCCACGCTGGAGTGCAGTGGCGTGATCCTGGCTCACTGTAAGCTCCACCTCCCGGGTTCACACGATTCTGCTGCCTCAGCCTCCCGAGTAGCTGGGAGTACAGGCGCCTGCAACCATGCCTGGCTAATTTTTTTTTTTTTTGTATGCTTTTAGTAGAGACGGGGTTTCACCGTGTAAGCCAGGATGGTCTCGATCTCCTGAGCTGGTGATCTGCCCGCCTTGGCCTCGCAAAGTGCTAGGATTACAGGCATGAGCCACCGTGCCCGGGCCAAGCCTCCAAGAGTTGTTAAGTTTAATCCTTCGCTTGGTTTGATGAGTTTCTTTGACAAGTAATTTGTTCAAGAATTCCTGGGTGTTTAGTCTTTGGATTCTTGGATGGTGTAAATACTTTGTCTTTACACTAAAAGGATATTTTAAGCACTTTTTTTTTTAAATCTCAAGTTCTGTTAGGTATTGCTCCCTGTCTTTTAAGATGGAATGTGGTATAGAGAATTCTGAGGCCAGTCTATGGATGACTTGTTGCTTCTGACTATATCTGGAGAGTTCTTTATATTTGAACCAATAACATAAGAATATTTCACAATGTTGGTTATTCAATATCAGTTTTCCTTTGAAAAAGATATGTTATTTTTCTGGGCAGTTTTAATTCACATTTGTTTCATAGAAATTTTCTTTTATATTTTTCTTCTGCATTTCGTTTGTCTCAAGTCTTTATAATTTAACCTGTATCTTGCTTCTCATTTATTAATCAATACTATAATTGTGCTGTCTTCACCACTAATCGTATGCTCATTTATACCACTCTTTTTCCTTTACTAAGGTATTAGATTTTCAGAGCCTGCTCGGCTCTCTTGATTTAGGAATCATACATATTTTGTTAGTGTTATTTTACTATTTGTTTAATATATTTGTATTTCTGCAAGGCTTTATAAGAATTCCATGGTAATCTCTGACTGGTATCAGGAAAGTAATAGTTGTCACCGTAGTAGGCAACTTTATAATTAATTGAATGTCTGAATTCAAAACCTTCTGATTAGGATTAGTATGATCTTGGAACTTTCTAGCAGTTTCCTTTAGAGTCTGTCCTGTTGAACATTTTTAACAATAACTTAAAGAGATAGAATATGTGGCTATCAAAGTTTACAAATGATGTGAAAGTAAGAGGGCTAGATAGTAAATATGTTGGATGACAGATTGAAGACTATTTCTTAGCTAGTTAGGAACTAAGACAAATAAAATAGGATGATGTTTAAATAGAAATACATAGAATATGTATTTACATATGTACAGAATACATTACATACATACAGAATACATTACATTACAGAATAAGGAAGACATTTTTAGCTAGATATATGAAAAATACTTTGGCATTTTAGATGATAGTATTCTCAGAAGTCCACAAGGAAAAAATAGCTGTCTAAAAGCTAATACCATCTTAAATTTAATGAATAGAATTCCAGTCTCCGTAATTATGAAAGTGGGTGTTCTTTTTTTGTCTTTGGTAGTCAAATCACACCTAGATCATTGTGGGAGACTGGATGAAGGAAAACAAAAGACAAATTAGAGCACATTCGGAGAATAATCATGGTATTGAGAAGCCTCAAATTTATGCCATATGAAAAGTAATTGAGGTGGGGTATGGTGGCTCACACCTGTAATCCCGCACTTTAGGAGACTGAGGTGGGAGGATCACTTGAAGCCAAAAATTTGAGACCAGCTTGGACAACGTAGCAAGACCCTGCCTCTACAAAACAAACAAATAAACAAAAACATTACTGTGGCATGTGCTTATAGTCCCAGCTACTCGGGAGGCTGAGGTGGGAAGATAGTTTGAGCCCAGGAAGTTGAGGCTGCAGTGGGCTATGATGGCACCACTGCACTCCAGCCTGGGTGACAGAGTGAGACCCTGTCTCCAAAAAAAAGAAAAAGAAAAATAATTGAAGAAACAAATGGTGATTAGTATTTTGAAAAAGAGAAGATTTGAGCCTTATAATAGCAGTCTTCAAATATTTGAGGAACTCTTGGGTAGAATTGGAATGAGATTTATTCTCGTCGTTCCAAGGAAGAAACAACTAATGAGTTGAGCTAACATGACAAACTGTCAAGAGCTATAGAAAGATGATTAAGTCTCTCATAAGAGCAAGTTTCCTATACTGAAACTGCATAAATGTACTCTGGAATGTCATTTGGGGAGTTTTTATTGGGGGATTTAAATACTAATTTTTTTATGTGATTATATATAATGTGTATATCTATTATATGCTTATGGATAGTTTTAATTGTATCTTCCAGTTACTATAAGAGTTTTCACTGTCTTAGAAGATATTTCAACTGCATTTTTATGAATCTGACTTAAATACAACGTTTACTTTCAGAATTTTTTGTCACTTAATTACAAATATTTGATTTTAGTTACTTTGTACCATTACAACTAAGAAATATTAATTTTAAAAGTCTTGGCCAAACGCGGTGGCTCACTCCTGTAATCAAAGCACTTTGGGAGGCCGATGTGGGCAGATCACCTGAGGGTCAGGAGCTCGAGACCAGCCTGGCCAACAGGGTGAAACCTCATATCTACTAAAAATACAAAAATTAGCCAGGCATGGTGGTGGGAGCCTGTAATCACAGCTACTCGGGAGGCTGAGGCAAGAGAACCACTTGAATCCGGGAGGCGGAGGTTGCAGTGAACCGAGATTGCGCCATTGCACTCCAGCCTGGGCGCCAAGAATGAAACTCTGTCTCAGAAATAAAAGTCTTATAAAAACAGTCCAATATTTCACCATTGGCAGAAGTGAAGTGGTAATTGTTTGTTATTCACATTTCTCTTGAAGAAAAACATTCAAGAATCATCTGTAAACCTGATAACACTGCATGAAATGTTAGAGGTAAGTGTTTTGTGTAGTTTGTTTTGTCTTGAAGCTGTCTTAGTCATTTGTGAACAATTATACTCAGACTTGAAAAACAAAAAATACTGCTTTAATTCTTAAAGTATGCATCAATCTTTATTAAATATATTTGTAATAATATATCTTTGGTATAAAATTAGTTTCTGTTCCCTGTACAGTACTGAGAGGAATATTGTTATTTTTAAAATAATGTGAATTTAAGGTCTATCTCTTAATCATGTTCCCAAGATTTATTACAGGTAAAATTTTTATCTAGGCATGAGCTGACAGGGTGAAAAAATTTTTTTAATGATGTTATCTAGTATTTACAGAGTAAAATTCTATGCTGTTACATTGACTGTTTAATTGGTAGCTCTGTACTCTATATAAAATACGTAATGAACTTAAAGATTCTTTCCACAAAGTTGTAGAAATTGTACAATTTTTAAAAAATAACATCAGTCTCTTTTCTTACAGTGTAAGTACTGAGTTTTCCAACTTTCTCTGATTTGACATATACCTTGTTTTATAAATACCTTTGACCTTTTCAAAAATGTTTTTGAACCTCAACCATATTATCAGTTACATTAAATACTTTGGAAGATCTTGATATGACAATTCATGGTAAATTGGGCAGAAAGGAAAATGAAATAATTTATGAAGAACAGGGTATTTACCAATTAGTGTACCCCCTTTTAAAATCATTGGTATATTTTGAAGAAAGAGTGATTTCAGAAAACGCGTTTCATTTAACTTAATGAACTAGGTGTTAAAGTCTCTTTTTGCCCAGCTGACAAGTTTTGGTTCCTCAGGATTTAATACAGAGTATTATTGCTTTGAAAAGCAAAATACAAATATTTATTAGATTCGTAATTAGAATATTTTAACATATTTCTAGCTACTCTAGTTTATGCTGAAACTAAGATGACTGTAGTTTCTCATGGATGACTTAACCTTTTTTTTTAATAAAAATTGTCAGTCATGGAAATACTGAAAGGTATTACATGTATAATTTTTTAATAGTGTAACATAGTATGTACCATCTGTGTTAGGCCATTCTTGTGTTGCTGTAAAGAAATACCTAAGACTGTATAATTTATAAGGAAAAGGAGTTTAATTGGCTCATGGTTTGCAGGCTGTATAAACATGACACTAGCATCTGCTCAGCTTCTAGGGAGGCCTAAGGGAGCTTTTACTCATAGCAGAAGGTGAAGCAGCAGCAGACACTTTACATGGCCAGAGTGGGAGCAAGAGGGAGGGGGAAAGGTACCACACACACTTTTAAGCAGCCGGATCTTGCGAGAACTCACTATCATGAGGACAGCACCAAGGGGATTTGCTAAAGCATTCATGAGAAATTCACCCTGATGATCCAATCACCTCCCACCAGGCTCCACCTCCAACATTGGGGATTACATTTCAATATGAGATTTGGTAGGGGACACACCTAAACTATATCAGCATATAAAACTTAGCATTAGAATCCTAAGTTTGTCTCCAAGGCTCATATTGTCAGTGATAAAGGAACTAATCTTAAAACTGCAGTTAGGTTAAAAATAAAACAATATGATTAAAATTAGAAATGCAAAATAGGAAAGATTTGTACTAAAATAAGCTGTTTGTACTAAAATAAGCCATTGCTCTAAAATACAAATAATATTTAATTCTATATTATGATACTCAAAAGAAATGAGGCCAAAGCTTTTTTCCTGCAGAATGTGGGACTTGAAATAATTAATGATAGTTGAAAATGTTATTTCAAGAACTAAGGTATTATTATAAAATTTAATTGAGATTAGAGCTTGATGGATTAATTTGATTTATTTCTATGGCACTTTGTAATTGTATAAATTATGCATTCTCTTTTCCATGTTCCTTAAAATAATAGCATCTTTCAGTTAAAAATTTGGCCTGACAATTCAGAGATACGGAGTCTAATCCAAGATCCACCCCTGATTATGTGCCCCTGAGGAATCTCTTAACTCTTCTGAGTTCTACTTTTGTAATTTGTGAAGGCACCGGAAGATAGCTGAGGAGGCAAAATAATAATTGATCTACATTTAGCGTTTTTCCACTGTATTTCATAACATTAGTATTCAAACAATTGTAACTATTTGTTTCTTGAAAAAACTTTTATAATAGCAGTGCATTTGGGAAAGACAGCTGATTCTCAATCCACATTAGCTAGCTTTCCCAAGCTTGTTTGATCACAGAACCTTGTTTTTCAGGAACTAAGAACATCTTTAGGAGACTAATTCTATGGAATGCAGTTTGGAAAATGCTAGCCTATATAATTTAATACAAATACTCAAAACTCAATTTGTGGTTTTAATTCCACAATATCCTTAACGAAGATCAGGGATACTCAGGATGAAGCTGAAGGAAGTGATGATGATAAAATTGACTCTTGCAAAGATTTATCAGAAGAATAGGTGTTTTGTGGGGGACAGGACCAGTTATTTTTCCTTCAAATATTAAGACACACTTGCTCACTTTCTTTTTAACTTTTTGTGTTTTTTGTGAAATATTAATTTTTTAAGATTTTTGTCTTTATCCTAAAGAAGATATTAATCTCAAAAGAAGTGGGAGGATTGTAAATTCTTTCTAACCAATTTTTAGGAAATGTTTTTCTAAATTAAAGATGCAAAAATTCACTTTAAAGCTTTTTTCATTAGCTAATACCCATAGTCCTTTCAAAAAGGAAATTCAAATTTGTAGATTAAAAGTATTAAACAGTTGTTGAAAAAGAAAAGAGGTCAATATTCTTTGACAAAAAACTTTCTTATAGCTATATTGACTTTTTCCCAAGTAAAGTATATTTTGAATGATATTTTCTCCTAGATTCTTATAAATAGATTATTTGATGTTCCACATGATCCATATGTCAAAATTAGTGATTCCTTTTGGCCACCTTATGTTGAGCTGCTGCTGCGTAATGGAATTGCCTTGAGACATCCAGAAGATCCAACCCGAATAAGATTAGAAGCTTTCCATCAGTAAAAGGATGTTTTCTTTTTTCACACAGTAAAAATTCTTATCATTCAAGGATATTGGAACCACAGGACTATTTGGATAAAAAACATTATTTGCAAATTAATGCGCATAGGCCATCTTACTTTTATTGCAAAATGGCATGTGCTGCCATCTATTATTCATTTTTAAATGGTCATTTCTTATTCAGTGAGTGCTTTAGTGTTTTAAACTATATGGATAAGAATGCAGGTAGATAATATTCTAGGCATAAAACATTTAATGTACCTTACCTCATGCAATATTCTTTGGATTCTTTGTTGATTTATGATATTGCTAATATAATATTTTCTTAAAATATATAACAATATCTTTTATGCATTTTGAGTTCCAGCTGGTGCTTCTTTATATTTAGAAATTATAATGGGAAGGTCATTTAATTTACAGATGGTTTTAAAATTGAGGTAATATCTGAGGTGGCATAATTTAAAAATATTTAGCAAATTTGTTTCATATATACTGTCTTATTTCTAGATTTGTTTAAAATTGGAATATGAAAAACTAATGGATAAAGCTAGCATAAAATTGATATTTTAGTTTGTATTATTAATATATCATGTTACCTTATATATTAATCTACTCTTGATTCTGCTAATTATTACCAACAAAATTGTATTCATGACATTTTATTAATCCTCTGTGAATTTTCTGTAAATAAAATTATTTCTGAAAATCTCTAGCTATTAGTGATGTGGGATATTTTTATAAGTAGCAAATGTTTTTTAAAGGCCGATAAACTAAGATATAGGACTCATTTAGTATTACATAACAAGCTAAACTAGAGAATCCTAAATCCATTTAGTATCATTAGTTTTCTAAGATAAATTTGTTTATTTTTTTACTTGAAAGCGCTTTCTACTGTATATTATCCAAGTCTCTGGCTTACCTTAATTACTTCATATTTTCTAAAGTAAACAAATATTTGAAGTATACCAAATCCCTCTGTAGAAAATACAAATACTATTATATTTTAGGGAACGTAACTCTTTTAGGGGAGGATAATATATAAAGTACCTCCTAGAATACTGCAGTTGGATATTGAAGAAGTGAGCAACTTTTTACTCTTTGAAGTTACTGGAGAGGGAAGAAATGGCAGTGTAGGTCTGACAAGAATTCTTCAGAGCAGGTAGTACTGTTGTCCGTGAAGTACTAGCAAAACACTTTTGGTGTTTGCTAATTAAAACATTAAAAATATGTAATTGAGCCAGACACGGTGGCTCATGCCTATAATTCTAGCACTTTGGGAGGCCGAGGTGGGCGGATCACTTGAGGTCAGGAGTTCGAGACCAGCCAGGCCAACATGGTGAAACCCTGTCTTTACTAAAAATACCAAAAATTAGCTGGGTGTGGTGGTGCACACCTGTAATCCCAGCTACTTGAAGGCTGAGGCAGGGGAATCGCTTGAACCTGGGAGGTAGAAGTTGCAGTGAGCCAAGATTGCGCCACTGCACTCCAGCCTGGGTGACGAGCAAAACTCCGTCTCAAAAGAAAAAAAAAAAGTAATCCTTATGCTTGCAATGCCTACCAATAGACTGTATTCTTCTAAAAGTTTATATGGGGTATGTCAATATGCTTCCAGTTGCTAAATGGAGTGTATCAAATACTTTATTGCATTTTATGACATGTTGACTCAAAAATTAGTAAGTGAAAAGTTGCTAATAGCTTATTTTTAATATTCTTAATACTTTCCCTAGTTTATTGTTTATCCTACAACTTTGTTTTGATGGAATCTTGCTTTTTTTTTAGCATGTAGAGATGTAAAATTTTTAACTTATTTTTGATTATACAAAAAATGCAGATACTACAGATAAAACTGAAATTTCGTTTGATATTTCCTATCCAGGTCCTCTCTGCCTTGGGGTAACCACTATTTGATACATGCTATTATTTTTCATGTTACGTTATGATTATTCTCTTCCATCATTTGACTGTGTCCAGAAGATCATCCATTTTAATGAATCTTGTTTTGCAATAATCAGAGAGCCAATTCACATGATGGTGGATTGTTCGTATCTGTTTAATCCTGGTAAGAGAGCAGAGACAATGGAATTGTACAAGATGCTGGATTAAACTTAGAGAAGGCAGAAAAGTGGAAGACAAGAACAAAAGATCGATTAATAGAAAACATTAACAAATATAGTAATTTATATCAATCAGTTTAAATGTGAGTTGTCTAAATACACAGATACTGCCACAGTGCATTAAAAAACGACTAAACAAGAAATCCACTTTAAATACAGAGATGGAGAAAGATACATCATTTGTTATGGACTGAATGTTCATGTTCCCCTCTTCCCCAGATTTATATGTTGAAGCCCTAACCCCCAGTGCGATAGTGTTTGGAGACAGGATCTTGGAAGATATTAAGGTTAGGTGGCACCCTGACTAACATAAGGTTAGTGCCCTTATAAGAAGGGACACAGAAAGCTTGCTCTCTTTGCCATGTGAAGATACAACTAGAAGGTAGCTGTCTACAAATGAGAGAGCCTTCCCCAGAAATTGACTATGCTGACACCCTGATCCCAGACTTCGTCTTCAGAAATTTGAGAAAATGAAAATTTCTGTTGCTTAAGTCACCTAGTGTATGGTGTTTTGTTAGGGTAGCCTAGATAGACTAACATATGAAACTATACTCATCAAAAGAAAGCTGGAGTAGCTATATTAATTTCATACAAAGCTGACTTCAGAACAAGGAAAATGAGAGGCAATATATGGTGATAAAAGGGTAATTAACTTATTCTTTTCAAAAAAGACACCATAGAAGCTATGTCTTTGACTACAAAGGAATTAAACTAGAAATAAGTAATGAAAATACCTGGAAAATCCCAAAATACTTGTAGATTAAGGAACACACTTCTAAACACATAGGTCAAAGAAGTCTCGAGAAAATATATTTTGAACTAAATAAATGAAACTACAAGTTATCAAAATTTGTGAGATGCGGCTGGAAGCGGTGGTTCATGCCTGTAATCCCAGCACTTGTTGGGAGGCCGAGTCGGGTGGATCACGAGGTCAGGAGATCGAGACCATCCTGGCTAACGTGGTGAAACCCCGTCTCTACTAAAATATAAAAAATTAGCCGGGCGTGATGGCAGGCACCTGTAGTCCCAGCTACTTGGGAGGCTGAGGCGGAGGATGGCCTGAACCCGGGAGGCGGAGCTTGCAGTGAGCTGAGATTGTGCCACTGCACTCCAGCTTGGGCGACAGAGCAAGACTCCGTCTCAAAAAAAAAAAAAAAAATTTTTTTGAGATGCAGCAAAAGCAGTGGCTAGAGGGTAATTTATAGTATTGAGTGCATATATTGGAAAATGTTAAAGATCTAAAATCAATAAGCATCTACTTTAGGAAATTAGAAAAAGCAAATTAAATCCAAAGTAAGCAGAAGAAATAGAGTAGAAATCAATAAAATTGAAACAAAAACAATAGAGAAATTCAGTGAAACAAATGAAATTCAATGAAAAGTTAAAATTTATAAAACTTTTACCATAACAAAAGAAAAAACAAAAATTACTAAAATCAGAAATGAAAAGAGGTGCCATTATTACTCTTCTTGTGAACATTAGGACATTAGAAGGATAATAAAGGAATGATATGAGCAACTCTTGAGTGTACAAATTTGATAACAGATGAAATGGACCAATTTTGTGAAAGACGCAACCTACCAAAACTCACACAAGGAGAAATAACTGCCTTGCATAAACTTATAAAATAAATTGAATCAATTATGAGCTTCCAAAACAAAGCACTGGTCTCAGATGGCTTCACTAGTGAATTCTACCATTCAAAGAGAAAGTGATGCCAATTTTGTCAAGTGATGCCAATTTTGTACAGTCTGTTCTAGAAAATAGAAGCAGAGGAAATGCTTTAACACACTCTGTGAGGCTGAGCACGATGGCTCACGCCTGTAATCCCAGCACTTTGGGAGGCTGAGGTGGGCGGATCACGAGGCCAGGAGTTTGAGACTAGCCTGACCAATATGGTGAAACCCCGTCTCTACTAAAAATACTAAAAAATTAGCCAGGCGTGGTGGCACGCGCCTGTAATCCCAGCTACTCGGGAGGCTGAGGCAAAAGAATCACTTGAACCCTGGGATGGGGAGGTTGCAGTGAGCTGAGACTGCACCACTGCACTCCAGCCTGGGTGACAAAGTGAGACTACGTCTCAAAAAAAACTAAAAAAAACTAAAAAAAAAAAAAAAAAAAAAAAAAAAAAAAGATTATGTGAGGCCAGCATTACCCTGATAACAAAATTAGGTAAAGATGTTACAAGAAAGGACAACTACAGACTAGTATCTCTCATGAACATAGCTGTAAAAATTCTCAACAGAATATTAGCAAATCTAATATAACAATATATAACAAAAAACTATACACCACAGTCAGGTGGCATTTATTTCAGGTATGCAAGGCTGGTTCAACAAATCAGTTCATACAGTCCATTACATTATCACACTAAAGGAGTAAGGTCATGATCATATCAATACATGCAGAAAAGCCGTTTGACAAAAAAAGCCAACATCTATTTGTGATTAAAAACAAACCTCTCAGCCAGCTAGGAATATAAGAAAACCCTCAACTTCATAAAGAATATCTACAAAAAACCTACAGCTAACAACATACTTAATGGTGGGACATCAGATGCTTTCCCTTGAAGAACAGAAACAAGGCAAGTAGATCGCATCATTCCTATTTAATGTTGCACTGGAAGTTCTTGCTAATGCAATAAGACAAAATTCCTATGTCTCAACAAAAAATAATTTGAAACTAAAACCTGAATATAGCAAGTTTACAGAGAATGTATGGTTCATACACATTGAATTACTTTCTTAGATATACCAGGGATGAACATTTGGAATTAGAAATTTAAAACATTTACATTAGCACCAAAAGAGAGTAGAGAGAGAGAGAAGAAAGAAGGAAGGAAACAAAATTAACTTTGTACAAGATCTATATGGAAAACTACAAAAGTCTCATGAAAGAAATTGAAGATAGAAATAAGTAGAATAATATTCCATATTCATGGGTAGGAAGACTAAATATTTTTAAGGTGTTACGTCTTCCTAACTTTACGGATTCATTGAAATCTCAATAAAAATCCCAGCAAGGTACTTGTGGATATTGACAAAATTTTATAGTTAATGAGGGAACGACCCAGAATAGCTGCTAAGATATTTAAGAAGAACAAAGTTAGAGGACTGACACTGACTTTGGCGATGACTTTTTAGCTACAACACCAAAAGCATGATTCATGAAAGAAAAAAATTAGTTGGACTTTATTAAAATTAAAAACCGCTCTGTGAAGGACACTGTTAAAATGAAAAAATATGCCACAATCTGGGATAAAAACTTTGCAAAATATATCTGATAAAGGATTTGTATCCAAAATATACAATGAACTCTTTAAAAGTCAACAATAAGAAAAACCAATTAAAAAGTAGGTAAAAGATCTGAGCAGGCACCTCACAAAAGAAGATATATAGATAGCAAATAAGCATGAAAAAGTTGTTCAACATCGTATGTCATTAGAGAATTCCAAATTTAAATAATGAGATATCACTATGTGCCTACCACAATGGCTAAAATTAAAATATAATACCAAAGGCTGATGAGGATGTGGAGCAACAGGAACATAGCCACTTAGTGTTACGGTTTGACGGTTTTTTACAAAGCTAAATATAGCCCTAATACAGGCATACCTTGAAGATACTGTGGGTTTGGTTCCAGACAACTGCAATAAAACAAATACTACAAGTGAGTCACACAAATTGTTTGATTTCCCCGTACATGTAAAAGTTTTGTTTATACTATACTGTAGTCTAGTAACTATACATAGCATTATTTCTAAAAATGTGCATACATTATTTAAAACAAACCTTATTGCTAAAAAGTGCTGAGATGCCTAATCAGCCTTCACCTAGTAATTTTTTGCTGGTGGAAGGTCTTGTCAGTGTTAATGGCTGCTGACTGATTGGGGTAGTGGTTGTTGGAGGTTCGGGTGGCTGTGGCCATTTCTTAAAATAAGTCAGTGAAGTTTGCCACATCGATTGACTCTTACTTTCACAAAAAGATTTCTCAGTAGCATGGTAAGATGCTGTTTGATAGGTTTCTACCCACAGTAGAACTTTCAAAATAAGAGTCACTCCTCTCAAACCCTGCCACTGCCATATCAACAATGTTTATGTAATATTCTAAATCTTTTCTTGTCATTTCAACCATGTTCACTGTATCTTCACTGGAAGTAGATTCCATCTCAAGAAACCATTTTTTGCTCATCCATGGGAATTAACTCCTCATCTGTTCAAGTTGTATCATGAGATTGTAGCAATTCAGTCACATCTTCAGGGTCCACCTCTAGTTCTCTTGATATTTCTACCACATGTGTGGTTACTTGAACCCCTCAGAGTCATCCATGAAGTTTAGAACCAACCTCTTGCACACTCCTGTTAATGTTGATATTTTGACCTCCTCCCATGAATTGCACATGTTCTTAATGGCATCTAGAGTGGCGAATAATTTCCAGAAGGTTTTCAATGTACTTGAAAATCCAAATCCATCAGAGCAGCCATCTCTGATCTTTTTGTCACCAGGGACCAGTTTTGTAGAAGACAATTTTTCCATGGACCCAGAGTGGGGCTGGGGGGATGGTTTTGGGATGAACCTGTTCTACCTAAGATGATGAGGCATTAGCTTCTCATAAGGAGCATGCAACCTAGATCCCTCACATGAGCAGTTCACAAAAGGGTTTGTGCTCCTGTAAGAATCTAATGCTGCTGATCTGACAGGAGGCGGAGCTCAGGCCATAATGCTCACTCACCTGCTGCTCACCTCCTGTGGTGTGACCTGGTTCCTAACAGGCCATGGACTGGTACCAGAGCACAGGCAGAGTAGATTTTAGTATAATTCTTAAGGGCCCTAGGATTGCTGGAATGGTACACGAGCACTGGTTTTAACTTAAGGTCACCAGCTGCATTAGCCCTTAGCAAGACAGTCTTTCTGTCCTTTGAAACTTTGAAGCCAGGCATTGACTTCTCTAGCTATGAGAGTCCTTAGATGGCATCTTCTTCCAATAGAAGGCTGTTTTGTCTACCTTGAAAATTTGCTGTTTAGCATAGCCACTTTCATCAATATCTTAGCTAGATCTTCCGGATAACTTGGTGCAGCTTCTGCCTCAGCACTTATTGCTTCCCCTTGCGCTTTTATGTTATGGAGATGGCTTCTTTCCTTAAACCTCATGAACCAACCTCTGCTAGCTTCACACTTTTCTTTTGCAGCTTCCTCACCTCTCTCAACCTTCATAGAATTAAAAGAGTTAAGGCCTTGTGGATTAGGCTTTGGCTTAGAGGAATGTTGTGGTTGTGTCTTAGTCCATTTTCTGTTGCTTATAACAGAATAACTAAAACTGGGTAATTTATAAAGAAGAGGAATTTCTTTCTACAGTTACTGAGCCAGGAAGTCCAAGGTTGAGAAGCTGCATCTTATGGGGCCCTCTTGCTGCTGGTGACTCTGAAGAATCCCTGAGTGGCACAGGACATCACATGGTGAAGGGTCTGAGAGGAATATCTCTCTTCCTCTTCTTATAAAGCCACCAGTCCCATTCCCATGATAACCCAATACTCCATTAATTAATGAATTGCGTAAACCATTTTTCTTTCTTTCTTTTTTTTTTTTTGAGATGGAGTTTCGCTCTTGTTGTCCAAGCTGGAGTGCAGTGGCACAATCTCGGCTCACTGCAACCTCTATCTCCTGGGTTCAAGCAATTCTCCTGCCTCAGCCTCCCGAGTAGCTGGGATTACAGGCGTGCACCACCATGCCTGCCTAATTGTTTGTATTTTTGGTAGAAACGGGGTCTCACCATGTTAGCCAGGCTGGTCTTGAACTCCTGACCTCAGGTGATCTGCCCTTCTCGGCCTCCCAAAGTGCTGGGATTACAGGCGTTAGCCACCGTGCCCGGACGCCATTTTTCATTCATTAGAGCACAGTCCTCGTGACCCAATCACCTCTTAAACTCCCTGCCTGTCAATACTGCCACATTTTGTGGATTAAATTTCAACATGGTTTTTGGAGGAGACAATCATTCAAACCATAGCAGGCTAGTCTGATCTTCTATCTGGAAATCTAAAACTTTCTCCATTGATCAGCAATAAGGCTGTTTCACTTTCTTACCATTCATATGTTTGCTAGAGCAGGACTTTTAATTTTTTTCAAGACTTTTTCTTTATATTCACTACTTGGGTAACTATTGGTGCCAGACTCCCAGCTTTTGTCCTATTTTGACTTTTGACATGACTTTTTCACAAAGATTAATTCTTTTTCAGCTGTTGATTTAAAGTGAGAAATATGCGATTCTTCTTTCATCTGAACACTTAGAGGTCGTTGTAGGTTATTAATTGGCCTATTTCAATATTGTATCTCAGGGACTATGGAGGCTTAAGGAGAGGGAGACAAGGGAACAGCTGGTTGGTGGAACAGTCAAAATACACACAACATTTATTATTTAAGTTTGCTGTTTTATATAGATGTAGTTCTTGATTCCTCCAAACAATTACACTGATCTGTGATTACACATCAACATAACAGACATAATAATAATGAAAAGTTTTGAAATGTGAAAATTATCAAAATGTTACAGAGAGACACAAAGTGAGCATGAGCTGTTGGAGATATTGTAGTGGTAGACTTGCTCAACACAGGGTTACCAAAAACCTTCCATTTGTACAACAGACAATATCTGTCTGTAAAGGGAAACTCATTAAAATAAAGCATGCCTTTATATGATCTAGCATTACACTCCTAGGTATTGACCCAAATGCGTTGAAAATATGTCCGTACAAAATCCTGCATATGAATTTTTATAGCAGCATTATTTGTAATTGCCAAAAATTGGAAGGAACACCGACATTCTTCAGTAAATAAATGGATAAACAAAATGAGGTACATTCGTACAATGGAATAATATTTTGCAAAAATATTTGGAGCGATGAAGCTATGAAAAGACATGGAAGAACCATAATGCCAGTTACTCAGTTGGAGAAGCCAGTCTGAAAATGCTATATACTATATGATTCTAACTATATGAATTCTGGAAAAGGCAAAACTATGGAGGTGGGAAAAATATCAGTGGTTGCCAGAGGTTGAGACTGAGAAGGGAGAGTGGATGGAAGCAATGCATAGGTTGTCCCAGTGAGGACTGACTTTCTTAATATAGAGGTGAGACCAAGCGTATTGTTTATAACTGAGAATCTGCCTGACTCACAAAGCAAAACCCAAATGCACTATACAGGAGATACGCCAAGACAAGATGATTCAGAAAGGGTAAACATAAAGGGATGGGAAAAAGTGTATCAAATGGAATTCTTTTGCCCATGTTTAAAGTGGGTACTCTTATTGAGTTTTAAGAGTTTTTTTGTATTCTGAATATAAGTCCTTTCTTAAATGTATGTTTACAAATAGTTTCTCCCAGTCTGTGTCTTGTCTGTTTTTATTTTCTTAATGGCATCTTGAAGCACAAAAATTTGAAATTTTAATGGCATTGTATTTATTAATGGTTTCTTTCATAGATTGTGTTTTTGGTGCCGTATCTAAAAACTTTTTGCCAAACCAATGCACAACATTTTCTCCCAGAAGTTTCACAGTTTTAGCTTTTTTTTTTTTTTTTTTTTAGATGGAGTCTTGCTCTGTCGCACCCAGGCTGGAGTGCAGTGGCATGATCTCCGCTCACTGTAACCTCTGCCTCTCAGGTTCAAGTGATTCTCCCACCTCAGTCTCCCAAGTAGCTGGGATTACAGGCATCTGCCACCATGCCCGGCTAATTTTTTGTATTTTTAGTAGAGATGGGGTTTCACCATATTGGCCAGGCTGGTGTCGAACTCCTGACCTCAGGTGATCCACCCGCCTCAGCCTCTCAAAGTGCTGGGCTTACAGGCATGAGCCACTGCATCTGGCCCATAGTTTTAACTTTTATGTTCGTGTATGTGAACTATTTTGAATTAAATTTTTTATCGGATATGTTATAAGGAGATAGTTTTGATTTTAATACACTGAATAAAATAAATATTCAAGTCCATAGTGATAGAAAATTACAATCAAATGGGAGAGAATGAATAAATCTTCCTTATAGAAGTATTACAACTAATAAACATAGAAGAAAAGTTGTCTTTAGGCAAATACCCTAGTAATAATTTTGTAGACACACAGCAATAATTTAGCGTCTTCTGAAGTGTGCTAAAATTAGTGGGTGAAAATTCAGAATGAAATAGGATCTTTGCATCATCTAAAATTGTATTTTGTATTTCTTACTTACACAGGGAAATATAGTACCTTTATAGTGGAGAAACCCAGCAGACACCACCTTAATCACGTGGTCAAGGTTAATATCACAGGTAATCAGATGTCTCAATAATCAAAATATCTTGATATGATGTAATTAGAAAGACACAACATTGTTTCTGTAGTATTATTGCCAAAAATGCATTAACCTCATTCTAATCATGAGAAAATGTCAGACAAATGTGAATGAAGTTTATCCTATGAAATAACTTGCCAGTACTCTTGAAATGTGTCAAAGTTATGAAATACAAGGAAAGCCCGATAAACTCAAATTGGAGGAGACTAAAAAGAATTAATAATTACTTGTAAGGTGGGATCCTACATAAGTTCCTTTAACTGAAAAAGAACAATACTGGAAAAAGTGGTGAAATTTGAATAGGGTCTACAGTTTAGTTAATACTATTATATCAGTGTTAGTTTACTGGTTTCAATAATTTTAATATAATTATTATAAAATGTTACACATAATTGTATCATGATAACTGACTCGGAGCTTGTAGATGGGGCAGACTGAAGCAATTTAAAACCTTTAGGTGGGGAGGGGTGAAAACAGAGTGGGAGTAAGAGAATAAAAGTGACAAGCCTTAAACATAACACTTTTCTAGTAATATGACCGTGCAAATCAAAATGAAGGAATCTAATGCAAAGATAGCCAAGGCAAACAGATTTTGTTGTTTAGCTCTCCCTTCTCGCTTTCTAACAGAATTGATTTTTGTTTGGGTAATCCACTCTTCTCTATATAGCTGTGCATTTAGCTAAACCAAACGTGCTTATCTGAATCCTTTTTAGTGATTTATTAAAGAATATATTTGATCCAATATTTACTTATTATGTATCTTCTGAGGAACTTTGGAGAAATTTTTTTTTCACTGATTAAAAAAATGCCAGTAGGAAGTGGCTTCTCTTGTTCTGGTGGATATTACTTGGTCTGCATGGGACATCTGGAACTGCTTAGTCATTTTGTAACCATAAGGAGAGCTTGCCATGGCCAAATCTGGCATGTTTAGTATGGCAGAAACACAAAAGAAAAAGAGCAAATTCTGATAATGTTATTGAGCAAGTGAATTAATTTATTCTAGAGATTTCCTACTTGGGAACATGATACGTAAGATAATAAATTTTCCTTCTGGTTTAAGTCGATTGAGACAAGGTTTTATGTTGCTTGAAACTGAAAGCATCCTAGCTAGTAGCAACACCTAACAAAATCATGAAGTGGAACATTTATTTAGTCTTGATAAAATTAGTTTTATAGAATAGTGTGACAGAGGCTTTAGAATGGGTATTTTGAAGATGTTTGAAAAAACAAATTTATTTTAAAAGACTTTTTTTTTTTTTGAGACCAAGTGTCGCTCTGCTGCCCAGGCTGGAGTGCAGTGGCGTGATCTCAGCTCACTGCAATCTCCTCTTATCGGATTCAAGAGATTCTCCTGCCTTAGCCTCCTGAGCAGCTGGGATTACAGACACTCATCAACATGCCTGGCTAATTTTTTGTATTTTTAGTAGAGACAGGGTTTCGCCATGTTGGCCAGGCTGGCCTTGAACTTCTAACCTCAAGTGATCTGCCTGCCTTGGCCTCCCAAAGTGCTAGGATTACAGGTGTGAGCCACCATGCCCTACCAATTTTTGTGTTTTTAGTAGAGACCGGGTTTCACCATGTTGTCCAGGCTGGCCCTGAACTCCTGGGCTCAAGCAATCCACCAGCCTCAGCCTCCCAAAGTGCTGGGATTGCAGGAGTGAGCCACCTCACCCTGCCATTTTTTTTTTTTTTTTGAGATAAGTTCTCACTGTTGCAAAGGCTGGAGTTCAGTGGCTTTGAACTCCTAGGCTTAAGCCATCTTCCTGTGCCACAAGTAGCTAGGACTACAGGTGCCTGCCACCATGCTAATTTTTTTTTTTTTTTAAGAAATGGGATCTTGCTATGTTGCCCAGGCTGGTCTTGAGCTCTTGGTCTCAAGACATTCTCCCGCCTGGGCCTCCCAAAGCACTGGAATTACAGGTGTGGGCCACCATGCCTGGTTAAAAAGAGCAAGGAACTTTAAAACAAAAATAGGAACAAATGAACCAAAATTAGGTTATGAAATTGAATTAATTACAGATTCCATATTGGATTAAATATAATAATTTCAACACAATTTCTGCAAGTAGGATAACTCTTAACTGGCTAGAGTCAGTGAGAATGAACTGAAAGACAGTTGAAAAATTAACCCAGAAAGACTAAGAGGTAAAAATTATGAAGCATGGATAAGAAATGTAGAGGAGAGATCAAAGGACTCTACCATATGTCACATAGAAGTTTGTGATAAAAAGAATGAAGGAATATAAATAAGTAATATCTGAATAGGTTATAGCTGAAAAATCTCCAGAATGGAGAAAAACAGAAGTCTTTGGAAAAGCATGTACACTGAATGCTGTGCAGGATAAAAAAGCTAAATATGCTAAATCCACAACACGACATAGGTTTTTGCTTTGTTTTGTTTTTGAGATGAGGTCTCACTCTGTCGCCCAGGCTGGAGTGCAGTGGCAGAGTCATGGATCACTGTAGCCTCAACCTCTTGAGCTCAAGTGATCCTTCCACCTCAGCCTCCCAAGTAGCTTGGACTACAGGTATGCACCACCATGCCCAGCTAATGTATTTTTTATTTTTATTTTTGTAGAAACAAGGTATTACCATGTTGTCCAGGCTGCTCTCAGACTCCTGGCCTCAAGTGATCCTCTTGCCTTGGCCTCCCAAAATCCTAGGATTACAGGCATAAGCCACTATGCTCAGCATACATAGTTTAGTGAAACTACAACACATTAAAGAGAAAGTATTCAAAGATACCAAGAGAAAGGATAGTAACTTAAGGACAGTAATTATATATCTCATCAGAAACAATAGACATTGGTGCTGGGGGTAAAAAGGATAATCAATCTTGAATCACATAACCAGCTAAAGTATTACTCAAGAATAAGGACAAAATAAATGTTGTAGCCTGGGCAGCAAAGTGAGACCCTGTCTCTACAAAAATAAAAATTAAAAAAAAAATTAGCTGAATATGGTGGGACATACCTGTAGTCCCAGCTAATTGAGAGGCTAAGGCAGAGGATTGGTTATACCTGGAGTTCAAGGTTGCAGCTAACTATTCACTATATTCTATGAAGCCTGGGTGACAGTGAGTGACCATCTTTAAATAAATAAATAAATAAACTTTCTGACATATAAAAAACTAAAAATCTTTCCCACCCATACACATTCCCTAAAATAAGAGTTAACAGATATAACTTCAACCAGAGGAAAAGTTAATCCAGGGGAGGATAGGGTTAAGGAATCAGCCGTGAGCACATAAATTTATTTAAAATCAGTTATGGAAAGAAGAATGTAAAGACATTTAGAAAGAAAAAGTGTTTCTTGAAGAGATGTCACAGGGATATCGTACTTCAGAGCAACTCTCTAGTCAATTAAAAAATACAATATATGTTTAAAGGAAAATTACCTGCAAGGTTACAAAGTTTGTATTAGCCTATTCATAGTGGGAAAAAAAACAGCAATTTTTTCACATTGATATCATATGCACAAAAGTGCATATCTTCAGACATTAGTATTGCAAAAGTAAGTAATAAACATCTGGTAGAAAGTTAACTTACGAGAGAAATACTCGTGGGTTTTTTTTTTTTTTTTTTTTGATACGGAATTTTGCTCTTGTCTCCCAGGCTGGAGGGCAATGGCACGATCTTGGCCCACTGCAACCTCCCATCTCCCAGTTTCAAGCGATTCTCCCACCTAGGCCTCCGGAGTATCTGGGATTACAGGCATGTGCCACCAAGTCCGGCTAATTTTGTATTTTTAGTAGAGATGGGGTTTCACCATGTTAGCCAGGCTGGTCTCGAACTCCTCACCTCAGGTAATCTACCCCACCTTGGCCTCCCAAAGTGCTGAGATTACAGGCATGAGCCACTGCGCCTGGCCAGGTTTTTTTTAAAAAAATATATAAGACAAGATTTCCCTTATTTTTAGCTTATATTTGGGTCAAAGTGTTTTCTGGTTGTTCTTTGACTGTGGAACATGATATTCATACTTAGTATAATGATCGCAAGCAAAGGGTTGTGTTTGCTTCAGGACAGTTGCATATTACAAAGAAGCCAATGTTTTTGGCTTTTCTGTTAAAAAAAAAAATTTTTTTAGCAGGCCGGGCACGGTGACTCACGCCTGTAATCCCAGCACTTTGGGAGGCCAAGGTGGGCGGATCACGAGGTCAGGAGTTCTAGACCAGTCTGACCAATATGGTGAAACCCCATCTCTACTAAAAAATACAAAAATTAGCCAGGCGTGGTGGCACGTGCTTGTAGTCCCAGCTACTCTGGAGGCTGAGGCAGAGAATTGCTTGAACCCAGGAGGCAGAGGTTACAGTGAGCTGAGATCAAGCCACTGCACTCCAGCCTGGGCGACAGAGTGAGACTCTGTCTCAAAAAAAAAAAAAAGTTTAGCAAGTAGACAAAAAGTATCTTAAAGATAATAGAAAAAGTTCTAAATATTTTTAAAAATTTTAAATGTGCCAATTTAAATTATAAATTTCTGTCTGTAGAAAAAGAAGACATCTTTAGACAGAGTTAGAAGGCAACCCACAGAGTGGGAGAAAGTATGGTAACTATCCAACAAAGAATTCACATCTCAAATACATAAAGAGCTCTCCTAAAATCAACAATTAGAAGACATTCATCCTAATTTAAAATTATAGGCCGGACATAATGGCTCACGCCTGCAGAACAGCACTCTGGGAGGCCGAGGCAGGCGGATCACTTGAGGTCAGGATTTCGAGACTTGCCTGGCCAACATGGCAAAACCCCGTCTCTACTAAAAATACAAAAATTAGCTGGGCATGGTGGTGTGTGCCTGTAATCCCAGCTACTCGGGAGGCTGAGGCAGAATCGCTTAAACCCAGGAGGCAGATTTTGCAGTGAGCTGAGATCGAGACACTGCATCCAGCCTAGGAGACAGAGTGAGACTCTGTCTCAAAAAAAAAAAAAAAAAATATTACATTGGTGGGCAGGCACGGTGGCTCACACCTGTAATCCCAGCACTTTGGGAGGCTGAGACAGATGGATCAATTGAGGTCAGGAGTTTGAGACCAACCTGGCCAATGTGGTGAAACCCTGTCTCTACTAAAAATACAAAAATTAGCCAGGCATGGTGCCTGTAGTTCCAGCTACTCGGGAGGCTGAATCAGGAGAATCACTTGAACCTGGGAGGTGGAGGTTGCCGTGAGCCGAGCTTGCACCACTGCACTCCAGCCTGGGTGACAGAGCAAGACTGTCTCAAAAAATAATAAATAAATAAATAAATAAAATTTAAAAATTTATATTGGTTAGAAGACTTAAGAACCCAGGCACAGTAGGTGACGCCTGTAATCCCAGTGATGTGGGAGGATTGTTAGAGCCCAATAGTTTGAGGCTGCAGTGATCTCACCACTGCACTCTAGCCTCTAGCCTGGGTGACAGAGTGAGACCCTATTTCTTAAAAAAACAAACCAAACAAACAAAAAAAGACTCTTCATGTTAGAGAATAAATATCCTGAAAATGTTTTAAATATCTCTTCATATTAGAGAATAAATATTTTGAAAATGTTTTAAAGGAAAGAGAGGACTTCTAGTTTCAGACTAAGATGGAGTAGACACACTCCTCTCTATTCCTCCTGTTAATTGTAGCTTAAAACTTTGCACATTATATGTAATATACATGTTAGGAAATATCTGAAAAGTGGAGCGAAGGCAGCAGACTGCCTAGGGACTTTGGGACACAAAGAGGGACACAGCAGTTTTCTTTTTGCCTTATACGTACCAGACTGGATGCTAGAGAAGATCATAACCTTGAAAACACCAATGGAAGATAAAAGTTTCCCAAAACTTTGCTCTATCAAAAGGATGAGGAAAGAGGCAACACAGTAAGACAGAAAACTTTTCAACTATAACCACCCTACTGCAGCTAAACACCATGGAAAAAATACCACCCTACCACCACCCCTGTCCAAAAAGGCCAAAAGTAGTGGACCTCAGCTTCCACCCTTGTTGAGCTATAACATGGTGTCCTGCCCCTGGGGTGATCAGAGAAGACTGAGTTGGGAGTCAGGACTTTCCTCCCTGCCAGCAGTAAGAAGGCCATGTGGTGGTTCTGAACTTACATACCCACCCAGTAGTAAAGAGGCAACCCTGTTCATTAGAGGAAGCCATGTCAGAACTTTCACCACCATCCAGAGGTAAGGAGGCTTCCTACTCTTGACTATAGAATCAGTGGAGGCCACCTGGCAATCAGTAACAAGGTGCTCCTTCCTTTCCTAGCCAGACTGATGTCAATGGAGGCCTTTGAAGAGGCTGAATTTCCACAGCTGCCCAGATGTCACAAAGCACTTCTGTTTCCCTACCCTGGGTGTCAAAAAGCCTGAGCAGAGAACGTGGACTTTCACCACTACCTGGTAGTGATGAGACTGTGCCCCATTTCCCCTCCACCAGAATTGTGTCAAAGGTGGCCTGCTAAAACAAGATTTGAGTAAGATCTAGAGTGTTATAATAACCAAAATGTCCAGGGTACAATACATGCCCGAAGAACTAGGAAAATCTGAACTTTAATGAAAAAAGACAACATACAGCAACATCAAGATAAAACAGAGGGCCAGGAGCAGTGGCTCCTGCCTATAATCCCAGCATCTTGGGAGGCCAAGGTAGGTGGATCATATGAGGTCAGGAGTTCGGGACCAGCCTGGCCAACATGGTGAAACCCCATCTCTATTAAAAATACAAAAACTAGCTGGGCGTGGTGGTGGGTGCCTGTAATCCCAGCTACTAGGGAGGCAGAGGTAGGAGAATCACTGGAACACGGGAGGTGGATGTGGCAGTGAGCGAGATTGCATCATTGCACTCCAGCTTGGATGACAGAGCGAGACTCTGTCTCAAAAAAAAAAAAAAAAAAAAAAACAAACTTAGCAATTGCAAACATGCCTGAAACAAATGAAAATAGAAAGTCTCAGCAAAGAAATAGAAGATATAAAGAAGAATCATATTGAAAAGTTTAAAATGAGAAGCACAATAACCAGATTCAAGATTCAGTGATGGGCTCAATAGCAACATGAAGAGGACAAGAGGAAAGAATCAGCAAAGTTGCAGCTAGAACAATAGATATGGCCAGGCACCATGGTTCACGCCTGTAATCCCAGCACTTTGGGAGGCTGAGGTGGGTGGATCATGAGGTCAAGAGATCGAGAACATCCTGGCCAACATGGTGTAACCCCGTCTCTACTGAAAATACAAAAAATACAAAAATTAGCTGGGCATGGTGGTGTGTACCTGTAGTCCCAGCTACTGGGGAGGCTGAGGCAGGAGAATTGCTTGAACCCAGGAGGCAGAAGTTGCAGCGAGCCAAGATTGCGCCACTGCTCTCTAGCCTGGAGACAGAGTGGGATTCCATCTCAAACAAACAAACAAAAAACCGAAAAAACAAAGAACAATAGATATTCCTTAATCTGATTAACAGAGACAAAATATGATGAAATCAAATGAACAGAGCCTCAAAGACCTGTGACACTATATCCAGAATCTACAATGAACTCAAACAAATTTACAAGAAAAAAACAAACAACCCCATCAAAAAGTGGGCGAAGGACATGAACAGACACTTCTCAAAAGAAGACATTTATGCAGCCAAAAAACACATGAAGAAATGCTCATCATCACTGGCCATCAGAGAAATGCAAATCAAAACCACTATGAGATATCATCTCACACCAGTTAGAATGGCAATCATTAAAAAGTCAGGAAACAACAGGGGCTGGAGAGGATGTGGAGAAATAGGAACACTTTTACACTGTTGGTGGGACTGTAAACTAGTTCAACCATTGTGGAAGTCAGTGTGGCGATTCCTCAGGGATCTAGAACTAGAAATACCATTTGACCCAGCCATCCCATTACTGGGTATATACCCAAAGGACTATAAATCATGCTGCTATAAAGACACATGCACATGTATGTTTATTGCGGCACTATTCACAATAGCAAAGACTTGGAACCAACCCAAATGTCCAACAATGATAGACTGGATTAAGAAAATGTGGCACATATACACCATGGAATACTATGCAGCCATAAAAAATGATGAGTTCATGTCCTTTGTAGGGACATGGATGAAACTGGAAACCACCATTCTCAGTAAACTATCGCAAGAACAAAAAACCAAACACCGCATATTCTCACTCATAGGTGGGAATTGAACAATGAGATCACATGGACACAGGAAGGGGAATATCACACTCTGGGGACTGTGGTGGGGTCGGGGGAGGGGGGAGGGATAGCATTGGGAGATATACCTAATGCTAGATGACACGTTAGTGGGTGCAGCGCACCAGCATGGCACATGTATACATATGTAACTAACCTGCACAATGTGCACATGTACCCTAAAACTTAGAGTATAATAAAAAAAAAAAAATTAAAAAAAAAAAAAAGATCTAATATTTTTGTCATCAAAGTCCCAGAAAGAGGAGAAAGTGGGTGGGTTTTAAAATAGTGGCTGAATATTTCCCAAATTTGGTAAAAAGCATAAACCTACAGATTCAAGAAGCTGAGAGAACCCCAGCTCAGGAAAGGATAAACCTAAAGAAGTCTACACCAAGACACATTGTAAGTAAACTGAAAAGAGAAGGCAAAAAGTCTTAAAAGCATTGAGAGAGAAAGGATACCTTACCTATGGGGAAAAACAATTGGGAGGACAGTAGATTTTCATCAAGCACCGAGGAGGCCAGAAGGAAGTGGCTTAATGTTTTTCAATTGCTCAACGAACTGTCAGCCCTGTCAGATATCATATATCTGGTAAAATTACCCCTTAGGAATGAGGGGGAAATAAATACATACTAGATGAAGGAAAACTAAGAGAGTTTGTTGCTAGCAGACCTACCCTAAAAGAAGGCTAAAGAAAGTTCCTGGCTGGGTGCAGTGGCTCACGACTGTAATCCCAACACTTTGGGAGACTGAGGCCTGCCAAGCTGAGGCCAGGTGGACAGCTTGAAGCCTGGAGTTCAAGATAACCCTGGGCAATAAAGGGAGGCCTCATTCTCTATTTAAAAAAAGAAAGTCCTGAAACATAAAGGAAATCATCAAAGAAGGAATCTTGGAATATTAGGAAAGAAGGACAACAGGAAAGAGCAAAAATGTGACCAAATACAAGACCGGGTATGTTGACTCACACCCGTAATCCCAACACTTAGGGAGGTTGAAGCCTGTTCTCAAGACCAGTCTGGGCAACATGGCGAGACTCTGTCTCTACAAAAAATAAATTAGCCAGGCGTGGTGTCGTGTGCCTGTAGTCCTAGTTACTAAGGAGCCTAAGGCAGCAAGATTGCCTGACCCAGGAATTTGAGGTTATTGTGAGCCATGATCAATGCCACTGCACTCCACCCTGGGTGGAGTGAGACCCTGTCTCAAAAAAGAGACAGAATCAGACCCTGTCTCTAAAAAAAAAAAAAGAAAAAAGAAAAAGAAAGAAAAAAAGAAAAGAAAGAAAAAAGAAAGAGAAGGAAGATATATGACCAAATACAATAGTTTTCTTCTTGAATTTTCTAAGTTATGTGTCCATGATTGAAACAAAATATATGATTTGATTCTCAGTGATGTAGAGGAAATATTTAAGACGATTGTAACTGGGGAAAGGTAAAGAGGTTTAAAGGAAGGTAGGATTTTACTTCATTCAAACTGATAAAATGTCAATACCAGTAGACTATGGTAAGTTACATAAGTGTTATGTAAATGTAATAAATAAAGCAATCACGTACAAAAAACATATATAAAGAGATATGCCCTCAATCCCTAGATGTATTCCTTGAAGGTTGGGAATATATCTATATGTGTATATTGATATATATTTACATAACATTAGAGAGATATATAATATATAAAAATGTTTCAGAAATTATTAAAGATATTTTAAAAGTAAATTATTTCTAGGCTAGGGTAGCAAATGATAATGTAAGGAAATTGTAGCCTAGTCTTATGAACGTAGATGCAAAATCCAACAGAAAATACTAGAAAAACAATTCATACCAATTATACATACAGTATAAGAAATTTATAATGCTGAAATTCAATTTCTTCCTTCTTGGCATTTTTGTTATTGTCAGATCTTTTATTTTGACAGATGTTACAAACTCCACACTATATTGTTTTTATTCTAACTTAAATAGACTTTTGAATATATATGTGTATATTTTATTTATTTATTTATTTGTTTGTTTGAAATAGGGTCTTGCTCAGTTGCCCAGGCTGCAGTGCAATGGCACAATCATAGCTCATTGCAGCCTTGAACTCCTGGGCTTAAGTGAGCCTCCCACCTCACCCTCAAAAAGTGCTGGAATTACAGGCGTGAGCCACTGTCCTGCCTTTTTATTGGAACATTTCGTTCATTTATATTTACAGTAGACAGACTTCTAAAACCCTGTTCAATAATTTTCACCTCCTGGTATCCCTGGCTTTGTGTTATCCCCTTCCCATTAGGTGTGGACCGGGGAACTTATGACTTGTTTGTAATGAATCAATAGAACAAAGGGACATCACTTCTGAGACTAGGTTACAAAAGACTGTGACTCCTATCTTGCTGTCATTCTGTTGCTCTTTCTCCTTTGCTTACTTTGATGAGGTCAACTGCCATGTTGTGATTGTCCATATTGTAGTTTCTTATCACTAAGGGTGACTGCTTCTAACAGCCCGTGAGGAACTAATTTTTTTCTTTTTTTTTTGAAAGGGAGTCCCACTTTGTCGCTTAGGCTGGAGTGCAGTGGGGGCAATCTTGGCTCACTGCAACCTCCATCTCCCGGGTTCAAGCGATTCTCCTGCCTTAGCCACCCGAGTAGCTGGGATTACAAGCATGTGCCACCATGCCCAGCTAATTTTTGTATTTTTAGTAGAAATGGGGTTTCACCATGTTTGCCAGGCTGGTCTTGAACTCCTGACCTCAGGTAGTCCGCCCGCCTCAGCCTCCCAAAGTGCTGGAATTACAGGCGTCAGCCACTGCACTTGGCCACTATTTTTATTTTATTTTTATTTTTTGGAGACGGAGTCTCACTCTTGTCGCCCAGGCTGGAGTGCAGTGGCGTGATCTTAGCTCACTGCAATGCTCCGCCTCATGGGTTCAATCAATTCTCTGCCTCAGCCTCCCGAGTACCTGGGATTACAGGCACCCGCCACCACGCCTGGCTAATTTTTTTGTATTTTTTTTAGTAGAGATGGGGTTTCACCATCTTGGCCAGGCTGGTCTTGAACTCCTGACCTTGTGATCTACCTACCTCGGCGTCCCAAAGTGCTGGGATTACAGACGTGAGCCATCGCACCCAGCCTTTTTATTTTTATAGTAAAAATATACTCATAAATACTTTGGAAAAAAAACAAACAGCAAAGTATAAAGATGAAAATTAAAAACCCCACCACCCAGAGATAACCACTTGTAACCTTTTTTTATTACTTAACCTTGATCCTAACTGTATGACATGTGCTAGAAAATATGAAATTATGATCCTAATTTTATGAAGTAAAGTGTTTACGTATGCATTTTATGTATATGCTTATAATGTTCTTTATGATTATACTATATAATGAGCTCTGCTTCTTTTACTCTTTGTTGTATTTTTCTCATAACTAGGTAATATTAGAAAAAACATTTTTAAGGCTACTGGATTATTAACAAAGTAGGAGTACCATCATTTATTTTAACAATTTTTCTATTATTGGCTATTGAGGTTGTTCCCAGTCTTTCACTCTTAGAAATAGCACCGTGATCAATGTCTTTATGTAAATTCCTAGAAATAGAGACACTAGGTCAAAGAGTATAAGTGTTTTGTTTTGTTTTGTTTTGTTTGAGACAAGGTCTCTATAGCCCAGGCTGGAATGCAGTGGTATAATCATGGCTCACTGCAACCTCAACCTCCCTGGCTCAAGTGATCCTCCCACCTTAACCTCCTAAGTAGCTGGGACTACAGGTGTGCCCCACCATGCCTGGTTAATTTTTTGTGTTTTTTGTAGAGACGGGGTTTTGCCATGTTGCCCAGACTGGTCTAAAACTTCTGGGCTCAAGCAATCCACTCACCTTGGCCTCCCAGAGTGCTGGAATTACAGGCATGAGCCGCCTTGCCTGGCCACTAAGGCTCTTGATTAATATTGCCAAATGCCTTTCCAGAAAGGTTGAAGCAATTTATACCACCACCAGCAGTGTATGAGAGTGCCCATTTAATGGAACCCTTGCCAACAATGAGTATTTTTTAAAATTTTGTCTATTTGATTATAAAAATCTTGTTTTAATTTATATTTATTGGATTATAAGTGAGATGGAACTTTTTTTCATAGATTACTGGCTGTTTGTATTTCTTCTTTTGTGAATTTTTTGTTTCCTTGATCGTTATTCTAGAACAGTGCTGAATAGACACCTAATGCAAACTGTGTATGTAATTTTATAATAAATTTTCTTGTGGCCTCATTAAACAAGTAAAAAGAAACAGGTGAAATAAATTTTAATGATAAAATTATTTTAGTAATAAAAAATCTTAATAAAATTTATTTAACTACATACACCCCAAATATTATCATTTCAACATTGGCACTAGCTACATTTCAAGTGCTCTTGTGAGTAGTGGCTACCATATTGGACAGTGCAGATTCAGAACGTTTCCATCATAGTGGAAAGTTCAACTGGACAGCACTAGCATGGAGCTAGAGCTTTTGATATTTTTTTATAAGGAAACTTTATATATTTAGTTTTTGTCTATCCTATTTGTTGTAGTTTTTTCCAGTATGCCGTTAACCTTTTAATTTTGTTTATTCTTTTTATTTACTAATATTCAAACAATATAGGTGGATCTGTCATTCTTTCCCTTTGTTGTCTATTCCATTGTTTTAGGTCTACCTATTCCCAGATAGTTAATTCTTCACCTATATTTTCTTCTGTCCCCCCACCCCCATGTTTTTACAGACAGGGCCTCATTATGTTGCTTAGGCTGGGAGTGCAGTGGCTATTCACAGGCATGATCATAGCACACTACAGCCTCAAACTCCTGGCCACAAGCGATCCTCCTGCCTTGGCCTCCCAAGAAGTTAGGACTACAGTGACACACTACTGAACCAGGCTACCCTAGATTTTTTAATGGCTTCATTTGTAATGCAGTTATTTAATCCTGAAATTTATCACATTATTTTAAAAGTGTACCTGATTTATCAAGAAGCTTACTATGGTTGCATGTCTATCAATTTCTCCTTGGAGTTTGTAAGAGTTTCTATTTTAAGTATTTTGATGCTGTGTTATTTAGTGCATAACAGTTCGGGATTGTTGATCATTGTAAAGGACTATGATTCTCCTGGTCCTTTGTAGTAGTTTTTATTTTGACTCTACTTTATTTGAAATTAATATTGTCACCCCTGGTTTGGGTGGCAGTATTTCCCTAAGAAATCATTGCCCAAGCTTTAATTTTTAACCTTCCAATTTTATTTTGCATATACTTTTGTAATTATTGTTTTTGTGTGTGTGTGTGTGTGTGTGTGTTTGTGTTTTTTTTTTTTTTTTGAGACAAAGTCTCACTCTGTCTCCCAGGCTGGAGTGCCAGTGGCATGATCTTGGCTCATTGTAACCTCCACCTCCCAAGTTCAAGTGATTCTCCTGCCTCAGCCTCCTGAGGTAGCTAGGATTACAGACGTCTGCCACCATGCCAAGCTAATTTTACAATTTTAGTAGAGATGGAGTTTCACCATGTTGGCCAGGCTGGTCTCGAATTCCTGGCCTCAAGTGATTCACCCACCTCAGCCTTCCAAAGTGCTGGGATTACAGGCGTGAGCCACTGCACCCAGCCTTTTGTAATTATTTTTGTAACTGTGATTTAATCTTAACTCTGTTAAATTGATTTTTTTTCTTATTGCTGGTCCTTTTATATGTCAATTTCTCCCATTTTTGAGTTGTTATTTTTTATATCACTTAGACTGCTGATATATGCCTTCAATAATTACTTTCAAATACATATCTTATAGTCAGTATTCAATAAATATTGCCTGCATAAAATAATAAATGAATGAATGAAGGAAGGAAGGATGTTAAGCCTTTACACATCATAGAATGTCTTTCTGTTCTGTGGTAAAAAGCGTATGACTTTTTGTTTTATGAAAAGTCTACTTTTTACTCTTGAATGATGGTCTCATGTCTCTCTCTTTTTTTTTCAACAAACAATTTTTTAGCTTTTTTTTTCTTTTAAACATTTAAACATTTTACCAGGATATGTCTAGGTTTTGGTTTCTTTACATTGATTTTACCAGGAAAAGAATGAAACTTTTAATCTTCTAATTTAAGTCATTCTTAAATTCAGGAAGGTTTTTTTCTGGTATGTATTTGTCTGTTTTTGTACAGTTGTTCTGAATCCATTTTTCAGGAATATGACTAATTTTGAGATTGGATCCCAGGTTCTAACCCTCATATCAATAATTAATTTTCATCTGTTTGCTCATTTTATGTATATTTAGAAGGATTTTTGGCAAATGACATAAGATGAGGAATTAAGTTTTTTTTTCTAATTAGCTTGCCTTCTCAAAACTGAAAAAATACACGTTTATTTTCTATATCTTTCATTCTGTTTTTATTTTTTAATTTATTTTTTATTTTTTATTTTTATGGGCACATAGTAGGTGTATATATTTATAGGGCACATGAGATATTTTGATACAGGCATACAATGTGTAATAATCACATCAGGGTAAATGTGATATCCATCACTTCCAGCATTTCTCTCTTGTGTTACAAACAATCTAATTATACTTTTTTGGTTATTTAAAAATCTACCATTAAATTATATTTGACTGTAATCACCCTAGCAAATACTAGGTCTTGAACTAGCAAATACTAGGTCTTATGTATTCTTTTTTAAAAATTTTATTTTAAATTATGTTTTGTAGAGACAGGGTCCCCATATGTTGCCCAGGCTGGTCTTGAACTCCTGGGCTTAAGCAATCTTCCACCTTGGCCTCCCAAAGTGCTGGGATTACAGCCACTATGCCCAGCCATGCATTTCTTTATTATTTTGTACCCATTAACCATCCCCACTTCTCCTCAACCCCCTGCCCCCCACTATCCTTCCCAGCCTCTGGTAACCGTCTTTCTATTCTCTGTCTCCATGAGTTCAATTGTTTTAATTTTTACCTTCCACAATTAAGTGAGAATGTTTGAAGTTTGTCTTTCTGTGCCTGGCTTATTTCACTTGACATAATGACTTCCTGTTCCATTTATATTGTTGCCAATGATAGGATCTCATTCTTTTTTATGGCTGAAGAGTAACTTCATTGTGGAGTACTCCACTGCATACCACATAGTTAGGATTGCTAGTGAGATTGAGCACTTCATTATTTATTTATTGGTCTTAGCTTGTTTTCTCCTGTGACTTGCCTATTTATGGCATTTTCCAATTTTTTTGGTCTGTCTCTCATAGATTTGTGAGTTATTTAATGAGAGATATTTATTCTGTTTCAATTATATATATTGCAAATCCTCCCAATCTCTGGTTTATATTTTTCACTTTTTAATGATCTTTTAATTTTCATTTAATAAAGTAAAACTCATCAGTCTTTTCCTTTATGCTTTGAGTCTTTGCACTTATTTAAGAAATTCTACAATAATTAGAAAATATTTATTTTTACTATATGAGATTCAAATCCCATCGTATTGAAGGAGTAAACTGTATCATATTGAAAGTATATGCAATTTGGCCAGGCGTGGTGGCTCACGCCTGTAATCCTAGCACTTTAGGAAGCAGAGGCAGGTGGATCACCTGAGGTCAGGAGTTTGAGACCAACCTGGCCAACATGGTGAAACCCCGTCTCTACTGAAAATAGAAAAATTAGCCAGGCATGGTGGCATGAGCCTGTAATCCCAGTTACTCGGGAGACTGAGGCATGAGAATTGCTTGAACCTGGGAGGCAGAGGTCGCAGTGAGCTGACATCACACCCTGGGCGACAGAGTGAGACTCCGTCACAAAAAAAAAAAAAAAAAAGTATATGGAATTTGGTTTTAACATTTTATTTTTTTTGAAACAAGTTCTTGCTCTGTCACCCAGGCTGGAGTATATTGGCAGCATCATAACTCATTGTAACCTCAAACTCCTGGGCTCAAGCAATCCTCCTACCTCAGCCTCTCAAGTAGCTAGGACTACAGGTGTGCACCAATATACCCAGCTAATTTTTTTTTTATACCCAGCTTATTTTTAAAATTTTTTTTTTGTAGAATCAGTGTCTTGCTATTGCCCACTCTCGTTTCAAATTCCTGGCCTCAAGCCGGCAATTCCCACTTCAGCTTCCCAAAGCAAGAGATTTCAGGTATGAGTCACCATGGAAATTTGGTTTTAATGTGTTACATCTAGTTTTAATATCTCAGGAGTTGAATTAATAATTCATCATCTTTAGAGAGAGTCACCTGCTTCAATGTAGCAATTAATTCCAAGCAAGTGTATAATCAGAATTCTTCATGTCATTTTTCTGAAAACACAAGCAGTCTAATTTTAAGAAATGGCTTGGTTTTCAACTTAAACATTTAAGTTTAATTTATAGATTAATGTATTAAAATTTTTAAGGGCTTGTTCTTACCTCTATAAATTCCTCAATCCCTGTTCTTTGGCTATCAAATTCTTCTGTCTTTGCTTCTAGTTTTCAGTTTCTGAAATATATACCTACATATAAACAAATTTCTTCCTGTCCCCAATTTCCATTTATTCCATCTTTGGTTTCCTGAACAGGGTTCACTTAAATTTATTAGTTTTCTAAAGACTCCTCTAACTTTTTTTGGGGGTGTGACTAAGGAGTTTGCTGTCAACTCTATTCTGCCCATAATCTTCATTTCTTAATTAAATGAAGAAAGGAAAGAAAAGCTGGAGGGAATGAATGATGGGGAGCCTGGGTGCCCTGAGGAAGGACCCCACTACACTACTGACAATTTATGCTGTTAATCTTTCTCCCATCCTTCCCCAAGGAGACCTCTGGCCTTTTACCAGAGTAACTGCACTGGGGAAAGGGGAATGATCAGACTTTTCAGGGACTTACTGGATACTGGCTCTGAGCTGACATTTATTCCAGGGGACCCAAAACATCATTGTGGTCCTCCAGTTAAAGTAGGGGCTTATGGAGGTCAGGTACTTAATGGAGTTTTAGCTCAGGTCCCACTATAGTGAGTCCAGTGGGTCCCTGGACTCATCCTGTGGTCATTTCCCCAGTGTCAGAATGCATAATTGGCATAGACATACTTAGCAGCTGGCAGAATCCCCACATTGGCTCCCTGACTGGTAGGATGAAGGCTATTATGGTGGGAAAGGCCAAATGGAAGCCATTAGAGCTGCCTCTACCTAGATAAATAGTAAATCAAAAACAATATTGTAAAAACAAACAAAAAACAACAACAAAAACCAATATCGCATCCCTGAAGGGAGTGCAGAGATTAGTGCCACCATCAAGGACTTGAAAGACGAACTCTCCTATTTGGCCCGTGCAGAAGAGAGATGGATCTTGGAGAATGACAGTGGATTATCGTAAGCTTAACTAAGTGGTGACTCCAATTGCAGCTGCTGTGTCAGATGTGGTTTCATTGTTTGGACAAATTAATACATCTCCTGGTACCTGGTATGCAGCCATTGATTTGGCAAGTGCCTTTTTCCCCATTCCTGTTTGTAAGACCCACCAGAAGCAATTTGCCTTCAGCTGGCAAGACCAGCAATATACCTTCACTGTCGTACCTCAGAGGTATATCAGCTCTCCGGGTTTGTGTCATAATCTTGTTTGCAGAGATCTTGATCACTTTTCCCTTCCGCAGGATATCACACCAGTTCATTAGTTCATTACATTGATGACAGTATGTGACCGGATCTAGTGAGCAAGAAGTAGCCAACACACTGGACTTATTGATGAGACATTTGCATGCCAGGGGATGGGAAATTAACTAAAATTCAGGGACCTTCTACCTCAGTAAAATTTCTAGTGGTCCAGTGGTGTGGGGCCTCTCAAGATATTCCTTCTAAGGTGAAGGATAAGTTGCTGCATTTGCCCCCTCCTACAACCAAGAAAGAGGGACAACGCCTAGTGGGTCTATTTGGATTTTGGAGGCAATACATTCCTCATTCTGGTGTGTTACTCCAGCCCATTTATCGAGTGACCTAAAAGGCTGCCAGTTTTGAGTAGGGTCCAGAACAGGAGAAGGCTCTGCAACAGGTCTAGGCTGTTGTGAAAGCTGCTGTGCCACTTGGGCCATATTACCTAGCAGATTCAATGGTGCTTGAGATGTCAGTGGCAGATAGGGATGCTATTTGGAGCCTTTAGCAGGCCCCCATAGGTGAATCACAGCAGAGGCCTCTAGGATTTTGGAGCAAGGACCTATCTTCTGCAGATAACTACTCTCCTTTTGAGAGACAGTTCTTGGCTGGTTACTGGGCTTTGGTAGAAACTGAATGTTTGACTATGGGCCATCAAGTCACCATGTAACCTAAACTGCCTGTCATAAACTCGTGCTTTCTGACCCATCTAGCCATAAAGTGGGGCATGCACAGCGGCATTCCATCATCAAATCGAAGTGGTATATATGTGATCAGGCTTGAGCAAGTCCTGAGGGCACAAGTAAGTTATGTGAGCAAGTGGCTCAAATGCCCATGGTCCCTGCTCCTGCCATCTAGCTCTCTTTCCCCCAGCCTGCACCAGTGGCCTCATGGGGAGCTCCCTGTGAACAGTTGAAAAAGGAAGAGAAGACAAGGGCCTGGTTTACAGATGGTTCTGCATGATACGCAAGCACCACCCAAAAGTGGACAGCTGCAGCACTACAGCTGCTTTCTAGAACATCCCTGATGGACAGTGGTGAAGGGAAATCTTCCCAGTGGGCAGAACTTCGAGCAGTGCACCTGGTTGTGGACTTTGCATGAAATGAGAAATGGCCAGATATGCGATTATATACTGATTCATGGGCTGTAGCAGATGATTTGGCCGGATGGTCAGGAACTTGGAACAAGCATGATTGGAAAATTGGTGATGAAGAAATTTGGGGAAGAGGTATGTGGATGGACCTCTCTTTTTGAGTGGTCAGAAACTATATTTGTATCTCTTATGAGTGCTCACCAAAGGTGACCTCAGCAGAGGAGGATTTTAAAAATCAAGTGGATTGGGTGACTTATTCTGTGGACACCACTCAACGTCTTTCCCCAGCCACCCCTGTTATCACCCAATGGGCCCATGAACAAAGTGGCCATGGTGGCAGGGATGGAGGTTACACACGGGCTCAGTAACATGGACTTCCACTCATCAAGGCTGACCTGGCTATGTATGACCACTGCTGAGTGCCTGATTTGCCAGCAGCAGAGACCAACACTGAGCCCTTGATATGGCACCATTCCTTGGGGTGATCAGCCAGCTACTTGGTGGCAGGTTGATTATATTGGACCTCTTCCATCATGGAAAGGGCAGCGGTTTGTCCTCACCAGAATAGACACTTACTCCAGATATGCGTTTGCCTATCCTGCATGGAATGCCTTATCCACCATCATGGTATTCTGCATAGCATTGCCTCTGACCAAGGCACATACTTTACAGCTAAAGAAGTGCAGCAGTATGTTCATGCTCTTGGAATTCACTGGTCTTCTCCTTATCATTTTGAAGCAGCTGGATTGATAGAACGGTGGAATGGCCTTTTGAAGTCACAATTACAACATCAACTAGGTGACAATACTTTGCAGGGCTGGCGCAGAGTTCTCCAGAAGGCTGTGTATGCTCTGAATCAGTGTCCAATATATGGTACAGTTTCTCCCATAGCCAGGATTCACGGGTCCAGGAATCAAGGGGTGGAAGTGGAAGTGGCACCACTCACCATCACCCCTAGTGGCCCATTAGAAAAATTTTTGCTTCCTGTTCCCGCAACATTACGTTCTGCTGGCCTAAAAGTCTTAGGTCCAGAGTGGAGAGTGCTGCCACCAGGACACACAACAATGATTCCATTAAACTGGAAGTTAATATTACCACCTGGACACTTTGAGCTCCTCCTACCTTTAAGTCAGCAGGCTAAGAAGGGAGTTACAGTGTTGCCTGGGGTGATTGGCTTGGACTATCAAGATGAAATCAGTCTACTACTCATCTTGAAATCAGTCTACTCTTCCTTACCTGATGGAGGTAAGGAAGAGTATGCATGGAATACAGGAGATCCTTTAGGGCCTCTCTTAGTATTACCATGCCCAGTGATTAAGGTCAATGGGAAACTACAACAACCCAATCCAAGCAGGACTAAAAATGACCCATACCCCTCCGGAATGAAGGTTTGGGTCACTCTACCAGGTACAAAACCACAACCTGCTGAGGTGCTTGCTGAAGAGACACAGGGAATACAGAATGGGTAGTAGAACAAGGTTGTCATCAGTACTGACTATGACCACCATTACCAGTTGCAGAAATGAGAACTGTAATTCTCATGAGTATTTCCTCCTTATTTCGTTAAGAACATGTTTATGCATGTATACAGTTTGTCTAAGAAAATATCTTCATTTTCCTTTTTCCTTTATCATGTGACATAAAATTTATTGACTTCATATCAGCATTTAAGTGGTAACTTTATGTAATAGCATTTAGTTTAAGGATTAATGTGCTTCCAGCTTTACAAAGGATAGGGATAGCTGTATTATGTTAGGCATAATTATGACCTTATTATTGTCTTTATTTGAAGATTATGTATGATTTCAGGAGATGTATATGCGTTCAAGTTGACAAAAGGTAGACTTCTGATGGTTAATATTGAGTGTCAACTTGATTGGATTGAAGGATGCAAAGTATTGTTCCTGGCTGTGTTGTGAGGGTGTTGCCAAAGGAGATTAACATTTGAGTCAGCGGACTGCGAGAGGAGGACCCACCCTCAAGCTGGGTGGGCACAATCTAATCAGCTGCCAGCATGGATAGAATAAAAGCAGGCAGAAGAACATGGAAGTACTGGACTGGCTGAGTCTTCCAGCCTCATCTTTCTCCTGTGCTGGATGCTTCCTGCCCTCAAACATCAGACTCCAAGTTCTTCAGCTTTTGGACTCTTGGACCTACACCAGTAGTTTGCCAGAGGCCCTTGGACCTTTGGTCAAAGGCTGAAGGCTGCACTGTTGGCTTCGCTACTTTTGAAGTTTTGGGACTTCAACTGGCTTCCTTGCTTCTCAGCTTGCAGATGGCCTATTGTGGAATTTCACCTTATGATCGTGTGAGTCAATACTCCTTAATAAACTCTCCTTCATATATACAGCTATCCTATTAGTTCTGTCCCTCTAGATAACCCTGACTAATATAGCTTCTATTTTTTGGTTTTTGAAATATATACATGTAAACAAATTTCTTCCCCTCACCAATTTCCACTTATTTCACCTTTGGTTTCCTGAATGGGGTTCACTTAAGTATATCAGTTTTCTAAAGACTGCTAGCTTTTTTTTTTTTTTTTTTTTAGATGTGACGAAGGAGTTTCCTGTCAACTCTATTCTGCCCATAATCTTCATTTCTTAAACGAAGAAGGAAAAGAAAAGCTGGAGTGAAAAGTTTTGAAAGAGAAAAAATTGATCTCTGTAATAATTTTCAAGAATTTTTACTGCAACTAAAATTCAGTGTTTAGTTTATGAAGAAAAAAATGAATGGCTATAGTACATACATTTCCATGGTAACAGAAGTGCTAAATACGGTATTAAAAATGGCAAGATATGCCTGTAATCCCAGCACTTTGGGAGGCCGAGATGGGCGGATCATGAGGTCAGGAGATTGAGACCATCCTGGCTAACACTGTAAAACCCCTTCTCTACTAAAAATACAAAAAATTAGCCGTGCGTGGTGGCGGGCGCATGTAGTCCCAGCTACTCGGGAGGCTGAGGCAGGAGAATGGCATGAACCCAGGAGGCGGAGCTTGCAGTGAGCCGAGATCGCACCACTGCACTTCAGCCTGGGCTACACAGTGAGACTCCGCCTCAAAAAAAAAAAAAAAAAAAAGGCAAGTTGTTTATATAGGATTTATATTGCAAGAAAAAGAAGAAGGGGAAACAAGATTTAATAGATTTAGTGGCTGGGTACAGTGGCTGATGCTTAAAATCCACCACTTTGGGAGGTCGAGGTGGGCGTGAGAGGTGACAGCTGCTGGCAGTCCTCACAGCCCTTGCTCGATCTGGGCGCCTCCTCTGCCTGGGCTCCCACTTTGGCGGCACTTGAGGAGCCCTTCAGCCCGCCGCTGCACAGTGGGAGCCCCTTTCTGGGCTGGCCAAGGCCAGAGCTGGCTCCCTCAGCTTGCGGGGAGGTGTGGAGGGAGAGGTGCAGGCGGGAACCGGCGCTGCGTGCGGTGCTTGCAGGCCAGTGCGAGTTCCGGGTGGGCGTGGGCTCGGCAGACCCTGCACTCGGAGCAGCCCGCCGGCCCCACTGGCCCCGGGCAGTGAGGGGCTTAGCACCTGGGCCAGCAGCTGCTGTGCTCAATTTCTCGCGGGGTCTTAGCTGCCTTCCCGCAGGGCAGGGCTGGGGCCTGCAGCCTGCCACGCCTGAGCCTCCCCCCCGGCCTCCGTGGGCTCCTGTGCTGCCTGAGCCTCCCCGACGAGCACTGCCCGCTGCTCCAGGGCGCCCAGTCAACCACCCAAGGGCCGAGGAGTGCGGGCACAAGGGGCGAGACTGGCAGGCAGCTCCACCTGCAGCCCCGGTGCGGGATCCACTGGGTGAAGCCAGCTGGGCTCCTGGGTCTGGTGGGGACTTGGAGAACCTTTTTGTCTAGCTAAGGGATTGTAAATACACCAATGGGCACTCTGTATCTAGCTCAAGGTTTGTAAACACACCAATCAGCACCCTGTGTCTAGCTCAGGGTTTGTGAATGCACCAATAGACACTCTGTATCTAGCTACTCTGGTGGGGCCTTGGAGAACCTTTATGTGGACACTCTGTATCTAGCTAATCTGGTGGGGAGGTGGAGAACCTTTGTGTCTAGCTCAGGGATTGTAAACGCACCAATCAGCACCCTGTCAAAACAGACCACTGGGCTCTACCAATCAGCAGGATGTGGGTGGGGCCAGATAAGAGAATAAAAGCAGGCTGCCTGGGCCAGCAGTGGCAACCTGCTCGGGTCCCGTTCCACACCGTGGAAGCTTTGTTCTTTCGCTCTTTGCAGTAAATCTTGCTGCTGCTCACTGTTTGGGTCCACACTGCATTTATGAGCTGTAACACTCACAGCGAAGGTCTGCAGCTTCACTCCTGAGCCAGCGAGACCACGAACCCACCAGAAGGCCGAACACATCTGAACATCAGAAGGAACAAACTCCGGACACGCTGCCTTTAAGAACTGTAACACTCACCTGAGAGTCCGCAGCTTCATTCTGGAAGTCAGTGAGACCAAGAACCCACCAAATTCCGGACACAGGAGGATCACTTGAGGCTGAGTTCGTGACCAGCCTGGGCAACAGGGAGACCCTATCTCTACAAAAATAAAAACTTAGCTGGGGATGGTGGTTCATGCCTGTAGTTCCAGCTAAAATATATGTATTTTTTATTAGTCAATTTAAATAAGTAAATAGATAATAAAAATTTTAAAAAGAGACAAGAGAATGGCGGTTACATGGGCCAGTTGACTTGTGAAAATTCATTAGACTGGACACTTGTCATCAAACTATGTAATTATACATTTTTCTGCATGAATATTTTCAATTAAAAGTTTATTAAGAAAAGATGGAGCCATTGCAATGTATGGATCTTGATTCTAATAAAAAGGCATTTTTTAAAGCCCTTTTTGCAATTGGGAAATCTGAGTACAATATTTGATGACATGAGTTATTAATGTTTTAAGAATAATAGTGGTGTATATTTTTTTAGTACTTTTAGAAATACAGGGAAATAATGAAACGATATCTGATGAAATGATAGATGAAACAAAGTTGGTCACACTTGGACACTTGAAACTGGATGATGGCTACATGAGTGTTCATTATACTGTTTTTTTTTTTACTTTTGTATATGTTTGAAATTTTCTGCAATGCAGTTAAAACATTTACACAAACACATATATATACACATATATAAAGTTAAATTGACAGTTCGCCATTTCCCACCCTAATCAATTTTCACCAATTATTCACAGTATTCTTGACCCAATCAACTTGGAGACAGAATCTGTTGGAAAAATTTCATTACTCTGTTTAGACACAGGATGGCACTCTTTGAATAAGTAATTAGCCAAAGTCCACTCCCACTAAGTAAGCTCCTCTACAAGCTGCTACTTTGTAGGGCAGTTTATCTTAGTTGAGGGTAAAATCTTTTCAGAGCTTATATAGATGTTTACTGCTCATACCTTTATTTTTTGTGTGTGTGCTGGCTGTCCCTATTTACTGCCAGTACTTGAAAAATTAAGGAAGGTTAAGGTTCAACACTATTTAAATAGTCATTTGATGCCTACTTTTCTTATTTTTGGTGTTTACAATTATTGCTATATTTTGCTACCTCATGTATTTCACATATATGTACACACATATATATACACATACAAATACGCACACATACATACATACATATGAATCATCTTTATTTAAAACTCAATGCCCACTATTGAACAGATTTCTACATTTTAAATGGCTTTTAGCCAGATACTACTGATTAAGGTCAGGATGAGGACTATTTACTCTGTGGACAGATGCTTTCCACTTTCAACCCTTGAAGAAGAATTGAAATAACTGTATTCTTGGACGTTCTCAGTCTGATTCATGCCTCCTTTTAGCCAACTATTCATAGATTCACCAGAAGAATTACACCTACTACCTCCGGCGTAGGAAGAAAAAAAAAAATCAAATGGGCAATAATGTTAGCAGAAGCTTGATATTTAAGAGCTGGTATTCAGAAAGATCATCCTTCCTACCCCCTTCCCTCCGGTCCAGTTCTCCTTTCTGGTTCTCACCATCGGAAATTGACTTGGCATTAACTAAGGGCTGGAATTTCAAGGCGTCAATTTTCCCCTGCCCCCAACCTCGGAAACTCTTAAACAGCTCCCTATTCTACACTCAATGGTAGAGACAGATAAATGATGCAGCAGATTACACCGTTGAAAGGCAACATTTGTCCTGAGCTATTTTCACATTTTTTCCTGTTTCCGATGTATGTGCCAGACTTTGTTTGCTTGCTTAGGACATGGAAAACACTGGGCATTTTCTCCCCAGCGGCTTTCATTCTCAGCAAATGAAAGTGAAAGTGCTACATTGTAGCGGTATTTTATCCTTAAAGTCTGGACTGGCAGCTTGTGTGTAGGGGGGAGGGAGGGTGGGATTGGGAAGGTTGAAGAACCAGTTTTGAGGTTTTGTTTGTTTATCTTGAGATCGCAGCAGGGTTCCTGTTTTTTTCCCTTCCTTTTTTTTTTTGGTGGTGGGGTCCTACTTCGGATTTATTTTCATTTGGGCAGTCATTGAAGTTTCATTCAATGGACTGACTTAAAAAAATACACTCCACTTGTGGCTTTTCCCGGTTGCACTTTAAAACACCATCCAGTCTCACCCTCATCTGGAAATAATGCAAGCTTCTCTCTTCCTTCCCCCGCTCCCTCCTCCCCTACTTTTTTTTTTTCTTCTTCTTCTTCTTTTAAAGCTCCACATAACCTGAAGTCGATAATCAAATGGAAAATGTGCTGGTATTAGTTTACTTTAGTTTACTTTCCCTTTTGGTGCTAACCTTACTTGCTGAAGTATGTATAAAACACAGGCATTTTGTACACTTGTAGCTACTGAGTCTTGTGCCTGCTGCACGAATCTAAGCTTTAAGTTTCCTCAGAGGCACTGTTTGCGTGCAAGTTTTAACATTTTGATTGTGTGGATTTTAAAAATAAAATTACACGGAGAATGACACCAGAGATCTTAACAGTGACATTAGTCCATCTAAAGTCATTCATCCTTCTCCCTCCCCCTTCATTTTTCCAAGAAACAACTAATAGCAAACCAGGCTAGAATTTCTAAGAGAGTTTAGAGGAGGAGGAGGAAAAGAGGCGGAATGAGATAGGACAGAGAGGTTAGAGAGGCCAGAATTTCTCTCATTCACAGTGTGGAAAAGTTGACATTGTCTAAGCCCTTCTGAATGGCTGGTAGTTGGTTACCCCGATTGTACCTCTACCTCCCCTCCCCCTCCACGTGACGACCCAGGACACATGCGCACCCGACGCAGCCCAGGCACATCTGCAGACTGACGTCAGTGTGCTCTGCCTCCGAGGAAAAGCTGCCAAAATTTTCTCCTGCTGCAATTCAAGTTGGCTGGGGGCCGGTAGTGAGATCTAGGGCTACTTCAACAAAACTTTGCTGCCCTTCCTGCTCCTCTTGTCTTCTTTTCTCCTGATACCTTTTGATGCTCTGCACATGTTATTTGCATAGCAAAGGCACTAAGCTTTCCAGGAAGAGAGGGCACCACTTCCACCCCCAATAAGTCTTTTTTCCCGTCTTTTCTTTCTTTTCCTTTCCTTTTTTGGGGGGTGGGGAGGGAGAGAAAGGGGGTTTGCAAAGGCAGCATCTCAGAGTGATAGCCTAGATGTATTGAAGGCATCTCTTATTCTGCCAAATCGGAAAGTCAGTTCTCTAAAGCCCGGGTTAGCCAGACCATAGGGTTTTATTCTGGCTGCAGAATAACTGGCTGGTGTGGCTTTGCAAAGGGGGGCAAAAAATAAAAAAATAAAAAAAATTAAAAAAAGTTAGAGAGGAGAGGGAGTACGTGAGTCGTCCAGTGCAATCTCTATTGTCTGAAACTTACTTTTTATCAGAATTTGAAGATGAAAACGGTAAGGAAGACTTAACAATATTCAATGGAGCTTTTTTTTTTTAAACCAACAACTTGTGCTTTGCTTGTCTTCCGAATAACGCTTAGAAAACTTTTTTTCTGTGTGTGTGTTTTTTTTTTTTTTTTTAATGGCAATGAGTGAGCTTGACTGAACTCATTTTACAAATAGATATCTTTTTAACTCCAGACTTGTCGGGGGTTGTAGAATTCTGGGACTTGCAGTTATTTTATGATGCAAAAAAAATACGTTTATTTTATGAATATACAATACATGTTTTGTGAAGTGGACTTGATTATGATTATTGTAATCTTTTAACTGATCACCAAATAGTAATCCGGAAGGTAATAATGATGTGTGTGTTTTAAATTGATTTCCAGTTTTCTTACAGAAAAGTCTTATGCATTTTGTAGTTTCATGTCAGTGTCGTTAAGTCTTCAGACAAGTGCATATTTTATGCCTGGGCTCAGAGGGTAGCATTAATGTGCTAGCTGTAGCCCCGATGCTCTAGGACATGTTAAGCTCTTAATAGGCTAATCAAAGAGATGGAAACGTGTGTTTTTGATTTACTTTTGGCCACTTGGGACGTGCTAGACTCATAACCCTCCGGAGCCTTGTTTATCGGGGTAGGTCTGTATATATGGTGTATGGGACCAAAGTTCAGGGATTGAGGAGGGAGAGTGAGAGTGCAGGAATGGGGTATTGGGAAGCCTCTTTCTGATAATATGTGCTACAATTCCTGTCTTTGATGCTTTCTTTCCCTGTACTAGAGGAAAAGTGAGCGAGAGATTGAGAAAGCGCACTGAGAGGGAACAAGAGAGTGAGTTTCTTACTCTTGTTTTTATTTGAGCTGCCGGTGCAACGCGTTTGGGCCAGATGCCAACTGTCTGGGTCACACGCGTTTTATCCAAATAGATTTAGCGCTGCTGTCTGGAAATGGGCTGCTGAATGTTAACTTTAGGATCAACTCAACCAGGGCAGCTCAGACTGTTACCCTCTGTCTGGGCGAAGTGGAATGGTGGGGGCGGGGGGAGGTGAGGGTGTGCAGAGCAGAGAGAAAAAGGGAAACTGAACCATTGCTTGGAACTTTAAAAGAGACACTTGAGTGTGATTTTCAACATGTTCTTTTTATGTTCAAGTGTCGTGGACTAATTTTCTGTTCTTTTTTCTTTCTTTTTAGTTTCTGTTGATTAGACTGAAATGTTTAGATGTGGGGATGACAGTTTTCAGAATTCATGACAGGAAAAGAAACGTAACACAAAATTGGTGTAGTTGAAAGAAATTAAGAAAATTAATTTTGGAGATAATTGTTTTCTTGTGTTGCAGCAAAGTGGTAACTGCAGTCTGGTTTATGTTAATTCTGTGCTTAAATGTGATCGTTAGTGTTTTGAATTTTTGAAGAATAGCATTTAGAGGCAAATACGTTGATTTCAAACAAATCAAATTCATTCATTTGCCACAGCTGCAAATGAAGTCTGTGTAGTGGTCTTAATATTTTTGTGATTCCCAAGAAGAAAAACTTCTAGCCTGAAGACTGAAAATACTGTAATACTCCTTATGTCTGGTCCCAATACCTGTAAGATTAATTCCTACTCTTGTCTACTCTTAGCACTTCCTCTTTCTTTCCTTAGTAATCACTAGTAGTAGTAACTAGGATGGGTCTTTATGCCAAATTTTATCAAGTTTGTGACTTTAGTGAGTGAATGAAGGGAGTTACCATATTAAGAGATAGTTAACAGCATATTTGGAATATGTGTTGGGGGTAGTGGGGAGAAAAAGAGGGGAAGAGGTGGATAGCTCTCTTGCTTCTGCCAAAAAACATGGTTGATTATCAAGCTAAGCTCAAGAGAAAAAATTTATAATACAGAAAATGTGTATTTACTTGCTATCTGGAAAAAAGTGTGAGACTACATGTAATTTAGGGCTTGAGTTTTATAAATCATGGTTTGTATTTTTGCTTTTAGCTCATTTGCTTGATAGATATGTTTTGGGTAATTTATGTGTTTAGTTTCACCTTTCCTTGGAAACCAATCTCACAAATTTTATAAATGATCTAGAAACCTTTATACTTAGAGCCTAATTGTGTCCTTAGCATACAGTAGGTGATAATAAATGTGAGAGAATAAATGGAAATGAAAGAAGTTAATTTTCATATGTAAAAATTAAACACCTGAAAGGAGCATGGTATTGTTGTTTCTTCCATGGAGACCAAATCAGCCTTAAATAAATAACCAGAGTTAAGATGGATGAAAGAAGTTGAGAAGAACATTATACACATTCTTTAGCTTCATAATAATAGTTCACAAGAGGAAATTATTACCTTGGCTACTCCCCGATCACTTGAGTGGGAAGTAAAGATGATAGAGGAAAAAAGACAAGTAATACCCTCCAATCAGGGCAGACTACTGAGGAAATCACTATAGTGCAAGTTGTCTCATCATTTTTCTTCTTAGGTAGTGTAGCTTTGATCCATGGAAGCAGGTAAATGATCCCTTAACTTTACTGCCTGGTGCATTTGTGTTAGGGAGAAAAGCATATGTGAAATCAAAGTGAAATGGACGTTTTGGTTCTGTTTTCAAATTTAAAGTAGTTATAAGTATCATTATCATGACCAAAGTTCTTAACTCCTTGCTGTAAAAGACAATATAACTAGTTGATTGACTCCATCATCATATCTATTATTTCACATTTTTGAGGGAAAGAGGAACATGAAACTATTTTTGAAGGAAGGGCTTTGAAAAGTGATGTTAGATAATGAAGGAAGGAGGGCTAATATTATTTAGCTTAAAGTACAGAGACACTTTACGTCATATGTAATCTAATCTCTTAACAAGTCTTTGTGAGATAGACATCAATATCATGGTTTTATAGATTAGAAAGCAGATGCAGAGAGGTTAAGTAACTGGGGGTCAGGCCAGGACTCAAAGCCTTTGTGCTTTCCACAACATAATGATGTTTCTGCTATACAATTTAAAAGGTCAATGCATTGTGATTTTTGGACAACTGTTTGGTATTTCAATGTTAGTCTGAACTTTGGAAACTATATCTGAAAAGTCACAGCCTCTACATATTTATGGTGTCCAGATTAACCTCCCCACCAGGTGTCAGAAAGTGGGTTAACTCATTCACTTTTATTGTGTAGGTGACTAAGAGCAGTTAGATTTGTTAGTTGTGTTGATTTTAGTTAAATTCCTTTTTTGTTTGTTTGGTTTTTTTTTTGAGACGGAGCCTCGCTCTGTCACCCAGGCTGCAGTGCAGTGGCGTGATCTTGGCTCACTGCAGCCTCCACCTCCCATGATCAGGTGATTCTCTTGCCTCAGCCCCCTGAGTAGCTGGGATTACAGGTGCGCACCACCACGCCTGGCTAATTTTGTATTTTTAGTAGAGACAAGATTTTGAAATGTTGGCCAGGCTGGTCTCAAACTCCTGACCTCAGGTGATCTGCCCATCTCAGCCTCTCAAAGTGCTGGGATTACAGGTATGAGCCACCATGCCTGGCCAGTTTTAGTTGAATTCTATCTAGACTCATTTACTTAATGTTAAGTTTCTTCACTGAGCACTGGAGGCCAAAAAAAAAAAAAATGTGGGGAGGGAGCAAGGGAGTGATAAAGGAGAAAGAAACTCATGTGCCAGCTATTATAACTAGTGTTGGAACTAAGACTATAACTGGTTTGTTTAACTTCAAAGCTCCTGCTTTTTCAACTATGCACCAATGCCTTTTTTACTGCAAATCCTTAAATCATATAGTAGTCTACTTCTGGCCAAATAGGTATTACTTTTTTTTCTCAATGCTACTGGCTTAGTTAACTTGAGCATTTACAGGAGAGTAGGTAAGAGTGAAGGTTATGAAACTGTAACAATTTACAAAAAGAGCAGGACATTTCTCAAGAGGGAAAAATAGTTGCTCCCTAAATCCAGTCAACTATATTGTAAGTTTCTCAGTAGTTTCAAAACCTAGAAAAATAGGAGAAAAAGGGATGAATGATTCAATCAAATCTATCTCCATTGCTAGAAAATTAACTCAAATGTGTTAAGTATATGTTTTTTAAAGGAAGATTATAATCTAAAGTATATGAGGGACTAATTTAATGTCAGATGTTATTACTCAAAACACTCCAGTGATCTAAAAAAATTAAAACAATGAAAATGAATGTTGTTCAAAAGGTGACAATTATACTTTAATATTACATGGGAAGGTTTAGAGTATGGAATCTGTATATAAGTAGGTTGGAAACCAAGATAATGGAATTCTTCTTATTGCCGTTATTGAATAATGGTATAACTTAATCTCTCTATAAATTTTTACCTGAGAAAGGATGCCTGCTATCTTGCCTAAATTAGTGTAGAAGTAATTTCAAGAAGAAACAATGACTGTATGTGAAGTTGTTAAAAACTATTCACATTAACTAACCAATACCACTTATAAATATATCGACTGGGCGCAGTGGCTCACGCCTGGAATCCCAGCACTTTGGGAGGCTGAGGCTGGCGGATCAGGATGTCAGGAGATCGAGACCATCCTGGCTAACACGGTGAAACCCCATCTCTACTAAAAAAAAATACAGAAAAATCAGCTGGGCATGGTGGCACGCATCTGTAATCCCAGCTACTCAGGAGGCTGAGGCAGGAGAATCACTTGAACCCGGGAGGTGGAGGTTGCAGTGAGCTGAGATCGTGCCACTGCACTCCAGCATGGGCGACAAGAGCAAGACTCAGTCTCAAAAAAAAAAAAATCTTCTTTGACATTGGTTGTTATTAACTACTGTTGACTGTTTAAATTTGAGTGCCTTAAACTGGAAGTGTGATATAATACAAAGAATTTAGACTTTAGAACCAGACAGCCTTGTGTGAATCTGGGCTCTATTGTTTTATACCTATCTGACCAGTGAGTTCAGCTTCTTTATTTGTGAATTGGTGGCTGTATTAGTTATCAATTGCTGTGTAACAAATTACCACAAACTTAGTGAGTTAAAACAATACACATTTATTATCACACAGTTTCTCTGGGTCAGGAATCTAGGGGTTATGTCCTCAGCTTTAGGGTATCTCATGAGCCACAAAGTGTTGGCAAGGACTAGGGTCTTTACAGAAGGCTTGACTGGGGAAAAACCTGTTTCTAAGCTCACCTATTACTGAACAGGATTTAGTTTCTTGCATGCTGTTGGACTGAGGGCCTTAGTTCCTTGTTAGTTATATCAGAGGCTGCTCTCAGTTTCTTCAATGTGGGCCTCAACAAATGACAGCTTGCTTGCTTCATCTAAACCAATTAGGGAAAGATGTGGCTAGCAGATGGAAGTCAGAATCTTTTGTATGTAATAACGAAAGTGACATCCCCTCAGTGTTGAGGTATTCTATTGGTTAGAATCAAATTAAGAGGAGGGGAGCAAGGGAATGGATATGAGGAAGCCAGATTATTGGGCTCATCAGAGTCTACACTGCCACAGGGGCAGAGTATATTTACTTCACAAGATGGTTTTGGAGATTAAAAGAAGCAATATGTATTAAAGTTTTTTATTTTTGGTCTGATCTTAAACTACCTTTCTGGTTATTACCTGTTAGTTTTTTTGCACAGGAACAAAATTTGCTATTGCTATTATTACTAATATTGTTTACTATTTCCCATTTTTTTCTGGTTATCTAGACTTTGTGGAATGCATTTCTTCTATTTGTAATGATTACCTCCAGCAATTTGACTTGTAAAATTGTATTCGTCTTCCGGGATCTATCTGAAATGCTTTTTCCATAAACATTCCTTGATTCATTCTTCTCTGACCCAGAAGTCATCTCCCTCATCTGATCTCCTGCAACAACTTTGCACGACCTTATTACGGCATTTGTCAGTCTGCCTTACATTTTTCCTTGTTACTTAGATTATGAGCTCTCCAAGGGCAAGGATTGAATCTTAATCTTTTCTGTTTCCCTTAATCCTTTTCTGTATTCTGATGTTGTTATAACATCATCTTTTAAACATAGTAGGACAATATTTGTTGATTAATGAATTAGCTTTTCCAAGGCTTAGCAGTTTAATAACTTGTAGAGACAAATGTAAGGGATTTAAATGGCTGTTGTTGTTTTATATGTTGTATATACCAATATTTCTATCACCGTAGGGAATGAAGTGTTTCACATAAGTTAATTTTACAGTTAACTACAAATACTTTTTATATGCCTAAAGTGATTTTATTTTAACCACTATTCATTTATTCATTCTTTTACTCATCCATTTTTTTCAACCAACAAATATATAGTAAGAATTTATTATGTGAAAATTTCATATATTAGGGATTTGGAATGAAAATCTTTCTAATCTCTTTTGTGTACTTTCCTAACTTACTAACAGTAACTTACCTTATTAAACGCATTTATCTTCTTATTTTGGACTCAGGCATAGTGTTATGAGTATCAGATATTGAACTATATAACACAGTTATACATACAATAGGAACTGTTAAACTATGTAAGACCCATTTGCCTCTACCCCAAACTATATTACTTTGGGGTTCTAAAACTACATTTTCGTTTTTTATCCTTTTTTTTTTTTTTTTTTTTGGTCACAGTTTGGCTGTTTGTGGCTAGTTTTTAGCTCTTAGTTATTTTCTTCTTCTGATCTGCTGTATGCGGGGAAACCAGGCAGCCAAATATACTATTCTGTATCAAGTGTGAATGGAGACTCTGAGTGAGGTTGTTAGTTGCATGTAAAGTACATGAGCTAGGACTTGAAATCTGTTGTAATACTTGAAATGAAGTTTTAAAATTTTCTTTTAAGTTACATTTCAGAGAGTTGAAATTGACTCACGAGTTGCCTTATAAGTCACATAAGACTTCCGAGTAAAGTCAAGGGTTATAGTACATACAGTTCAACTTTTTAGAAGTTTAGCTTCTGATACTGTCTTAGTATTCACAGATGGCTGCTAAATGTCACTATTTGTAGATCTACTTTGTCAGAAAAAAAAATGATAGGTGCCTTATAAAGCAACACAACAATATCTGGATATGAGTGTGTTTAAAAGGCATGTTATGGAATGGGATTACATATTGTTTGTCACATATAATGAACTGAAGTAGTGAAGTCAGCCGATTTTATTTTATCAAAAGGAAGTTAACTCATTGCCCATCATTGTTATCTTCAAAGTTTTTAAAAAAGAATTATGATTTCTCTTTAGATTCCTTATTTGATTATTAAGTAACTCTGGCATTATGCTGATAACCATTTTGGTCTCTAATTCTGTGTCTAATCTTGTGAATGTTTATTTAGACTATAAAGACTAACAATGGTCTAATTTAACTATATTATTTTGTAGTTATGTCTTTTGGCAAGGATTCAGTACTATATAGGACTTGGATTTTTCCATTCTGGATATTTTTCAGTTAACTTAAATTTTTTTTTTTCTAGGTTAAAAAATGGCCATACTTTAGTAACTAATCAGCCTAATGCTTTGCTTATGAAAACTTTTACCATCATTATTTTTTTCATTTTGGATTGAGAAAATGAATCCAGATATAGAAGAAAGTGCAGGATGTTGGATAAAAGTGGCTCTTAAACAGTGGAACATCCAATAACTAATTTGCAAGAAGTTTTAAAGAAATAAAATTGTTATGCTTCGATTTTGGTATGGTATTGACTCTTTAGCACATAGGTAGCCCTCAAAAAAATCATCCAGTTTTCTAAATTATGGAAATTTTGTGGAAGACGTTGACCTGGATTTTGAGCCTCATCATGGCTTCATCGGAATTTCATAGTGACCACAGGCTTTCATACAGTTCTCAAGGTAGGATTCTTGCTTTTGAAACTGACAAAAAATATTGCTATTAATTGGACAAGAAAAGATTCTGCATATTTAGTTTGGGTGGATAGTTTTTTTTGGGATATGTAGTGATAGGAATAGAGGCCTACTGTGTCAATTCGGTATTAGTTTCATAAATGTTAAGGGCTATGCGTCGTTTAACTTGTCCTACTAGTATTTAACATCCCGTGGATTTTAGAGTTGACTGGTCTTTCTTGGAAAATGATAGACCCCAGGCCTTGTTCTTCTGAAACTTAAACTTTAATAAGCTTGTTCATTACTAGAGTTTATGGGCAAGGACATGTTCAAAGAGAATCCAAACATTTATGCTGTGGAAGAAGAAACCAGATAAATTATGATACAGGACCCTTTTAATATGGACCCTTTGTGAAAAAATACTTTTGCAAACCTGAGAGTTCTGATCTAAAGACTAGAATCTGAGTGTAAGAATGAGAACTGTAAGAAGTGCAACTTTTCACATTCTAATCTTTATAATTTTAATCTATAGAATTGAGCTTTATATCGTAGAAATGATCTTAACAAAGCAGGCCCAGGAGTAAATGTCATTTTGTTTTCCATGGACCAGTCCAGTCCTTATAGAATTATTGAGAGGCATACCTTTTGGATTTCCCTCCCATGAATACATAGTAATAGATAATTTTTTGGTGCCGATGAACCAGATTTTCAAGACTATTACAGATTGATGTATGTATCTAGAAATCCATGTTAAAAAGTGTGGCTGTCAAAGTAAATCAATGAAGCCATGACATTTAGTATGAACTCTAATTATTTATAAGAAGTGAAATAAACACTGTCTTTGAATTTATTTACATTTGGTTATGGTTTTATAGGAGTTTATATTAGTGTGTAAACTCCATGTATAGACACTGAGGCAAATAAGCAGACATTTGGTTTACCTTAGTGGTAAATCTAGCTGAAAGAAGGTACAGCTAAGAAGGTAGATGGAAAATGTTTAGTACATCTAAATGAGGAAAATATGTTCCTCATTTAGTTCTCTGAAATTTTAGTCAAGCTGTTTTTAAAATAGCTTTATTGAGATATTACTACACATACCATAGAATTCACCCATTTAAGGTATAAAATTCAGTGGTTTTTAGTATTTTCGGCATTGTACAACCATCACAATAACCTATTTTATTTTATTTCATCTTATTTTTTGGCACTAGTGTCATCGCCAACATAATCAATTTTAGAACATTTTCATCACTCCAAAAAGAAGCCTATACTTCTTAGTGGTCACTTCCAAATTCCCTCCAAACCAGCCTTCACCTCCAGCTGTAGGCAACTAAACCTTCTGTCTGTAGAGATTTCCCTATTCTGGATATTTCATATAAATGCAATGATATGTGGCATATTGTGACTTGCTCTTTTACTTAATGTTTTAAATGTTAGATAATGAACTTTGATTATGAAGACAGTTGTTCTGAAGGTTCATTCATGTCATAGCATGTATCACTACTGCATTCCTTGTTATTGTAAAATAATATTGCATTGTGTGGATATACTACATTTTGTTTGTCTATTCATCAATTGATGGAAATTTGGTTTAATTCCCCTTTTTGAGTATGATGAATATTGCTGAGCATTCACATCTAAATTTTTATGTGAATGTGTGTTTTCATTTCTATTGTGTATATACCTGAGAGTAGGATTGCTGGATCATATGGTTAACTCCATGTTTAAAATTTTGAGGAATTGTCAGACTGTTTCTCAAAGTGGTTACAGCATTTTACATTCCCATTGACGTGTTTTTGTTTTTGTTTTTCGTTTTGTTTTTTTTTTTGAGACGGAGTCTTGCTCTGTCGCCCAGGCTGGAGTGCAGTGGCGCAATCTCGGCTCACTGCAACCACCACCTCCCAGGTTCAAGTGATTCTCCTGCCTCAGCATCCAGAGTAGCTGAGACTACAGGCGTGTGCCGCAACGCCCGGATAATTTTTTTGTATTTTTAGTAGAGGCGGGGTTTCACCGTGTGATGATTTCTTAAAAAATAATAATTTCTACAAGGCTATAGAGATTCTTTTTTGGATAACTTTCAAAAACAGATTCTGAGCTAAACTCTTTTCTTTTACATATGTGTGCTTCTCATTATTTTTTATTTCAAAGTAAAATTTTAATATTTCTTGTAGAATTTAGCTCTTAGGATCCATGTTTTAAAAATTAAAAAAGTAAAATAGTCCTTCACAAGTAATATTAAAATGATGGCAACTTAATCTTCAGATTTTAAACTTTTATTCTTTCATTTTTGTTTAATATAACTTTTTTTGTACATACCTCACATATAATGATTCATAGTTTTAATTGACATAGTTGTTGTTTATATTGCTGCTTCTTTGTTCCGTTAAATTTTCTTTTCTTCCATGTGTTTTTTTTCTGGATTCTCTGCCTTGTGATTACAAAGAGGAATTCCTGACTTATCTTGAACACTACCAGCTAACTATTCCAATAAGGGTTGATCAAAATGGAGCATTTCTCAGCTTTACTGTGAAAAATGATAAACACTCAAGGAGAAGACGGAGTATGGACCCTATTGATCCACAGCAGGCAGTATCTAAGTTATTTTTTAAACTTTCAGCCTATGGCAAGCACTTTCATCTAAACTTGACTCTCAACACAGATTTTGTGTCCAAACATTTTACAGTAGAATATTGGGGGAAAGATGGACCCCAGTGGAAACATGATTTTTTAGACAACTGTCATTACACAGGATATTTGCAAGATCAACGTAGTACAACTAAAGTGGCTTTAAGCAACTGTGTTGGGTTGGTAAGTAGATGCTATAATTTTAAACTTCTGATGGGAAAATAAGAATTTTGCAATGTAAATGTCTTTCCTCAGATTAAAAAAAAAATATATATATATATAGGTAGTTTAAGTAGGAAGGTAATAGTTTAAAATTTTTTGCTATTTCTGCTGCCTTTGATTTTGATTTTCTTTTTAATAATGTATTGACTTTTCAAAGGGCAGCTTTTAAAACTCTATTATTAGAAGAGGAATGAACAAAACTTCAGATTTCCCTTTAGACTTATGTTTTTCTGTTCAAATAAGATATCTTTTATGCATAAACAAAACTCAGTCATTTTTGAAGAATTTTAGGGTATGTTTGTATGTATATGTGTATTATGGCAGGAAGCCACAACACTGACATTCTTTTTATAATATCTTTCTTTGGTAGGTAACATATCTTAAAATTTCTTATGACCTACTTACAGTTATAAGTTCTCGAAGTAAAATCTTTTATACAGTGTCTATGAGATAATTTTTTATACATTTATATGAAGATTGATATAAATCTTATTTTAGTTAGAAAATGGGTTCTAGGCTGGGTGAGGTGGCTCATGTCTGTAATCCCAGTGTTTTAGGAGGCCGTGATGGGAGGATTACCTGAGGCTAGGAGATCAAGACCAGCCTGGGCAGCATGGCGAGGCACCCATTTCTAAAAATATATTTTTAAGAAAGAATGGAAAAAAGAAAATGGGTTCAAGACTACAGGGTTTATCCTGGGCATTTGAATCCATTCTAGTCTAATGGTAAATACACAGTTCAAAGTTGCACATAGTAATAATTGCAAAACAAAGCAAATTTCCATGCTTTCTCTTCTGTGTTTACCCTGTTCAGGCTAATGTAGCTGTTCCATTAAAGCTGTATCTGTGAAAAGGGTAAAAACATTTTGATGCTCAAGGAACATTTTCAGAAACTTTTTCTTTTTTATTATAACATACCCATATTCTTATTTCTGTTTCAATATAAAATAACTATAATTCGAGTTGGGTTTAAATAAGTTTTAAATTTGAAAGGACTATCAAGAACTACACAATGGAGGAAAACATTTCACTGTAGATGTATATAGGAATGTGCTCCAATTGTCTACTTTCTATCACTGTTAAGTAAAATGAACCAAAATATTTACTTAGCTTGTAAGATTTAGGCTTAATTTCTACAAATAGACAAATTGAGTATACTCATTACTAGTTTCTCTATAAGCAGTGTTAGGACTTTCTCTATAAAACAGATTTATTTTTTTAAATAAAATTATCCAAAATGTGTTCTAAAACTTTTCATATGTTAAAATGGCACACTATTCATTATCATAGAAAAATACTATTCCTAGTTATTGACTAGGTTATTTATGTTTGGCATTAACATTAATTATGCCATTGCTAGTTTTAACAGGGTGATGAAATGAGCACATTCAAGAACAAAACTAATTCCATTGTGGGATTTGAGAGAAGAGTGATTGTAGATATGAAGATAATTTAGAACATGTAGGAGACAATAAGGGCCTATTCGAAGACTATGGCATTGAGAATAAAGAAGACAGAATGAATTTGAACCACATTTAGGGACAAAATTTAAAATATTTGCATCCTATTAATTTTTTCTTTCCTGACATGTAATAAGACAGAGAATACATAGTAGGTAGTTAATAATATTTTAAAAAATTGAAATAGAATTGAACTTGTGAGATACAGGAGAGAAAGCAATTGAAGATGGCTGAGATATCTCTTTTGGATGAAAGTATATATGAATGTTATGAGTTGAGAACGAATGTCAGAGGAGAGCTGGATTGGAGAGGAATTTGAAGAGCATGCCTTTGATATAGCAAATGTGAGGAATCTGAATAAATAAAGGTTAAAGATATCTAATGGTATTTGAGAAATGTAGCTCTGAAGTTTAGAAAAGAATTCAATTCTGGAAACGAGTAACTTCAGAGCCATTAATGTAGGTGACTTTATGAAATTGTGCAACATGCTGTTTGATGACTCAAAAGTGAGAATAAAGTTGAAAATGGAACCTTTTCTACAATGAAGGAGATGACAAAATGTCACCTATTCATCCTTATTGAGACTTTCTGTCTCTTGTTCTCTTTCCCTCTGTTAACACCTATTTTACTTCGTCTCTTATTGACACTGTATGGTCCGTGTTAACTAAGTTTGATTATTTGATTAAGGTGTGATCTGCCAGGTTTGTCCACTGAAGTTACTATTTTTTCCCTTGGCAGTTCGTAAGGAATTTGTGAGCAGATGTTTCACACTTTTACACACCAGTTTTAGTAAACTTTATCTTCATTCTTATTTTGTATGTTACTTTTTTTTTTTTTTTTTTTGAGACAGGGTCTTACTCTTGCCCAGGCTGGAGTGCAGTGGCGTGATCTTGGCTCACTGCAACCTCCACCTCCTATGGATGTTACATTTTTAATCAAATGGAATATGTAAACAAGTGTTTTTTAAAAAATTCTACTTTTCAAAGGCCACCACTTTTAATAAATTCTATGTTTTTAATCATTCTATATAAAATAGTTGTTAATGCAGAGATCATTAGTGTTTTCTAATCGTATCTCCTCACCCATAGTTTTAGTGCTGGGACTCTTGCACCATTCAAAATACAAAATTCCTAACATTATAGTCTGTCAGCTTCATATAATGTCATATTTTAATTTGCTGTGTATTTGGACCATGGTTTCTTACTCAGGTTTTGTTTTTTCTGGAGTTTCTGTTTACTTTTACTTTTTCTCAGTGCGAAAAAAAATATCGTTTCTTTATCAAGTGATTTAATATTTTCCACTTCCTTAGTCCTTTTATCTATTGCTTGAAATACATTCCATTCTTCTTTGGAGGCATTTTTCATGGAGCCATTTAATTAATTTATTGGGCTAATTTCTTGATGTTAGTTTCTGTAACATCTCTCATTTTGGGACTTCTTTCCTAAATTAGTTCCACATCTTTCTCTTTCTGAGTTTACATTCCTGGTTTTGTTGGAGAATATCTTCAAAAATTACCTCAGAACAGCGACTGGAAAGTAAAGTTTCTGAGTCTGTGTCTATTTGAAAGGGACCTTATGCAGCCCTCATGTTTGATTAATAATTTAGCTGAATGTGAAATTCTGGGTTCAAAAAATCATCTTCCTTAAGAATGATGGATGGTGGTACTGGGAAAGGGAATATATAGGGCATAAAATTTATTTATATGGTTTTATAGCTTTAAAAAAGAAAAATACTTAAAGGTCTTAAAAGTTAGCATTGATTCACAGGTATAAGTCTGCTGCTAGTCTGATTCTTGTCCTTTTATTCTTTAAAAATTTTTTTTAGTTAAAAAAAATTTCCCTCAGTGAAAGCATGTTCCTTTTATCCTTCCTGTTTCAGGAACTTATAACATGGCTAACTATGGGTTTTCTTTCCTAATTTCTGCTTGGTATTTGATGGGTGCTTTTAATAAAGACCCTCCTTCAGCTTAGAGAAATTAAAAAAATTATTTCCTTAATAATTTTATCTTCTTAATTTTTTCTTCCTCCCTGCACTCTCTTTCTGGAATTGGTTCTCTGCTTCGCTTATCTTTTTCTCTTTTTCCATTGTTTTCTTTTTTGTTCTAATTTCTATGAGATTTCCCCGATTTCGTCTTCTTTTCCTTCAGTTGATTAAAAAATTACAGCAGTCATATTTCTAATTTTCAAAAGTTCTTTCTCTTTTTCTTGGATTTTCTTACATTCTGTCCTTTTTTTTTTTTTGAGACGGAGTCTGCTCTGTCGCCCAGGCTGGGTGCAGTGGCGCAATCTTGGCTCACTGCAAGCTCCGCCTCCCGGGTCCACGCCATTCTCCTGCGTCAGCCTCCCGAGTAGCTGGGACTACAGGCTCCCGCCACTACGCCCGGCTAATTTTTTGTGTTTTTAGTAGAGACGGGGTTTCACTGTGTTAGCCAGGATGGTCTCGATCTCCTGACCTCGTGATCCGCCCACCTCGGCCTCCCAAAGTGCTGGGATTACAGGCGTGAGCCACCGCGCCCGGCCTATTCTGTTCTTATTTCATGAAGACTGATTATCTTCAGTCCCTCTGAATATTATAAAGACCATATAGCTAGTTAGAAAAGCTCAATGATCCCATTAGACTTTCTGTTCATTTAGTCATGTCCATAGTTGTCATTCTCCCCTTTTCATTATTCATTCATTTCACTAATACTTATAAGTACCTTCCATATAATGGGCACTGTTGTAGGTGCTAGGATTACAGTAGTGAAAAATAAAAATCTCTGTTATCATATAGCTTGTATTCTAGTAGGGTATACACACAAAAAGATAAATAAATAAAAACTATAATACGTTGGGTAGTGATAAATGGCAAGGAGGAAAAAGTATTGAGCAAAGACCCTAAGGGAAAGGAGGAAGGAAATGCTGGCATCTGAGGGATAAGATTTCCAGGTAGAAATTTTAAAGTACAAAGATATGATCTTAGAGTGTTTGAGGAACAGCATGGAGGTCACGTGGCTGTAGCCAAGAGAAAGGGAGGGAGAATAATGGAAGTTGAGGTCAGAAAGGAAACTGGGAGCCAGATGTAAAGGCTTTAGGGGACACAAAATAGAATCAATGATAACTACAAGTTCGAGGCCTGAGCAACTAACATAATCTAGCAGCCATCAACTAAGATGAGAAAGACTCTGGAATTAACTGAGATGAAAAAGCTGTTCGAGGAGTAGGTAGGGGGATGTATATCATGAGTTCAGTTGGAGGTGTTAAACGTGAGATGTTGTATAGGATATTGGATATGTCAGTCTGGAGTTCAGAAGAGAGATATGAATTAGAAAGTTATAAATTTGGGAGTCATCAATATATAGATGCCATTTAAAGCCAAGAGATTATATGAAATTGCTTTGAAGGGAGCATAGGTAGAATAGAGAAGAGGTCTAAGGACTGAGCCCTTGGGCATTCCAAGAGGTCAGGGAGGTCAGAGAGATGTAGCAGAAACAACATAGAACAGAGTAATAAAGCTGAAGGAATATCTGGAAAATGTTCTGGAAGCCAGAAGGAAATATTTCAAGAGGAAAGTGCTGCTGATGAGTCCAAATAAGAGTAGCACTGCAAATTGCATTGAATTTATCATTGAGGAAGTTATTGGTGACCCTGACAAAAGCAGTTTCAGTGAAGAAGAGTTTGAAGAAGAGGCAATGACATGATTGGAGTAGGTTTAAAATGGAGTGGGAGGAGAGAAAAAGAGTATGTAGACAGTTATTTCAAGGATTTCTGGAAAAGCAAAAAAATTTTCAGTAGCAGGCAGAAGTGTGGTCGCAGGAGGTTTTGTTTTGTTTGAAGTGGGAATGATTAGGTAGAGTGAGGGGTGCTGGAATGAAGTTCTTGATAGGTGAGAAAGGATAGAATTTTCCACACAAATAGAATAATTACCTTTAGCTAGGGGAATAGATAGTTCATCCATAATAATAGGGAAAAATAGATTATATGGACATAAGATGCAGGTAGGTGGGTATTTGTGATTGTAGGAATTTGTAGGAGGTTTTGCAATGTCTATCGGAGGGGAATATGAAGGTTTTAGAGGATTAAGTAGAGATGAGAAAACATGAAATAGTTATCCAGGAGAATGGGATACTGAATGAACTTGATAAATATATAATTTCTGTGAAGCATTACAGTTACAGTTAAAATTATTAATGAATCTAAAGTGAGACCAGTCAGCATTTTGTTGTATTTTTCTCTGGCTAAATGCAGCTGCAAAGGTGCAGGCCCAGCAAAGTTGAATCTTATCAAGGTTGTGGTTTAGCCAGCTGGATTCCATGAAGTGAGAAAGAGGTAAGGGAATTGAAGGTGGAATTGAAGCTGGGTTGTGAGGGAAGTGAGGACATGAGGTGGGTGAAGGACAGTGAAAAGGTGATAGGATCAATGGATTATGGGACCTCATGGGGATAAAAGGACTATCCCTTGGAGTTGGCATATTAGAGGGACAGTTTTAGAAAGATAGAAGAATGGGATACTTGAAATCAAGATTATAGAAGGCTCCAAATATTGATAATGCTCAAAGTCTAGGGATTGACTGTGGGCATGGTGTAAAAGGTAAGGTGAGGGACAAGATATTTGAAGGAGAGGAGGTCAAGGAATTGAGAGGGCAGGGAATGAAGAGACCATCTATGTCATTAGTTTTTAAACTAGGTCCATGGATGGGATTCAGGGGGATTGTGAACTGAAGTGGGCAAATATCACATCTTTATTTTTACTAATTCTTAATGGAAATTTAACATTTCTCTCAATTTTAAATATAGGTAACAAACCAATATGTTGATAGCAGTACCTGTGACTTTGCCTCCAATAGAAACCACAGATATTTTCATATCATTACGGTTTTTGCATTCTTTTAAAAATATTTTTATTCATCACTAATTGTGAAATTGTGGTAGTTATTAGAGCCACTGAATATCTTATTTAAGGTGTTACACAAGTTATATGTATTATATTTTAAAAATATTTTGATAACTGTATTTTACTAAATTGGTTTTATTTATAATCCTATATATTTTTTCTGCATTTAAAATATTCTGAGGAGGAGTCCTTAGGTTTCACCCTTAGACTTCCAAAGGGATTCAGGGTATGTGCACATGCACATACACGTATTTTAAGAACCTGTGATGTAAGAAGATATTGAAATCAACAACTATTTCAGGAATGATGTTGCAGAGAATGACGGTGATCTAGAATCTCTTATTTTTAAGGAATGAGGGAACTGACTTGGGATCAATAGATAAATGCAACTGGGAAAGGAGGGAGAAGATCATGGCATGAGGTTCAATGCTGGTGTTTGTTTGTTGAGGAAGGAGAAAGAATTGTTTGGAAATGACAGTGAGTTGCAAGAACATCTGACCCTACCTTCAGGTCCAATAGGAGGCATGTAGAAGACAAAGCAGCCACCGTTCCAGAGGACTACAGGAAAGGAGTGTCATTTAGGGAGCTTCAGGTTTTTGTTAGAGCAAGATGAAGTGAATATTCAGAGATGAAGCTGGTGGTAGAGGAGATTTTGTTGATGATTGACCTTGAGTTTGAGAGAACACAGTAGAAGTGTTTCAAATAATAGGGAGAGGTAGGAGATGGGATCAGAAAACAAGATGTACATAATCATATGAGAATTAGAATTCAGGGGGTGAGGTTTGGGCTTCTCAAAGGAATTTATACCTCAAGGAAAGAGGAGGCATGGTGAAATTAGCCCTAATAGTCCTGAGGCAGATAGTGTAAAGGTGAATGGGGATACTGAGGTAAGTGAGAGCAAGGCTTTTGCCAGGCATGCATAGATTTCTGGTACTCCCACTAAATTCAGGCCCTCCATCATCTGGTTTTCAGACCCTTTCTAATCTCATAATCACTCTCCCCTTCCCTCCCTTCAGTCACTGTAGCTCCTGATTGTTTCTGAAATACTGTAAGTATGCTCCTACCTCATTGCCTTTGCATTTGTTGTTCCCAGTATCTGGTCTGCCCTTTCCCAAGATATATATTTGGCTTGCTCCCTCATTTTTTTCAGGTTTCTGCTCAAATACCACCTTATTAGAGAGGATGGTTGCAACTATCCAATAGTTTGTATAATTCTCTCACTTCTAATTATTCTCTGTCCTTTTTGATTGCTTTTATCTCCCCTCTTAATGTTTATCAGTACCTGCTTCATCATTTATTTGTATAATCAATTAGCTTTTTTTTTTTTTTTTAGACGGAGTCTTGCTCTGTTGCCCAGGCTGAGTGCAGTGGCACGATCTCAGCTCACTGCAACCTCCGCCTCCCAGGTTCGAGTGATTCTCCTTCCTCAGCCTCCCGAGTAGCTGGGATTACAGGCGTGTGCCACCATGCCTGGCTAATTTTTGTATTTTTAGTAGGGGTGGGGTTTCACCATGTTGGTCAGGCTAGTCTCAAACTCCTGACCTCGTGATTGACCTGCCTTAGCCTCCCAAAGTGCTGGGATTACAGGTATGACCCACCACGCCAACCTAATTAGCTTTTTCTAGCTCCTCCCACCAAAATGTAAGCAACGTGATACAGCTGGAACTTTGGTTCACTGTTGTATCCCTACCACATAGCATAGTATCTGCCTTGTGATAGGCACTTGAGAAAGCATATTTTGTGAAAAAATAAATAAATACAGAAACAGCCCTTAGAGGATAAGAGAATTATGGTGTAGTGGTTAAGAGTTCAGGCTCCAAAGTCAATCACGAGTTCATTGTTTAACGTTGCTCCATCTCAGTTTCTCATCTACAAAGTGGAACAGTTAGTGGTACGTCAAAGAGCTATTAAGAAGAGATAATGTTATAAACATTTTACAAAGTACCTAACATATAAAATCTCTGGATTGTTCTTCTAGAGTCTTTTCATTCTTGAAATTAGAGATTGTGTTTACTTACCAGGCTTCTGACTTCATTTTTCCCCAGCAAATCAAGTCTCTTGTCTGGTAACTTTCAATTTTCTTGTGCCCACAGACCAGCATGACTTTAGTCTCTAGCCTATCTGGACTGTAGCCTAGACCTTGCTTCCTACATATCCCTCTTATCAAAACTTATACTTTCCCCCTTATTCTGCAGGAACTGTGTTCAGTTTTTTAGCACATTGTTGATCTACCTGGTAAAGTACTTCATACTGAGGTATTAGAATATGTTAATGGCATATTATGTTATTTCTGCCAGTATTTGCATTTAATATAGGGACTATTTTCCTTAAATTAAAGCAAACAATGGTGAAAATTATATGAAGTGACTCAGGGCTGCTTTTTTTGTTTGCATTCCTCAGCTCATTTCATGTAGGTGACTGCCAATTTAATCTATAAATTAGAGCAACTCTGATTATGTCTTATCATTCCTTCCAAGCATGAGGTACTTAACATGAATTTCCCTAAGCAGAATCATAGAGGTTTAGAATTCAAAGGGACCTTAGAGATTATCTGGACTAGAGGTTTTCAGCTTTCTTTTTAAAGCAGCAAAACCCCTTTTTCAAATGAAATGTTATGTGGAAACTTAATATATAGATTAATAAATAGCACAGCTGATTCCTAAACCCAGGAATCCAAGCCATGTAGGTCTCCCTTTGTTGTCTGGGGCAATCCCCTGAGGGCACTTCCATGGAACCCTTAGGGCTCCCCAGAGTGCTGTTTTAAAACCACTAATTTAGACCAACTCTTTCATTTTTCCAGCTGAGGAAATACACCCAGAGAGTTTTTATTTTATCTGGTGTTACAGGGTAAATTAGTTGGATTAAGAGCAGTCCTCACATGTGCCATACTTAGGAAAACACTATTAGACAAAGGTGGAAATTCTTATTTCAGATGTAGATAACTTTTACCATCTCATTTTTCATCAACAAAGTTCTATTTATACCTATTACATGTGGGACACTTTCTATGGTTTTAACTGATACGAAGAAATATGAGATATAACCCTTTGCCTTAAAAAGCAAATTATCTAATTGGGAAGCTAAAATATGAGTTGAAAACTTATACCAACTTTAAATAAGACTTCACGACTTGAGATGTAACAAAGCAGTGTGGGATTAATTGAAAATAAGTGATACTGAGAATTAGCTCTATTGGAGCTCAGTGGAGGGTGAAGCTACTCCATTTGGACTAGAGAAGGTTTTTAAAGAGGAGAGATAACTGAGTAGCACTTGGCTAAGTAAATAGGGATAAGGTGATATAATACTGTAAGTAAGGGCAGAACTTTGAATTCCAGTACCCTCACTTACCTCTATGTAATATTGGGCAAGTCCTCTGAGCCTGTTACTTCATCTGCAGAATGGGGGATGTATGGGATGTGTGTTAATTAAGAACATATTAATTGATGTAACATAAACCTCAAAATGTCAATGATTTGTCACAATAGAAGCTTATTTCTTCTGTATGTCTGTGTCTACATCAGACATCTTTCTAAGAGGTCACACAGGGACCCAGGTTCCTTCTTTTTTGGTTTCTACCTACCCTAGGTATTTGGAGTTCTCTTCGTTCAGTGGGGAAAGAGAGTAGAAGATTCCACTGCAGAGGTATTCAGAGGTTGGGCTGAAAGTGTTACATAACCCTCTGCCCATATTTTTATTGTGCAAAACTCAATCACAAAGCTATATCTAAACACAGAGGACATAGTTATGTGCATAATGTGGAACTGAAATAAGTTTTAGTGTTCACATAAAATCTGTTACCTCACAGAGTCGTTGTGAGATTGGAGGAAATCACGTATGTGACATGCTTAGTACAGTGCATAGCATATGGAGGTATTTAAATGTCCTTTTTAAAGAATAGGAACATTTATATAATGTTTTAATTGAGTACAGATAATTCGCTAATTTTTTTATTAACGTGTTTTAACCCTGTAAATGGAGAAGTGTCCATTTACTTTTAGCTCTTGGTAATAATGATAACTAATATTTAAAATGATTCTCTTTGGTAAGTTCTTTGTTTATTTTTCTTTTAGCATGGTGTTATTGCTACAGAAGATGAAGAGTATTTTATCGAACCTTTAAAGAATACCACAGAGGATTCCAAGCATTTTAGTTATGAAAATGGCCACCCTCATGTTATTTACAAAAAGTCTGCCCTTCAACAACGACATCTGTATGATCACTCTCATTGTGGGGTTTCGGGTGAGTGAGTGTGCAGCTTTTACAAAGCGTATTGTACTGGATTGCTGCTTTTTCTTTCTTCTGGCAAGTATAGTAAGGTTAGCAATAAAAGGAAGTAGGAGTTTGACTACAATTATAATGTCCAGAGCCCTTTTAATAGATGTCACCTACCAGTAGTTTTAAATCAATTTGGGAGCTCTTTGAGAAGTTTTTAAGCTGTAAGTTTGTATAAAATTCATTTTCTTTTTTTGGTTGAAGGGAAAAAAATAACCATTTTATTTTACTTAGGTAATAGCTATAGCTTTTTTGCACAGTTATACTGTAGTACTCTGTGGTGTTCGTTTAGCCTGATATTTTTATGCTAGTAGCAGGAATCTAGACACTTGAATAAGACTTGAAGAGTCTTAAGATAGTATTCAAAAGTAGTGTTAGCACTGAGCGAGGATACTATAGAAATATGTAGTACGGGCAACAAACTTAGACTTCAGTGGTCAAGGAAAGCTTCATGGAAGAAGTGACTTCTAAGCTGAGGGCTGGGGGAAAAGTGAAGGTAGCTGTGTAGAAGTGGAGAAAGCAGTGGCTATTAGTGTTTCACATAGAGGAAATAGTGTTTATGAAGCTCCTAAACCAAAAGGGAGAATGTCTTATAATTGTTTTATAAGACATGTTTTATAAATTGACAGACAGTTCATGTAACTGGATATTAGAATGTGGGCTGGAGGGATAAAGGTGAGGTTCATAGTGGTTGGGGGAAGTGGTTGTGAGAGATGAAACTGGAAAGATTAGCAGAGGCCACATCATGAAGAGCTTATAAACCATGTTAAGGGGTTTGTTTATCCTACGTGCACTAGAAACCCACTGAAAGGATTTAAACAGGAAGAATAACATAATCAGATTTGTGTTTTAGAAAGACTACTCTTGCAGCAATATGGAGATGGAATTAGAGAAGAGCAAGACTAGAGCTAAGGAGTTAGGAGGATGTTAGTCTAAAGGTGAGAAAATGTAGAGAAACAGGCCGGGCGCGGTGGCTCACACCTGTAATCCCAGCTCTCAGGGAGGCAAGAGGCGGGAGGATAGCTTGAGCCCAGGAGTTCGAGACCTGCCTGGGCAATATAGCGAGACCCCGTTCTCCAGAAAAAGGAAAAAAAAGAAAGAAAAAAAAAAGACGAAAATGAAGAGAAACAGTGGATATAACATAGCACAGCAAAAAGAACATGCGCTTTGATATAGCATAGGACGAATTACCCAACCTCTCTGAGTGCTCATCTTAGCACATACTAGTTACCCAATCAAATTGTAGCTATCATTAAGATGACTGTTTCTAGTACACTAAAGTGTTATTATATTAACAAAAATTTTTAAAGATTTGTTCTATGTAGTTCCAGTAGCTAGAACCAGGGGCAGAATGTTTCAGAGAGATTTCAGCTTAATGCAAAGGTAAAGTCACCAACAAATAGATTTAGTGAAAAATAGAAAGGGTTGGCCGGGTGCAGTGGCTCACGCCTGTAATCCCAGCACTTTGGGAGGCCGAGGCAGGCAGATCACAAGGTCAGGAGTTCAAGATCAGCCTGGCCAATATGGTGAAACCCTGTCTCTACTAAAAATACAAAAATAAGCCGGGTGTGTTGGTGCTTGCCTGTAGTCACAGCCACTTGGGAGGCTGAGGCAGAAGAATCGCTTAAACCCGGGAGGTGGAGGTTGCAGTGAGCACAGATTGTGCCACTGCACTCCAGCCAGGGTGACAGAGTGAGACTCCATCTCAAAAACAAAAAAAAGAAAGGATTGCCTTGTGAATTAGTGTATGATATGTATTATCCTTTTGTTTCTTCTCCATATTCTTCATAGGCTTGTTTTCTTCCTAAGTGTTAAGTCTTCTTTTCTTAATCTACTTTTCCCATTCTGCACACTTTCTTCTTGAGTAATCTCTGAGGCTGTTAATTAGGTCCTTGTTGGTCAAGAATAGTTGGTACCAGAAAAAGACAACTTACAGTGAATCTACTTAAAACATGAAATTAAATTCCATAGTTAATAATTAAAACAAAAGGTTTGTTGGGTCTTTATATTGAGTAATGAAATGAACCATTATGGAAATAAGTTTATCTTATATTTAACAACATTTAGACTGTAAGTATAACTATATGTAAATTCTTTAAAAACTAGGATTCAGGCCGGGCACGGTGGCTCAGGCCTATAATCCCAGCACTTTGGGAAGCTGAGGCAGGCGGATCACGAGGTCAGGAGATCGAGACCATCCTGGCCAACATGGTGAAACCCCGTCTCTACTAAAAATACAAAAATTAGCCAGGCGTCGTGGCACGCGCCTGTAGTCCCAGCTACTCGGGAGGCTGAGGCAGGAGAATTGCTTGAACCCTGAATGCAGCGGTTGCAGTGAGCGAAGATCACACCGAGAGCGAAACTCCTTCTCAAAAAAAAAAAAAAAAAAAAGAAAGAAAGAAAAAAACTAGGATTCAAATATTCAGTTGTTTATTATAATGTAATTATTCTATCATTTTTCCATAATATGCCAGCCTTCACTCTATGATTGTAAAGAAGATCACCTTTTGCAAAAATATTTAAAGATTTTATCATATTCTGAAAAGCTTATCTCTTAATCCTTTCATATTTAAATTATTCTTTTTTGAAGTATGTATCACATTATTTTAACTCAGGCAGATCCTTATTTTTTAATGGTTTACGCATTAGTCAAGCACTTCTCCAATCCATTCTTATGGCTATCATAAAATTCTGCACTTTTGGGGAAAGATATTCTCTTACCATCTCTTATTTGGATTACTGTGAGAATTTCCTAAAGTGTTCCATTTCAATGTTTTTAATTCACTTGCCATTTCTACTACCCCAAACTCTAGTCTATTTATTTTAGACCCTCATTATCTCTTGCCGAGACCACTATACTGACTTTCTAATTATGCTTTTTGTCTCCAGGTTTGTGTTCTTATTTTCAGTAAAATCTGTCCCCTATATCTGGCTGTATCACACACCTTGAAAAACTTCACTGGCTTCCCATTACTGGGAATATAATAGTATTTCCCTATGTTCTGGGCAAGTGTTACTGGGGAAAAAAAACGTTTTGTGTTTACTAGTAAATTTGAGAAATGTCTGGCTAACATCTTAATTGTGATACTGTTTCAACAGCATAGGTCAAGTGAGAGATGTGAATTTATAGGCATACACTACCAGTTAGCCTATTACCTGGAATTCAAGTTTATGTCAAAATATAAGATATGAAAACCCCCTTGACACAGGACATATTTATCTTATATTCAGATATTATTTTTTTCTATTCTAATTAGATTCAAACTACGAATTTTTAAACATTTTATAGAAGTAATAAATGTTCCTTTTAGAAAATTTAGAAAATACAGGACAAAAAGGAAAAGAAGAAACTGAAAATTACTTATTCCAATACCCAGAGATAACTAAGTATTCTTCTAGTCCATTGAAATAGATATTATTATGTCTCTATATCTTCATTATCTACTTATGTATTCATTAAATAAATATTCATTTAGTACCCGTATGCAAGGCTATTCTAGGTGCTGGGGATGCAGCAATAAATAAAGCAGAAAAAGTCCCTGCTCTCATGGAGTTTATATTCTAGTGAGGAAAGACAGTTAACTAAATAAACAAACAAACAAATAAATATATGGCCAACTGTCCAGAAGTAGTAAGTACTATGAACAAAAATAAAGCAGGTCAATGAAATAATGGTGAATGGCTGTATATATTCAAACACTTTGATATTGATCAAAAAGTTAAAATCTTATTTCAGATGGCAATGAAATCCATATATTGATTTTGGGAAAAAGTTATTGTGTTGTATGTGTTTATGAGCAATGTTTCCTAACATGCTATAATCTAATCAAAATTAAATTGAGCAAAGCATGTGTAACAGGTATCATTTGAAGAACTACTAATCTTTATTTTGAAACAAAACAAGTCAATCTTGTTTTCTATTTTAGACTAAGAAAGATAGTAGTTACAGATCATTAAGCTTAACATTAAGAAGTCAATTGGCAATTATAGAATGTATAGTTTTATAATGAGCTAATTATGCTGGATTAACTTAATTTTTAAAATGAAACTGAAGATGTTCTCTCTCTTGATTTTATTCAGTATATGTGTATATGTATAAAATATTGAATATATAATTATATATGATATATATAAAATGCCTTTGATGGATATTCATAAATAAAAATATATAGTTTTAACATTCAAATAATTTGTAGTTTGTTAGAGTGATAGCCAAGCAAACTAAAATTTTTAAAAACTAAAATGTTGAAAATTTTGACAATAACAAAGATGATGATAACAGCAACTACCTTACACTGAATACATTTTTGTTTTTTTTATTATTATTATTTTTGAGATGGAGTTTTGCTCTTGTTGCCCAGACTGGAGTGCAGTGGTGCCATCTCAGCTCACTGCAACCTCCGCCTCCCAGGTTCAAGCAATTGTCCTGCCTCAGCCTTCCTAGTAGCTGGGACTACAGATGTGTGCCACCACACAGCTAATTTTTGTATTTTTTTTTTTAGTAGAAACATTAATTTAGGATTTGAAATATTTTACTGGACAAAATATTTGAAATATTTTACCAACCTGTTCTCTTTTTTAATTTTTTAGTTTTTGAGATGGAGTTTCGCCCTGTTGCCCAGGCTAGAGTGCAGTGGTGTGATCTTGGCTCACTGCAACCTCTGTCTCTCAGGTTCAAGTGATTCTCCTGCCTCAGCCTACTGAGCAGCTGGGATTACAGGCGCCTGCCACCACATCTGGCTAATTTTTGTATTTTAAGTAGAGACAAGGTTTCACCATGTTGACCAGGCTGGCCTCAAGCTCTGACCTCAGGTGATCCACCCGCCTCAGGCTCCCAAAGTGTTGGGATTACGGGCGTGAGCCATCACACTCGACCTGAATACATTTTAAATGAGGACTACCATTGCTATGTGTTTATTGCACAATAATGTCTAATTATTTTCACAATATTTTAAATAAAAAGGAGAAATTGAATGGGTCGGAGAAGGGGAAATGATCAAAAGAATGAAAATAAAATCCTATATTTGGACATTTAAGCTGTTTAGCCAGAGTAAGAGACTAGGCATGACTTGAATACATGAGTGGTTTTATGATCACAGAGGATTGAGCAGGAGAAATTGGAGTTATATTGATGTGGAAAAGCTTTCAGCTGTTTTGTAACAATATTAGCCAATAAAACCTAGTGGCTTACTCAGTATACTTTTAGTATTTCACAGTTTCTGTTGGTCAGGAGTCTGTGCATGGATGGGTCATCTGCTTAACCTCAACCAGGGCTGAATTCTCATCTGGAATCTTGACTGGGGAAGAATCCACTTCTCTACCCCCATAGTTGTGGCAGCATTCAGTTCTTTGTGGTTATGGGTAGCTTTAGTTTTTGGATGATTGTCTTCAGATGCCAGCGTCAGTTCACCAGCATGATTGATTGCTTTCTCTAAGTCAGCAAGGGAGAGACTCTAGACAAATGCTACAATATTATGTAACATAATCATGTACTAATATACTCAAAATCACATGCATCTCATCATCTTTGCTGTATTCTGTTAGTTAGAAACAAGTCACAGGTCCTACCCATATTCAAAAGGAGGAAATCACAAAAGGATGTGAACATTAGGAGACAGAGGTCATGGAGGCCATCTGGAGAGTCTGTCTGCCAAAATTGGATATAGAGAAACACTATCTGGAGGATATTCTATCGAAATAAGAAGTGGTGTTTATGTCTTTGCTTCTCTTCACCTTTAGGGATGAAGACACTCATTTAACTTAGAAGTTTCAGGAGTATTTAACTGATGGGTCTCATGATCATTTCCACCTCATTTCTCAAAATTTATCCATCCTACTGACTTAGCACATTTCTTGCTGCTGTAACAGAATACCTGAGACTGGATAATTTAAGAACAATGAAAGTTTACTTAGCATATGGTTCTGGATGCTGGGAAGTCCAAGAGCATGGCACCAGCATCTGGTGAGGGTCGTCTCATGGAGGAAGGCAAGAGGAGGAAGTGAGTGCACACAACAGAGAGAGGAAGTTGGGCCTGAACTCATTATTTTTATCAGGAACCCACTCCCACAATAACCAACCCATTCCTACAACAATGGTTTTCATTCCTTCATGAGGGTGGAGACTTCAAGTTTTAATCACCTCTTAAAGGCCCCAGCTGTTAATACTGTTTCAATGGCAATTAAGTTTCAACATGAGTTTTGGAGGAGATATTCAAACCATAGCACCTACCAATGCAATTTGTAAAACAGAAAGGCTAAAGAAGTTAGAAAAATGAGAATAGTTACACTTTCTGTCAAGTGTATCATATATTAATCTAATTATTCCTCACTAAATTTTTTAATAAGTGGGGGTGAGAAAGATTTCCTGTTCAATATAAGGATGTGGAAGTGAGATATACAGAGAACCTCTACATGCTCAAGTTTATTTAATGAAGATGATAATCAGTGAGGCAGGTGTTTACAAATGCCATAGTGCTAAAAGGCTGCTTCTATACTGAAGAACCAAATGTCTAGAAAACAAAGGATACATTGCAATCCATGCTAAATATGGTTCAAAGCAAATTATGCTGGAATCGTGATCTTTCAACTATAATTGAATGTCTCTTACCTCTAGGCTTTGGAAAAGAAATATTTTGAGTACTCTGTCAGAATAAAGAGTTGTAGACTGCCAACCTAAGTGAAAAAAGTAATTCGTTGCCTTTTAGAATTGAGATTTCTAGAGCAGTAGAATTGATTCTAATTAAAATAGCTTGATGAAAGCATCTTATTTTAAAATGAATAATCAAAAGTATCTTTGGAATAGATTTTTGCAAAATCAGGGCTATCAGAGCTGTCTTAGACTGATTGAAAAGTTCATACTCTAGATGCTTTTTAAATAACTTTAAATGGCTCTTTAAAGTATATATCCTAAATTTAAATGTATTAAGATGTAATTACTGGAATAATATGAAATGACTATTTGAAAATTATTTTTATTAATTAATTCATTTCTTAGATTTGTTTTGTTTTCATGAGCAGTTGAATGTTTAATTTTTTCAGATAACGTGATTATTTTCAAAAATTTACAGACTTTTTTCTCACTACTGCATTTTCTCATTCTCTTCTCTTTGAAAAATCTTAATATATTAGAGAATTTGTGAGAAGCATGTCTACATGAAAGATCTATAAATAAATATTTTTAATTAGTGAACCTATCTGAATTGGCTGCTTTTATTGTAGATTTCACAAGAAGTGGCAAACCTTGGTGGCTGAATGACACATCCACTGTTTCTTATTCACTACCAATTAACAACACACATATCCACCACAGACAGAAGAGATCAGTGAGCATTGAACGGTTTGTGGAGACATTGGTAGTGGCAGACAAAATGATGGTGGGCTACCATGGCCGCAAAGACATTGAACATTACATTTTGAGTGTGATGAATATTGTAAGTTTGATCCCTCTATATAATATTTTACTTCATATTTGTTGTGTTTTTGACTAAGGTCATAAATTTTTGCTGTGAAGTAAATAATGATAAGAATTTACCTGTCTAAAATGGTAAAAAATTGGTCTAGTAATGTTTCAGTTCCATAAAAATACATTTAAAGATGACCTTATCATTCATTTTTAGATAATATGACAGTTTTAGTGGATTGTTAAATCTTGTTTAAGGGTTTTTTTTTTTTTTTAACTTGAAACATCAGCTCACCCTCTAATTTCCATGCTGTAGTTCATGTCTAGGAGGAAATATTTATTGAGGTAGACTTGTATAAAAACCTTTTACCAAGGCACCTTGAAGGTAGAGTTCTAAGTGATATGGGGTAATGTATACAATGGCTAAATTTATAAAAAATTGTTTTAGCACTTAAAAAACCAAACTATCACCCTATAATTTTTGTCTGACTTTGTGTCTTTTCTTATTTTCTGGAGGTCAGGTTGCCAAACTTTACCGTGATTCCAGCCTAGGAAACGTTGTGAATATTATAGTGGCCCGCTTAATTGTTCTCACAGAAGATCAGGTAAGAATGAGTTAGTTTATATATCTAAGATTGTTAACAGAAGGCTATAGAGCTATAGAATTACTTATTATTAAATAATATGTTTTATTATTGCTTCTATTAGGAAATTCTAGTTGGATATGATTTTTAGCTCTACACATTTAATATCTTAAGCAAATTTTAAATACATTACAAGAATATACCTTTTATGTTAAAGCTATATAGATTAGCTATGTTTCAGTATAAGGGTGAACATTTGCATGGCATATCTTATAATAATGATTTTCATTAGTTTTTGTGTTGATAATCTCACATATGTTCACATTATCATTAAAGCTGGAACTGGAAAAAAATACCAGTTCAATAATATACCAAATGAGCTCTAGGTCAGATATTACAGAGATAAAAATTGGCAAGAGATTATTCCTAGAAACACTGCTTCTAATTATAGTCCCACTTCAGTCTTCAAAAGTTTTAACAACTGACCTTAGTAATTTGTTTGGAACATTTCTGGTATGCATGTTGTATTGCAGCCAAACTTGGAGATAAACCACCATGCAGACAAGTCCCTCGATAGCTTCTGTAAATGGCAGAAATCCATTCTCTCCCACCAAAGTGATGGAAACACCATTCCAGAAAATGGGATTGCCCACCACGATAATGCAGTTCTTATTACTAGGTATGGTTTGTTGCAAGTATTTTTCCATTGATTGTTGTGTTTATTCACTATTGTAATAAATTTGGTTCTATGTAAAGCCTCATTCAGATAATGAGTATAGAGAAAGCAAAATGGTAATTTATTTTTCACTACTGAGAAAGAATGTATTACACTATTATTGTGTTTGCATCAAATGAACCAAATAAGAAAAAAGAAAATATTAAGATTTGACTTAGAAATTTAATAAATAACTTTCCTCCTACTGATAAGTTCTATTCATAATATTTAATCAAAAGCATGTAGATGATTTGTTAACCGAACAAAATACATACTAAAACAAGATTAAAACATATGAGAAAATACATATCTTAAAAATAAAGTGACCATTATCAGTTATAAAATATATTAACTATTTTTACCTTTCAGTTGTGTTAAAGTTTATTAAAAGGGAGGCGGAGACTGGCAGTTATACAACTTACTTGAATGTTTATTTAATTTGAAATACTTTAAGATATATAAACATAAAAAAGCAGATTGATTACACTATGTGTTGAACAGCTTGTCTCTCAAGCAAAATTATTATTTGGTGATAACCCATTGAATTCTTATATTGCTTTCCAGTTTTACAAAACTGTTTTGAGATCCATTTTATTCTTTACTCTCCAGCAACAATTCTGTAGATAGTGTTATTATGTTACTCATGTTAGGAATGAGGGAACTGATAGGTAAGTTTCTCAAGATTACTTAGCTAATAAGTGAAAGAATAGGGCTCAGATTCTGGTGATCCTGTCTTTGATTATACGATGCTATCTGTTATAGTTTTTAATACTCTTACTTATAATTGGTTAGAAACATTATACTTAAATTATTTTAAGATAAGTGTGCCTTTTGACTTCTTATCAATATTTTAAAATAAAAAGTAACAATAAACAATAAGCAAAATGGAAGCATTATTCTCTCTTGGCTAGGTGAAATAGTCTTTGGTATGATGGTTATTTCAATTTGCAAGGCAGTATTTAACATACGTTTCATCTGTGGTATGTTCATTGACTCTACATTAGGTTCTAGGGAGGGAATACAAAGTATATGAGTTAGAATCTTGAGATCCAGTAAGATAATGTAAACTTTAGAAAAAGTTCCCGGGTAACTGAGTCATACAGTGAAATTTCTGAATTTTTTTAATAGTTATACTTACTTTAATTGACTTTATCTACCTGGCATCATTGGTGAGAAAATTTGGTTTATGACATGCTTGCTGAATAAAATCGTATGGTTCTATATTAATATATGTTGACATTTTAGTCTGATAAAATGTGCAACACCTTAGAGTCTTGTGGTCTGGAATATTCTTAAATATACTTAAGGAATTAAAAATATACTAGGAATTGTGCGAATGTGGAAACCTTTCTGTTAAAAAATATGGACATTGATTAGTGTCAATGAAATTACTAGAAGAAGATATCTGTTATATATAGCTAACAAAACGATCATAAATATTTACATGGCTTTTGTATTTATATTTGTAAAGCCCTGTCTTCCCAAATATGACGCACAGTGGGCTCCCAATACTTCACATTTGCATTATTATATCTCCATTGGATTTTTACCTTTTGCCTCAAATGACAGAAGTTACACCAAGCACATATATAGGTATTCAAGTAGTAGAGTACATCTGGGCAATTAGCCCACCTTTCTTTGCACTGGCTACAACATTCAGCTGTCCAACTTTTTATTCTGAATTCGCCTTGATATTTTCCCGATTCTCTGCAGGGCTCTTCTTTGCTTTTGTAAGCTACTTCGAGTGCCTTTTTGATGTTTGAGATTTAAACATAAATTTTTATTTTTTATTTTTATTTTATTTATTTATTTATTTTTGAGATGGAGTCCTGCTCTGTCGCCCAGGCTGGAGTGCAGTGGCGTGATCTCGGCTCACTGCAACCTCCACCTCCTAGGTTAGGTTCAAGTGATTCTCCTGCCTCAGCCTCATGAGTAGCTGGGATTACAGGTGCGTGCCACCATGCCCAGCTGATTTTTTGTATTTTTAGTAGAGACGAGGTTTCACCATGTTAGCCAGGATGGTCTCCATCTCCTGACCTCGTGATCCGCCCACCTCGGCCTCCCAAAGTGCTGGGGATTACAGGCGTGAGCCACCGCGCCTGGCCCAAAATTTTCTTTTTAAACTTGTCTGCTAATGATCAGACTAGTACTAGAAATGATAACAGGATTTAATAAGATTAGTAGTTCGAAGAGTTCATATCATATTATTTTAGATTGGCTAATGTAACAGAGGTTAGAAAAATGCTTTTTGCAGCAGTGTAGAATTCTTTTTTGAACTCTTATTAAAGTTTCAAAGTAACTTCTAGCCTATTTAAAAGTCTATAATTATGTTTGAATTACTAGGGCCATAGAGTGACTTAACAAAATGGGAGGAGTATCATCTTTAATATTTAAAAATTGTTATTTTTTGAGGATCAGAGGAGAGGTACCAGTGTTGGACTCTCTCTTATATATTTTTTATTTTGAAATCCAACGTGTGTTTAAATCATACTGCTAATTTTTGTAAAAATATTTTTGAGAATTCCACAGATGATTTTGTATTAATATTGAAAATTGGTTGATCTAACTCACTTATTAACATGTTCGGGGTGTGACCTGACTGTTTATGGGTAAGATCATGATGCATGTTTGCTTGAAATGTCACCTTACTAGGGAGAATGTATAATGTGTTTATCAAGAATGCCAGGGCCGGGCGCGGTGGCTCACACCTGTAATTCCAGCACTTTGGGAGGCTGAGGAGGGCGGATCATGAGGTCAGGAGATCAAGACCATCTGGCTAACACGGTGAAACCCTGTCTCTACTAAAAATACAAAAAAAACTAGCCAGGCGTGGTTGCGGGCGCCTGTAGTCCCAGCTACTCAGGAGGCTGAGGCAGGAGAATGGCATGAACCCGGGAGGTGGAGCTTGCAGTGAGCCTAGATCGCACAACTGCACTCCAGCCTGGGTGACAGAGAGAGCAAAAAAAAAAAAGAATGCCAGAGGAAAAATGATGGATATGTTTATTTCCACTAGGCCAAATTTTGTCCCAGGGACTCAAAGGTTTATGCAGAAAACCGTTTGAGATTGTAGTTACTTAAGTAACAATAGTTACTTTTAAAAACTCAAAATGTTATCCCGTCTTTTACAAATTATATCTTATTGTTTTATTTTGTTGATTTACATTTAAAACGAACTGTGATCCGCAAAGCTATCAGATCACTCTGACTAGACAGGAAGAAAATAAAGGAATTTTGAATGTTGTTTTATCTGATATCAATAATATTGAATGAACACCAAAGAGCATATTTAAATTATTTATATATATTATACATGTGTATTTTATATGTACATATATGTGTATACTATGTTCTATATAATTATTCATAATAAGTAATATATAATATAATGAATAACTGTTATCACTACCTAGATTTATCAAATCTTAACTTTATGCTATACCAAAGAGCAGCTTTAGGCCATTTTCTAAAATGATGATTACCTCTCTATGTTGTATTAACTATCTGACATCTTAGCTCTGAATACCAAAGTTAGTGCTATAATGTATAAATTTGTGGAAATATGGCAATATTTCTATAGTTTATTATATTTCATATATTATAAATATACATTAATAGTAGAATAATAAAACTGATCTTTCATTTTTGTGATCTATAATTTTAGTTAAAATATCAGTATTAGTAACTGGTATTGATTGCTTTCATAGACTAAGATATGTTAGAATTATTTGATGATTATTAATATTCACCTAAATTAGTGAATGAAATTCACAATGTATCAGTGGTGAAATATGACATTATATACCTATGTCAAGAAATGATTAATATTCTTTACTTGACACTCTAGAAGCAGAATTTTTGAAGGCAAAATACAACTGTACATATATAGTTAAAAAGTTAACTTGCTATAAAACTTGCAAATTGTCTTTATTAAGCTTTTGTATTTTGTTGTTTTAAAATTATTAAATTGACAAAAATTGTGTGTCTTTATGGTATACAAATGATGTTTAGATATATCTCAACATTGTAAAATGGCTAAATCTAGCATTGGCTTGATATGTGTTGCCTCCCATACTTTATTAAGGTTTGTATTGATAAACCAAATTAATAGCTACTTAGGAATAAAAACCTGCAAGTTGACAGATTATTTAATTTAATTAAATTTTCAGATGAAGTCAGGAAATATCCACCACAAGTTTAAAGTCAAGCCAATATCTAAATCTGTTTTGTGGTAAAATACTCAAGAAATCTATTTGTTGTCTGAAATTCAATAGGAATTCAAAGACATGGAGTATATTTGCATCAATGTTTAGCAATTAGCACGAACAGACTAATGCATATATTTCTTGGCTTTCTCTCCTATAAAGTATTGGAATCAGGTTTTTCCATTTTTAAGATAATAATACGTAACAGTTTATATTTAGGGTAGAAATTATAGCCCAAGTTCTTTTTATGGTAACAGCTTTATTGAGATATAATTCACAAACCATACAATTTACCCATTTAAAGTATACAATTCACTGGTTTTGAGTATATTCACAGAGTTGTGCAATCATCATTATCATCAATTTTTAGAACATTCCATCACTCCCAAAGGAAGTCATCCTCCATTCCCTACATTCCCCTCAGTCCCCACTCCTACCCTAGTCGTAAGCAACTGCTAATCTACTTTCTGTCTATATAGATTTACCTACTCTAGACCATACATACAAATGAAATAATACAATATGTGGTCTTTTGTGACTTGCCTCTTTTACTTAGCACAGTGTTTTCAAGGTTCATCCATAATGTGGCATGTATCAGTACTTCATTCCTCTTATTGGCCTAAATTCTTCAGAATTCAAGACACCTTTTAAGACTGCCTCTATAGGCTATTTGTCAATTATTATACTTGTACAGTTTTTCATTAATGAAAAGCACAGGATTTATAAATACATCTCAAAATACAGATGCAAAAATTGCACACCAAGTCAAATAATTTAGTCTTTAATTAAAATGGGCATTTTATCCTCTTAAGGGGTCATGACTGTTTGCTTTGGTGCTGCTGGATTATAAAGGAATTAGAATTTCCAAAGTCACCTAATGTTTTCAGTTGGGAATACAAAAATAGCTATAAAAATGGTTTATTGTTAAAATTTGGCTTGCAGTGTGTGCATTTAAACAAGTTTTCTTATTTTTTAAATAATGTGTTTATCAGGATTATATATTGGTTTCATGGTAATGTATTAGGACAGATAGAGAAAAGGGAAGTTAAATGTGATATATTAACATTTATTTGGTATTCATTTATGGATTTTTAAAAATCTTTAAAGAAATGCCAGTTACCTCTTTTATGACCAGTTAAATATTTTATTTCACTAGCTTTTAAAGAATATATTTGGTTTATACGAAGTGTGAATTCAGATTGTGGGTGAATTAATTTTGGTATGTGGACATTTTGAAGCATTTATTTTTCTCTTACCACGCTGCTTTTTCTGAATTGTTTGAGATGATCATATAGTTCATCTTTCTAAAAGTGTATTAACACAGTGAATTGCAATGATTGGTTTAGAATATTAAACCAACCTTTCTTTCTTTTTTTCTTGAGACAGGGTCTCTCACTCTGTTGCCCACTATTATCTACCCACCCCCATTGCCCATATTCCTCCTCTTCAGTTTCCTTTCCTTTTATCCGTGCCTTGTTGGTTTCTTACTCAGAAGTGTTTATCTTGAATCAGTTACCATTTCAATGTAGACTGACAAACTGGAGTAACTCTAATTTCTTGTGTACACTGGGACACTTTTAAGAGTGAAAGAGGGGGGCTCTGTGTGATGGGTCATGCCTGTAATGCCAGCACTTTGGGAGGCTGAGGTGGGAGGAATACTTGAGGTCGGGAGTTCAAGACCAGCCTAGCCAGCATAGTGAAACCCCATCTCTACTAAAAATACACAAAAACATTAGTCGGGCGTGGTGGCACGCGCTTGTAATCCCAGATACTCAGGATGCTGAGGTAGGAGAATCGCTTGAACCCGAGAGGCGGAGATTGCAGTGAACTGAGATTGCACCACTGCACTCCAGCCTGGGCAATAGAGTGAGACTCCATCTTAAAAAACAAAAAACAAACCACAAAAAAACTGAAAGAGCATGCCATTGACAGTTATGTCTGAAAAACAGGCACATATTAGGACCTGGTGAAACAGGATTATGGTTATCTCAGGCATTACCTATGTTTGTTTGTTGAAGTTCAAATAAAAATGGAAACAAGAAGATGCTATTTCCTCAGTGCCCAAATTTAATCAATTATCTTTATACACACCTTGAATAAATAGTGTACCTTATTTGTAGTAGGCGTCATTAAACAGTTAAAGAAGGATGTATTGTACTAAACTCTAAGGAATAGTAACTTAAGTATTTATATTGGTTTTATGGATGTATTGATGTATGTATATAACCAAGTACCAGATACTTAAGTGCTTTACAGACACTCAATCATTTAAAACCTTAAATAACTGCATGAGATAAGGACTGCTGTTTTTCTCCATATTGGAGAAGAGAGAGCTGAAGCACAGGAAAGTAAATTGATTGGCAAGGTCACACAGTAATTAGTAGAACTAGGATTTGTACCATGCAGTCTTGCTACAAAGTCCTTTTAGAAGAGTTATAAGGATATGCAACAAAAAAAAAATGTGGTATCCTTTAATAACGTTGGCACCTGTGGTAGGCAGACTTCTAGGATGGCCCTCAGTGATCTCTGTCTCCTGATATTCATGACTTTATGTAATCTTCTCCTCTGGACTGTGGTCTAGCGAACTGACATCTTAACAATATGGAGTCTTCCAACTCATGAACAAAGTCTATCTCTCCATTTATTTAGGTTTTCATTACTTTCTCTCAGCAGTGTTTTGTGGTTTTCAGTGTTTTTATACCTTTGGTCATATTTTTTGATGTTATTGTCCATGATACTGTTTTTAAAATTTCATTTTCAATATTAATAGTTTTTCACTGGTATATAAAAATGCAATAGATATTTATATGGATTTTGTATCCTGTAACCTTGCTAAGTTCATTTATTGGTTTTAATAGCTTTTTGTGTGTGTGTCAGAGTCTCTCTCTTGTCTCCCAAGCTGGAGAGCAATGGCACGATCTCAGCTTTGTGATTCTCCTGCCTCCGCCTCCCAAATAGCTGGGATTACAGGTGCCTGCCACCATACCCAGCTAATTTTTGTATTTTTAGTAGAGATGGGGTTTCACCATGTTAGCCAGGCTGGTCTTGAACTCCTGACCTCAGGTGTTCTGCCTGCCTCGGCCTCCCAAAGTGCTGGGATTACAGGCATGAGCCACTGAGCCTGGACTGGTTTTAATAGCTTTTTAATAGATTCCATATATAAAGATGATCATGTTGTCTGAGATGAAAGACATTATGCTTCTTCCTTTTAATAATGAATGACTTTTATTTGTTTATTTATTTATTTTTTGCCTTATTGGAATGTCTAGAACTTCTAATACAATGTATAATAAAGGTGGTGAGAGCAGAGATCCTTGTTTTGTTCCTGACCTCAGCAAGGAAAGAATTCCGTCTTTCACCATTAAGTATGATGTTAGCTATAGGTTTCTTTGTTGATGCGCTTTGTCTGGTTGAGAAAATTTCCTTGTGTTCATAGTTTGCTGAGAGTTTTTTTTTTTTTTAAATCAGGAATGGGTGTTGGAATATTACCAAATGCCTTTTCTGAATTGTTTGAGATAATCATATAGTTTATCTTTTTTAAAGTGGATTAATACAGTGAATTGCAATGATTGGTTTAGAATACCAACTTTTTTTTTTTTTTTTTTTTTTTTTTTGAGACAGGGTCTCACTCTGTTGCCTAGGCTGGAGTGCAGTGTTGTGATCTTAAGCTCATTGCAACCCCTGCCTCCCAGGCTCAAGCAGTCCTCCCACCTCAGCCTCCCAAGTAGCTGGTACTACAGGCGTGCACCACAATGCCCAGCTAATTTTTTGTATATTTTGTAGAGATGGAGTTTCACTATATTGCTTAAGCTGGTCTCAAACTCTTGGGCTCAAGTGATCCTCCCACCTTGGTCTCCCAAAGTGCTGGGATTACAGGCATGAGCCACACTGTGCCTGGCCAAAACAACCTTTCATTCTTAAGATGAACTCAATTTGGTCATCAATGTATTATTCTTTTAATGTAGTTAGATATCTAATTTACATTCCCACCAACAGTGTAAAACTGTTTCTATTTCAAGCATTGTGGAAGACGGTGTGGCCTGGGTATATACCCAAAGGAATATAAACCATTCTATTATAAAGATACATGCACATGTATGTTCATTGCAGCACTATTCACAATAGCAGAGACATAGAATCAACCCAAATGCTCATCAATGATAGACTGGATAAAGAAAATGTGGTACCTATACACCATGGAATACTATGCAGCCATAAAAAGGAACGAGATTATGTCTTTTGCAGGGACATGGATGAAATTGGAAGCCATCATCCTCAGCAGACTAACACAGGAACAGAAAACCAGACACTGCATGTTCTCACTCAAAAGTGGGAGTTGAACAATGAGAACACATGGACACAGGGAGGGGAACAACACACACTGGGGCCTGTTGAGGGTAGGGGAAGGGGAGGGAGAGCATTTGGGAAAAGAGCTGATGCATGCTGGGCTTAATACCTAGCTGATGGGTTGATAGGTGCAACAAACCACCATGGCACATGTCTACCTATGTAACAAACCTGCACATCCTGCACATGTACCCTGGAAATCAATAAAAATATATATATAGTTAGATGTCATTTTCCAAAATTGTATTTTTTTTTTAGATTTATATTTATGAGGGATGTTGTTCTGTAGTTTTTTCTTAGACTGTATTTGCCTGATTTTGGTATTAGGGTAATGTTGCCCTCACAGAATGAGTTATGAGATAGTTCCTTCTTTTCAATTTTCTGGAAGAGTTTGTATAGAATTGATATTATTTCCTCCTCAGATGTTTTGTAGAATTGACAAGAAGCCATCTGCACTAGGAGTTTTCTTTGTGGAGTGATTTTTTTAAACTACCAGTTAAAATTGTTTAATAATATAGGGCTAATTAGGTTATCTTATTCAGTGAGCTTTGGTAGTTTGAGTATTTCAAGGAATATGTTTATTTTTTCCAAGTGGTGAAGTGTATTGGCATAATTGTTTATAATATCTTATTATCCTTTTAATATCTGTAGAATGTATAGTAAAATCACCTCTATGGTATTGGTAGTTTTTGTCTTTTGTCTTTTATGTCTTTTTCTTGTCTTTTGTCTTTTTCTAATCACTGTGGCTAGACATTTTAATAATCTTCTCAAATTTGGTTTCGTTTTTTTTTTTTCATTTTTCTGTTTTCTGTTTCATTGATTTGTTTCCGTCTGTCTACTTGGTTCAGGCTTATTTTGTTTGTGGTTCCTTATGGCGGAAGTTGTGTCATTAATTTGAGACCTTTCTGCTTTTCTAATATAAGTGTTTAGTGTTAGAAAATTCCCCCTACATATAGCTTTATCGCATCTCACAAATTTGGATATGTTGAGTTTCAGTTCCATTCAGTTCAAAATACTTTCTAATGTTCCTTTAGAGTATTTCTTTTTTTTTTTTTTTGACCCATGGCTTACTTAGAATTGTGTTATTTAGTTCCAAATTCCCCCCCACTGCAGAAATTCTTTTGTTGTTAATTTCTAATTTAGTTCCACTGTGGTCAGATAATATAGTTTGCATGACTTGAATGCTTTTTAGTTTATTGAGACTTGCTTTATGGCCCAGAATATTGTCTTTCTTGGTAAATGTTCCAGGTGGGTGCGCTTGAAAAGAATGTGCATTCTGCTATTGTTGGATCGAATTTTCTATATATATCAATTAGATTAATTTGGGTGGTCATGGTGTTTAATTATTCTTTACCCTTACTGAGTTGAACAATTTGATTATGATATGTTTTGGAGTAGTTTTCATCATGTTTGGGGTCAGTGAGCTTCTTAGATCTAATTTAATCAGATTTTCACCATTTTAGCCAATATTTTCTCAATATATTTTTTGGTTTTGCCCTTCTTGCCTTGCTTTGGTGACTTTAATTGCAGATATATTTGGTTGCTTGAAGGCAACTCACGTATGGTCTGCTTATGATTTTAAAGTCTCTCTTCTCTGTGTATTCAATTTTGGGTAGTTTCTATTGCTATGTCTTCAAGGTGACTTTTTTCTACAATGAGTAATCCATCAGTCTGGTCTAATATGTATTTTCATCTTATGTAGTATAATTTTTTTCATCTCTAGTGGTTTAATTTGGGTCTTTTAAAAAATCTTTCAGATCTCTAGGCTTTAGAAAATACAAAAACTATTTTAAACATTTTGTCTACTAACTTTATTATATGTGTCAGTTTTGGATTGGTTTCAATTGACAATTTCTTTATTATGTACTGTATTTTATTGCTTCTTTGCATACTTCGTGATCTTTGATTGGGTGCCTGACATTGTGTTATTTTACCTTGTTGGGTGTCAGATATTTTTGTGTTTCTGTAATTATTCTTGAGCTTTTCCTTGGGGTGCAGTTAAGTTCCTTGGAAACTGATTCTTTCTTTTAAAATTTGTTTTGTAGTACCAATTCAGTGTTCAGTTTAGGGCTAATTATTCCCCAGTACTGAGGCAAGTCCCTTCTGGGTACTCTACCCAATTGCCCTGTGAATCTTGTGGTTTTCCAGTTGGTCTGGGTGGATCTAGGCCCTATATTTAATGTTGTGTAAGTGCTAGGCATTATTACCTCTAATCCTTTTGGGTGATAATTTGCCTGGCCTTAAGTGCTTCTCTTACGTCATATGAGCCAGATTCACACTCAACTGAATAGTTAAGGGGAATCCTTTGCAAATCTCCACAATTATCTCTTTGTGTAGCTGCCTCTGCTGCTGTACTTAGTCCTGTAAATTTTAACTGTCTTTGTCTCCTGTATTTTCTGTTCTGTCTCTTCAACTCAGAGAGTCCACTGGGCTCTACTTTGTTTTCCCCACTCTGTTTCATGGCATTGAATTTCTCAAGGTAGTAAGCTGGGGGCAATCTTAGGGCTCACTTTGTTTACTTTCCCATTTCTCAGGGATCACTGTCCTTTGCTTCCTGATGTCTAGTGTATTGCAAATTGATATTTCATATAATTTGTTCATTTTAAACATTGTATGAGAAAGCAGGATAAATTTGATCCCTATTAATTCATTTTGTCTGGAAGCAGAAGTCCCAGGCAAACATTTTAATATTTCTGTCTTACTTTTGAGAGTAATTGTAGACATCATTCTTCTTTACCCCTAAATACTTCAGTTTGTGCTTTCTAAGAACAAAAACATTCTCAGCTGGGTATGGTGGCTCACGCCTGTAATCCCAGCACTTTGGGACGCCGAGGCATGTGGATCACTTGAGGTCAGGAGTTCAAGACCACACTGGGTAACATGGCAAAACCCCATCTCTACTACTAAAAATAGAAAACTTAGCTGGGTATGGTGGCGCATGCCTGTAGTCCCAGCTACTTGGGAGACTGAAGCACAAGAATTGCTTGAACACGGGAGGTGGAGGTTGCAGTGAACCGAAATCATGCCCACTACACTGCAGCCTGGGTGACAAAGTGAGACTCTTTCAAAAAAACAAAAAAATGGACAAAGACATTCTCTTATATAACCCCAGTACAGTTGTCAAAATCAAGATATGTAGTGTTGATACAGTACTATTATTTAATCTTCAGTTCATACTCAAATTTTATCAGTTGTCTTAATAATATTCTTTATAGCTATTTTCCCCCTCAGGCCACTAACTAACCTAGGATCACACGTTCTATTTACTTGTCTTGTTCAAGAGTCTCTTTTGATTTGGAACAGTTCCTCAGCCTTTCTTTCGCTTGACTTTGACATTTTAAAAGAGTATATAGCAATTTTTTATTTTATGAGACATATCTTCATTTGGGTTTTCTGATGTTTCCTCAGGATTAAATTAGGATTATACATTATGTCCTTTTAAATACTTCGTATCATAAGACATTTGATACTGGGTTTTCCAAATATTGGAAAAGTTTATTTTGATCCCTTGGTTCATCTAATGTCCACCATGTTTCTCCTTTGTAATTTTTCCCATTTTAATTAATAAGTAATTTTTGGCAAGTTACCTCGAGACTGTAAAGATCTACTTTCTTATGAAAATTTTACCCTCCAATTTTGGCATCCAGTGATGATATTCTAACTCTCGTTATTCTTTCGATATTAGGTAGTTGGCATTCTACTTTTTTTTTCTTTCTTTCTTTAAATATGGACTCACACTTCTAAAAAAATACAGATTTGGAGGTTTCCTTTCTAGGGCTCCCTACTTTTTGGGATTTTCCGTCACTTTCCAGCAGCCCTCCCATTTCTGTAGCATTCTGTCCTTTGATTCCTCAAATCAGAAGACTGCCATCTTCTGCTTTATATTTTACCACCCTGCCAGTAAATAGCTTCAATAAACTGAGGATAGGGAAGAGAGGAGGGAGCTAAATGAAATAGATTGTCTCCTCTTAATCTTTCTTGTACAGAAATTCTAGAGTTCGCACCTTGTGTTTTCGTTTGTTTGATAGTTTATTTCTGCCAAATCTTTATGACCTTTGGTCTAATAAATGGTTATAAAATCTTTTCAAATATATTTTTATGTTCTGAATAAAAAATGTATTAAATGAAGGGAAGTAGCTAATGTAAAGGCAAATTAAGTGAACCCCAAAGTACATACTATATCTGCAGCACTGTCCAAGGGAGAAGATGGCCAACAGCAAAAACAAGTATTTCAAGATATAATAGCAGATATTTTCTTGTGTGGGAGATGGATTCAACTATAGTTTTCTGACACTGCCTGTTAAAATATATAGGTACGATGTAGGAATCTGTTTCTTATTTTTTTATGTATGTATGTATGTATAAGATGGAATCTCACTCTGTTACCCAGGCTGGAGTGCAGTGGCGTGATCTTGGCTCACTGCACCCTCCGCCTCCTGGTTCAAGCGATTCTCATGCCTCAGCCTCCCAAGTAGCTGGGATTACAGGCACCCGACACCACGGCTGGCTAATTTTTTGTGTTTTTAGTAGAGATGGGTTTAGCTATGTTGGCCAGGCTGGTCTCAAACTCCTGACCTCAGGTGATCCACCTGCCTTGGCCTCCCAAAGTGCTGGGATTACAGGCATGAGCCACCACGCCTGGCCAGAATCTTTTTTTTATACTGAGCATTGGTGAAGCCTCTGGTAAAATATTATATTCCATTTTGAAAATCAGTTTGAGGTGAATAGCAAAATGAATAAAACCTTGGGAAATAGGTTTTGTGTTGAGAGGCTAATCCATCTAGGCTTATGTACCTTTGGAGGTGACAAAACCAATTTAGTTCTGAATAGTCTTCAAATTGTCAAGGAACTATTTTTGAAAATTGAGTAAATATTCTTGCCCTTTAATAACATCACTCTATCAAAGGGGTAACATTTAAATTATAGTAAGAAAGCATTCACTTGAATATTAAAAATACTTTTTTGAATAAGAGGTTTGAAATACAGTTGGCCCTTTAGATTCACAAGTTCCATGTTTGCAGATTCAACCAATCGTGGATCGAAAATATTCCATGGAAAAACCCGCAATAAAAAATAACAATACAACAATAAAAATATAACAATTATTTTCATAACATTTACACTATACTAGGTATTATAGGTAATTTAGAGATGATTTAGTGTATACAAGAAGATGCACAAATACTACACTATTTGATCACATGCAAATACTATACTCTTTTATATCAGACTGGAACATCTTTGGATTTTAGTATGTGCAGGAGTCCTGGAACCAATCTTGAGAGTATACCAAAGGATGACTATACCTTGTGATATGGTTTGGCTGTGTCCCCACCCAAACCTCATCTTGAATTGTAACTCCTACAATTCCCACCTGTTGTGGGAGGGGCCTGGTGGGAAGTAATTGAATCATGGGGGTGAGTCTTTCCCTTGCTATTCTTGTAATAGTGAATAAGTCTCATGAGATCTGATGGTTTTAAAAATGGGAGTTTCCGGGGCCGAGTGTGGTGGCTCACACCTGTAATCCCAGCACTTTGGGAGGCTGAGGTAGGTGGATCACGAGGTCAGGATATCGAGACCATCCTAGCTAACGTGGTGAGACCCTGTCTCTACTAAAAATGCAAAAAATTATCTGGGCGTGGTGGTGGGTGCCTGTAGTCCCAGCTACTCGGGAGGCTGAGGCAGAAGAATGGCTTGAACCTGGGAGGTGGAGCTTGCAGTGAGCCGAGATCGCACCACTGCACTCCAGCCTGGACAACAGAGCGAGACTCTGTCTCAAAAAAAAAAAAAATGGGAGTTTCCCTGCACAAGCTCTCTCTTCTCTTGTCTGCTGCCATGTGAGACATGTCTTTCACCTTTTGCTATGATTGTAAGGCCTCCCCGGCCATGTGGAACTGTAAGTTGATTAAACCTCTTTCTTTTGTAAATTGCCCAGTCTCAGGCATGTCTGTATCAGCAGCGTGAAAATTGACTAATACACCTCGTTAATAAAGATAGTGGTATTTCCATTTTGAAAGTTTTTTTTTTTTTTTGAGACAGAGTCTTACTCTGTAATCGAGGCTGGAGTGCAGTGGCACTGTGTTGGCCCACTGCAATCTCCGTCTCCTGGGTTCAAGCAATTCTCCTGCCTCAGCCTCCTGAGTAGATGGGATTACAAGTGCCCACCACCAAACCTGGCTAGTTGTTTTTTGTTTTTTGGTTTTTTTTAAATATTTTTAGTAGAGACAGGTTTCACCATGTTGGCCAGGCTGGCCTCGAACTCCTGACCTCAGGTGATCCACCCACCTCGGCCTCCCAAAGTATTGGGATTACAGGCATGAGCCACTGCGCCCGGCCAAGATTTTTTTTAAAATAAAGGAATGCAGCTTGCAGCTGTTTTTCTTAAATGATTTGAATGAAGCCTGGCTTTGAGGTGGGAGCAGTGACTAATTTTCAAGGTTCTTTTAATTTTATGATTCCACGCTAAGGTAAAATAAAGCATGTCTTGAAATAATGTCACAATTTGTTGAAGAAGAAGCAAATTTGATAAGAAATAAATCGGTGGCCTTCAATCCTTTAATTGGGCTTTTTTGTTGTTTTGAGACAAGGTCTTACTCTGTCACCCAGGCAGGAGTGCAGTCGCGCCACTATGGCTGGCTTTGTGAGTGTGTGCATGCGTGTGTGTGTGTGTAGAGATGGGGGTCTATGTTGTTTAGGTTATGTTGCTTAGGTTATGTTGCTTAGGTTGGTCTCGAGCTCTTCAGCTCAAGCAATTCTTCGGCCTCTCCCAAAGTGCTGGGATTATAGGTGTGAGCTGCAGTGCCCAGCCCCCTAATTAAGCTTTAGAAAAAGTTTGCAAAAATGTTTTAAATAATAATGGTTTTTAGGAATAATAGACAATACGGACTACCATCACCATTTATTTGACCTCTAAAGTGCATTTTATTTTAAAAAATATTCATTGTTTTTATTTAAAAAATTTTAAGGCCGGGTGCAGTGGCTCACACCTGTAATCCCAGCACTTTGGAAGGCCGAGGCGGGTGGATCACTTGAGGTCTGGAGTTCAAGACCAGCCTGGCCAATATGGTGAAATCCCATCTCTGCTAAAAATACAAAAATTAGTGTACGGTGATGGCACGTGCCTGTAATCGCAGCTACTCGGGAGGCTGAGGCAGAAGAATCGCTCGAACCCAGGAGGCGGAGGTTGCAGTGAGCCGATATCGCGCCACTGTACTCCAGCCTGAATAATGGAGCAAGACTCTGTCTCAAAAAAAAAAATTAAAATATAATTTTTAACTAATTTTAGAATTACAAAAAAAAAGGTGCAGAGTTCTTTTATGATCCTCATCTTGCCTTTCCTAATATTAACATCTTATGTAACAATAATGCAGTTATCAGGAACAGTAAATTAACATTCTTATAGTATTATTAAGTAACTTAAGACATTCCAAACTGAAAGAAAATACAGAGAAAATATAAGAAACCCATGTAGATTTAGCAGATGTAAACATTTTTATCATATTTGCTTTTAATTATTTGAAAAAATAAAAAATTACTCATAAAGTTGAAAGCTTTCCTGCACCCAACATTTTCCCCCTAATTCCTTGCTTTGAGGTAACCACTATCCTGAATTTGTATGTATCCTCCCTATCCACGTTTGTATTCTTTTGCTCCATTAGCACATATACCCAAAGATTAAGGAATAACAATACATAGAATATGTTTTTATTTTGTGTTTTATTTTTAAAATTAACTTTGTGTTTAATTTTGTCTTTTAATTATACTATCTAAAAAACTGCAGTTATCCTTTCTAATTTGATTTTTTAAATTCATCTTTACTTTCAAGATTTATCTATCTGATGGACATAGGTCTATTTAGTTGCTGTATAATATGGATATATATTCAGACTTTTACCTATGAGCATTTAGATTATTTATCATTTTTCCATTATTATAAACAATTTTAAACGATGCTGCAATCTGCATCTTTGTATCTGTCTCCTTAGGAGTTCTCTAGGGCAAATACCTAGAAGTAGAGCTAATGGGTCATAAGGGATAATCATTTTATGTCTGCTAAGCACTGACTAAGTGCTCTACAATGTGATTTTACCAATTCACATGCCCCAAAGCAGTGTAGAAGAGTTCCAGTTTGTCCCAGCTTGCTTTGAAATGCTTAATACCTTGTAAATAGTCAATAAGTAGCAATTAGTTTTTTTATTATTATTGGACCCAAGTTGATGTTATTTTACTATCTTAAAAATTTTACTAGTAAACAATAAGGGAAGACTTAGAGAAGTAATTTGTGTATTTATCTGTTATGAACTTAGTTTGTCATTGTCTTCTAGCTTTACTGTCTTATTGTAATGTACTTTTCCCTCCTCATGTCGTAGATGAATAAAATCAAGGGTAGTTCCAGTTATATTTCTTTTTTCTATAACAGCTTTATACACCATACAATTTACACACCATACAATTCACCCATTTAGCCTGAGTGAATTGTATAATTCACAGTTTTTAGTTTATTCAACGGTTTTTAGTTGAATATAATCCAACGGTTTTTTAGTTTATTCATAGACTTGCGCAACCATCACCACAATTAATTTTAGAACATCTTCCTCACCCCAAAATGAAACTTTATACTCATTAGTTGTCACCCTCCATTTCCCCAGTTCTAGGAAACCACAAACCTATTTTCTGTCTGTATAGATTTGCCTGAAATTCTGGACATTTCATATAAATGGAATCATAAAATATGAGATCTTTTGTAACTGGCTTCTTTTTACTTGTTGTTTTCAAAGTTCATCCATGTTGTAGCATGTGTCAGTACTCCATTACTTTTTATGGTCAAATAATATTCTATTATGTGGATATACATTTTATTTGTTCATTCATCAGTTGATGGACTGGGTTGTTTCTCCTTTTCAGCTATTGTGGAAAATGCTATGGTGGACATTCATGTGGGAGTTTTTGTGTGGATGTGTGTTTTCATTTCTCTTGAGTATATACCTAGGGGTAGAATTGCTGGCCCATAGATAACCCTGTGTTAACCTTTGAGAAACTGCCAGGCTGTTTTCCAAAGTGGCTGCACTATTTTACATTACCACCAGAAATTTCTCCACATCATGGCCACCAGCAATCTCTCTGTGTCATGGCCAACATGTTTTATTGTATGTCTTGTTAGTTATAATCTTTCTAGTAGGAGTAATGTGATACCTAACTGTGGTTTTGACTTGCAGCTCACTGATAGCTAGTTATATTGAGCATTTTAAAATTTATTCATTGTCTATTTGTATATCATTTTTCAAGAAATATGTAAGGTACTTTTACTTGATTAGATTGTATTTCTTGTATTACATTTATATAAAAAGTTATATAAAATGAACACAACTTTATGAAAAACCAAGTAGTCACTCGGACTATATTAATTATTCAAGTATTTATTCAATAGATATGCTGCATAATGGAAAATAAGTGGATTTTGTAGTCACGCAAACCTTGCATCCTGCTCTTGCCGTCTGTTTGTTGGTATTTGGGGCTGAACACCAAAGCTCTTTGAGTTTGTTGGATTATAATGTTATGACATGATGTGTGAGGTTTTTGGTACAGTGCTAAGCACCTGGTAAGGAGGCATATTAATAATTTGGAGCTATTATTAACTGTGTGTTAGTCACATACTAGGTTTTGAGAAGAAAAAATATGGTGGAATCATAGAAGCAGCAACCAATTTTTCATGGAGAAGCGTCCAAGCATAACTTCATTAGGGTGTGATGTTTTATCAAGGATCTGAAAGTTGAATAGGGATTTGGATAAATGACAGATGCCTGCTCAAGAAGAAGGCAGTGCATGTATAATGATATGGAAAAGGTGAGAAAGAAAATGGCCTCATTTGGGGAACTAAATGGTCAGTATTTTTAGAGGGGAAAGAGTGGGTAAAGAATTATAGGATATATGACTGGACAGTAGAAATTCATTAATTGATTCATTCATTCACCCCATATGTATTGAACTGATAATATGTCATGGTGCTGTTATCTTCTAGGTACCAGTATGAAGTAAGTTAAAGAATGAGCTTACTGGGTTTGAGGAAAAGAAGTGACATGTAGTGAACAAAGGGGAGGATGATATGCAATAATGTTAGAGAGGTTGCAGAGGCCAGTACATGACATAATATAAAGTAAAACAAGCAAACAAAGTTATAGAATAAATCATACAACATTTCTTTTATGTTAAAACAAACTCAACAAAACTAATAAAAAAAGAAATTTAGCTTTTAATTACTTTACATAATGGGTGGCATTGGAGAAATTTAAACAGAAAAGTGACATGATCAGATTCGAAAAATGTTCCTGGCAGGGGTGTGGAGAATAGATTTTGTGTGTGTGTGTGTGATTAAGTGCTAATGTATGCAAAGCAGTGAAAAATGGGTGGAAAAAATTCAATGGCTCTTTTCTTTCTAGTTCAGAAAGGCTTTTAAGAGCCATTTGAATTAACATTTCACTTTCTTTTTTCTTTTATCCCAAAGAATTGGATGCCAGGCAAAAATTATTGAGTTCTGATGTTGGGAGATGGGGAGTTTTTGATGAGTGAGGTAGAACTTTGATGAGTGAGGTAGAGAGGAGATTTGGGGAATAAAGAGAGTGAAAACTCCATTTAGAAACTTATTTATTAGAAGTTTTTCCTCTTTTTTGGTTAAAATTTCATGGTGGATTATTTTGAGATGATATCTACTAAATCAGCTATCTTTTGTACCCTACCCCACTACAAATTTGTCAAAAACTAGCATCTTTAAAAATTTTATTCTTATTTCATAAGTTCTCTACACCTTAATAATAGGCCAATGTTAAAGTAATGCTGATAGAAATAATTCTAAAAAGTCTTTCTAGACTAAGAGAAAACAATATTTGAGTATTTTACCCACCTCTCGCAAAATCTCTTCTCAACTTTCATGCAGTTTTAGTGATCTCATTCATTTTCGTGGTTTTAAGTACCATCTATAGTTAAGTATATACAGCTTTAAGAATTATCTATATCCAAATATACATCTCTAGCCCTGAGACCTCCCCTAAATTCTCTATTTGTATATCCGTTTGCTTAATTGACATCTCCATGCATCTCAACCTTAATATGTCCAAAACCAAATTCCCAATTTTTCCCTCAAACCTGCTGTTTCTGCAGTTTTTCTCATTTCAGATTTTCTCTATGTGGCAATTATGTTTGCCTGTTACAAAAAATGCAAAAGTGGTTTCAGTTAGAAAACTAATATCAGGAAATTGGCATGGGGAAATTAATATATATTAGGTTCAGCTCCCACAGAATATTTAATCATTTCCTCTGTTACCTTGTTTTACATTGGTATTTTTTGTTTGCTTGTGTCTCATATCTTTGGTCCTGTCTTATGGTTAGTTTACACATAGCATGGGCTAAATTAGCAAAACACACATACTTAAAAGTACAATTAAGATGGAAGAAGACAAATTACAGTTTTTGAAAAGGCATATGAAATGAAGTATTTAGGGGATTCTGCCTACCAGCATATTTCTCTGGAGTTATCTATTTAAGTGTCCTTATAGGTTTGGAGAGCCTGAAAGACATACTTAAAATGATACAATATGGCATCAAAAGTTCCCTTGAAAGATAAACATTTATTCCTTCCTTTTACCAATTATAAAGGCTATTGAGAAACCAAAGCCTATGAGACATATAATGTTTATATGGCTGCAGCGGAAAGACTGGAAAAAGTAATAGGGAAATTATTAAAAAATAATTTTGAGGCTGTAGAAATACTTATCTCCTCCAAGAAATACCTTGAAACTGCATTTATTCATTCATTGAGACACTCAACAAACATTTACTGAGTGCTTACTACGTGTAAGTTGTTGGGATTATACAACTGAATAAGTGATAAAAATCTCACCTCTTAACTTTCACTCAAGAGAAACTTGATTATGAATAAGTAAACAAATAAGTACACAATTTTACTGTGTGATATGCATCTGGGGTAGAGAGGAACAGTAACTACATCAAGTAGTAGAAAAGTCTGTTGAGATAACTTTTTAAAAGATTCTGAAGAATGAGGAGTCAACAAAGAATAACAATGGCATGTGTTCTAAGCAAAGAAAAAAACATGTGTAAATGAGATGGGACAGAGCTTGGCTTATTTGAGAATATTTGCTACAAGAGTCTGAAAACACGCTCTTTTTTGCCCCTGCTTATTTTGGCTCTCTTATTCTTTGAACCCCCTTGCCTGTCTGTTCATTTTGAAAAACTGCTAACTGGGAGCTTTATTTACATTGGGTAGGGTTGGTTATGGAGGGCTTCTATTAGGGTGATTGGATATTGGTTGACTTTTTTCCTGAGAGAGCAAAAAAGTTTATAGGTCTTGTCTGTGAGACCATCCAGTTTCTCCAAAGAATAATCCAGTAGTGTCCTGCTTGGTTTTAAATGTTCCGAAAGTAAGATGGGAAAGGAGGGTGGGAGTGTTCCAAGTAGGCACATTGTCATTGTTTTCAGCCTTGGGCTTCACCTTTGCCTTATACTGGGTTGGGTGTCCTTGAAACTGAGCCTCTCTAATTCTGTTTTTGCAGAGAATAAAACTGGGGTCAGGGCTGGGAGAGAGAGCAGTTGTCTAGGTTTGTAGGGGTACCAAGTCTTTTGTATATAGGCCTTGAACCAATCTCTGTTTTCAGTCTTATATCTCAGCCCTTCAATGGTGGTTAATTCTTGATTTTCCGTCTTTTTTTTTTTTTAACAAAGATAATTTTATTGTTATTTAAATTAACTTCGCCTTCATTCAGAAATAGAAAACTAATGTTGATAATAATAGTTGCAATTATCAGCTACTATAATGATAACTGAAATTATCTACTGAAATGATAAAAATGTTATTGGAGTAGACAAAATTTTATTAAATTTAAGACAGATTAGTAAATATAATTTTAAAAACTTCATGAAGTGTATTCTGGTACACCTTAATTGTTAAGTGATAGTTGTTAGAATGCCTACTTTCTTAAAATACTACCTATAAAACAGAAAAGATAGAGGTACATAGTATGTAATACTTTCTAATTTTGTTTGTGAACTCTTGATTATTCAAATAGAACTATTGTTCATATTTTCTATATCAGATATGTTACTAGCTCTGTATTTTATTAACTTTCTTTTAAAACTTCTGCAATTTAGTAATTTAATTTTAATGCTGTACTGTTATTTAGTGTTGGCTTCTTCTGATTAAATGTTCAGTAGTATGATGGTAAACAATATCATATACAAAACATAGGGGAGAAAGGATTTCTTTTCTCACCCATCTAAGGGTTCATGGCTGACACCCCTAATAACAAAAGACCAATTAACAAAAGAAAGCATACAAGTTTAATATATTTTTAAAATTTTTATTTATTTTTTATTTTTGTAGGTACATAGTAGGTATATATATTTATGGGGTACATGAGATGTTTTGATACAGACAGGCAATGCATATTAATCACATCATTAATATAAGTTTTATGCGACACTGGAGCCTTCAGAAATGATGACCCAAAGAAACAGGGAAAACTGTACATTTTATGATAAGTCTGATGAAGAAGCAGATAATTGTGGAGAAACGTGATTGGACAAAAGGGGAGTGATCCAATGGTAATAAACTGGGGGGAACTCAGCAAGGCCTGTTTATCCAGATTCTTCTTTGTGTCTGTCTTCACAGTTAAGGACATTCCTTTACTCTGAGTATAAGGAGGACCCTCTGGAAGAAGGGTCTAATAGCTGATTTTCAGGGAAAGGTCAGTTAGGTTTTATGACCTGCTTCAGTAGAGAAGGGGCAAGGGAAATTCTTTCTAGTTTCTGTGGACTGGTTTAGGAGAGAGGAGATCAGAGAGATCTTCCTGTTTCTGCAGTTTTCTCAATTTCCTTCAAGTAAAAATACTCAGTGTGCCTAGGTACTGTATTTTGGGATAGCATGTCCTGAACCCCATCAATGTAAATTTATTTTCAATTTCATGTTTGACTATTTCTTCCTATTGATCCTTTTTCTCCTAATGGCATTTCCTCATTTCCTCAACTTTTTTCTGTAGTATTTTTGTGTGGTCCTTAATTAAGTCTAGTGAGAAAGCAAGCCTTGATTTCCATACAAGGGTTGACTTAATACAGACTGAATATGCCCTTTGGTCTTCTCCCAGATAAACGCTCTAGAAAGTCATCATCATTGCCAGACAGCAAGGTACTTTGTTGTGTATCAGGGTCCCCAGGAAAATTCAAACATGCAAAATAAATTCTTAAATGGTTTGCAGAGAAAAGTAAGCAACTTGAGTGTAGCATGTAAACTGAGGAGCCATTTTGGTGCTTGGCAGTTAAGTACTTCTTGAAGGTCCCCCTGGTTTTTCCTTGAAGTCTTTTAAATCTGATCCTTCAGCATGTAAGTACTTTTACTTTTCAATAGAGTTGTAGAAGAATAATGATTATATTCATGAGTTTGAATGTTTATTAAATAAAAAAAGACTAAAAATGGTAACACTTTCTTAGTGAACCTTTTTTGTTGGAAACAGAGGCAACAATTGAATCCATGTTGAAATAATGGTTTTTGAGCTTTTAAAGTGAACCTGTTGTATTATTTGTCCTGTTTCACAAATGATTTCTTAAAACAAGGAAAATGTAATAAAACTTTCTTTAACTTTTTTTTTTTTTTTTTTTTTTGAGATGGAGTCTCACTCTGTTGCGCAGGCTGGAATGCAATAGTGCAATCTTGGCTCACAGCAACTGCTGCCTCCCAGGTTTGAGTGATTCTCCTGCCTCAGCCTCTCAAGTAGCTGAGACTATAGGCACACACCACCACATCTGGCTAATTTTTGTATTTTTAGTAGAGACGGGCTTTCACCATGTTGGCCAGGCTGGTCTTGAACTCCTGACCTCAGGTGATCCACCTGTCTCAGCCTCCCAAAGTGCTGGGATTATAGGTGTGAGCCGTGCCTGGCCTTCTTTATTAACTTAATCATGATTAGACTTTTGATTATGTTTTTTTACTTTCCAAACTTAGCTTTTTTTCTACAAGTTTGGCTTTAAATTAAATAATTTTTTTCAAATACTGTTTTGAGTCATACTGGCATTTTTGTTTTTTTTTTTTTGAGACCGAGTCTTGCTCTGTAGCCCAGGCTGGAGTGCAGTGGCATGAGCTTGGCTCACTGCAAGCGCCACCTCCTGGGTTCAGGCCATTCTCCTGCCTCAGCCTCCCAAGTAGCTGGGACTACAGGCACCCGCCACCACGCCCGGCTTATTTTTTGTATTTTTAGTAGAGACGGGGTTTCACCATGTTAGCCACGATGGTCTCGATCTCTTGACCTCACGATCCGCCTGCCTCGGCCTCCCAAAGTGCTGGGATTACCATACTGGCATTTTGACTCATACCTGCATTTAGCTGAATTTGTTTATCTGCTTTTATTCTAAATTTTAGTTTATCTGTATACCAAATAATATATTTGTAACCCTAGCCACTTGGAGGGCTGAGGTGGGAGGATCCCTTGAGGCCGGGAGTTTGAGGCTGCAATGAGTAATGATCATGCCTTGGCACTCCAGCCTGGGTGACAGAGTGAGACCCAGTCTCTAAAAAAAAATAATAATAATAATAAAATAAAATTAAGTGATTGATTCAACTTCCTAATTTGATGTCAAATGATAGAATAAAAATAAAAATAGAAAAATAGAAAATTTATTCAATTATGTTGCTATTGAGTACATTTATATAACCGTAACAAGTTGCTAATATTTTGAAGTGGCATTTTTATAGTTCAAGTCTCTTTTAGGTAGTGTTGGTATTTTTTCTATCCTTTTACTTCTAACCCTTTTCTATTATTTATCATAGGCATGCCTCTATTAAATAGCAAATCACTAGGAGGTTTATTTCTTCATCCTTTTTGACAACCTCAATCTTTCAGCTGTAAAGTTTGTTCTGTTTCTGTTTAGTGTGATTTTTGATGTATTTGAGTAGGCTTTTGTAATCTTGTGTAGAGCTGTTTATCCTGTTTAATATATAATGTGCCTTCTTTATCTGTGGGCTCATATCTTTCATCAATACTAGATGTTTTGCAGCATTAGATTTACAAATGTAACTTCTCAGTTCTTTCTGTTTTCTCCTGGGTCTCTTTTGACATATGTTTGACTTTCTCATTTATCCTCCAGTTCTCTTAAACTTTTTGTTTTGTTTTGTTTTTAATAAGCTTTACTTGTCACTCTATGCAGCAGTCTGGGTAATTTTTTCATATCTACAAGTTCTTAAGTATCTCTTTAGCTGTGATTAATCTGCCACTTAACTCCACTAAATTTTTGTTTTAAAATTATACATTTTTTTGAAAGTGTTGTTTTTATCTTCCTATCCATTTTTGACAATTTTTTTTGCTTTTAAAATATTTTAAGTATTTTTAAATTTTTTATATTTTGCTTTTACTTTCATTTTTTCCCCCAAGTGTCCAGTTCCCCTATGTAAAATAAAAAGAAGATAAATCTAAACTTGATTTTAGCCAAAAGGCTGAGAAGTGATAAAAGTAGGCTAATTTAGAAGCACAACTTAGTCCAGGCACCATGGCTCACACCTGTAATCCCAGCACTTTGGGAGGCCAAGGTGGGTGGATCACCTGAGGTCAGGAGTTCGAGACCAGCCTGGCCAACATGGCAAAATCCTGTCTCTACTAAAAATTAAAAAAAAAAAAAAAAAATTAGCCAGGCATGGTGGCAGGTGCCTGTAATCCCAGCTACTTGGGAGGCCGAGGCAGGAGAATTGCTTGAACTTGGGAGGCGGAAGTTGCAGTGAGCCAAGATTGCACCATTGCACTCTAGCCTGGGAGACAAGAGCGAAACTCAGTCTCAAAAAAAAAAAAAGTCTGTGTGCGGTGGCTCACGCCTGTAATCCCAGCACTTTGGGAGGCCGAGGCGGGCGGATCACGAGGTCAGGAGATCGAGACCATGGTGAAATCCCGTCTCTACTAAAAATACAAAAAATTAGCCAGGCGCGGTGGTGGGCGCCTGTAGTCCCAGCTACTCGGGAGGCTGAGGCAGGAGAATGGCGTGAACCCAGGAGGCGGAGCTTGCAGTGAGCCGACATCGCGCCACTGCACTCAAGCCTGGGGGACAGAGTGAGACTCCGTCTCAAAAAAAAAAAAAAGAAGCAGCACTACTTGAAGTCATGCAATACATTTGTCTTTCTTCTTTTAGGTTTAGTTTATTTGTTCTTAATAATAAGATAATAATGTCCTAGGAAGGTATAACTAATAATGGCTAAATTGCACCAAGGACAGAAAGACCAGTTAGGAAGTATGACATAAATACCATACTGTAGAATTTGAGAGTGGGAAATTTACGTTAAGCAGGAACATCACAAAGACAAGTCTGGACTATTCTACGTGAAAGCCAAGAGGGAGTAGTCAAAAATAACACTGGGTTTCAACTTGTAGGATGAGAATGATTTCTTGCATTTACAGGTATGGAAAAGATGAGGTTATTGGCTTCAGAATATGAGAGTGATGGTAGGATGTTAGGATAGAAAAATCCATTAGGTAGGAAAAAATGCAGGTCTGTCATTCAAAAAGTAAAACTTTATATATTGGCCGGGCACAGTGGCTCACGCATGTAATCCCAGCAGTTTGGGAGGCTGAGGCTGGCGGATCACCTGAGGTCAGGAGTTCAAGACCAGCCTTGCCAACGTGGCAAAACCCCGTCTCTAAATACACGAAAATACGAAATTTTTAAATACACTAAAAATACAAAAATTAGCTGGACATGGTGCCGTGCGCCTGTAATCCCAGCTACTTGGGAGGTTGAAGCAGGAGAATCGCTTGAACCTGGGAGGTAGAGGTTGCAGTGAGCTGAGATTGCACCATTGCACTCCAGCCTGGGCGACCAGAGCAAAACTCCATCTCAAAAAAAACAAAACAAACAAACAAAAAATCTGTGTATATCACTAGGAGAAGGAGAGTTGAAACCAAGGGAGTAAAAAATTATACAGCGGAATTAAATTCAAAAGGGAAAAGACAAAGTCCTAGGCTGTTAAGAATGAAATATAATCAAAATTAGGTCCTAGAAATTGATGTAGAGTCCACTGATCAAGGAAAACAACATAATTAAAAAGCCAGGATAAATAAGATCAGGAAACAATGGCTAAATTTATTGAAATGGTAAGTTTTATTATTTTTAAAATAGAATTGAGGTTTTTGTCTGTGTGTACTTTTTTTTCTAAACAGACCATTTTTGCCTTATAGATGCAACTTTAATGCTTCTTTGATCCATTACTATGTTTCAGAATATACTGTCATAGGATCATTAGTGAGATGTTCTCAGAGCTTTAATCTGAAATGCAGCAGTAATGGAAATGACGCCACCCCGAACTATGCTCATTTAGCCTTTAAAGGTACAATCCATTTACTTCCAAGAGTCTTGATGTAGTAAGATCAAGAGACTTTGTTAACTTTGTGTACTTATTTTCCAATGTCCATTGACAATACAATAAAACAGTTTTTTAAAGTCCCAATTTACAAACAGTACATTTGGTTGATAGGTGGATGAGTTTGAGCACACTTAATCTTTATATATAAGTTTGATTTTCTAACTAAAACTGTCCATTTAATTGCCTACTTCTTGAGTTCTGTAGTAGATCTTTTGGGGAACAGAGGGTTTCAGAAAAGCTTTGATTTGTTCTCTTTTCATGATCCGTACTTCAAAGTGGAATTTTCCTTGCTTGATTACACTTAGAGGAAGAGGGGTGGTGAGGAAGGGTTAAAATCAAAGTAAGCTATGCTTCAAGGAAAAAGAAAAGAAAAAGTAGTCGCAGCCTGGAGAATAAATTTGACCTCTTTAGTTTTATATTGTTGCAGCTAAAACCTGTGATGAGGTCATTCTTAGTGAACTACTTATAACTACTTAGTTCTTATAAATGCTGCCAATGTTTTTTTTAATCGTGATATTTAAGAAAGAAAAAAATTAAGATAAATAGTCAATACATATTGATGAGTTATATGAATTTGTTTATTCTTGGTATTGCTTCTTAGTTGTAAAATGTGAAATGGTTCCAAAGAATGGGCTTTTAGTTCTGTTTTTTGAAGTAGCAGCTATTAAAGTGCAAAATGCATAGTAGGCAAAATGGTGTTGATAGTTTACATTCTGTATTTTGTGATTAAAATTAGACAGCAATCCAAAAAGAGAATATAACTTCAAGTACATTCATGTCATACTTTTGTTTATTCTTTAATGTTTTTCATCCTAGTATGAATTTGAGATTAGTTTTACTGGCATTAAAAAAAAGAAGAAAATATTTTATCTTAATAGCTTTTACACAGGCTTTTGCTGTTAATTGCTATTGATTATCAGCTGATGGTATTGAAGATTTACATCTAAAATGCTAAATTATAGATATTAAAGGGGAATAGAATAATTGTTTTTAATATTAAGTAAGTTACCATCTACTACATTAGTTGGGTTTTATCCAAATTTTGTTACCTTATTACTATTAATGAAAATTGGGGAACCTAAGCTGAACTTTATTCTTAGTCCAGTAAGTCACTCAATTTATTTGATACTTACTTAGAGGAATTTTTAAAATTTATATATACCTTTTATTTCAATAGCTTTTGAAGTACAAGTGGTTTTTGGTTACATGGATGAACTGTATAGGGATGAAGTCTGAGATTTTAGTGCACCCACCACCTGAAGAGTGTATATTGCACCCAATATGTACTTCTTTATTCCTCACCCTCCTCCTATCCTTCCCCCTTCTGAATCTCCAGTATCCATTATAGCACTTTGTATGCCTTTGCATATCCATTGCTTAGCTCCCATTTATAATTCAGAACATACAGTATTTGGTTTTCCACTCCTGAGTTACTTCACTTAGAACAATGGCCTCCAGCTCCATCCAGGTTGCTGCAAAAGACATTATTTTGTTCTTTGTTATGGCTGAATAGTATTCCAGCGTGTGTGTGTGTGTGTATGTGTATATATCGCATTTTCTTAATCCATTCATCGTTTGATGGGAACTTAGAACTTAGGCTTGTTCCATATCTTTGCAATTCTGAATTGTGCTGCAATAAGCATATGAATGCAGGTGTATTTTTGATATTATGACTTCTTTTCCTTTGGGTAGATACCCAGTAGTGGGATTGCTGGATCAAATAATAAATTTATTTTTAGTTATTTGAGAAATTTCCATACTGCTTTCCATAGAGTTTGTAGTAATTTACATTCTCACTAGTAATGTATAAGTGTTCCCTTTTCTTGTTTTTTTTTAATTTTTTAATTTTTTTATTTATTTTTATTTTTTGAGACGTAGTCTCGCTCTGTCACCAGGCTGGAGTGCAGTGGCATGATATTGGCTCACTGCAACCTCCGCCTCCTGGGTTCAAGCGATTCTCCTGCCTTAGCCTCCTGAGTAGCTGGGATTACAGGCATGCGCCACCACACCCAACTAATTTTTGTATTTTTAGTAGCAACAGGGTTTCACCCTGTTGGCCAGGATGGTCCTGACCTCGTGATCCGCCCGCCTTGGACTCCCAAAGTGCTGGGATTACAGGCGTGAGCCGCCAAGCCTGGCAAAGTGTTCCCTTTTCATCACACCCACACCAACCTCTATTGTTTCTTGACTCGTTAATAGTGGCCATTCTGGCTGGGGTAAAGTGTTATCTCATTGTGATTTTAATTTGCTGATCTTCAATTTCCTGTTGATTAGTGATGTTGAGCAGTTTTTTCATATATTTTTTGGCCATTTGTATATCTTCTTTTGAGAACTACCTATTCGTGTCATTTGCCCACCTTTTAATGGGATTTTTTTTTCTTGCTGATTTGTTTTGAGTTCCTTGTAGATTCTGGATATTAGTTGTTTGTGGGATGCACAGTTTGCAAATATTTTCTCCCACTTTGTGGGTTGTCTGTTTGCTCTGATAATTGCTTCTTTTGCTGTGCAGAATCTTTTTAACAAGGTCCCATTTATTTATTTTTGTTTTTGTTGCATTAGCTTTTGTGGTCTTATTCATAAATTATTTGCCTAGGCCAATTTTCATAAGAGTTTTTCCTAGGTTTTCTTCTAGAAATTTTATAGTTTCAAGTCTTAGATTTAAGTCTTCAATCCATCTTGAGTTGATTTTTTTATGTAGTGAGAGATATGGATCCAGTTTCATTCTTCTACACGTGGCTATCCAGTTTTCCAAGCACCATTTATGTTATCATATGCTTTGTTGAAGAGCAGTTGGTTTTAAGTATTTGGCTTTATTTCTGGGTTCTCTATTCTGTTCCATTGGTCTACATATCTACTTTTATACCAATACCATGCTGTTTTTGTTACTGTAGTCTTGTAGTATAATTTGAAGCTGGGTAATATGATGCTTCCAGATTTGTTTATTGAAGAGCCTTTATTCAAGCCATCTTAAGTAAATGTGAAGGAAAAAATTCTAAGAGCAGTGAGACCAAAGCATCAAGGTAACCTATAAAGGAAAACCTATCAGACTAACAGCAGACTTCTCAGCAGAAACCTTGCAAGCCAGAAGGGATTGGGGTCCTATCTTTAGCCTCATTAAATAGAGTAACTGTCAGCCATGAATTTTGTATCCAGCAAAACTAAGTTTCATAAATGAAGGAGAAATAAAGTCTTTTTCAGACAAGCAAATGCTGAGGGCATTTGTCACTATTAGATCAGACATATAAGAAATACTAAAAGGAGTTCTAAATCTTGAAGCAAAAGGTTGATATGCAAGAGAATGGAACCTCTTGAAAGCATAAAACTCACAGAGACTCTAAAATAACACAATGAAAAAAACAAAGTATCTTGATAACAGTCAACGTGGTGACTAATACAGTACCTCATATCTCAATATTAACATTGAATGTAAATGTTCTAAATGCTCCACTTAAAAGATACACACATTGGCAGACTGGATTAAAAATCACAAAGCAAACATCTGCTTTTTTCAAGAGACTCATTTAACATGTAAGAATTCTTACAGACTCGAGGTAAAGGAGTAGAACATGTTTTTTTTTCTTTAAATGGCCTATTGATTTTTTTCTTCCTATAATTATCCATCCTCCTATTATTGTCAGTATGCTCTTTTGTCCTTTAAACAATGTTCAAACTTTAGACTAGAATTCAAAAATACTTTACCATTTGACTCTAAGTCTACCTTTCTAGCTTTTTTTCCAGCTACATCTAATACTTTATATTGTCTTCAAAGGGCATTCCTTTTTCTTTCTTTTCCTTTTTAAGAAATTCAGAGGCCGGGCGCAGTGGTCACGCCTGTAATCCCAGCACTTTGGGAGGCCAAGGCAGATGGATCACCTGAGGTTGGGAGTTTCAGACCAGCCTGACCAACATGGAGAAACCACGTCTCTACTAAAAATACAAAATTAGCCTAGTGTGGTGATGCATGCCTGTAACCCAGGCTACTCGTGAGGCTGAGGCAGGAGAATCACTTGAACCCAGGGGGCGGAGGTTGCGGTGAGCTGAGATTGTGCTATTGTACTCCAGCCTGGACAACAAGAGTGAAACTCCGTCTGAAAAAAAAAATTCAGATCGAATTTATATACCATAAAATTCACCTTTCAAAAGTGTACAATTCAGTGGTTTCAGTATTGATATGGTTAGGCTTTGTGTCCCCAACCAAGTCTCATCTTAAATTGTAATCCCCATAATCCCCATGTGTCAAGGGAGAGACCAGGTGGAGGTAATTGAATCATGGGGTTGGTTTCCCCCATACTGTTCTCATGATAGTGAGTAAGTTCTCACAAGATCTGATGGTTTTATTACGTATAAGGGGCTTTTCACCCTTTGCTTGGCACTTCTTCCTGCTGCCTTGAGAAGAAGATACCTTGCTTTCCCTTCACCTTCTGTCATGATTGTAAGTTTCCTGAGGCCTCCCCAGCCATGCTGAATTCTGAGTCAATTAAACCTCTTTCCGTTATAAATTACCCAGTATTGGGTATTTCCTTATAGCAATGTGAGAATGGACTAATGTAAGTATATTCGCAAAGATGTACAACCATCACCACTATCTAAATTTCAGAACATTTCCATTACCCCAAAAAGAAACCTTGTGCCCATTTGTTGTCATTCTCCATTCTCTCCAGCCCTAGGTAACCACTAATTTACATTATTTCTCTATCAATTTGCATATTGTGGACATTTCCTTTAAATGGAACCACACAATATGTGGCCTTTTGTGTTTGACCTCTTTCTTGTAGCATAATGTTTTCAAGATTCATTTATATGGTAGCATAAATCAGTACTTCATCCCTTTTTATGCCTGAATAATATCCCATTGTATGGATATACCACATTTTATTTTATTCATTGATTTATTCATTAATTCAAAAATATTTTTCTTTTTAAAATTTTTTCTATATTTATTTTAGATTCAGGAGTTGCATGTGCAGATTTGTTGCCTGAGTATATTGTGTGATGCTGAGGTTTGGGGTACAAATGATTCTGTCACCCAAGTAGTGAACATAGTGTCCAATAGTTAGTTTTTCAACCCTTTCTCCCCTCCTTCCTTCTGTCCTGTAGTAGTTCTCAATTTCTATTGTTGCCGTCTTTATGTCTATAAATACCCAATATTTAGCTCCCACCTATAAGTGAGAACATGTGGTGTTTAGTTTTGTGTTCCTGCATTAATTTGCTTAGGATACTGACCTCTAGTTGCATTCATGTTGCTGCAAAGGACATGATTTTATTTTTTTGTTATGGCCATGTAGTATCCCATAGTGTATATTTACCACATTTTCTTTATCCAGTCCCCATTGATGGGCACCTAGTTGATAACATGTCTTTGCTATTGTGAATAGTGCGGTGATGAACAGGAGATTACGTGTGTCTTTTTGGTAGAAAGGTTTGTTTTCTTTTGGATATATACCTATAAGTGGGATTGCTGGGTCAAATGGTAATTCGGTTTCAAGTTCTTTGAAAAATCTCCGAACTGCTTTCCACACTGGCTGAACAAATTTACATTCCCACCAGCAGAGTAGAAGCATTCTCATTTCTCCACAGCATGCCAGCATTTGTTGTTTTGGTTTTTTTAAATAATAGCCATTCTGACTAGTGTGAGATGGTATTTCATTGTGGTTTTGATTTACATTTTTCTGATGATTAGTGATGTTTAGCATTTTTTCATATGTTTGTTGGCCACTTGTATGTCCTCTTTTGAGAAGTGTCTGTTCATGTTTTTGCCCATTTTAAAATGCTGTTATTTATTTTCTTGTTGAGTTGTTTAAGTTCCTGGTAGATTCTGGATATTAGACCTGTCTTGGATGCATAGTTTGCAAATATTTTCTTCCATTCTCCCATTTTTTAAAGTTATTAAATTATTTATTGTACTGCGTTTAAAAAAAACCCAGACAATTATTATTAAGCTCAATAAATGTACATGGGGTACTTGGAAGATTAAGTTCTACAGCTGCCTATTTCCACATCTTTTAATTCATCTGACTCTGTAAACAATAGGGAAAAAGCCCCTATTTGGCAGAGGAGTGTTTTAAATCTGTTGATAGTTTTTTTTGCTGTTTGTTTGAAAGCTCATTAGTTTAACTAGGTCCTAACTGACAATTTTTGTTTTTGTTGCAATTGCTTCTGAGGACTTAGTCATAAATTACTTCCCAAGGCCAATGTCCAGAATGGTGTTTCCCAGGTTTTCTACTAGGATTCTTATAATTTGAGGTCTTACATTTAAAATTTTAATCCATCTTGAGTTAATTTTTATATATAGTAAAAGGTGGGTGCCCAGTTTCATTTTGAATATAGCTAGCCAGCTGTCCTAGCACCATTTATTGAATAGGGAGTCCTTTTCCCATTGCTTATTTTCATTGATTTTGTTGACGATCAGGTGGTTGTAGGTGTGCAGCTTTATTTCTAGGTTCTCTATTCTATTCCATTGATCTAGGTGTTTCTGTACCAGTACCATACTGTTTGGTTACTGTAGCCTTATAGTATAGTTTGAAGCCAGGTAATGTGATGACTCCAGCTTTGTTCTTTTTGCTTAGCATTGCTTTGGCTATTTGGGCCCTTTTTGGATCCATATGAATTTTAGAATAGTTTTTTCTAGTTCTGTGAAAAATGACATTGGTAGTTTGATAGGAATAGCATTGAATCCATAGATTGCTTTGGGCAGTATGGCCATTTTAAGAATATTGATTCTTCCAATTTATGATTATGGAATATTTCCCATTTGTGTCATCTATGATTTATTTAATGGTGTTTTATAATTGTCCTTGTAAAGATCTTTTACCTCCTTGTTTAGATGTATTCCTAGGTATTTTATTTTTGTGCATGTGGCTATTGTAAGTGGGATTGCATTGTTGATTTGGCTCTCAGCTTGAATGTTATTGGTGTCTAAAAATGCTAGGGGTTTTTGTATATTGATTTTGTATCCTGAAACTTTACTGAAATTGTTTATCGGTTCCAGAAACCTTTTGGCAGTCTTCAGAGTTTTCTAAATATAGGATTATATCATCCTATGCGCAGAGATAGTTTGCCTTCTTCTTTTGCTATTTGGATGCCTTTTATTTATTTTTCTTGCCTGATTGCTCTGGCTAGCTCTTCCAATACTATGTTGAATAGGAATGGTGAGAGTGGTCATCCTTGTCTTATTCCAGTTCTCAAGGGGAATGCTTCCAGTGTTTGCCCATTCAGTGTGATGTTGGCTGTGGGTTTGTCATAGATGGCTCTTATTATTTTGAGATTTATTCCTTCAATGCCTAGTTTTCTGAAGGTTTTTGTCATAAAGGGATGTTGGATTTTATAGAAAGCTTTTTCTGTGTCTATTGAGATAATCATATGGTTTTTGTTTTTAATTCTGTTTATGTGGTGAATCACATTTATTGATTTGTGTATGTTGAACCAACCTTGCATCCCAAGAACAAAACCTCCTTTATCATGGTGAATTAACTTTTTGTTATGCTGTTGAATTCAGTTTTCTAGTATTTTGTTGAGGATTTTTGCTCCTGTGTTAATCAGGGATATTGGTCTGTAGTTTTCTTTTTTTGTTGTTTCTTTACCAGGTTTTGGTATTACAGTGATGCTGGCTTTGTAGAGTTAGGGAGGAGTCCCTCCTCCTTGAGTTTTTGGAATAATTTCAGTAGAATTGGGATATACCACATTTTATATTATTTTATTTTATTTTATTTTGTTGTTGTTGTTGGTTTTTTTTTTTTTTTTTAAATGGAGTCTTGCTCTGTTGCCCAGGCTGGAGTGCAGTGGTGTGAGCTCTGTGATCTCCGCTCACTGCAACCTCCGCCTCCTGGGCTCAAGTGATTCTCTTGCCACAGCCTCCCACCAGGCTGAGATTACAGGTGCCTGCTGCCATGCCTGGCTAATTTTTGGGGATATACCACATGTTAGTTATTCCTTCATCCCTTGACAGATTTTTGGATTGATGCCTCCTTTGGGCCATTATGAATAATGCTGCTATTAATAGTCATACAAGTTTTTGTGTGGACATATATTTTCAATTCTCATGGATATATACTTAGGAATGGAAGTGCTGGGTCATATGGTGATTCTATGTTTAACCTTTTGAAGAACTTAAAAATTATTTTCCAAAGTGACTGCATTATTTTACATTTCCATCTTCAGTGTCTAAGTGTTCCAGTTTCTTCACATCATCACCAACACTTGTTATTGTGTCTTTAAAAAAAACAAAAACAAAAACAGGCTTGATTTACTTTATTTTTCTTGTATAAACCCTACATTGTAGTCACAGCTGGAGCCTGGGTCCTCTGCATGGAGACTCTGGAGTGGGTCTTGATGGGGTGGTCAGTGAATTCCTGATAGGGAGACTTGGTGAATACAGTCTCCTTCCGGAGGTCAGGGGTCAGGTGGCTGTAGGTCTTAGAGATGTCATTGAAGTTGGCCTTGGCGAAATTGCCCAGGGTGGCCATGCAGCCCCTGGCTGAAGTGTAGCAGTCATCGATACCAGCCGTCATCAGCAGCTTCTTGGGCATGGGGGCTGAGATGATCCCAGTGCCCCTGGGCACAGGGATGAGGTCACCAGCACAGAGCTGCAGTGGCCTGTCACCTTGCAAGGGATGGTGTGGGGCTTGCTGATCTTGTTCCCCCAGTAGCCTGTGCACACAGGGACAATGGAGAGCTTGGCTGGGATGATGGCCTCGTGTATGGCAGTGGCCACCTCCTTGGAGCACTTAGCACCCAGACCTACCTGGCCATTATAGTCCCCAGTGGCAACAAATGCCTTGAACCTGGTGTTCTGGCCAGCGTAGGTCTGCTTCTGCACTGACATAATCTTCAAAACCTCATCCTTGAGAGAGCCCCCGAAAAAAATCAGTGATCTCAGACTCCTTGATGGGCAGGAAGAAGAGATAGATCTCCTCCAGGGACTTCATCTTCATGTCCTTGACTAGCTGGCCCAGATTGGTGACAGGCATCCACTCCTAGTCCAAGGCCTTGCCTCTGTGAGCTCCGTGGCTTCAGCCCTGGCCCTGACCATGGCCATGACCTTGGCCTCAGATGCCACTGCCGAAGCCTCCACAGAAGCCACTGCGGTTTCCCATCCCTGGGCCCCCGGGATGCACCCTTGCACTGGCATCATCCGCCATTTGGTATTTTCTCAGAGAAGGTTATTGTGTCTTTTTTGTTATAGCCATCCTAGTGGGTTCGAAGTGGTATTTTACTGTGGTTTTTATTTGATTTTCACAAATGACTAATGATGTTGACGATCTTTTTATGTGCTTATTGGCCATGTGTATATCTTCTTTGGAGAAATGTCTATTAAGATCCTTTACTCATTTCTTGATTGAGTTATTTGCCTTTTTATTGTTCACTTGTAATAGTTTTTTAAATAAATTTGAATATTAGACTTATCATATATGATTCGCAAATATTTTTCCTCATACTCTATATTGACTTTTAACTTTGTTGATAGTGTGTTTTGAAGCGTGAAAGGTTTTATTTTCAATGAATTCCAATTTACCTGTTTTTTTCTTTCATTACTTGTGCCTTTAGTGTCATATCTCAGAAATCATTGCTTAATACAAGGTCATAAAGATTTACTCCTATGTTTTTTTCTAAGATTTTTGTAGTTTTAGCCCTTACATTTAGGTCTTTGGGTTCGTTTTGAATTAACGTTTGCATATGATGTGAGATGGAGACAAAGAGTGCTTGTTGTCCTTCTGTATACAAAACACATTTTCACAATTTGTCCTGTTACTTAAAAGTGTTCCTGTACTTGAGCTAGTCTTCCCCTATTCTAAATCACTACCAAATTATATTTTTTAATGTTCTAGCTCAAATGCCCAGAAATTCCTTTAAAACTTCTTTCCTTTATTGCCAAGAAACCAAGAATGATCTTACCTCTCATATGGCTTTATATATATCCTTCTTACAGCACTTTTGTCACTTTCCATCTAATATTATAGCTGTTTATGTAAATATATTAGCATTTTTTCCCTAAGATAAAGTTCATAGTTTTATTTGTTTTCATCATTTAGTGTAGGGGGGCAAAATCTTTCCCTTGACCTTCTTAGAGTTCCCAGCTGAGTCTGAAAATTAAATGGAATAAGACATGTTAACAAGTGAAAAGCACACAAATTTATTTAAGTTTTATGTCACACAGAAGTCTTCATAAGGAAATGAAGACACAAAGAAATAACAAAAGTAAATAAAAAATAAACAATGAAAATAATAAAAAATAATTTTAAAAGCCTGAGTGTTTTTATACTAGGTTTGATAAAGAATGGAAAGTTGTAAGAAAATGTGATAGACAAAGGGGTATGAGCTAAGAGTAGTAGTAAACTGGGGAAAACTTAGCAAGGCCTATTCATTCAGATTCCTCATGGATTCCCGCCTCTTTCTTCAGAGATAAGGATGCTTTTTTCCTCTGGATATAGGGAGGGCACTTTGTACATGAGGGTTTTATGACTTCCTTCCTAGGAAAAGGGAGTGGTCAGAGAGTACTTCATGCCTGCTGTTTCTCAGATTCGTTCAGTTTAACATATTCAATATGCCAAAGGATCATATTTTGGAGCAATGTGTCCTGAACCCCATCATTAGCAGTTAGTATATGTCTGTTGATTTAATTATGTTAATAGATTTCTGGTGTAGTGGGGGCAAAAGGAAATTATAATTGTTTAGAGACAGAGTAAGTTTAGTCTAAAACACCAGTAGAGTAGCAATCTTCAGTGACCACTGTGAATATATAACATGTATATTTTATTTTATTAATGTACATTATATTTTATTAATTTAATTGCTCTAAATGTGTAAGAACAGGATATATATTTTTATTGTAAAATGACGTTAACATTATGGCATCAGGTTACAAGTGCAATTTTTGATGGGATTTGAAATGGCAGACATTAGATAAAAGCATTCTTCAGGGATAGAGAGGAATGCTGCATTATATAATTTAATTGGCCAGTTGGGAGTGATTAATAATATTGCTTATATTTTAAGTCATATTTTAAATATTGAATCTTTTTACAATTAGATGTTTACAATATTATTAAAAGAATTTTCCTTAAAAAATCCCTGCCATGTTTGTTATGAGAAATGTTTTTGGAAAATCTGAGTATTACACTGTCCTACTGAAGAAAATTGCCTGGGAAAACTGTGATTGACAGCTTATGTTAAGGTTTGCAATCTTGCGTAGGTATCATGCCAAGTTTTCATTTATTCACTTTCTTGAAAGTGGAAAGAAATTTAGAAAAGCATAGGCTTACCACAGAGTTCCTTTACAGAAACTATTTTCATGTGAGAAGGTGGCCCGCTGAGCCTGTTTTAGTCTGTGATTCTTTAAGATATGGAGGCCTGTTGCTAGGTCTTATAAGGCCATTCTGAGAGGCTAGAAATTGATCAAAAAGACAAGTTCTTCCTTTGGTGTTACAGAGAAGTAAATGCAGTTTCATGAACTTTGATTTTTGATACGTAGGTTGGAACTGTTTGTTAGCAAACTATTAAGCAAGCTATAGAGGATTGCTAAATCTTGATATTCATAAGATTAAATAGTATAGCAAAGAGTAATGAAGTGCATATAATTAGAGAATTGTAAAGTAATATTAACATTTTCAACTACAAATAATTGGATTAAAAAACTCTGGTATCAGTATTATTTGAATTAGTTATGGTTTTCAATTACTTCAACTGCTAATTTTCAATTATATTATTACTTTTAATTTAGTTTCATCATTTATTTTGTTTTTAGTTGTTATTTGATATCAAATATGTATTTTGCATAAGCATTTTGTTTTTGACCAAAGTTTTCTAATAACCAAATTGTCATATATTTCCTATATGGATCATTTTATTGCTAATGCAGATGTATGCAAAATGCCATCTTCTCCAAATTTTTTTGTGTAGTGACATGTTATCAGTGATGTGTGCCTATGAATGTGAAAATAGCTTATAATACACTGTCAAGGTAAGAGTAATACGATTACTGCTTTAGAAATACTTAAAGGGCATTGTTTTGGTATCAAATCATGTGTATTTGGTCAAGTATTGTGTGTGTGCGTGTGTGTGTTTGTGTGCCTGTGTGCATGTGTGTATGTGTGTATGCAAGTGTGTATGTGTTTTCACTAAAAAAGTACTTCTATATAATGCTGTAATCCTAATCCTCTCTTCCGAGGACTAACTATGAACAGGTGAGACTTTGCATTAGTCTTAGTCATTCTACTATTACAATTTAATTTCTTGGTTTTTAAGGGCTTTTAGTATTTAACATTCCCATTTTCATTTTAAAAATGTATATTCTTCCAGGATATATCACATATTAAGGATTTATAGCATTAAAGATCTTTTCTTGCATTTTGCCACTTTACTGTGTGAAATTGAGGCAAGTTACTTTACTTTGTACTTAAATTTCTTTACCCATAAAATGGACAGTATAATAATAACCTACCTTAGGTAATGGTTGTGAAGATGAAATAATTCATGTAAATGTCTTAGAATGGTGCCTGGTTTAAATTATGACTCAATAAATGATAGCTATTATTAACATTAGTACTGTAGTGGGACTAATTGACTTGGTAGAAGACTTCATGGGATACATAGTATGGCATTTCTAATTCCCTACTTCTTTATACTTAAGGATATAGTAAAGGGAACTAAAGAGCACTCTAGAAGTTTAGTTTGTGTCAGCCTTTTACAAAGGCATAATTTTTCAAAGACCTATATTTAAATGTTACTACATAATATTATTTAATATAAATGTTTTCAGTGACTAAATTGTTTTTCTCTCTTCCTCCTTCCCTTTATACACTTATCTTTGAATAAAGTTGAATCAGCAAGAAGATGCAGCATGTTTTAACTTATGTTTTTCCCTACCTGTGACAACCTATCAAACTCCCACGTCACTCATACTCCGGTTTGAGACATACAGGGACCAGATAGACTATGGGGAAGGATTGACACAAAAATGGAAGACAGCTGGAGTAGGAGGAAAATGCTGATGAAGGAGATAATAGGATTCCATTGGATTACAGTCATTTATAGAAATTTGGCTCTTAAACTTTTCCACTTCTAAATAAAGACTTTTTATTCAAAATTTATTAAGAGAAAGAAAGCTGTATAGGCACTATGGAAAACAGTATGAAGGTTCCTCAAATAATAAAAAATAGAACTGCCATAGGCTCCAGCAATCCCACTGCTAGGTACATATCCAAAGGATATGAAATCAGTATGTTGAAGAGATACGTGCACTCCCATGTTCACTGCAGCACAGCAAATCAAACTCACTGTTGACCGATGGATAAATAGATTTTAAAAATATGATATATACACATAATAGAACACTATTTACCCTTAAAAAAGAAGCAGGCCAGGCTCAGTGGCTCACACCTGTAATTTCAGCACTTTGGGAGGCTGAGGTGGGAGGATCACTTGAGCCCATGAGTTCAAGACCAGCCTGGGAAACATGGCAAGACCCGTTTCTACAAAAAATGCAAAAAATTAGCTGAGCGTGGTGGTGTGCGGCTGTGCTCCCAGCTACTCAGGAGCCTGAAGCAGGAGGATTGCTTGACCTCAGGAGCTCAAGACTGCAGTGAGCTATGATTGCACCACTGCCCTCTAGCCTGGGTGACAGAATGAGTTCCTAAAAGAAAAGGAAGTCCTGTCATTTGTGATGGCATGAATGAACCCGGAGGACATTGTATTAAGGAAGCCAGGCATAGAAAGACAAATACTGCATGATCTCACTTATATGTAGAGTATATATAAAAAAGTCAAAGTCATAGAAATAGAGAGTAAAATGGTGGTTGCCAGAAGTTGTGGGGGTTAGGAGATGTTGATCATAGGACACAAAATTTCAATTTGGAGGAATAAATTCATGAGATCTCTTGTACATCATGGTGGCTATAGTTAATGATAATATTAATATATTGCATACTTGAAAATTGCAATGGTATAAAAGAGAGTAGATTTTAAGTGTTCTTTCCATAGGAAAATAAATATTTGAGGTAATGCATATATTATTTTGATTTAGCTGTTCCATAATGTATACATATATCAAAACATCAAGCTGTATGTTATAAATATATATAATTTTTACTTGCCAATTAAAGAAAGAATGCTAACTCTTGTTGGCTGTAACTTTTACCCATAATTTATTCAACTGATTGAGTTATGAGTAGCTCAATGTAAACTGTTAAGTATAACATGATTGAATTTCTATCTAACAATAATTTATACATGAAGAAATGTTATTTTTCATAATACATTGACTTTTGTTGCGTAGTTGGTTATCTGCAAGTTCTGGTACTTGAGCATTTGTGACATGAGTTAAGTTTGTCATTGGAAGTCCCAACTTTTCTTTTTGATGTGTTTTCCCACATTTTCTCTGCTCTCAGTATTGCCCGTCTTCTTTTCTCTCAAGCACAAGTGTTTTTAGGAAAGAATATGATGAATTCAATCAAATGAAGTTGGAAATAATTTTGTGAAATTACAAATACTGTGTTTTTTCTTTCTAGAGTATGTGATTTTAATAGCGGTCAAACCTTTTATGTAACTTATATTGCATATGATAAAAAACTAAGTCTGCATCTATTGAGATAATCATGTAGTTTTTGTCTTTGGTTCTGTTTATATGATGGATTACGTTTATTGATTTGCATATGTTGAACAAGCCTTGCATCCCAGGGATGAAGCCCACTTGATCATGGTGAATAAACTTTTTGATGTGCTGCTGGATTCAGTTTGCCAGTATTTTATTGAGGATTTTTGCATCGATGTTCATCAGGGATATTGGTCTAAAATTCTCTTTTTTTGTTGTGTCTCTGCTAGGCTTTGGTATCAGGATGATGCTGGCCTCATAAAATGAGTTAGGAGGATTTCTTCTTTTTCTACTGATTGGAATATTGTCAGAAGGAATGGTACCAACTCCTCCTTGTACCTCTGGTAGAATTCGGCTGTGAATCTGTCTGGTCCTGGACTTTTTTTGGTTGGTAGGCTATTAATTATTGCCTCAATTTCAGAGCCTGTTATTGGTCTATTCAGGGATTCAACTTCTTCCTGATTTAGTCTTGGGAGGGTGTATGTGTCCAGGAATTTATCGATTTCTTCTAGATTTTCTAGTTTATTTGCATAGAGGTGTTTATAGTATTCTCTGATGGTAGTGTATTTCTGTGGGATCAGTGGTGATATCCCCTTTATCATTTTTTATTGCGTCTATTTGATTCTTCTCTGTTTTCTGCTTTATTAGTCTTGCTAGCGGTCTATCAGTTTTGTTGATCTTTTAAAAAAACCAGCTCCTGAATTCATTGATTTTTTGAAGGGTTTTTTATGTCTCTGTCTCCTTCAGTTCTGCTCTGATCTTAGTTATTTCTTGCCTTCTGCTAGCTTTTGAATGTGTTTGCTCTTGCTTCTCTAGTTCTTTTAATCGTGATGTTAGGGTGTCCATTTTAGATCTTTCCTGCTTTCTCTTGTGGGCATTTAGTGCTATAAATTTCCCTCTACACACTGCTTTAAATGTCTCCCAGAGATTCTGGTATGTTGTGTCTTTGTTCTCATTGGTTTCAAAGAACATCTTTATTTCTGCCTTCATTTCGTTATGTACCCAGTAGTCATTCAGGAGCAGGTTGTTCAGTTTCCATGTAGTTGAGCAGTTTGGAGTGAGTTTCTTAATCCTGAGTTCTAGTTTGATTGCACTGTGGTCTGAGAGACAGTTTGTTATAATTTCTGTTCTTTTTCATTTGCTGAGGAATGCTTTACTTCCAACTATGTGGTCAATTTTGGAATAAGTGCGATATGTTGCTGAGAAGAATGTATCTTCTGTTGATTTGGGGTGGAGAGTTCTGTAGATGTCTATTAGGTCTGCTTGGTGCAGAGCTGAGTTCAAGTCCTGGATATCTCTGTTAACTTTCTGTCTTGTTGATCTGTCTAATGTTGACAGTGGGGTGTTAAAGTCTCCCATTATTATTGTATGGGAGTCTAAGTCTCTTTGTATGGCTCTAAGGACTTGCTTTATGAATCTGGGTGTTCCTGTATTGGGTGCATATATATTTAAGATAGTTAGCTCTTCTTGTTGAATTGATCCCTTTACCATTATGTGATGGCCTTCTTTGTCTCTTTTGATCTTTGTTGGTTTAAAGTCTGTTTTATCAGAGACTAGGATTGCAACCCCTGCTTTTTTTTGTTTTCCATTTGCTTGGTAGATCTTCCTCCATCCCTTTATTTTGAGCCTATGTGTGTCTCTGCACGTAACATGGGTTTCCTGAATACAGCACACTGATGGGTTTTGACTCTTTATCCAATTTGCCAGTCTGTGTCTTTTAATTGGAGCATTTAGCCCATTTACATTTAAGGTTAATATTGTTATGTGTGAATTTGATCCTGTCATTATGATGTTAGCTGGTTATTTTGCCCATTAGTTTATGTAGTTTCTTCCTAGCATCGATGGTCTTTACAATTTTGGCATGATTTTTCAGTGGCTGGTACCAGTTGTTCCTTTCCATGTTTAGTGCTTCTTTCAGAAGCCCTTGTAAGGCAGGCCTGGTGGTGACAAAATCTCTCAGCATTTGCTTGTCTGTAAAGGATTTTATTTCTCCTTCACTTATGAAGCTTAGTTTGGCTGGATATGAAATTCTGGTTTGAAAATTCTTTTCTTTAATAATGTTGATTCCAAGTCTTTGCTATTGTGAATAGTGCCGCAATAAACATACGTGTGCATGTGTCTTTATAGCAGCATGATTTATAATCCTTTGGGTATATACCCAGTAATGATGATAGACTGGATTGAGAAAATGTGGCATATATACACCATGGAATACTGTGCAGCCATAAAAAATGATGAGTTCATGTCCTTTGTAGGGACATGGATGAAGCTGGAAACCATCATTCTCAGCAAACTATTGCAAGGACAAAAAACCAAACACCGCATGTTCTCACTCATAGGTGGGAATTGGACAATGAGAACACATGGACACAGGAAGGGGAACATCACACACCGGGGACTGTTGTGGGGTGGGGGGAGGGAGGAGGGATAGCATTAGGAGATATACCTAATGCTAAATGACGAGTTAATGGGTGCAGCACACCAACATGGCACATGTATACATATGTAACGAACCTGCACGTTGTGCACATGTACCCTAAAACTTAAAGTATAATAAAAAAAAAAAGAACATTGAATATTGGCCCCCCACTCTCTTCTGGCTTTTAGAGTTTCTGCCGAGAGATCTGCTGTTAGTCTGATGGGCTTCCCTTTGTGGGTAACCCGACCTTTCTCTCTGGCTGCCCTTAACATTTTTTCCTTCATTTCAACTTTGGTGAATCTGACAATTTTGTGTCTTGGAGTTGCTCTTCTTAAGGAGTATCTTTGTGGCATTCTCTGTATTTCCTGAATTTGAATGTTGGCTTGCCTTGCTAGGTTGGGCTGGTTCTCCTGGATAATATCCTGAAGAGTATTTTCCAACTTGGTTCCATTCTCCCTGTCACTTTCAGGTACACCAAGCAGACGTAGATTTGGTCTTTTCACATAGTCCCATATTTCTTGGAGGCTTTGTCTGTTTCTTTTTACTCTTTTTTCTCTAAACTTCTCTTCTCGCTTCATTTCATTCATGTGATCTTCAATAGATGCAGAAAAGATCTTCGACAAAATTCAACAGCCCTTCATGCTAAAAACTCTCAATAAACTAGGTATTGATGGGACGTATCTCAAAATAATAAGAGCTATTTATGACAAACCCACAGCCAATATTATACTGAATTCTAACCAGAGGTACAAGGAGGAGCTGGTACCATTCCTTCTGACACTATTCCAATCAACAGGAAAAGAAGCAATCCTCCCAACTCATTTTATGAGGCCAGTATCATCGTGATACCAAAGCCTGGCAAATACACAACAAAAAAAGAGAATTTTAGACCAATATCCCTGATGAACATCAATGCAAAAATCCTCAATAAAATACTGGCAAACGGAATCCAGCAGCACATCAAAAAGCTTATCCACCATGATCAAGTGGGCTTCATCCCTGGGATGCAAGGCTTGTTTAACATACGCAAATCAATAAACGTAATCCATCATATAAACAGAACCAAAGACAAAAACCACATGATTATCTCAATAGATGCCGAAAAGGCCTTTGACAAAATTCAACACCCCTTCATGCTAAAAACTCTGAATAAATTACGTATTGATGGAACATATCTCAAAATAATAAGAGCTATTTATGACAAACCCACAGCCAATATCATACTGAATGGGCAAAAACTGGAAGCATTCCCTTGGAAAACTGGTGCAAGACAAGGATGCCCTCTCTCACCACTCCTATTTAACATAGTGTTGGAAGCTCTGGCCAGGGCAATTAGGCAGGAGAAAGAAATAAAGGGTATTCAATTAGGAAAAGAGGAAGTCAAATTGTCCCTTTTTGCAGATGACATGATTGTATATTTAGAAAACCCCATCGTCTCAGCCCAAAATCTCCTTAAGCTAATAAGCAACTTCAGCAAAGTCTCAGGATACAAAATCAATGTGTAAAAATCACAAGCATTCTTATACACCAATAACAGACTAACACAGAGCCAAATCATGAGTGAACTCCCATTCACAATTGCTTCAGAGAGAAGAAAATACCTAGGAATCCAACTTACAAGGGATGTGAACGACCTCTTCAAGGAGTACTACAAACCACTGCTCAGTGAAATAAAAGAGGACACGAACAAATGGAAGAACATTCCATGCTCATGGATAGGAAGAGCCAATATCGTGAAAATGGCCATAGTGCCTAAGATAATTTATAGATTCAATGCCATCCCCATCAAGCTACCAATGACTTTCTTCAAAGAATTGGAAAAAACTACTTTAAAGTTCATATGGAACCAAAAAAGAGCCCACATTGCCAAGTCAATCCTAAGCCAAAAGAACAAAGCTGGAGGCATCACACTACCTGACTTCAAACTATACTACAAGGCTACAGTAACCAACACAGCATGGTACTGGTACCAAAACAGAGATATAGATCAATGGAACAGAACAGAGCCCTTAGAAATAATACCACACATCTACAACCATCTGATCTTTGACAAACCTGACAGAAACAAGCAATGGGGAAAGGATTCCCTATTTAGTAAATGGTGCTGGGAAAACTGGCTAGCCATATGTAGAAAGCTGAAACTGGATCCCTTCCTTACACCTTATATAAAAATTAATTCAAAATGGATTAAAGACTGAAATGTTAGATCTAAATCCATAAAAACCCTAGAAGAAAACCTAGGCAGTACCATTCAGGATATAGGCATAGGCAAGGACTTCATGTCTAAAACACCTAAAGCAATGGCAACAAAAGCCAAAATTGACAATTGGGATCTAATTAAACTAAAGAGCTTCTGCACAGCAAAAGAAACTACCATCAGAGTGAACAGGCAGCCTACAGAATGGGAGAAAATTTTTGCAATCTACTCATCTGACAAAGGTCTAATATCCAGAATCTACAATGAACTCAAACAAATTTACAAGAAGAAAACAAACAACCCCATCAAAAAGTGGGCAAAGGATATGAACAGACACTTCTCAAAAGAAGACATTTATGCAGCCAACAGACACGTGAAAAAATGCTCATCATCACTGGCCATCAGAGAAATGCAAATCAAAACCACAATGAGATACCATCTCACACCAGTTAGAATGGCGATCATTAAAAAGTCAGGAAACAACAGGTGCTGGAGAGGATGTGGAGAAATAGGAACACTTTACACTGTTGGTGGGACTGTAAACTAGTTCAACCATTGTGGAAGGCAGTGTGGTGATTCCTCAAGGATCTAGGACTAGAAATACCATTTGACCCAGCCATCCCATTACTGGGTATATACCCAAAGGATTATAAATCATGCTGCTATAAAGACACATGCACATGTATGTTTATTGTGGCATTATTCACAATAGCAAAGACTTGGAACCAACCCAAATGTCCATCAATGATAGACTGGATTAAGAAAATGTGGCACATACACACCATGGAATATTATGCAGCCATAAAAAAGGATGAGTTCATATCCTTTGTAGGGACATGGATGAAGCTGGAAACCATCATTCTCAGCAAACTATTGCAAGGACAGAAGACCAAACACCATATGTTCTCACTCATAGGTGGCAATTGAACCATGAGAACACTTGGACACAGGATGGGGAATATAACACACCAGGGCCTGTCATGGGGTAGGGGCAGGGAGCAGGGATAACATTAGCGGAAATACCTAATGTAAATGACGAGTTGATTGGTGCAGCACACCAACATGGCATTTGTATACATATGTAACAAACCTGCATGTTGTGCACATGTACCCTAGAACTTAAAGTATAAAAAAAAAACTAAGTGAATTATATTTTCTTAATTCATTAATGCATTAATGATATACAATACTAAAATTTTGTCATGGTTTATTGGAGTTTTTTCAGGATTTGGTATATAATCTCTGGATTTCATTGCCAACTTGGGCAAAGATTCTTAAGCATTGATTTTATATTGGGAGAAAGTATAATATTCATGAAGTTATTCATTTGTATCAGGCACTCTTTTTTTTCTGTGCATTCTATGCACTGAAATATAGGAGTGAACATACAAGATTCTTGTTCTCTTCTGAAGAGGTTACATTTTACTAGGGGACACAGGTGAAAAGAAAGATAAAGAAATATGGAATAAGGTACGTAGTGATAAATCCATGAAGATAATGGAGTCTAGAGAGTTATATTATTTGTATATGTGTGTGGGAATTGCTATTTTACATGTAACTTTTTTACGTGGTAACTTGATGTCTTGCTATTTTACATGGTAACTTGTTTTCTTGCTATTTTACATGGTAACTAGTTGTCTCATTCTAAATATGTACTTGGAATAGAATGCCAACAGATTTTTCAAAATTTATTGTATAAGAGTATGAGAGAAAGAGGAATAAATGAAAATGTGAAAGTTTTAGACTCGCCAATTATTTGAATGGAATTGCTTCTTACAAGATAGGGGAAAACATGCTGGAGGAACAGGTTTATAGGGGAAGATCGAGAATTCTTGATCATGATCTTGCTAATTTTAAGATGCTTGTTGATGAGCCTGGATTTCAGAAGGGAAGATAGAAACGGAGTTAAAATTTTGGGAGACATAATTATATAGATAGTATTCAAAGCCATTAGACTAGATGAGATCATACAGGAAGTAAATGTATGTTCAGAAAAGAAGTGTTTCAAAGGTGGAGTCTGGATTCCTTCAGTGTTTAAAGATTAGAGAGAAGAGGGAAAATCAAGAAAGCAGACAGAAAAAGCAGCTAGTTAGATAGAAAGAGAATCACGAGAAAGTGTTGCTCTGAAAGACAAGTGAAAAAATTGTTTCAAGGAGGAAAGCATCATCATCTATATCAGATGACTGTGATAGTTTGAGTAAAATGAGGCCTTAAAATTCATTATTGTATTAGGAGGGATGGAGCTATTGATGACTTTGAAAAGTTATTTTAACAGAGGGGTAAGCAGAAAGATTGACTGGAATGGGTTTATGAAAAAAAAAGGAAGAAAAGGAAGTAAAGACATTGCATATACACAACTTATTCAATGGGTTTTGTCATAAAGCAGACCATAGAAGTCAGGCTGAAGAGTCCATGGAGTTCATGAAGTTTTTTCATTTCATCTTGTTTTGCTTTTTAGGATCATATATTGTATGATAGTGAGAATTATTAAAGCTAGACCAAAATTGATGATGTAGGAGAGACGGGGGAAAACAGTAGTAACAGTGTCCTTAAGAAGACTTAAAGGGAAGGGATCCAGCGCCAAATATGGGGGGGGGTGTCCTTGGATAGGAGCCTGGACATTTATTCATTGTGATAGCAAGGAGGGCGGAGTATGTGCATCAAAATATAATTGGTCAGATTTGGTGTGTGAGCATCTGGAAGTTTCCTTCTGGTTGTTTCTATTTTCTCAGTGAAATAGAAAGCAGTCATTAGCTGAGAGTAAATAATAAGAAGGTGATGTTATAGATTTGAGGAGAGAGAAGAAGTATGAAGTAATCATTGATGAAAGTAGGAGAAAGTCCCTAGTGAAATGTAGTAGCATTGTTGGGTATTGCTAAGGTCTTACTTGAGGTCACTTGTTGATTTTAAAGTGAAATCAGTCAGCATGGTTATATTTTGTCTTCAGTCACATTCATCTGGTTGGGTAGAAGTGCAGGATAGGTAGAGATTTGGATTTCCCTAGGATATATGTTTTCGCAAGTGAGTTCATTGGAGAGAGAGAAGAGAAAGAGACATAGGAGTAGATGCAAGAAGGTGGTAAGAATGACTAACCATGGAGTGTAAGCCAGGTAAAGAGAGAAAAAAATTATGTGAAGACGGTGAGGAACAGTGAAAAGTGGTAAACTTGGAAGATGAGCGATGGTAGAGAGTGCAATGCTTGAAATTAGTAATGACAAGGTCTTGGATATGATTACGGAAGTAGATAGCTAAGGCAGAAGGAGGAAACAACCACTGGAAATAACAATGTTAAATAAATGAGAGGCCAGTGTATTAGGATGATTTAAGTTGGTATTGAAATCATTGAGAGTTACGACATGTGGTAGTGGAGACAGTAAGGGAGGGAAAGAAAGAAGGAGGGATTGAAGAAGGAAAAAGTGAGAAAATCAAAGAATTTCAGTTTCTACAGGTAAGGAGCTTTGAAGTTGCCACTCTATCCTAACAGTACACAAAAATCTGAACAAACTGAAAAATCAACAACTCTTCTTACATCTATAAGAGAAGTGAGATCACAGGACAAACAGTGTCTCCCAAAATTGGAGTGACAGACAAATACAGAGAATCACAACATATCAGAGCAGAAACCTCCATGGAAACCAGTGCTGGGATAGGAAAACCTGACCTGTAATTGACAAATTTCTGGAGGCTCTGTGTGGACAAGTGTAAGAGTTAAAAACTCCAGGAGGACCTAGTTTTAAATGGACCCTCACACTTGAGAATTGTACCTGTAGGAGCTTGACTAGGTTCTCACAGTAAATATTGGAGAAAAACTCCCTTGTGTTCCCAGCAGCAGAAGGGGAAAGGGATCTATCTGGGAATTTGCCAGAGCACTCTGTTCTTTTTAATAAGGTCTGACCTCAGGAGAAACTAGCTAACCAGAGCCTAATCTGTGGGGTTTGATCAGAGCCTAACTGATCTGGGAGAATGGAAATACTCAACTCTAGTCATCCTGTCCCACCTAAAAGGGGAGAAAAAAGACTAGAAAATATTTGTTCAAGAGTTCAGAGGCATAGGTGCACTGAAAGGCTGAGACCTAATTGTAGGACTATAGAATGTTTCCCCTTTCCCCACACCTTATCACCACATTACTAAAGGCCTATTTACAGCTATTGCTTTTACCCAGTATATCATGTCTGGCTGTCAAGAAAAAATTACAAGGCATACTGAGAGGCAAAAAACACAGTTTGAAGAGACAGAGCAAGCATCAGAAGCAGACATGGCTGAGATGGTGGAATTATCAGATGGAATTTACTACTATGATTAATATGCTAAAAGTGTTAATGGAGAATGTAAACAGCATGCAAGCACAGATGAGAACTGTAAGCAGAAAGATGGAAATTCTAAGAAAGAGCCGAAAAGAAAGTGCTAGAGATCAAAAACGCTGTAACGGAAATGAAGAATGCCTTGATGGGCTTATTAGTAGACTGGACATGACTGAGGAAAGAATTTCTGAGCTAGAGGATATATTAATAAAAGACTCTAAATCTCAAAAACTAAGAGAACAAAGACTGAAAAAGAAAAAGAAGAGAACATCCAAGAGCTGTGGGAAAACTACAAAGATGTAATACATGTGCAATGAGAGTACCAGAAAGCAAAAAGAAAAAGGAATGGAAATATTTGAAACAATAATGACCGAGAATTTATCTAAATTAATGTCAGACACCAAACCATAGAAAACCTATTCCTAGGCATGTCGCTTTTAAATTACAGAAAATCACAGAATAAGAAAAAACCTAGCTGGCTGCAGTGGCTCATGCCTATAATTCCAACACTTTGAGAGGCCAATGCAAGAGGCTTGCTTGAAGCAAGGAGTTAGAGACCAGCCTGGGCAACAAAGCAACACCCTGGTTTCTACAACAACACAAAAAACGAAAAAGCCATATGCAGTAGTGTGTACCTATAGTCCCAGCTATTCAGGAGGCAAAGGTAGGAGGATTGCTTGAGCTCATGAGCTCAGGAATTTGAGGCTGCAGTGAGCTATGATCATGACACTGTACGCCAGCCAGGACCACAGAGTGAGACCCTATCTCTAATAAACTAAAATGTACGTTTAAAAATTAAAAAGAAGAAAAAATTCTGAAAGAGGACAGAGAAAAAAAAATCTTACCTATAGAGGAACAAAGGTAGGAACTACATCTAACTACTCAACAGAAACTATGCAAGCAAGAAGTGAGAGGAGTGAAACATTTAAAGGTTTGAGGAAAAGAACACCAACTTAGAATTCTGTACCCTGTGAAATTATCCTTCAAAAGTGAAGGGGAAATAAAGACTTTCTCAGATGAACAAAAACTGGGAAATTTTATTACCAATAGATCTGCCTTGCAAGAAATGTTAAAAGATAGAAGAAAAATAATATAGATGAGAAACTTGGATCTATGTAAATAATTGAAGAGCATCATTGAAGGAATTAGTGAAGGTAAAATTAAAACTTCAATTTTACTATTATTGATCTATCAGACAGATAACAGTTTGTTAAAAATGATAATAGCAACAATTTGATTATGTGTGCTTATGTATCATATGTATGTATCTGTATCTATATATGCTCATGTATAAATGAAATAAATGACTAATATCACAAGGGAAAGGAGGAAGGAATTAGGATTATTTCATTATTATAAGTTACACTACCTATGAAGCAGTATAGTTTTATTTGAAAATGAACTTGCATTAGTTGTAAATGTATATTGCAAACTCTAGAGTAACCACTTAAAAAGGAAAAAAAAAGAAGCATAATTGATACACGAAAATAAGAGAGAAAGTGGAATCATACACAATGCTCTGTTAAAAACCACAAAAGGCAGAGTGGAAAACAAAAATAGGAACAAAGAACAAGAGCAACAAATTCGGTAGATATTAATCCAACTGTATTAATAAATATTGTGAATATCAATGCTCCAAATGCACCAATTGGAAGACAGAGATTGTTAGAGTGAATAAGAAAAATAAGACCCAATGAAACTATATGTTGTCTACAAGAAGTCCACTTTTTCTTGAGACAGAGTCTCATTCTGTGGCTCAGGCTGGAGTGCAGTGGTGCAATCTCGGCTCACTGCAACCTCTGCCTTCCGAGTTCAACAATTCTCCTGCCTCAGCCTCCCAAGTAGATGGGATTACAGGCGCCCACCACCGCGCCCAGCTAATTTTTGTACTTTTATTGGAGACGGGGTTTCACCATGTTGGCCAGGCTGATCTCGAACTCCTGACCTCGGACGATCCATCCACCTCGGCCTCCCAAGTGCTGGGATTACAGGCATGAGCCACCGCACCCAGCCAAGAAATCCACTTTAAATATAAAGACACATATAGATTAAAAGTAATTGGATGGATGCCAGTCCTAAGCAAAACAAAGCAGAATTAGCTTGCTTCTTTTTCTTTCTTTCTTTCTTTCTCTTTCTTTTTCTTTCTTTCTTTCTTTCTTTCTTTCTTTCTTTCTTTCTTTCTTTCTTTCTTTCTTTCTTTCTTTCTTGCTCTCTCTTCTTTCTCTCTCTCTCTTTCTCTCTTTATCTCTCTTTCTCTCTCTCTCTCTTTCTCTCTTTCTGACAGAGTCTCGCTCTGTCATCCAGACTGGAGTGCAGTGGTGCAATCTCAGCTCACTGCAACCTCAAGCGATTCTCCTGCCTCAGCCTCCTGAGTAGCTGGGATTACAGGCACGTGCTGCCATGCCTAGCTAGTTTTTTTTATTTTTAGTAGAGATAAGGTTTTGCCATGTTGGCCAGGCCGGTCTCGAACTCCTGACCTCAAGTGATCTGCCTGCCTTGGCCTCCCAAAGTGTTGGGATTACAGGCGTGAGCCACCGCACCCGGCCAGCTGTATTAATTTCTGATAGAGCAGAATGCAAAGCAAGGAAAGTTATCAAGGATAAAGAAGGGTATTACGTAATGATAAAGGAGTCAGTTCTGCAAGAGACATAACAATCTTTAATGTATATTTGCCTAACAACAGATCAATAAAATATAGGAGGCAAAAACTGAAAGAACTGTTGGGAGAAATAAATGAATCTACTGTTATAGTTGAAGACTTCAGCACCCCTCTATCAGAAATGGACAAATTCAGCAACTGGAAAATCAGTAAGGACATAGTTGAACTCAACAACACCGTCAATCAGCTGGATATGATTGATATCTGTAGACTACTTTATCCAATAACAGCAGAATATATATTCTTCTCAAGCTCACATGGAACAGCTACCAAGACAGACCACATTCTGGGCCATTAAACACATCTTAACAAATTTAAAAGAATAGATATCATACAATATCTGTTCTCAAACCACATGGAATTAATCTAGAAATCAATCACAGCAAGATAACTGGAAAGCCCCAAACAATATGTGGAGATTAAGCAACATACTTTTTTTTTTTTTTTTTTTTTAAGACAGGGTCTTACTCTGTCACTGAGGCTGGAGTGTAGTGGCAAAATCATAGCTCACTGCATCCTCTGCTTCCTGGGCTCAAGCAATCCTCCCACCTCAACCTCCTAAGTAGCTGGGACTACAAGCATGTGCCACCACACCTGGCTGATTTTTCTTTTTTTTGTAGAGTCGAGGTTTCTCCATGTTGCACAGGCTGGCCTTGAACTCCTGAGCTCAAGCAATCTGGTCTCCTGGGCCTACCAAAATCCTGGGATTACAGGTGTGAGCCACCACACCTGGCCATAAACAACATACTTCTAAATAACACATGGGTCAAAAGAAAAATCTGAAGAGAAATTAAAAATACTTTGAACTAAATGAAATGAAAACATAACTTACCAAAATTTATGAGAGGCAGCAAAAGCAGTGCATAGAGGGAAATTTATAACATTGGTTGCATATATTAGAAAGGGAAATAGACTTAAAAAACCTAAGCTTCCATTTTAGGTAACTAGATAAAGGAGGGCTAATTAAACTCAAAGTAAGCAGAAGAAAATGAATAATAAAAATTAGGGCAGAAATCAATAAATTTGAAAACAGGAAGTCAATAAAGAAAATCAACAAAACCAAAATTTGGTAAGATAAAATTGATAAGCCTTTACCCAGCCTAAGAAAAAAAAGACGCAGATTACTAATACTAGAAATGAAAGAGGGAACATCCACAGATCCTGTGAACATTAAAAATGTTATAATGGAATGCTATGAACAACTCTATGCTCTCACATTTGATAACAGAGAAGAAATGTACTAATTCCTTGAAAGACACAGTCTGCTAAAACTCACACAAGAAGAGATAGACAATCTGAATAGACCTTTTAGCTATTAAAGAAATGGAACCAACAGTTAATAATCTTCCCAAACAGAAAGCACTAGGCCCAGATAGTCACTGGTGAATTCTGCAAAATATTTACAAAAGAAATTATACTGATTCTCTACAATCTCTCAGAAGATAGAAGCAGACAGAATGCTTTTGAACCCATCCTATGATGCCAGCATCTCCCTCATACCTGAACTGACAGAGACATTATAAGAAATGTCTTATGCAGACCAATATCTCTTATGAGCATAGATGCAAACATTCTTAACAAAATATTAGCAAATAGAATCCAGCAATGTATAAAAAGAATGACATATCATGACCATGTCCTAGCCATGAAACAGCGTCCTAGCCATTAAAAGATGTATTTAGTGTTTTCTAAAGGCAGAATCAGTGAAGACTGAATTTTCTGAGTACTTATCCGATGGACGATAAGATGCTTTCTGCTTCTAAATCTCTAGTGACTGGAGAGGTAGCCAGAGGGTTGGAGTGGGAAAGAGGTGATGGTTTGACAGCACAGATGAGATGGGTTAGATTAAGAGTAACCAGGAGAGAAACTGGGTGGCCATAGACAGAAAATATCTGTCTGTTTCAATCAGAGAGTAGTGTTGTTTTCTTTCTTATCGCATAATCAAGACATTTGAAATCCTATAAACTTTATTTTAAAGTTTCTTTCTGAATTTAGATGAAGACTGTCACAGCATTCTAATTCTTGGCAATAATTATTAAAAGGGTTGTATGCATGCATAAAAACAGGAGTAGAAACAAGAAATGATATCCTTTGGACTATTTATTCAATTTCTCCCCAAAAGGAAGGTTGTACAAAATGTATTTAGAGTTCTAGTTTGCTTTTTTTGAGATAATTAACTAGTTTACTTCATTTTTTTATTTCTGTAAATTTCCTATGATGAAATAAATAATCAGGTTAAACTTTATTGGCATATTACCTTAATTTTATGTATTTATTTTTTAAGAACTGAAGTGCCATGTTAGTGATTAAGCAAGTGTATTGTGGCTTATGCTGGGCTAATGTGACAAGTATGTGGCTTGAAGCCAGTTAAATGTTTGTATGTTCCCAACCCTACTTAGTGTTTTCAGATATATAGCTGTCATAGTTACTGTGCCTGTTACACCGTTATGATTGAGTCTATTGTTAATAGTACAAGTTATTGCTGAATGTCAAAATTTAAGTTATATTGTTTCTTTGTATCATTGGCTGGGACGATTTTTTTGGTATATCTTTTCAATGTTGCAAATGGGACCAGGGATTTACAGTAGAACTACAGAAGCTTTAAAATATTAACAGCCCATTAAGTACAGGATATGGTTCATGAGGTTTAATGGGAAGTTGTTAAAAGGAGATGGAACTATTCCAATGGTTGGGGAGGCATGGTTAGTGGCAAAGAACAGGGCATAGAATTTCTAAAAGCTTGTTTTTTTGTATAAATAATATTCAGTGTTTGGGCACACTAAACAACAGCAACAGCAAGAAACCTCCTCTGTCTGACAAGCAGTATCTTGGAGCTCACCAAATGAGAATTCCATTTGGTGCATATGTTAACTTTCCTTTTCAGAAGATATCCAACAGTGTTGTGTTAAAAAAATTTCCTGTGGATTTGAGATGCTTGGCATTCATTAAATCAAACCTTAAAGGACTTTGAAATAGCACCTACTTTGTTTAACATTTAAAAAATTACAAGGCTCCTGAGACTAGTCCTTGGGATAGTCTTTAGTGATTATCCAGAGTATAATAAAAATGCAAGATTTTCAGAAGAGGGTATTTAAAAAGCAAAATAGTGTAACACTTAGGAGCATAATGTTTAATATACACCTGAATCTTGGTTCCTTAGAGAGTGGCACACACAGACTCTGTGTCACATGGTCAGTGATTAGAGTATAATGTATCATGTGTGTTCCATACACATACTTAGATCTTGGCTCCCAAATCAGGGTAGCAGGTCTAGTCTTCTACTTGCTTGAATTAAATACTTTTTCCCCTAGTTCCTTAATCCTGAGCAATTTTTGTAACTTTTCTGAGACTCAGTTTTTTTCTCTATGACGCTCTGCTACTTCATAGGATTATTTATAAGATCATATGAAATCAGGTACGTGAAAGCACTTTGGAAATTATCAAGTGTTAAACTTACTATATATAATATTATTACTAGATTAGAGTAGATAAGACAGAAGCTAAGACTCTGTAAGTTTGGAGGGTCAAATACTGGAAACATAGCTCTACTTAATGCTGCTGCTAACTCTTTTTAGTAGACCTAAGTTAGATTTACCACACATGCATCATGGATTTTTTCCTTTGGATTTTATATTAGATCCATATCATTGAAGAGAATTTGAAGAAAACTGAGAGCCCTGTGGAAACTTGAATGAGAATTAAGTGAACATTCAGCATGACTTCCATACCTTAATTCCCTACTTGAGCAATCCTCCTCAACCCAATCCATGTTATTATTCATTATTCACTATCTGGAATGCTGACATGTCCAGCTTTTTATTGCTTCGTGATAAGTTGCCCCAAAACTTGGTGGCTTAACACAACAGCAATCATTTTTATTATTGCTCGTGGTTTCTCTGGGTCAGGAGTTTGGGAAGTGCTCAGCTGGGCAGTTCTGGCTAGGTCTCTAATGCAGTTGTAGTTAGACTGTTACTGGAGGTGAAACAGCAGGGGACTGAAGCAGCTGGGGGATGGCCGGGCATCTTTCTCTCCTAATGTGGTTTTTCCAAGTGGACTAGTTTGGGCTTTTGTCCAGCATGCTGGCTTCAGGGCAACCAGCCTGCTTGCTTGGAGGCTCCAAAGGCCAGTGTTGCAAGAGAAACAAGGGAACTGGACTGTGATGTAAGACTTAGCCTCTGACACTACAAGCCTGCCAAGAATCAAGGGAAAGAAACATAGATCCTGCCTCTTGAGGAGAATGTCAAAGTCACATTATATGTGGATGGGAGATGCTATTGTGACCATCTTTGGAAAAAAAAATTTGCCACATGAATGATTAACTCTGTCACTTCATATATAGCTTTTGCTCCCTATTTACCTGACCTCTCTAGGGCCACTGTATGGAATGATTTATTCTTCCTTTTATTTTGCAGCTACACAGTTTTCCTGACACAAATGAACAAGAAAGAAATAAAAGCTAACTAAAAGTAACAGAACTCCTCTTTTTATATCCTCTTAAACCTAAAATCAACATCATTTTGGAAAGATTGTTTTACACATACAATGAAAAAGAAAAACTCGCAATTTTTCTTGACATCTTACTTTCTTAACAAAAGATAGGCTCCTAAATATTGTTTTGGAAAGCTCATATTAAATAGAAAAAAAGCATTGCTACTGACTTGCATTAAAACTCCAGAAATTCATGCTCAGAGAATCATTTGTACTCTGACAGGCATTGAGGATGTTTAATTTTATTTCCCAAGGCACTGATTTTTTATAGGCTGAGTCTTTGTGTAAGAAAAAATTCAAAAATTGTAGAGATCTGTTTACATAATGAAATGTCCTAATACACCTCAAGGAATTACAAGTTTTCAGATGATAATTCAGCCATTTGGAGAAATGATGAGAGCTAGGTCATAGTGTTAAAATTATGGATATAAACATTAGCTTTTGCATAACAAGTATGGATACAAACATGCATTAATATACTTAAATTGGCATATGTTCATGGAAGGATTATGTTAAAGAAATATGATTGCAATAAAACAGTTTTAGGGGTACACATTTTTAAAAGGAGTTTGCAATGACATTTTTCCTACACACTTTTTTAAGCAATTGTTCAACTGGCCAACTTTCCATATGTCCAATACATGTAATATTTTAAGCCTAGAGAGTAATAAGACATTCTTTTTAGCTTCCTACCTTTGTGTTCTATGGAGAAAGGATAGTTTTGGTAAATAATGTTTTTGGCTTGAGTATTTGAACTAATTTTCAAAGTTGGCTTGCAATGAATGACTATAAATGAGATCTACTGAGCACATTTTGAAAATCAGTTTTTAACAGGAAAAATAAAAGCATTGCTAACTTCAAATGTTGAGAAAATTTGGTAGAGTTGGCAGGGAGTATTTAGAGTATACTACTCACATCTTGAGATTCCAGATAAGTTAGAAAGACATGTAAAATATAATATTTTAATATTTCATGATTATCATGTCTCAGATAGCTGTAAGATTGCTGGATAATTAAAACATTTAAACTCTTAAACAATCGAAGAGATTTTTTATTTTAAATCACCAGGCAGTTTTATAATGTTGGTTTTTCCAAAGTGTTAGAACCTTCTGAAAGTGACCTTTAAATTCTAATATTTAAAGATAATTTAACTTTGCAAAGAAAAGGAGGCTTCTCAGAGAAGTGGCTGATTTCAGGAGTATAGGTTAGGGTCAGTGCTAAATAAAACAATGGGGTCATATAACAAGAACACAGGGATCCTACTGGAGGCATTCCCACTGGCGAACTTGAGACCAATTGAGCACAAAAATATAAAGTATAGTAATAGTTTGTAAATCACTGAAAAACTAGGAATTGATAGGCCTATAAATAGATGAGGAAGAGAGGTTCCTCTTTATAGTAAAATACTGAGGGCTGACTAGTATTAATATATAGAGAGACCTGGAGTTGAAAAATCACCATGATAAAGATTGTATTAGGCAAGGATCATGTATGGATGCTAAATTTGGGGGAGGATTTTGATGAGGAGCAGGGTATTTGATTAACTTCAAGTGTTAGACTGCTTATTAAATTGCAATAAGGAAAAAAAGTCTACTATTTATGTAGTGGAGAAATCAGATAACATCTTGACCAGGTGATAAAAGTTTATACAATGAATGAAGAACAGATAGATCTGGTATTTCTCCAGATGTGATTTTCTTCTCAAGAATGTATAACCTCAAACTAATCACATCAGACAAATGCAAAATGAGGAATTTTTTATTAAAAGAAAGGGAAGATGGTGTCCTTTAAAAAATGTTAATGTCAGCTTGGGTGCGGTGGTTCATGCCTATAATCTCAGCACTTTGGGAGGCCGAGACGGGTGGATCACTTGAGATCAGGAGTTTGAGACCAGCCTGGCCAATGTGGCAAAATCCCATCGCTGCTAAAAATACAAAAATTAGCTTGGTGTGGTGGTGGGTGCCTGTAATCCTAGCTACTTGGGAGGCTGAGGCATGGGAATTGCTTGAATCCGGGAGGCAGATGTTGCAGTGAGCCAAGATCATGCTACTGCATTCCAGCTGGGTGACACAGTAAGACTCTGTCTCAAAAAAAAAAAAAAGTTAATGTTGTAAAAGACAAAGAGGCTGTTGAAATATTCCATGTTAAAAGAGACTAAAGAGATATGACAGCTAAATATAATGTCTAACCCTAAACTGGGTCCTGTACTAGAAGAGAAAAAATAAATACTATAAAAGACAGACAAAATTGGAATATGGATGGTAGAGTAGGTAAAAGTGTTGCAATGTAAATTTATGCATTAAGGTATGCATTAAGTGGATTTCTTAGGATTTACATACTGAAATATTAAGGGGTAAAGGGCCATGATTTCAAATAGTTGAGAAAAAAAAGTGTGTGTGTGTGTGTGTGTGTGTGTGTGTGTAGAGAGACACAGAGAACATGGCTGCAAATAATAAAGCAAATGTTAGCAGTATCAATAGATAAGTCTGGGTAAAAGGAATATGGGTATTCCTTGTGCTATTTTCATTTTCGCAACTTTATTTTAATTTAAATTATTTTCAATAAGTTTTTTTAAGGAACCTGAAAACACCTACCTCATTTTGAAATTAAACAAACAAACAAGGCCAGGCTTCGTGGTTCATACCTGTAATCCTGGCACTTGGGAGGCCAAGTTCAGCAGATCGCTTGGGCCCAGGAGTTTGATACGAGACTGGCCTACATGGCGAGACCCTGACTCTACAAAAAATGCAAAACTTAGCCAGCTGTGGTGGTGTGTGCCTATAGTCTCAACTAGTTGGGGGGCTGAGGTGGGTGAACAGAGATCGTGCTACTGCACTCCAGCCTGGGTGAGGGTGACAAAGTGAGAACCTTTCAAAAAAAAAAAAAACCCTCAAAAAACAAACAAAACCAACTTCCCAAGGCACAGTTTCATAATTTAATAAACTAGTAGAAGATCCATTACTTGGAGACATCTGAAAGTATATCACATAAAGACATGAAGGAGATTCTTTATGAGCACCAAAGTGAACAATATGATGTAATTAGCTCTGGTGTCTATAATTCTTTCTCTCTGTGACGTTTCAACTGATATAACCAAAGATGTGAGAAAAGAAAGGTTGTAGTAAAGATGAAACAAAATAGCAGTGAGTTTATTGATAATATCCTAATTTATTATTTCTGTTATTTTGGACTATTCACATGTACAGTATGAAAAAAGGACCTAAACTATTGTCTTTCCTTTTAGAACATATGCAGAATTAGAGAAGAAATAACATACATTCTTTTCAATGGCCTGAATGACTGAATTTATGCTGTTACTCATGAAAATAGTTGCCTGACCTCTGCTGGTATATTAACCGTTCTGTTGTATCTTGCTTTGAAAGCTCCCTTCTGTCCTGAAGCTTTGTAATTAGATTCATTAATCCTCTAATCTACTCTAGTTTTTACCAGCTCACGGAAATCTCTGTCAGCCTACTCTATCAATGCCTTTTTTACTTATTTTTTTCTCTCATCTTTGATTGGATGATAAAGTTCCTCTTATGAACTGTTTAGGCAGGAGGAATCTTGACACATTCAGACACTTTAAAATGCTCGAGTAAGCAAGTCACAACACCAGGTGAAATCTCTCACTTTAGTGAACCTGGTCTATACTAAAATTTGTCATATTTTTATGACCTTATTAATATTAATATGCTTGTATCAAATTGTGAAAAAGTGACAGGCCATATATAAATGAATAAAACTAAATAGTTTTTTTTCAATGACTTATTTCTACTTTCAGAATTGTTCAAGAGTGCTAGAATTACTATATAATCTGTTAAGCCCTAATTACTTATACTTCTAAGACACTGTGATTTTGGGCTTTGAGAGTTCTCTTGAACACTCTACATCCTGTTGTTTTCATTAAATCAAAGAAAAACGTTTCTAATGACAAAATTCCAAAAATGGCCATTAAAGGTTTCTCTTTATTGTCACTCAAATGACATTGCATAAGCAGTAATTGCTAAATTGGCCTATCTTTAAGCCCATTGATTAATTTTGCCATATAAAGCCTGAAAACTGAAATCAAATTTTGCCCATTAGACCTCCCAATTATTACCAGGAACTGGAAAAAACAAATAAGCCCAGCCAAATGCCAGATAGCTATGTGATAATAAATGTATAGGGGGGAAAAAAGGATGGGTACTAAATTTTACTAACAGCTGGCTTTGGCTAGGTACTATGTATCTAGTATCACAGTTTCAAAAGAGAAATGTACAGACTCCTTGTAAAGAAAAAAATATACTCTCATATCCTCCAATATTAAATTATTTTTGCTTTGTTTAAATATGTACAAATATAAAACAAAATGTTTTTATGCTTATAGCTCTTACAGAATTATAAAGTCATAATAAATTATAATTTTAATAACGACAAAAGTACAAAACCAATAGGTGTTACACCTTACTAGGAAGTTCTTCCATACTAGGAAGGCAGAAATCATTACTGAAACTAAATTGCTTTCTCAAAGTGAGTATGACACAGGTTTCTCTGAGGCTTAGTATGCCTGTACCACTGTATGATAATTATTCTCCCATCATTTTTCTTTATTCCAAGTGTTGGAAACCTTTATTTCTTTCTTTCTTTTTTTTTTTCTTTGAGATGGAGTCTCGCTCTGTCGCCCAGGCTGGAGTGCAGTGGCGCGATCTCAGCTCACTGCAAGCTCCGCCTCCCGGGTTCACGCCATTCTGGTGCCTCAGCCTCGCGAGTAGCTGGGACTACAGGCGTCCGCCACCACGCCCGGCTAATTTTTTTGTATTTTCAGTAGAGAGTTTCACCGTGTTAGCCAGGATGGTCTCGATCTCCTGACCTCGTGATCCGCCCACCTCGGCCTCCCAAAGTGCTGGGATTACAGGCTTGAGCCACTGCGCCCGGCCTGGAAACCTTCATTTCTATAGCATTGTGACTTTTTTGAGCCTTCACTTGACACGAAAACATTCTTTATGTAAGTATTTATCTATTTCTCATATGGCTATGACAATTAAAGTAGTAATATTTGGGGACAGTGCCACCCAGAACACAAATGCCAAAGCAGGCACTGACACTACGTAGCAGTATTTTGTTGTAACATGTTCACATTATGTTTGTTTTTATGAGAATATACTCATGTTCATTTTTTAAAAGATCGTCATCAAGATTTAAATCTAAATGAAATAAGAAATTATCAAAAGGAAGATTTTATAGACTCCTAGGATGAGTGACACTGTATTATCAGATCTAATCTTGCAGATGAGGGGATTGAGGTCTAGAAAATTTAGTAACTTGCATCAGGTCACGCAGTGAGAAAGTACATTTAATCGCGTGCTTTTCTAGCTCCAAAAATCATGCTCTTTCTGTTAAAACAACTTGCCTAAACTAAAAGTTTAGGAGCTCAACTGAGTGTAGGCTGAGGGTTTCAGTGTTATAACTTCATCCCCTGTACCTCATCAGAACCTCATCAGAAGTTTCAGTGTTACAACTTCATCCGCTGCATACATCAGATGCAGTGGACTACAGAAGGATGGTAGTTGTAGGAATGGTAACAGTCAGATTGCATGATATATTTAGTGTGACAATCTGAAAACATTTATTGTACAAATTCTTTTTTTTTGGGGGGGTTGGAGTCTCACTCTGTAGCCCAGGCAGGAATGCAATGGCGCGATCTTGGCTCACCGCAACTCTGCCTCCTGGGTTCAAGCGATTCTCCTGTCTCATCCTCCCGAATAGCTGGGATTACAGGCACCTGCCACAACGCCCGGCTAATTTTTGTATTTGTGGTAGAGACAGGTTTTGCCACGTTGGCCAGGCTGGTCTTGAATTCCTGACCTCAGGTGATAGGCCCGCCTTGGCCTCCCAAAGTGCTGGGATTACAGGTGTGAGCCACCGTGCCCGGCCTATTGTACAAATTCTATTATTTGTTTATTTACTTTAGTCTCATACCTTATATAGGTATTCTAAGGCATAAGAATGCTATGGTATTTAAGTTCACTGTTGTTTCAATTCACTGAATAGTCTTTCATTTGTGGTAGTATATAGTAATCTCCCCCCACTTGCTTTTTCTTTTTTTTGGCCAGAAGATTAACCAACAAACCTCACTCTGGAAATTTTCAGAGTGACCCATGAAAATCCACATGAGGTGAACATCAAACGAGTTATTGATGCTCTCCTTCTTTACCACGCTCTGTGACCATAAATGTCACCACTGTAAAACCGCTGATTATTACCTACTCGGAGAGTAAGAAACTCATTCATGCAATCCAGTGTCTTGTTGTATCCTTCAGACATCAGGCTCATTTGACCCAACCATGAATCTGAAGTTAACAACGACCTTACTGTCAACCTGTCAGACATTTTAAACTTTTAATTTAAAAGGCACACTATAAGTATATATAAGGTGTGAAGTCCTAGTCCTGTGCTGGATATAGAATTACAAAATTTTAAAAATGTGATATTAATCACTTAGCTACAATAGTTTGATGATTGAAGAATAAAGGAATAATTAATCTATGAAGTACATTATATTTCCTATTTTGAATATGTTTTAAATGTGAATATGAATATGAATATATATTTGCACTCATGGGTAATTGTATATATAATGTTAGTTTTCTAGCTTTCAAATTAAACTTCAGACTAATAGTGTAGGTTTTGTTTCTTAGCACTTATGCTGTTATCAATAATTCTGCCTTATATTTGAACCAAAGAATGACTCTCTACTCATGGAATTTCAGGTACCACAGAAGGCCAACATGAGATAATTTTTAAATTGTGTCATTTCTAAATGACTGAAATATAAATTGGCTTGCATTATTGTTCTTCTTTCCATAGCAAATACAGTGAAGTCATCTTTGTTTTTCAATAATCATTTTGTGCTTATCTTTGGCAAAAAATGAACAGTCAATGCTTGTTAAGATGTTGATTAAAGAAGTTAATACTTGGCTGGGTGCAGTGGCTCATGCCTGTATTCCCAGGATTTTGGGAGGCCGAGGCGAATGGATCACTTGAGGTCAGGAGTTTGAGACCAACCTGGCCAACATGGTGAAACCCTGTCTCTACTAAAAATACAAAAATTAGTGGGTGTGGTGGTGGGCACCTATAATTCCAGCTACTCTTGGGGCTGAGGCAGGAGAATTGCTTGGACGTGGGAGGCAGAGGTTGCAGTGAGTCAAGGTCAGGCCACTGCACTCTGGCCTGGGTGTCAGAGTGAGACTCCATCTCAAAAACAACCAACCAACCAAAAAAGAAGTTAATAGTTAAGGTATTGTATCATAGTTCCTCATATCTCCTGTGCTTGGTAGTATAAATTAGCATAATATTTCTGCATCTTGTTGTTAATGTAAATCAACGGTGTTAAACATTTTTCAAACTTACCTTTGATCTATCAGGTACACTTCTAGAAATGCCTTATAAGGACACAAACAAATGTATCATCAAAGATTTGTGTACAAGGATATTGCCATACTATTTATTATAGATAAAAATCAGGTGCAACTTAAATATCCAATAAAGGGGAGTGTTTAAATATACATTTTCAAATATATGAAAAATAGGATAGATGTACTCATCACCCAACTTTAAAAAGGAACATTTTTTAAAAAAAGAAAAATGTGAAATATTATCAATGTTAGACATGACATAATAATATATAGCCTGGAATTCAATGAGAAGAAAAACATATTTAAGATGTAGTTGAGAAATCATTGGTATTCTTTGTGGAGGACTCATAATTCTGGTAGAATTATAGCTTATTTAGTAAATTACATAGCCCATATTGTTAAAATGTTCAATAATAGGCTGGAGGGATTCTGATAAAATTTAGTTGCCGTGAACAGCTTATCTTTTCTCTAACCATAGAAGACATCACTGCTTCTTAATTCTTAGTCCCTTCTCCAATGCTCAGCCAAAATAAGCAGTGGTAAATTGTAATGACCACATTGAACCTTACATTTGGTCAGTGCTTTTACTTTATGAGATACTTCACATAATGTATTTCTTATGTTAATTTTAAATTCCTACAATTGCTTCTTCTCATGTATTATAAAATTGGCTGTATTTGCCCCTTTCTTTATAAAATACTCTGTAATCTGAGATAAGATCATGCCATAGCAAAGGAATTACAAGCATCTTTCTATCCTCATGCTTTAGAAATTTATTGGGAATCAGAATTAATTGATCTTCATATAGAGTGGCTCAAAATGTAAATAATTTAAGAAATTAAAATATAACAATAAATAAAATAAAAAATGATGATAATTTTTACTAAGTGGTACTATGAATCGGTCCTCTGCTAAGCCCTTTATACATAGCAATTGATTTCATACTAATATAATCTCACTTCACAGTGGAGAAAACTGAAGTACAAAGGAGATTACCCAAGATCATGAAGACCCAGTTAAAAAATCGCAAAGCTGAAGTCCAAACTTGGGTCTCTCTGAGTTTAGTTTGCAGTCATTGTTGTCTGAATATTTGTTAGTGTTTATTTTATGCTACTGTGCAATGAAGTGATTCTACATTTGTGAATAAAAAATTCATACTGTCTGTACTACTGGAATTTCTATTCTAAAGGGGAAAGATAGGCAATAAACAAGTAAACAAATACATATTTGCTAATTCTGATGAATTCTGTGCAGGAGAAAACAAGATACAATGTGCTATGATCTGAATGTATGTCCCTCCCTGCCCCTGAAATTCACATCTTGAAACCCAGTATCCAAGGTGATGGTATTAAGAGGTGGAGACTTGAGGAAGTGAATAGTGAGGGCAGAGCCTTCATGAATGGGATTAGTGCCCTTATAAAAGAAGCCTGAGGGAGCTTGTTAGCCCCTTTTGCCTTCTACCATGTGAAGATGCAGCAAGAAGGTATCATCTATGATGCAGAAAACCCTTATCAGACACCACATCTGCTGCTCCCTTGATCTTCTTCCCTGCCTCTAGAACTGTGAGCAATACATTTCTGTTGCTTATAAATTACCCAGTCTAAGGTATTTTGCTGTAGCAAGCTTAATGGACTGAAACAGATAATGGTATCAAGAAGTGGGGTGTTGCCGTATAACAAATACCTAAAAATGTGGAAGCAACTTTGGAACTTAGTAATGGGTAGAGGTTGGAAGTTTTGTGGTACATAGCTGTGAAAGGAGGCTTAAGGACAATTCTGGCAAGTGCTCAGGAGAAGAGGAGAGCTGTAGAAAAAGCCTCAATCTTCTTAGAGATTACTTAAGTGGTTATGAGCAGAATATTGGTACAAATACGGATAAAGTAGGTCATCTTAATGAGGTCTCCCATGGAAATGAGGAATATGTTATTGGAAACTAGAGGAAAGATGATCTCTGTTATAAATTGACAAAGAACTTGGCTGAATTGTGTTTGTGTTCTGCTGCTTTGTGAAAGATGGAACTTCTGAGTGATGAAATAGGATATTGGGCAGAAGAAATATCTAAGCAAAGTGTTGAGGATGTGGCATGGTTTCTCTTGTGGCATGGTTTCTCTTGACTCCTTATAGTAAAATGTGTGAGAGAGAAATGAATTAAAGATGGAATTTATAATAAAAAAGAAAGCAGAATTTGAAGACTTGGAAAATTCTCAGCCTGGCTATATGGTAAAGAATGAAAAATGTTTGGGGGAGAACAGTAAGGGTGTGGCCCATCAAACGTTTGATAAGGAGATTAGTATGGATAGAATGAAGCCAGATGCTATTCATCAAGACAACGAAAGAATGACCCTAAAGGCATTTTGGTAATCTTTGGGGTTGCCCCACCCATCACAGGGTCAGAACGCCAGGGCCTTGGTGGTGGAACGTTTTAAGGCTCTACTCCCCGAGTTCTGATGCAGTGCTCCTTCACAGATTTAGTTGTGCCTCGGGCTGCCTTTCCAAAAGGCATGGGTGGTAGATCACGCTGGTGTTCATGCAGTAGCATCTTCATGACTGTGCAGAGAGCATGAACTGTGGTGGTATGGGTACCTCCACCTAGATTCCAAAGGATGCCACAGAGAGCCTTGGGGCTCAGGCAGAGAATTGCTATGAGGGGAGTCACCATAGAGGGCCCCCACTAGGGCAATGCCTAGTGGAGCTTTGGAGAGAGTCTCCACTAGGGCAATGACCAGTGGAGCTGTGGGGGTGGGAATGCCCCCAACACCCCAGAGCAGTAGAGGAATCAAAGTGCATTTCCAGCCCGGGAGAGCCACAGGCACATGACTACAATTGGTGAGAGCTGCAGTGTGGGCTTCACCAAGCAAAGCCTTGAGAGTAGGATTGCCTGGAGCCTTGGGGGCCTAATCCCTGTCCCAGTATGTCTGGAAGGTGAGTCATGGAGTCAATTATTCTCTAGTCTTAAGATTCAATGTTGTTTGCCCTGTTGGGTTTTGAACTTAGAACCAGCTACCCCTTTCTTCCTTCTCATTTCTCTCTTTTGATTTGGGAACATCTATCCTATGCCTGACCCACCATTGTATTTTGGAAGTTTATAACTTGTTTTATTTCACAACTGGAGAGCAGTTTGCCTCAGGATGAGTCAAACCTTGAGTCTCACCAATATTTGATGACTTTAGACTTTTGAGTTGATATTAGGGTGAGTTAAGACTTTTGGGACTATTGGGATGGAATGTATGCATTTTGTATGTGAGAAGGATGTGAATTTTGTGGGGTCGGAGCAAAAAGTGTATATTATGGATATATATGTCCTCCCAAAATTTGTATGTTAAAACCTAACCCTCAAGGTGATGATATTAAGATGTTGAGCCTTCAGGAGGTGACTAGGTCCTGAGAGCTTAGTCTTCATGAATGCAATTAGTGCCCTTATAAAACAGATCCAAAGGAGCTTATCTTCTCCTTTCACCATATGAGAACACAGCAAACAATTGCCATTTAGGAAGTGGACTTTCACCAGACGTAGAATCTGCTTGTGCCTTGACCTTGGACTTCCCAGCCTCTGGGACAGTGAGCAATAAATTTCTGTTGTTTATAAATTACCCTGTTTAAGGTATTTTGTTATAGCAGACTGAATGGACTAAGATACATAAAAGAGAACAGTAGAGGGCATACTTAGATATGGTGGTCAGGAAAGACCTCTCTTAGGAGTGACACTTAAGCAAATATCTGAAAGATGAGGCATCACCTGTGAAGGGCAATGAGAAGACTACTCCAGGCCTAGAAATAGCATATGCCCTGTGGCAGGAGGAAGGCAAAAATGAAGTATGAAATGAGGTTGAAGATCAATAAAGTGCCAGGTCCCCATTCTTAGAAAGGCACTGTGTTTTGTGTGATGCTGTCTTGTCATCATCTTGAAATTCTTAAGTGCTTTATGCAAGGATACAAGCTGATGGCTCAACATCAATACATAGAAATTAAAATTGAATTTGACAATCATGACCCAAAATATAAGTATCCAATTTCAAATGAGTACTTTCGGAGTTCAACTTGTTCAATTACTTGTATTTCAGGAGAGTGTGGGGCTCAAATCAGATATTTCATAGGAGTAATATTGAGACTTCTTATATGGCCAAGTCAGGTAATGACTAATACCTTATCTAAACATTTATTAGAAATCTTAATCAGTGGATCCAAAGTTGATCTTTGAGGAAAATCTTAGCTTTGCCTGCAGATATGCCTTACTTTCTGTTGAGGTGACAATACCATTTTGGCTTTTTATTATATTAGAAAATCCAAGAGTTACGGAGTTTCCTTCATTTAGAACTCTTGTGCTCCCAGCTTTTTCCAAAGAGTTAACCTCAAATTGTGTGTGTTCCAAAAAGCAAAAGTCTAGCTGAAATAATTTTTAAGAAAAATAGTCCAAGGGAGCTGCTAGCTATCTACTCTTCTAGTTATACAAAAGTCTGTTTTTAGCATTATGATATATTACCATGTTTGAATTATATTATTGTGATTCATTTTACACATTCCACAAATACTAATTTGAAAATAACCTTAATTCCTCACAGAATGGCATTTATCAAGTGAGCTTTTACTCTGTATCTATAAAACTATTGTTAAAGATATCATGTGTTACCCAAATTAAGTTTTCTATAACTTTTCTTTAGTTTCATTTTTTTAAACTCTATGAAGAATCTCTATAGGAAAAGTCTGTGTCTTTCAAAGGATTACTATGTTTTCTTTTATCAGCAACAAAAATGGTATAATCCAGAGGCCAGGCATAGTGGCTCACACTTGTAATCCCCGCACTTTTGGAGGCCAAGGTGGGTGGATCACCTGAGGTCAGGAGTTTGAGACCAGCCTGTCCAAGATGGTGAAACCCTATCTCTACTAAAATTACAAAAAAAAAAAAAAAAAAAAAAAAAAAATTAGCCAGGCACGGTGATCCATGCCTGTAATCCCAGCTACTCTGGAGGCTGAGACAGGAGAATCGCTTGAACCCAAGAGGTGGAGGTTGCAGTGAGCCAAGATGGTGCCCTTGCACTCCAGCCTGGGCGACAGAGTGAGACTCCATCTCAAAAAAAAAAAAAAAGATATAATCCTTCATAGTTTCCATTTTGCTTTGGTTACCTAGAAGCTTATAGCCAAATTTAATGTTTAATACAATGTTTGCCTTTTTAACTGTCACAATAAAGCTAGCACATTTGCTTTTTTCTGTACTTGACCATTTAAAAATTTTCATTTTGCTGACCTTTTGGTGAGGAAGAGAGAACAAGAGAGAGAGACAAAGAGAGAGAATCATTTAGTATATGCCTCATTAGATTGTTTTTGAAAAGAAAGAAAATTAACATTTGTAAATTACATGAGTTATCTCAAGTGCAGTTACTGTATTTATAGGGTTATAATTATGTTTATCATTTAGAAAATAATTTTCTAAGAATTCTGTACTTTTGCTTAATTTACATTAATTGAGCTTTCCTCAATCAGTAGCCAGAATTTCCACAGTTTCAAATCAGAATACTTATACAACTGTTACTGCATATAGAATTTTATATGTCATAAGTCATTATTAGAAAAATTATAAGACAGATGGTCAAAATGTAAAAATGTTTATATTATATGTATTGGACAAGTGTTTAATATCTTCAATAGTAAAAAACTTACAAACCAATGAGAGAAAGCTATACATTCCAGAAGCAAAATGGAAGACATAGGTGATAATTTAATACACACAAAAAATCTGTGGCCAATACAGTTATTAAAAAATGTTAGATCTCACCAGCAAACAAAGAAATGCAAAAATAAATTTTAAAAATTTTGTCCATCAATTTAGGGGCATTTCAGAAGTGATGAGTCATATTCCCAATATGTTTTTGCTTTTTGAGACAGAGTCTGACTTTTTTACCCAGGTTGGAGTGCAGTGGCATGATCTTGTCTCACTGCAACCTCTGCCTCCCAAGTTCAAGTGATTCTCCTGCCTCAGCCTCCCAAGTAGCTGGGATAATGGGTGCTCGCCACCACACCCTGCTAATTTTTGTATTTTTTTTTAGTAGAGATGGAGTTTTGCCATGTTTTCCAGGCCGGCCTCAAAATACTGACCTCGAGTGATCTGCCTACCTTGGCCTCCCAAAGTGCTGGGATTACAAGCATAAGCCACCACTCCCGGCCCCCAGTATATTTTTAAAGGTAGTATAGTATAAAGTGCTAGTTGTTAATTCCGTATGTACTGATATGCATAATCTATAAGATATATAACTAAATTTAAAAAGCAAGATGCAGAACCTATACAGCATTCTCAGTGGTATGCTGGTGAAATGGCTGTCTGGAGAAAAAAAAGTTCTGATTTATACTATTTTTATATTTTCTTGGTGTAACTTATTCCACCATGGCCTATTTTATTACTGATATGCTGTCACGGAAAATGGAGATGGAAAGAGACATGGATAATCAGTCGTCATGAGTCAGTAAGAACTGACTCCAGCACACTGTTAAATAGTATAATGTATATCTATTAGGAATTCGAGAAATAAATATGAAAGTTACTCTTGATTTAACCTTAAGTTAAAAGGCAAATGTATGTATCAAATATTTATTGTCCATATATAATTATTTATATAATTATATATAAACACACATGCATACGTGTGATCCCAGTTTTGTTTCAAGGTTATTTACATGTGTGTGCGTGTGTTTAGGAGGGGTGAGAGGAGAAAGCGGGGACACTGTTTGCCAGGTATCGAGGACATGAAAGTTATGTACATGTGTGTGCATGTGTTTAGGAGGGCTGGGAGGAGAAAGCGGGGTCACTGTTTTCCAGGTGTTGAGGAAATGAAAGTGCTACCAACAGAGTCTTCTCTGTGACAATGTAGAAAAGAAAGAAAATCAGTTTATTATTAAGTAAGCATAACAGAATATGCACACAGGCAGCCTGCTAGAGACTACAAAGTTAGGATGAGATCTCACATAATTTATATGGCAAAGCAGAGAAAAGAACAATAATTTTTATCACCTTGTGACACTCTGTACATCTCATGAGAGCCCTGGGCTAATTCTGGCAGTATGTGTTTACATATGTAGAAGTTATTTGGTCTTACAAACTTTCATGTATCTCTTTACTATAAAAATGGAGCAAAGATGGGGTTCAATCCCTAGAGACATTTATCTATATTCAAAGGTTAAAGACTTGGATTCACCATGTCTTCAAGGAAAAACTCTACAAAAGTGAAGAGGGATAAAAAATGGCCTCTTTGCCCTTTACAAATTGGGAAAATAATTTGTATTTACTCTTACACAGCTGTAAATGACGACTAAAACAAAGGATTAAATGAGGATTAAAACAATTTTTTAAAGTGGTTGTTTGATGACTGGCTTTATTTTTAAATGATTACCTGTGTTTTCCAGATATTTCTAATGAACACATGTATCTTATAATTATGAAAAAATGTTATTAAAAACAGATTTTGAAGACTTGATTTTACAATAAGATCATGACTTTTTTTTTATTCTCTTGAGATTCCTTTTTAAAATCTCCAGTTGTTTTATTGTTAATCAGTGTATGCAGAAGTTTATTACTATGTTCTCTTTTCTATTCTGGAGAATACAGAAAGAAGCACAGAGAATGACTTTGTCTTCAAGAGTTTATAATATATTCAGAGTTAGAAGCTTAATTTATATGAAATAGCAGTGAATGATACAAGCAAATGATATATATCCAGGGATTTCAGTGTGTAGTATGGTGCTGTAGTAAACAGAGAAAGAACTCAGGGTATTCTTAAGTTGAAGAAAGGTTATTTAGAAGAAGTATGTTTGGGGTTAGCTTTGGATGTTGCTTCTTTAGGGGGATGAAAATCCCTTTAGATGAGTGTAACATCATAAGACAAGGCAGGGGGGCAAAAATGAAACTGGAGGAGTTTTTAAGAGAATTATGTAATTTCACGCATATTGAGAGGAGTGAAGAAAGCAGTGTATATAGAATGGATTCCTTTGATGGGGAGAGCCTGGAAGTAGAGAGGTCAATTCGGAGACTTTTGAGAACAAATGAAACTCAAAGGACTAAACTGAATTAGTACCATGAGAATAAAGAGAAAGACTGATAGGCATTGATGGTTGATTGGATATTGGGAGAAGATAGAGAAGGATAAGTTAAAGATTATTCCAAGAGGTATGGGAGAAGAATGAAAGGGAAGAAAAATCTGTAGAATAAAATAATGCTTTTTATATTTGAAGCAACAGTTCTGCATCTAATTTGAAATGTCCATTTGTCAGATGCTGTATGGGTTGGATTGTATCCCCCCAAAAGATATGGTGAAGTCCTAACTCCCAATCCCTCAGAATGTGACCTTATTTGGAAATAGGGTCTTGCAGATGTAAGTAGCTGAGATTACTCCAGTATGGTAGACCCTTACTCTGATGTGGCTAGTGTCCTTATAAGAAAAAAAGACATACAGAGACAGAGACAAACATGGAGAATATGGCCACATGATGGTAGAACCAGATACTGAAATGATGCATGTCAAGGAATACCAATGATTGCCAGCAAAAAACAGTAGCCAGAAAAGGCAAGGAAGGATTCTCCCTTACAGGTTTCAGAGAGAGTATGGCCCTGCTGATACCTTCATTTCAAACTTCTACCCTCCAGAAATTGTGATATGATAAATTTGTGTTATTTTAAGCTAGCCAATTTGTGGTACTTTGTTATGGCTGACATGAGAAGCTACGATGCTGGTGCTATTCTTTCATTCTTCTTTCTTACCATCCCTCCCACCCACTGAAACTTTCTCCCTGGAAAAAATTTATCAACACAAAATAAAGCAAAAAACTATACAAAACACAAATGAGGTACATAGAGTCAAAATTAGAGTGAACAATGTGTTAACATTTTGTAATATTTTGTATCTACTAGTATTTTATTCTCTTTATCATTCTTAAATGGGATTTTAAAAGGGGCTAAATCATCTCTCCGGATTGTGCAGGGATAGCTCATTGGAGTGTGTGCTCTGCATATCCTTTTAGGAGGTATTTAAAGATAGTAATGTCTCTCCAGCTTGTTTGGCAGTCTAGAATTCCATTGCCTAACTTTTTATTCAAGAATATCAGATGTCAGAATGAAGTGACAACTTAGCCATGTGGAAATGGGAAGAATATGGGGATCACAAAGTAAGCAAGGCAGTATGGGTCATAGAGCACATGGGCAAAGGCATATGCTTGAATGCCTTGAGGACCCACTGTAGTAAGAGGAAATATAAAAATGGAGAGAGAAGGAAGTACTTGTCTCTGTCACTCCCACCAGAAATTTCTCACTTGAGTATTTGTATTAATGTTGTTGTCTTTACTGATTTTTTCAAATTTTTAATGATTGAAATGAGATCAGTCATATTCTATTCCAGAAAGTGTTCCCTCTTTTCTTAATCTGTTTTTCTTGTTGAGTATATTTATATATATATAAGTCTTCCATGAGGTAGGGGGGATACTCTCACCCCTTTTTCGACTGTTAAATCAACAACTTTTAGAGATTGGTCAATTAGGTTACCAAACATTTTACATAACTTGGAAACCAAATATTTTACATAATCTGGAAAGTAAAGCTGTTTTGTTAATTTTTTTTTTTAGCTTTTTAATTTTTTTGAGACAGGGTCCCACTCTGTCTTCTGGGCTTGAGTGCAGTGCTGTGGTGGTTATGGCTCACTGCAGCCTCTACCTCCCAGGCTCAAGTGATCCTTCCACATCAGCCTCCTAAGTAGCTGGGGCCACATGTACATGTCACCATGCCTGGCTAATTTTTGTATTTTTTGTGGAGATGGGGTTTTGTCACATTGCTCAGGATAGTCTTGAATTCCTGAGGCAATTGATCCACCTGCCTTGGCCTCCCAAAGTTCTGGGATTACAGGCATGAGCCACCATGCCGGGCCTGTAAAGCTGTTTTAAGTGCATGTGAATATATGAATTTGGGGAACTAACTATGCCTAAGCCATAAGCTTTTATTTCTTTTCTTTCCTTCCTTTTTTTTTGAGATGGAGTCTCCCTTTGTCTCCCAGGCTGGACTGCAGTGGCGCAATTTTGGCTCACTGCAACCTCCACCTCCTGGGTTCAAGCTATTCTTCTGCCTCAACTTCCCGAGTAGCTGGGACTACAGGCGCGTGCCACCATGTCCGGCTAATTATTGTATTTTTATTTTTATGTTTTTATTTTTTATTATTATTTTACTTTAAGTTTTAGGGTACATGTGCACAATGTGCAGGTTAGTTACATATGTATACATGTGCCATGCTGGTGCGCTGCACCCACTAACTCGTCATCTAGCATTAGGTACATCTCCCAATGCTATCCCTCCCCCCTGCCCCCACCCCACAACAGGCCCCAGAGTGTGATGTTCCCCTTCCTGTGTCCATGTGTTCTCATTGTTCAATTCCCACCTATGAGTGAGAATATGCGGTCTTTGTTTTTTTGTTCTTGCAATAGTTTACTGAGAATGCTGATTTCCAATTTCATCCATGTCCCTACAAACGACATGAACTCATCATTTTTTACGGCTGCATAGTATTCCATGGTGTATATGTGCCACATTTTCTTAATCCAGCCTATCATTGTTGGACATTTGGGTTGGTTCCAAGTCTTTGCTATTGTGAATAATGCCGTAATAAACATACGTGTGCATGTGCCTTTATAGCAGCATGATTTATAATCCTTTGGGTATATATCCAGTAATGGGATGGCTGGGTCAAATGGTATTTCTAGTTCTAGATCCCTGAGGAATCGCCACACTGACTTCCACAATGGTTGAACTAGTTTACAGTCCCACCAACAGTGTAAAAGTGTTCCTATTTCTCCACATCTTCTTCAGCCCCTGTTGTTTTCTGACTTTTTAATGATTGCCATTCTAACTGATGTGAGATGGTATCTCATTGTGGTTTTGATTTGTATTTCTCTGATGGCCAGTGATGGTGAGCATTTTTTCATGTGTTTTTTGGCTGCATAAATGTCTTCTTTTGAGAAGTGTCTGTTCATGTCCTTCGCCCACTTTTTGATGGGGTTGTTTGTTTTTTTCTTGTAAATTTGTTTGAGTTCATTGTAGATTCTGGATATTAGCCCTTTGTCAGATGAGTAGGTTGTGAAAATTTTCTCCCATTTTGTAGGTTTCCTGTTCACTCTGATGGTAGTTTCTTTTGCTGTGCAGAAGCTCTTTAGTTTAATTAGATCCCATTTGTCAATTTTGGCTTTTGTTACCATTCCTTTTGGTGTTTTAGACATGAAGCCTTTGCCCATGCCTATGTCCTGAATGGTAAAGCCTAGGTTTTCTTCTAGGGTTTTTATGGTTTTAGGTCTAACGTTTAAATCTTTAATCCATCTTGAATTGATTTTTGAATAAGGTGTAAGGAAGGGATCCAGTTTCAGCTTTCTACATATGGCTAGCCAGTTTTCCCAGCACCATTTATTAAATAGGGAATCCTTTCCCCATTGCTTGTTTTTCTAAGGTTTGTCAAAGATCAGATAGTTGTAGATATGTGGCATTATTTCTGAGGGCTCTGTTCTGTTCCATTGATCTATATCTCTGTTTTGGTACCAGTGCCATGCTGTGTTGGTTACTGTAGCCTTGTAGTATAGTTTGAAGTCAGGTAGTGTGATGCCTCCAGCTTTGTTCTTTTGGCTTAGGATTGACATGGCGATGCAGGCTCTTTTTTGATTCCACATGAACTTTAAAGTAGTTTATTCCATTTCTGTGAAGAAAGTCATTGGTAGCTTGATGGGGATGGCATTGAATCTGTAAATTACGTTGGGCAGTATGGCCATTTTCACGACATTGATTCTTCCTACCCATGAGCATGCAATGTTCTTCCATTTGTTTGTATCCTCTTTTATTTCCTTGAGCAGTGGTTTGTAGTTCTCCTTGAAGAGGTCTTTCACATCCCTTGTAAGTTGGATTCCTAGGTATTTTATTCTCTTTGAAGCAATTGTGAATGGGAGTTCACTCATGATTTGGCTCTCTGTTTGTCTGTTGTTGGTGTATAAGAATGCTTGTGATTTTTGTACATTGATTTTGTATCCTGAGACTTTGCTGAAGTTGCTTATCAGCTTAAGGAGATTTTGGGCTGAGACAGTGGGGTTTTCTAGATATACAATCATGTCGTCTGCAAACAGGGACAATTTGACTTCCTCTTTTCCTAATTGAATATCCTTTATTTCCTTCTCCTGCCTAATTGCCCTGGCCAGAACTTCCAACACTATGTTGAATAGGAGTGGTGAGAGAGGCCATCCCTGTCTTGTGCCAGTTTTCTAAGGGAATGCTTCCAGTTTTTGCCCATTCAGTATGATATTGGCTGTGGGTTTGTCATAGATAGCTCTTATTATTTTGAAATATGTCCCATCAATACCTAATTTATTGAGACTTTTTAGCATGAAGGGTTGTTGAATTTTGTCAAAGGACTTTTCTGCATCTATTGAGATAATCATGTGGTTTTTCTCTTTGGTTCTGTTTATATGCTGGATTACATGTACTGATTTGCGTATATTGAACCAGCCTTGCATCCCAGGGATGAAGCCCACTTGATCATGGCAGATAAGCTTTTTGATGTGCTGCTGGATTCGGTTTGCCAGTATTTTATTGAGGATTTTTGCATCAATGTTCATCAAGGATATTGGTCTAAAATTCTCTTTTTTGGTTGTGTCTCTGCCCGGCTTTGGTATCAGGATGATGCTGGCCTCATAAAATGAGTTACGGAGGATTCCCTCTATTTCTATTGATTGGAATAGTTTCAGAAGGAATGGTACCAGTTTCTCCTTGTACCTCTGGTAGAATTCGGCTGTGAATCCATCTGGTCCTGGACTCTTTTTGGTTGGTAAGCTATTGATTATTGCCACAATTTCAAATCCTGTTATTGGTCTATTCAGAGATTCAACTTCTTCCTGGTTTAGTCTTGGGAGAGTGTATGTGTCGAGGAATTTATCCATTTCTTCTAGATTTTCTAGTTTATTTGCGTAGAGGTGTTTGTAGTATTCTCTGATGGTAGTTTGTATTTCTGTGGGATCGGTGGTGATATCCCCTTTATCATTTTTTATTGCGTCTATTTGATTCTTCTCTCTTTTTTTCTTTATTAGTCTTGCTAGCTGTTTATCAATTTTGTTGATCCTTTCAAAAAACCAGCTCCTGGATTCATTGATTTTTTGAAGGGCTTTTTGTGTCTCTATTTCCTTCAGTTCTGCTCTGATTTTAGTTATTTCTTGCCTTCTGCTAGCTTTTGAATGTGTTTGCTCTTGCTTTTCTAGTTCTTTTAATTGTGATGTTAGGGTGTCAATTTTGGATCTTTCCTGCTTTCTCTTGTGGGCATTTAGTGCTATAAATTTCCCTCTACACACTGCTTTGAATACGTCCCAGAGATTCTGGTATGTTGTGTCTTTGTTCTCATTGGTTTCAAAGAACATCTTTGTTTCTGCCTTCATTTTGTTACGTACCCAGTAGTCATTCAGGAGAAGCTTGTTCAGTTTCCATGTAGTTGAGTGGTTTTGAGTGAGATTCTTAATCCTGAGTTCTAGTTTGATTGCACTGTGGTCTGAGAGATAGTTTGTTATAATTTCTGTTCTTTTACATTTGCTGAGGAGAGCTTTACTTCCAACTATGTGGTCAATTTTGGAATAGGTGTGGTGTGGTGCTAAGAAAAATGTATATTCTGTTGATTTGGGGTGGAGAGTTCTGTAGATGTCTATTAGGTCTGCTTGGTGCAGAGCTGAGTTCAATTCCTGGGTATCCTTATTGACTTTCTGTCTCATTGATCTGTCTAATGTTGACAGTGGGGTGTTAAAGTCTCCCATTATTAATGCGTGGGAGTCTAAGTCTCTTTGTAGGTCACTCAGGACTTGCTTTATGAATCTGGGTGCTCCTGTATTGGGTGCATATATATTTAGGATAGTTAGCTCTTCTTGTTGAATTGATCCCTTTACCATTACGTAATGGCCTTCTTTGTCTCTTTTGATCTTTGTTGGTTTAAAGTCTGTTTTATCAGAGACTAGGATTGCAACCCCTGCCTTTTTTTGTTTTCCATTTGCTTGGTAGATCTTCCTCCATCCTTTTATTTTGAGCCTATGTGTGCCTCTGCACGTGAGATGGGTTTCCTGAATACAGCACACTGATGGGTCTTGACTCTTTATCCAATTTGCCAGTCTGTGTCTTTTAATTGGAGCATTTAGTCCATTTACATTTAAAGTTAATATTGTTATGTGTGAATTTGATCTTGTCATTATGATGTTAGCTGGTTATTTTGCTCGGTAGTTGATGCAGATGGTCTTTACATTTTGGCATGATTTTGCAGTGGCTGGTACCGGTTGTTCCTTTCCATGTTTAGCGCTTCCTTCAGGAGCTCTTTTAGGGCAGGCGTGGTGGTGACAAAATCTCTCAGCATTTGCTTGTCTATAAAGTATTTTATTTGTCCTTCACTTATGAAGCTTAATTTGGCTGGATATGAAATTCGGGGTTGAAAATTCTTTTCTTTAAGAATGTTGAATATTGGCGCCCACTCTCTTCTGGCTTGTAGAGTTTCTGCCGAGAGGTCCACTGTTAGTCTGATGGGCTTCCCTTTGAGGGTAACCTGACCTTTCTCTCTGGCTGCCCTTAACATTTTTTCCTTCATTTAAACTTTGGTGAATCTGACAATTATGTGTCTTGGGAGTTGCTCTTCTCGAGGAGTATCTTTGTGGCATTTTCTGTATTTCCTGCATCTGAATGTTGGCCTGCCTTGCTAGATTGGGGAAGTTCTCCTGGATAATATCCTGCAGAGTGTTTTCCAACTTGGTTCCATTCTCCTCGTCACTTTCAGGTACACCAATCAGACGTAGATTTGGTCTTTTCACATAGTCCCATATTTCTTGGAGGCTTTGTTCGTTTCTTTTTATTCTTTTTTCTCTAAACTTCCCTTCTCGCTTCATTTCATTCACTTCATCTTCCATCGCTGATACCCTTTCTTCCAGTTGATCGCATTGGCTCCTGAGGCTTCTGCATTCTTCACGTAGTTCTCGAGCCTTGGTTTTCAGCTCCATCAGCTCCTTTAAGCACTTCTCTGTATTGGTTATTCTAGTTATACCTTCTTCTAAATTTTTTTTAAAGTTTTCAACTTCTTTGCCTTTGGTTTGAATGTCCTCCCGTAGTTCGGAGTAATTTGATTGTTTGAAGCCTTCTTCTCTCAGCTCGTCAAAGTCATTCTCCGTCCAGCTTTGTTCCGTTGCTGGTGAGGAACTGCATTCCTTTGGAGGAGGAGAGGTGCTCTGCTTTTTAGAGTTTCCAGTTTTTCTGCTCTGTTTTTTTCCCCATCTTTGTGGTTTTATCTACTTTTGGTCTTTGATGATGGTGTTGTACAGATTGGTTTTTGGTGTGGATGTCCTATTTGTTAGTTTTCCTTCTAACAGACAGGACACTCAGCTGCAGGTCTGTTGGAGTACCCGGCCATGTGAGGTGTCAGTGTGCCCCTGCTGGGGGGTGCCTCCCAGTTAGGCTGCTCGGGGGTCAGGGGTCAGGGACCAACTTGAGGAGGCAGTCTGCCCGTTCTCAGATCTCCAGCTGTGTGCTGGGAGAATCACTGCTCTCTTCAAAGCTGTCAGACAGGGACATTTAAGTCTGCAGAGGTTACTGCTGTCTTTTTGTTTGTCTTGCCCTGCCCCCAGAGGTGGAGCCTACAGAGGCAGGCAGGCCTCCTTGAGCTGTGGTGGGCTCCACCCAGTTGGAGCTTCCCCTCTGCTTTGTTTACCTAAGCAAGCCTGGGCAATGGTGGGCGCCCCTCCCCCAGCCTCGCTGCCCTTTGCCGTTTGATCTCAGACTTCTGTGCTAGCAATCAGCGAGACTCCGTGGGCGTAGGACCCTCCGATCCAGGTGCGGGATATAATCTCGTGGTGCGCCATTTTTTAAGCCCGTCGGAAAAGCGCGGTATTTGGGTGGGAGTGACCCGACTTTCCAGGTGCCATCTGTCACCCCTTTCTTTGACTAGGAAAGGGAACTCCCTGACCCCTTGCGCTTCCCAGGTGAGGCAATGCCTCTCCCTGCTTCGGCTCACGCATGGTGCGCGCACCCACTGACCTGCGCGCGCTGTCTGACACTCCCTAGTGAGATGAACCCGGTACCTCAGATGGAAATGCAGAAATCACCCGCCTTCTGCGTTGCTCATGCTGGGAGCTATAGACCGGAGCTGTTTCTATTCGGCCATCTTGGCTCCTCCCCCTAATTATTGTATTTTTAGTAGAGATGGGATTTCACCATGTTGGCCAGGCTGGTCTCGAACTCCAGATCTCATGATCCACCTGCCTCAGCCTCCCAGAGTGCTGGGATTACAGGCGTGAGCCACCGTGCCTGGCCGCTTTTATTTCTTTCTAAATGAAAACATACATTTTGAGGTTCACTGACCTTAAAATATATTTCCTTTTCCCAGAAGAGTATATACTGTTCATTTGGTTTCCATGTAAAACTCTCCCCTTGAACATATTGATAATGAGTAATCTTTATTTCCCTAGGAAATAAAGGAAAATAAATAAAGGAAAAAAAAATAACTTCCCTAGGAAGTTAGTTCTATTATCAGCTGTGAAATCTGAGTGACTCTACACTTTTGTTGCTTCAGATGATTTTTAGAATTGCTGTTTTGGTGCAGAATTAATCACAGCAAGAGAAAATGTATCAATATGGAAAAATATAAGGGCTAAAAAGAAGCCAGATAGCTCATATTCATATAGGTTGCTAATAATATACCCAATGTATAGTACTTAATATCCCTATTACTGCCAATTCTATTAAATAAGATGTCAAAATATTTTAATATTGTCTCATGAGATATCATAAGGCTATATGAGTGCTTAGAATTTCTTGATTTATTAGTTGTTTTCTGTGAAATCTGGGTGGCTGTAATTATAGTTCACATTTGCTGTATTAAGATTCTACTGTTTTTTTTTTTAATGAAGCGTAACAGTGATTAATGGTTTAGCTAGCTAAGAACATAAGAAAGATGTGAATGCCCAGCCAAAAAAAAAGATAGTTTTTCTTTCTGATGTTTCCGTACTTCTTAGTTTGAACTATATGAAATTGCCACTTTTGTAGGTCAAATAGACAACTTTTTATGGTTCAACCTATTATATGGTTTAGAATAATAATGTCTATAGTCTACTCTGCCCTAGCCAGCTCTACATAAAACTTTAACTTGTGGGCTATAAACTTACCCAATTTATACAAATTTTGGCGTAATTATTTCTGTTTTTATTTTTTGTTATTAGGGTTTGCTTTTTAGAGAGGATCTCACTCAGGCTGGAGTGCAGTGGTGTGATCATAGCTCACTGCAGCTTCAAACTCCTGGGATCAAGGGATCCTCCCAACTCAGCCTCTGGGGTAGCTGGGACTACAGACATGCATCACCAAAACTGGCTAGTTTTTAAATTTTTTGTAGAGACAGTCTCACTCTGTCACCCAGGCTGGAGTGCAGTGCCTTGATCTCAGCCCACTGCCCACTCTGCCTCCTGGGTTCAAGCGCTTCTCCTGCCTCAGCTTCCCAAGTAGCTGGGACTACAGGTGTGTGCTACCATACCTAGCTAATTTTTGTATTTTTTAGTATAGACGGGGTTTCACCATGTTGGCCAGACTGGTCTTGAATTCCTCACCTCAAGTAATACACCCGCCTCGGCCTCCCAAAGTGCTGAGATTACAGGTGTGAGCCACCAAGCCTGGCCAAGTCATTGTTTTTCTTATGCACCAAGAAGTTTGGAGGTAGCCAGTCCAAGGGCAGGTGTAGTGGCTTCACAATAACATTGATGTTCCAGACTCTTTCTATATTTCTACTCTGACATACTTAGCCTGTGGCTTTCATTCTTTTTCGTGTTGCTTTAGACCCAAGATGGACACCGCATTTCCAGGTATTACATCTACCTTCCAGGCAGGAAGAAGAGAAGAATTAAAAGCCTCATTCTTTTGAGGCTTCCTCTCATTGCCTACAAAGAAGGGAAGTTATCTTGAGGGGCTTCTCCCTGAGAGTATTTCAGTTAACTATTTTAGCTTCATGTCTCTTTAGTAGAGGAAGGCACAGAAAAAAGCATTGAAAAGCAAAGTGAGGGACACTTTGAAGCAACAAATGGTAAGCCATTCAAGACTAATAAATTGTAGGCCAATTGAGTTGGTTTTTGTATTTTAAAGGCAAGTGTGCTTTGAATAGCATCAGGATCCAAAAGAAATGCTGTTGCTGGTGAAATGATCATTTAAATAAGCAAAAGGAGTTTCTATTCTTAAATGTAGAGAGACAAATTGATTTCTGATAACCATCTTGCTACAGGGAAATGTGAAATTGGAATAAGAGGGCAAAACAGACACACTAGGACCAATTCTTAAAAGTTAAGTAACCTTTAGTCTTATCTTTATTAAATCTTTCCTTTCAAAATATAGCCCTGTAAATCTTCTGAGTTTTGTGACCTTAGTGACAGTAGACTTTTAGCCTTTGATTACTTTGTGAAATAAAATAATGAATTAAAAAAGATAATTTTTTTGTAGTAAAATATGCCATGGTACAATCACAAATAGAATTTTATGTGATTGGTCATATATATACACATATATATACACATATATATATACACACACATATATATACATATAGATATATATATATGTAGTACTGTTTGGTTTATATACAACAGTTGCCAGTTTGTTCCCCAGGAAACAAGATTAATATTCAGGAAGTTTGTAAGTGGGAACTCTTGGGATTTACACCTGTAGGGAAAGGGATGGAAGCAAGATTGGACAAAAGGAGAAGTTGGATCGTGACGCAGTCAGAAGAAAGGCCTCAACCAGCTGCATGGGAAGGCTGTTTGGAGTTGTTCCAGGTTGAAGTAAGGAGGCTGAGCCTTTGTACTCCAGTATTGACCAGTCATTTGATGCAAATTGCCCCTAGGAGATAGTGTGATCCTGGGCAAGGTAATCTGTACAATTGAGGGTAATTCCCAGAGAGGACTAGATAGCTGAGGGATGACAGCAGTTGAGAAATAAATTCTCCAAACTTAATTGTATCTTGGGAAAATCAGATTTAACTTATAAATTTTAGTTTTACATCTTACTTTTTAGGAATATTACCCATGGTAAGTGCAATATTGTACCCATATGTGTTCTCAAGGCTCTAGGGTTGGAGTATTAAAGATGATTTATTCTAGCTCAGGATAAAGAATGCTCTTTTAAGATTAATATGGAAGCTCCACTTGAGACTCCTCCCACCTCCAAAAATATTAAGTTAATTCTGTTTCAGTCACTTATTTGTAACAGCATCCTGTGTATGCCGAATACTAAAGAGGAATAGTGAGCTGTTATTCAGTTTTTTAGTTTTTAATTCAATTTGATCATGGGAATATTCATTTCAGTACAGCTCCATGATTATCTCTAATTTTTTAAGGATTCTGATGTAATGCATAATTCTTGATTCCCTTGTCCTGTCTCATAAAATAACTGGCTTTTATTTAAAAAGTCTCCCCACCCCCCGCATCATTCTTTTTCTTGGAATGAGAGCTCAGAAAGCACAGAGTCTGTCTTGGTTGTTATCCATGCCTCCTTGCCTCTTGGATAGACTGCTAAAATTTATTTTCTTTTGGCCTTTCCCTGAAAGTCATCCAGAAGCAACAGTATTTATAGAACAGAGCAGCTCTACTACTGAACATGGCAGGGGGTGGTGGCGGGAGGGTATCCTCTGGAGTGTGTATTTACTGCAAGAACAGCAGTCAGATGGATTGAATTTAGATTTTACTGATTTAATACTTAGAATAATCTGAACTTTAAATCTATGAACAGTTAGTAAGAATCTGGGGTCAGCAAGATGATAGCTTTAGGAGCATTGATTTTTATGAAATTAGATTATAATGAACACACTATGTGATGGTCCCACACATCTTATATAGTAGAATTAGAATTTTTGGAGTGAAAATCTACAAGGCTAAAAAAATTAGTAACAGTTTAAGCACCATTTTACTCAGCTACCAGGGGCATTGTGACTAACTTCTTGGTTCAAGTGTTTCTGGTCTTGGTTGGATTCAAATATCATTGGTAGATTTTGGTAGAATTCTATATTAAATATTTTCTTTTCCTTCCCATTGTTCTTTTTCTTTGACTATTTTAAGACATTGTCGGAATGAAAATGTTATAGATAGTACTTTTATAAGACCTGCCAACATTTTTTTACCATTACCATTAGTAAATAACTTAAAATATTTTATATAGGATTCTCTGAAGCATAATTTTTACTTCTACCTTTATCTAAAACTAAAGTTATTACATTCCTTTGTCCCTTAGGAGGTTGCATTTATCAGGTTAGGTGTGTTTGCTTCAGGTTAGTTTTAAAAACAAGTTTCTCTGAGATCTGATGCAATGATTGGTTTTAAACCCAGAACAAATGGATTTTTGTTTTGGGGGTTTTATTCAATGACTTTGTACCTATGGTACCAAAAGAGATTTTTTTTTTTGTTTTATTTAATGATTATAAAGTTCAAAAACAGAACCAGAAACTTATCTCTTAGCATTTGATTATATAGAAATAAATGCTCATTTCCTGGAACTATAGATGTATTAAATCTGTAAAGTGCTGAAAAGCATGTACTCAAGTGAAACAATTGGCAGGCAAAGACACATTTTACTTTGTAAAATAAGAGCTTATATAGGATGTTTTATAGTTTGTATTCGAGCTAATTTTACATAAAAATGTGACCATCTATAAAAGATATACTAAATAGGGTCCTTATAACAGGGTTCCTAGTCCCTTAGAAATTCTGTTCCAAATAATTTATTGAATATTGCTCCTTGTTCAGTTAATTTTTTTTTTTTTTTTTGAAACAGAGTCTCACTCTGTTGCCCAGGCTGGAGTGCAATGGCATGATCTCCGCTCACTGAAACCTCCGCCTCCCAGGTTCAAGTGATTCTCTTGCCTCAGCCTCCCAAGTAACTGAGATTACAGGCATGTGCCACCATGACTGGCTAATTTTTTGTGTTTTTAGTAGAGATGGGGTTTCACCATGTTGGCCAAGCTGATCTCAAACTCCTGACCTCAGGTGATCTGCCTGCCTTGGCCTCCCAAAGTGCTTGGATTACAGGTGTGAGCCACTGTGCCCAGCCTGTTCAGTTAATATTGAGAAGTATTTTCTAAGTTTGCCCACTTGCAAAATCATTTGTGAATACTATGCTTCAGCTTATGAGTAGTTTGGTTTTTTATTACTTGATTAGCATAATTCTATGGAATTATTAAGACATATTATTGTCCCTAATCTTGGTATTGTCTGTATACTCCAGATGAGTGATCTGGAGTATATAATTAACAAATGATAGATCTCCTGATTGCAGTGGTCTTTCTGCCACATCATACTGTTTACCGTGGATGACATCATACTGTTTACTGTGGATGATCAGTTGTTTTGGTTTCAGTACAAGTTAAGTAGTTCCTCTCTGCCTGGGCCTTGAGCAAGCAAAACCTCTTTTAAAAGGAAAGAAATAAGTGGTGTTAGGTTATAAATGATGCAGATCTTCATTAGTCTGGCAAGATCTATAACCTCGTAAGTTGATCTGATTTGAGCATCATATCTATAATAAGTAGCCTGTAAGAAATTCAATCAGGCAGGCCAGGCGCAGTGACTCAAGCCTGTAATCCCAGCACTTTGGGAGGCTGAGGCGGGCAGATCACGAGGTCAGGAGATCGAGACCATCCTGGCTAACACGATGAAACCCCGTCTCTACTAAAACTACCAAAAATTAGCTGGGCGCAGTGACGGGCGCCTGTAGTCCCAGCTACTCAGGAGGCTGAGGCAGAAGAATGGCATGAACCCAGGAGGCGGAGCTTACAGTGAGCCGAGATTGCGCCACTGCACTCCAGCCTGGGCGACAGAGCAAGGCTCTGTCCCAAAAAAAAAAAAAAAAAAAAGAAAGAAATTCATTCAGGATTCCATAGTCAATAACTTAACAAAAGGCAGCAGGAAAGCTTTACTGATGATAGTGTTACCAGCGCTGTGTTTCAAAACTCCAGGGGGCATACTCATATTGTATTCTTTATGTTATCCTCTGGTGTTGTGCAACATGATGATACTCCATGATATTTTAAGAATATTGAAAGAGAGTTGTTTAATGAAAGAGCTCTGAAGATTGAGCTCTTTTATTCTGGCTAACTCTGATAATCAGTAAGTCATTTTCCCAGAGAGAATCTTTTCGTCTTAAAAGGCTGAGGTCAACTGTCACAGCTGCAGTTTCTCCAGGGAAAAATAGTCCTTGTACTTAGCCAAAAACCTTTCAATCAATATTTGAAGAGAGAGCCATATCCTGCAGTCAAATTGAGGGTAGTTTTGCCCCCTTCAAACACAGAGCAGTTGGCTTTTTAGATGGATGAACTGCGTTTGGCCAGGTGACAGGAGTTCAGGACACTAGAGTCCTTATCAAATCTTCATGTGATTTTTGTGCTTCAGTTTTTCTAAATTCAAAATAGATTGTGAAGATAGTTCTCAGTTGGCTCTGAGAATTTTAAGTTATGGCTTAGATCAAATTAAATATCCTGGGATTATCTTTAAATGATTTATAGTTAGGCACAAGCTTTTCACAACATTAACATTTCTATTTGATACAGAAAATCATTCTTTTTGAATAGTTGGTGATTTATTTTGATTTGAAATTCTAAATCCCAAAGATAATTTTCTTACCGTGAACATTGTGTTGTTTGGCTGGTAGTTTTCCCTAAAGATTATTTAAAAGTCTCTTATTCTTAATTGAATATGTTACACAGCCTAGAAGTCCACTAAGCAATGCTTCCAAAAATTATTTGCATTTAGTGGATTATGCATAACCCCATTTTAGAGCTGATGAAAGGAGTAAGCTTAAATGCATTTTCAAGATGTTGAAACACTCGTTGCCAAAAAGAAGAATAAATATTGGTCTGAAATGAATTAAAAGTAAATGTTTTCTTTGATACCAGAAAGTACCATTTTGGGATGAAAAGGTAAAGATTTTTCAAATTTATGTTAATGATAACATTTGCTTTTACTTTTCTAATGCTAATTTTAAAATGCCAGCATAGCATTATTTTCAGTCTATGCATAAGGGATGTGTAATTTTTGTAGCACAAAAGGGGTGTGAAGCTATTGTTACAACCTTGCTGGTCGTAGATTAAACCATTTTAGTATGTTATCATATTAACCTAAAAGTAGAAAAATAGAAATAACCATATTTGAAGCAGCTTATGTTGAAATTGTATCAGTAACATACTATAGTATTTTCTGAGTATTTCTCCCAAAAGGTTGAGTATTAGCTATTTTATTTACGTGAGAATTATATCTTATCCATGGATTAGTATGTACTCAGAGAACTATAGTACAATAATATTTAATACAAACACTACTTTGAATATAATTTAATATACAATGAATGTGAAACCGTGACAGGCTTCTGCTGTATCTTGGGGTACATCTTTATGAGTTTTAGATATTATATGGTACCTTGGAAAAATGCTAATTGTTCTCATTTTACCTTTTGGATTTTGGATAAACTGGGGTTTGTTATATATTCCTGCTATATTCTTTGATGCAGAAATTTAAGAAGCAAATTATTTTTATTCAGTGATATTCAAGTTTGCTTTTTAAAAAGATTTCTTGACAGAAATAGGATAGCTCTATTTGATTGCATTTATGAATGATTCCTCTACTGGAGTGAAAATTGTAGACTAAACTCTATTTGTCTCTCGCACCACTGAAGGCAGAAATCTCTTCTGAAGTCAGTAAAAGGTTAACAGGGGAAAAGAAAAATATGTGATGGAAAGAATTGAGCCCAATAATTCTTGCCATTATGGTACTTACATCTGAAACATGTAGAGTACTCTTCAAGCTCTACTTCCCATTGTTGAATTAATATAGAAATATTTATAGAATATGATTATGAGCAGTGTTTACTTTTCTAGATTTATAATTTTATTTTTTAAGAAACAGTCTCAGAGAAGTACTTAGCCTTGGATAATTTTTTGGAGGAAAAACAATATTCTTTGACAAAATTGTCTCTGGTCAAAACGACAACATGAAATGAAATGATTTTTGATTAGATTGTTTAATAAGTTTAAGTACTTTTCTGTTATGTAGAAGATTTCACCTGCCTTCCTAGCAATGCTATAAAGTTGAGATAGCCGATATGGGAAAATTACAGTACAATGAGATGCTTGCCAAATGGTATATATAGCTAGTTACCACTGACTGGGTATCACCAGGACTAGAATTCACATCGCCTGACAGGCTAACTTCATGTTCTTTTCAGCCAACCACAGCCTCATTTTATAATCTGTGGATCACTATGAAGGCAAAGTTTTGATGTTACAGAGATAAGCCCTTTCAAAAATCTACCAGAATGATTCCTTCAGGTATACTACCACTACTTAATACCAAGCAGTTTTCTTGAGTGATAAATTAAAAATTACCATGGTAGGCCGTCTGCAGTGGCTCTCGCCTGTAATCCCAGCATTTTAGGAGGGCAAGGTGGGCAGATTGCTTGAGCCCAGGAGTTTGAGACCAGCCTGGGCAATGTGGTGAAACCTTTTCTCTACAACAAATACAAAAATTAGCCTGGCATGATGGCCCATGCCTGTCATCCCAGCTACTAATGGAGGCTGAAGTGGAAGGATGGCCTGAGCCTGTGAGGTCAAGGCTGCAGTGAGCCGTGATCATGCAACTGCACTCCAGCCTGGGTGACAGAGTGAAACCCTGTTTCAAAAAAAAAAAGAAAAAGAAAAAGAAAAAAAATCACCATAGTAAAAATAACTTTCACCCAAAAAGGTAGAGACTAAATAAGGTGATGCATTGACTTACTATTTCCTAGCCCAGCTAAGGTACCATTTCTAGCCCAACTGATTTAGATCTTTATCCTGGCTTGAATTTGGTGGCACCTCCTAGTCCCTCATGGACTTTTTTTCCACATCAGACAAAACCACTGAATGGTTTTGTGTAGTCTGGCAGGATTGTTAGTTGCGGTGGTGTAGAAGCGGAAACAATTTGGGAGTTGTAGGTTGAAACTGAGGTGCCTAGTTCTATGAAGTGGTATTGGTACTGAACTTTGAGTACCAGATTTATGTATATATTTAAAACATTTTTTTAAAGGTGGATAGTAGTGGTGGCTATTTGAGTGTCTTTGGAATACTGAGACACTCGGCATAATTGTACATCTTATAAAGTGGAATTTTGGAGCAGGATGGGTTGTAAATTCACTGTAAATTTAGAATCCAAACAAAACTCATTTCATGTTTGTCTAAACTATTTTAAACCATTTTGATCTTACTAAAATTTCTTTCTGTAGTCTGTATTTTTGTGTTTAAGGCTAGGTTTTTCTTTTTCACTATGGGGTTCATATTCAGTTGGCCTGCTAAATCACTTCCATACTGGTCCTAAGAGAGGTTCATGCTACTCTGTTACACTAAATCCATTATAATCTTTATTGACAAATAATATTGAGGATCCACAGGATTCACTAAGTTCTTAGGAGACCTGACGTGATAAAGAGAAGATATGATCAGTGCCTACCAAAAGCCCATGTTATAGGGCATTAGAAAAGCATGGTAAACTATTAAAAAAATTGGTAAAAAGTTTTATCAGATATACAGCAGTAAGCAACTTACATGAGGTAGATAAGTTTGGGGTTGTTTTAAGAACATATTTTGCTTCTTCTTTTGAACTCTTATAACATTCACTCTTTTTCTTAGGTGTCGGATTAAAGAATCAGATCACATTGCTTTGTAATGGTCAATTCCCACCGTGTGAATGAAATAAGAAAAATGGTCTTGAATTTTGGATTACAAATACAATATTGCCTTCAATCTACAATTTCATTAATTTTTTACACAGTTACCTACATTTTCTACTTTTTTTTTTTACACTTCATTATAACACATTGACTTGTTTCTTGTTTTTTCCTCAGCTCTATTAAGGTATAATCAACAAACAAAAATAGTATATATGTACTGTGTAGAATGCAATGTATTGCTATATATATACATTGTGACAGGATTACATCAAGCTAATTAACATATGCTTTACCTCACATACTGATATGATTTGGATCTGTATTCCCACCCAAATCTCATGTTCAATTGTTGGAGGTGGGTGCGGCTGGTGGGTGATTGGATCTTGGGGGTGATTTATTGTGGTTTAACACAATTCTCCTAGTGCCGTTCTCTTGATAGAGTTCTCACGAGATCTAGTTGTTTAAAAGTGTGTAGCACCTTCTACTTCTCTCTCTTCCTCCTGCTCTGGCCATCTGAAGTGACTCACTCCCCGTTTGCCTTCTGCCATTATTGTACGTTTCCTAAGGCCTCCTCAGAAACCAAACAGATGGCCAGCATCATGTTCCTATACAGCCTGTGGAACATGAGCCAATTCAACCTCTTTTCTTTATAAATTACCCAGTCTCAGGTATTTCTTTATAGCAGTGCAAGAGCAGACTGATATACATACATACAGTTATTTGTGGTAGAGAACACTGAAAATATACTCTCTTAGCAATTTTTAAGTATACATTATTATCAGCTATAGTCACCATGCTGTAAAATAGATCTCGAAAACGTATGTATCCTAACTGAAACTTTACATCCTTTAATCAAAAACTTCCCCCTTCACCTCTCCCTAGCTTGTGATAACCACTATTCAACTCTACTGTGAGTTTCACTTTTTTTTTTAGACTCTACACGAATCAGTATTTGTCTCTCTGTGCCTGGCTTATTTCACTCAATATAATGCCCTCCAGCTTCATCTGTGTTGTCTTAAATCACAGGATTTCCTTCTGTTTTGAGGCTGAATAGTATTTCATTGTGTTTATGTAGAATGTTTTCATTATCCATTAATCATAGATAGACAATTAGGCTGATTTCATATTTTTGCTACTGTAAATAATGCCACAGTGAATTGACTTTGGACATATACCTGTAAGTGGGATTGCTGGATCCTATGGTAGTTACAATTTTAAAATTTGGAGGGTCCTCCACACTGTTTTCCATAATACTAATTTATATTCTCACTAACTGTGTAGCAGGGCTCCCTTTCTCTACATCCTCTGTAACACTTATTATCTTTTGTCTATTTGATGATAGCCATTCTAACAGGTATGATATGATTTCTCATTGTGGTTTTAATTTGCATTTCCCTGATGATTAGTGATGTTGAATATTCCTTCCTATGTTTGTTGGCCATTTGTGTACCTTGTTTTGAGAAATGTCGTTCATATCATTTGCCCACTTTTTGTTCTATGGATCAGAAGATTCTTTGTACATTTTTAATTGGCTGATTGGTTTTCTTGCTATTGAATTGTTTGAGTTGCTTATATATTTTGGACATTAACCCCGATGAAATATATGGTTTACAAATATTTTCTCCTATTCTGTAAGTTGTCTTTTCACTCTGCTAATTGTTTCCTTTGCTATGCAGAAGCCTTTTCATTTGATACTGTCCTATTGTCTGCTTTTGCTTTTTAAATCTGTGCTTTTGAAGTCATATCCAGAAAATCATTGCCCAAACCAGTGTTGTAGAGTTTTTCTCATATGTTTTTTTCTAGTAGTTTTAGGGTTGCAGGTCTTATGTTTAAGCCTTTAATCCATTTTGAGTTGATTTTTGTATATGATGTGAGTTAAGGGTCCAATTTCATTCTTCTGCCTGTGGCTGTCCACTTTTCCAGCACCATTTATTGAAGAAACTGTGTTTTCTCCATTACTTGTCCTTGGCACCTTTGTCAAAGATCAATTTAGTGCAAAAGCATGAATTTATTTCTGAGCTGTCTGTTCTGTTCCCTTGGGCTATGTATCTGTTTCTGTGTCAGTACCATGGTGTTTTGATTATTACAGCTTTATAGTATATTTTGAATGAGGTAGTGCGATGCCTTCAGCTTTGTTCTTTTTATTCAAGGTTGCTGTGGCTATTTGAGGTCTTTTGTGGTTCCATATGAATTTTAGGAATTGTTTTTTCTATTTCTGTGAAAAATGTCATTGGAAGTTTGGTAAGGATTGTATAGAATCTGTATATTGCTTTGAGGAGTACAGAAATTTTGACAATATTGATTGCACATTTTGGTCTTGTTCCTGATCTTAGAGGAAAAACCTTCACCTTTTCCCCACTCAATATGATGTTACCTGTGGGCTTGTCATATAGGATCTTTATTGTGTTTAGGTACATTTCTTCTGTACCTAATTTGTTGAGAAGTTTTACCAAGAAAGATTGTTGATTTTGTCAAATGCTTTTTATGCACTCATTCAGATGATCACTTGATTTTAGTTCCTTATTCTGTTAATGTGATGTATCACATTTATTGTTGAACCATCCTGCATCCCCAGGATGAATCCCATTTACTCATGGTGAATGATCCTTTTAATGTGCTGTTGAATTTGCTTTGGTAGTATTTTATTGAGAAATTTTACATTAAGCATTTATCAGTGATATTTGTCTGTAATTTTCTTCTCTTGTGGTGTCCTTCCCTGGCTTTGGTACCATAATACTTGCCTTATTAAATGAGTTTGGAAGTATTTCCTCTTTTTCAGTCTTTTGGAAATTTTGAGAAGGATTGATGTAAAGCCTTTAGATATTTAGTATAATTCACTAGTGAAGCCATTAGTCTGGAGTTTTTATTGCTGGGAGTTTTTTTGATTACTGATTTGATCTCCTTTTACATTATTTGTCTGTTAGAGTTTGTATTTCATCATGATTCAGTCATGATAGGTTATGTATCTCTAAGAATTTGTCCATTTTTTTAGCTTATTCAATTTGCTGCCATATAATTTTTCATAGTAATCTTTTAGGATCTTTTATAGTTCTATGGTTCAATTGTATTGCCATCTCTTTTGTTTATGTTTTTTTTGAAACTTTCTTATTTTTTAGTCTAGCTAACGATTTATTCAATTTGTTTTTCTTTTCAAAAGACCCACTCCTAATTTCATTGATCTTTTTTATTGTTTTTTTAGTCTCTATTTCATGTATTTTGCTTTGATCTTCTTCCTTTTGCTGACTCTAGGCTTAATATGTTCTTTTTTTTCTAGTTCCTTGGGGTGCAAAATTGGTTTTTATTGACATTTTTCTTTATTCTTAATGTATCTATTGCTATATACTTTCCTCTTACAAATGTAAGAGTGTGCATCCCATAAGTTTTGGTATGTTGTGTTTTCACATTACATCTTACAAATGTAAGAATGTGCATCCCATAGGTATGTTGTATTTTCATTTTCATTTGTCTCAAGATATTTTTTGATTTTGCATTCTATTTCTTTTTTGACCCATTGGTGGTTCAGGGGTGTGTTGTTTAATTTCCACATATTTGTGAATTTTCCAATTTTTTTCTATTATTTATTTCTAGTTTCATACCATTGATACACATGAAGTAGTTTTACACAGTTTTTGAGTCCAGTAAATTCTATTATTTATGCTTTTATTATTTGACACTCCTCTCCTCCTTTGTCTTCACCCCATTATACCTCACAGCAAACTCTTTACCAAACCCAGTTAGCATTTCCCTGTCTGCACTAGAGGATATTTTATTAATAATATTATTACCCCTGAAAAATACCTTCATTTAAAATAAGAAGCTAAATAAAACAGAATTGAGGTATAGAAGGAAAGTAGAGGTAGAAAGCTAAACACCTTCAATGCTTATTCTCTGAAACACATAATTTTAAGATATCCTAAAACTTCAGAGAGCAGCTGCATCAATATTTAGTTGGAACTTAAAATCCCCAGTAGAGTCCAACTTCCCAGCAAGATAGAGTTTGAGCAAAGTGATAAATGTTAGTATGGTATTATTGGCTTGAATTAATTTGAAGAGACATACGCAGAGGGGATCCTTGGCAGTAATGATAATGCATATAAACAAAAGATACTAAATGCTAAACAAGAAAAGGTGCAAAATATTTTCCAAGAAAAGAACTGAAAAGCATGGCTCTTTGGAGCTGGCCAGCTGCTCTCTGGTCCTCTTGTTTGGCTGTTCCTGTTATATTGCATGCCTTCCATTCTTATGAAATATGCTTTTGAGATAAACAAGAGGGAAAGAATAGCAGTTGTCATTTGACATAATTGTGGAGAGGTTCAATGATACACCACAACCAGAACCAGGATGGAGTTCTCCTGTTTGCCAAAATTAGGGATCTTTCTATTGATGACAGCTAGTTTTCAAGAGACCCACAAAAATGTTTTATTTTTAAGATAAAATATTTGCACCTGAGATTATTTTAGTGGATTATTATGTCTGTCTTCATCTAACATTTTTATGATTGTTTACATTTTTCTGGCTCTCAACTTGCAAAATAAATACCGTATTGATGAATTGAATGTATGAAATACATTGAAAAAATTCAAAATGGGGAACATTTTTTTAGTCATTTAAATGTAGTCTAACAATATGTCTACTAAATGCAGGAGCCCTGATACTAAAAAAAGGAAAAAAAAGTCTGAACATGAATTGTTTCTTAGCATTACTCTAGTGTATAAATGTGTGTGCTTGTGTTTGAGCTAGGAGCGCAGGAATGAAACAATAAAATTAGGGGATAACAGGAAACAATTTTAAAAATAAAGAAACAATTAGAGTAGATAAACCAACCTTATGACAGCAATTATAATTCCAGAACATATTTTCTGAAATAATCTTATGCCTGAAGAGTGTGTATTATTAGTTTTATACAAATTCCTAATCCAATTATAATATACAAACTCTAATAAATTAATTAAAATGAAGCTGATAATGTTAATATAATTAAAATAGCTTTAGCTCTCGATTAGACTTCTTGGTCATGCTTTAGATAAGATGCTTTAGTTCCTTTGTTTATTATTTCCCATAGATAGAGTAAATCCAATTCTATTTATCCAAATTGGCTTTGTGTTTTACCTCTCAAACAGTCATTATTTTGAAATCTAAGTGGCTAAGTGCCATGACGGGCTAAAGATGGATTTAGAGAAGGCATGTGATTTGAGTGAGAGAAAGGTTATCTTTACTTTGGTCAAATGTATTTCTCTTGTTTCAGTAATGCCAGATGTGGGTGTCACAGTTCAATTTCCCTTTTGCCCTAATGATTTTTTTGTGAGAGAGTCATGTCCTATATAGCATAGGAATTGAGTAAGTTGATGATGGAAGTTGAAACCTCAGGTGAAGATAAATTTTCCAACTAATTTGTTATTTGGAGGATCATTCTGAGCTATTGAATCTTGCACTTCTTGTCTAAAAAAGTCACCACCTTGGAAAACTCGTCCTTGTACAGTTTTAACATACCATTATCATCACATCTTTTAACTATTTTATCAGAAAAATGTTTAGGATTGGAAGCAGTGTCAGTGTTAAGGAACTAGAGGAAGAAATTAGAAGATATACTAGATTTGGCCAACAAACAACAAGAGTACTTCAGGGATTTCAAATCTGATTTATAACTTCTTTAAAAATGAAAGTTAACTATTTTTAACAGGACTCACGAGACTAAAAGAATACCAATGTTTTTGGAAGAAAGGTTGAGGAATATTTGAATTGGCAAATGAAGAAAATTTACAAGCCAAATATGCCTTCATAGTTGCCACAATACCTTTCCCGACACTTCATTTATCTTAACTATATTAGGGCTAATAAGTTTTTAGGTTGGCGACCTCCAAGGAAAACCTTGTTGAAGATTCGGAATAAAATACAAGGCTTGATATTAGTTACATTATAATGCCACAAATACCATCTTTCAGTGTCTATTTTTTTTAATTCAATTAAGTGAGAATCTACAGAAATTAGAATATTGTTAGCTGCTTCATAATATTTAGTAAAAGAGATATTATTCCTAAATTAAAGTAGTTTACTGAGCGAAATTTGAAATTTGTAATTAGGTTTTAGTAAAGAAATAGAAGAATAAAGTTAGTAGTATTATCAAATATCAATTCAAAATAACAATTTTATTAACGACTGAATTAGCCATATCTAATAAATTAGCTTACAAACATTTACTCATATTAACAAAAGCAACAATAATTAAAATGTCAAAAATATTTGTTAAGCCTTATTACATGAATGCACAGCTTATATACATTATCTAAGTCTATCTAGATAATGTATATATACATTATTTGTATTATTTGTAGAAATCATAAGGAGCTATAGTAGCCATTATTTTCCCCATTTTATAGATAAGAAAACTGAAGTTCCATAAGTAGGTGAGGGATGAGATAATTCTGTAAGTAGAACCCATTTTAGAACCCTATTATGGAAGACACAGAAGCAGTAGAAATCATTGCCTCTGCTCTCATTGTGATTGCAAATTAGTTGGAGAGATAAAATTAAATGAAAAAAATGAAAAATGCAAAGCAATAAAGAATTAATTGCATAATTTAAGAGCAGCTGGAGCTCAAGGAAGAGATCAACAGAAGAGTAGGCATAAAATGCTTCATGGATGAGGTGAATCATGGATATCTCATATTTACATAGAAAGGTGGTAGAGGAGGTATGGGGAAAGAAAATAACACGTATGGAAGAAACCATGAACACTGCACTTGATACCAGTCCAAAAAGAACAATGAACTAATATGTCAGTCATTACTACTGCAACAATTTAATAATCTATTTGAAGAAAAGGCTTAAATAGTCTTCCAGAGAGAAGCTTTGGGTTTTTTTGCATATATTTTTGTTATAGTGTCAATATTCACTAAAGTTTCCATTGCCTAAACATGTTGGAAGAGACTAACTCCCTTTAGATGAGCCAAAGAAAGAAAGCTTGTGTGTCTTGTTAACTGCTGTACTCACAAAATCTAGAACAGTGCCTCCCTGCACATGTTATGTTCACATTAATTATCTGTTGAATAAATGAATTAATATATAAATATATAGAATTTGTGAGTAACATCACAGTTTTTAAATCTGAGAACATTTAAGCTTTTTCCAAATGTTAATCATTGATAAATATCACAGTAATTTTATTTAACTAGAAACTAAAGAATAGTGAGAGTTAATGTTTACCCAGCATTCCATAGTGATTCAATATTAGGGACAAGAATCTTCACATTTCCTCTCTTCCAAAAGTAAAAGTTTTCATTATGTTACCTTCAACAAATGATAAGAACACTAGACTGTTTTCAAAATTACTGAGTTTGAATCCCACCAAGTTTACTACTTCCCAGCCCTATGCTGTTGGGTAAGTTACTTAACTTCTGTAAATCTCAGTTTGCTCATCATAGATTGAAATTGTAGAATGAAAATAACCTTTTTGCTTCCTATACAGCAGAGGTTATTGAGATCCAAATGAGATAATTTCTATGGGGGAACCATTAACATATTGTAGAAATGTTACATGTTTTGAATCATTTCTTTAATATTAACAATGTTTCTGGCCAAGATGCACCTCATAGATAACAACATAATGTTAAGCCTGTTATTATTATAGCATTAATTATGGAATGTACGTATTTACCTATAGGGTAAGATTCATTCATTCATATAAAGATCTAAGGAGAAATCCTCAGGTAGAAAGAAGTTATTCATATTTAGGAAAGAATGTAGGCCATTGTGCTCAATAGTGAATGAGAAGGAACATAGTGCTGGAGGGTCTCATATGTCGTTTAGGTTCTTAGATCATTTACATATCATTTAGGGTCTTATAGGCCATGACAAGTAGGGTGGATTTATTGGTAAATATATATATCATTATGTTTATTTGAAATGTAGTACTTTTCAACTGAGGATGGCAGTGTTATCTTACTTTTTAATTGGAAGAGAAATCAAGATAAGAGAACTTATAGGTATGTACACAACTGGATTATGAGAGATGAGCAGTTATATATATGCTCTGTGGTATCCTGCACATTTTTTAGGCTAAGTAAAAACAGTAATGGTTATGATATTACTGTGTCTTACCTTAAATTTATTTTAGAGTCATCTGATCTATTCTAAATTTTGTTTGGCCATGAATTATATTTTATTTAGTCTTGTGTAGGACAGGATTTTTCTTTGTTAAAATTTTTTTTTACCGAAGTATTATAGTATATAATTATGGGGATAAGCAACAGTTTCTTACCCCGTCCCTTCCCACTCATAGTTGAGTAGCTTAGCCAAAAACCGCTGTTAATTTTTTAAACCATTACTTCTGGAAATTGGTGCCATATTTCTAAATAATATGATTTTTACCACTAGTTTTTGATTTGTCAATTTGAGACATTCTTTTTATTTACTTCTCTATGGGTAAGAATTTCACTGATTTAAAGAACGGACTCTATGCCTATCTTCCTGATATATTTAATCATTTTAAATTCTTCTTTTGGTTATCATTTTAACTTTAAGCAACAAATTCACCTTTTTTCTTATTTTATCACTTATAAACATCTTTGCATCTATGCTTTGTAGAGGGCAGTATCAGTGCCTGCTAGATACTTTGACAAGTTGGCTAGAACAGCGTTGTTCAGATGGAGCATAGAACATCGAGATTACTTTTCTTCACCATGGCAATTGAGTACTGATCTTTGTCTTCCATCTCTTAAGTACATTTACTTCTGAACTATGTATGCTATATAATTCATATCTGTGATAGTAGTGGGTGACTTGATAGATATTATCTGGCTATGTGTACTTCCATGTTAGCAAGTGATTTATGTGTCAAAGTTTCTACCCAGTGGGAATTAGGTCAGTTTAATTTTGTTGTTGTTGATGTTTTTTCCTTCTTCTTCTTCTCTTTTTTTTTTGTTTTTTAAGAAGACGAATTCTCTCTGTGTTGCCTGAGCTGGAATGGAGTGCAGTGGCTATTCAAAGGTGTGATTATAGCACACAGGGGCTTCAAATTCCTGGCCTCAAGCCATCCTCCCACCTCAGCTTCCTGAGTTGCTAGGACTACAGGCTCACACCACTGTACCACTGTGCCTGGCTAATTTTCTTGGTATTTTATCTGGCATAGCTCCACATATAATAAGGTCATTATAAAAATTCTTTTTTAGATATTTATCCATAAACATTCAAACAGATTTATTCAATTAATGACAGAATCAAATGCCTAGTAGACCAAGGTAACCCAAAGAGTTATAACATATTGTGATTCCCCAAGATTTTCATTGTTTTCTGCAAAAGAAATGTCAGCATTCTGGGAATTTTAAACTTAACTCTTTGAGACTTTGTGAAGTTTTAAAAACATTTTGGTTATTTATACTTTATGCTGTATAGCCCTTGAGACAGTCAATGTCACTTGAGACAATCACTTGAAAGTGATGGAGCAAATTTAATAAGTCTTTCATAATTATATATTTTCCAGAGGACTGTGAATTCTGGCACTCAGTCTTGTAGAACACTTAAACACCTCTTGTAGATATGTGATGGTTAGATTTCCAATGTTAAATTATTGGCAACTGGAATTGGAAAGAAATATGGCGCCATCAAAGCTTTATATCATAAAAGAGATTAGTGTTAGACTAAAGTAATTTTGCAAATTAGAATATTGATTTGAAATTAGAATTATGAAATATAGTAGGAGACAAACATAAAGCATTATGGTTAGAGAGGGAAAATAGCATAAAGTCCAGAGGATGAGTAACTGACTATGTATAAAGTTAGAGGCCGGGTTCAGTGGCTCACACTTGTAATCCCAGCACTTTGGGAGGCCAAGGTGGGTGGATCATTTGAGGTCAGGAGTTTGAGACCAGCTTCGCCAACATGGTGAGACCCTGTCTCTCCTACAAAAATTGGCCGGGCCTGGTTGCGCAAGCCTGTAATCCCATCTACTCAGGAGGCTGAGGTAGGAGAATTGCTTGAACCCAGAAGGTAGAGGTTGCAGTGAGCTGAGATCGCACCACTGCACTGCAGCCTGGGTGACAGAGTGAGACACCCTCCCCACCCCCTCACGCCCCCAAAAATGTTAGAAACTCCCTTAATAGTAAAGTATTGGCATTAGCTCACAATATAATGTGGTTAAAGCAAACAAAATACATTGTGACATAAATATGAATAAAAAATGTAGGAAACTCGAGATTATTTTTCCATTGTCCTTCTCACTTGGTCAGACCCTTACATGAGCTTTGTTTCTAGTTCTCTGTGCTACCGCTAAAGAAGGACGTGGAAAAGTTGGAGAAAGTTCGGAAGAGGACCACAAAGATAATTAAAGGGTTGAAAAAGAAACCTAAAAGAAAAAAATTAAAGTAGCAGGGATTATTGTTCCAGAGAAAAGAAGACTTAGAGGTATTTAACTTATGCCTGAAGGATGGAGGCCAGATGTTCTCAATCTTCACTGAAGGTCAGACAAAAAAGAAATCAACTTAACCTGCAGCATGAAGGATTTAAGTTAAATATGAGGAAAATTTTACACTGAGAATGTTAGAATAGGCTACTATAGAACGTGTGACATCCTTTACAACACTATAGATACTTACTGACAACATCAAAGAGCTCAAAGGGCATTCATCTGATGCACTTATCATTCTAGTAGCTCATTAGTAAACACGTATTTTAGCATTTTTGAATTCTGAGTGAAGAAAATTAACAGCTGATCTGGACATTCTGACTTATGATCAGTTCCATGGAAAATGTGGTTGATTTCATAGAAGTAATGTAATTAAAGTTACAATGAATTCTGTTTATAAGACACTGTAGTGTGCTGCTCCATTAAATCAGAAGGATAGACAATCTGACCTCTGAAAGTCTTTTTTTTTTTTTTTGAGACAGTCTCACTCTGTTGCACAGCTGGAGTGTAGTGGCACGATCTCGGCTCACTGCAACCTCCGCCTCTTGGGTTCAAGCAATTCTCTTGTCTCAGCCTCCCAAGTAGCTGGGATTACAGGTGCCCACCACCATTTCTAGCTAATTTTTGTATTTTTAGTGGAGATGGGGTTTCACCATATTGGCCAGGCTGGTCTCGAACTCCTGACCTCAGCTGATCCACCCACCTCGGCCTCCCAAAGTGCTGGGATTACAAGTGTGAGCCACCATGCCTGGCCTCAAAGTCTTTTTTAAGCCCACTTTCTTTTAACTACACAAAACTTTAAAAGGCAAAGGACAGCTGTTTCTTATCAGTTGGTTTGATGATAAATACCAGTAAAAAAGCGAAATGATTACATTGAAATTTAAATATATTTTAATTCTAGATTTTAATTTTTATATACATATTTAAAAATTTTAAAGTGCTGTGGTGATTTTTTTTATAGAGTAGCTCTTTCATCTGCATTTTTATTATGAAGTCCAGTTTTCAAAATTAGTGTTGTTGAATAATTTGCCAGACTGTAAATAAAAATTCTTTAACTTTGCAAACCAACTTCCAAGGTACTGCCTAGCAGAATTAGACTATTGGCTGCTTGAAGCTAGACTTAAAAGACCCTACTAACAATAGAAATTTTTTCTTTTTATTGAGCAATGTGTAACATGTATATTATGCTTTTTCTTCCTTGACTTAAATAGCTTCTTTGGTTTTGAGGTTTTTGAGGAAGACAAAATAAGCTGTGTACTTTATTTTAAGGCAAAGAGCTGTTGTGGTCTACCATGTTCTGTAAAACTAAAATAATACTGTAGTAAAAATTTGGAAAGAAAAAATTTTAGATGTAGTAAAGTGTATAAACCGTCTTCATATTACAAGTAACATTAAATGGACTGATCAATTTTTTATTGTTCATAAAGCATTTTCATTATATGCTGGTATCAAGTATAGTTTTTAATTCCTTTTTAAATTTATTTTTTGTATTTAAAAAATTTATTGTTTTTATTGTATATTGACAAGTTATAAAATTTTTTTAATGGGCAATAATTGTATATATTTATGGCGTACAATGTTATGTTCTGATATATGTATATATTCATTACTGGATGATTAAATTAAGCTAATTAATATAATTATCACCCCACATACTTTTATTTGTGGTACAAACATTTAAAAATCTACTTCCTTAGTAATTTTTAAATATACATTACATTCTTAACTATAGTCTCCATGCTGTGCAATAGATCTCAAAAACTTATTCCTCCTAAGTGAAACCTTGTATGCTATAATCAATATCTCCCCATTCCCTTCTCTCCCATCCCTAGCCTGTGGTAACCACCATTCAATTCTCTACTTCTATGAGTTGAGATATTTTGGATCCCATATATGAGACCATACAGTATTTGTCCCTCTGTGCCTGGCTTATTTCACTTACCATAATGTCCTACAGGTTCATCTATGTTGTCTTAAATAACAGGATTTCCTTCTCTTTTAAGGCTGAATAGTATTTCATTGTGTATATATTAACACATTTTCATTATCCATTCGTTGTAGATAGACAGAGATTGATTTCATGTCTTAGCTACTGTGAATTACCCCACAATGAACATGGGAGTGCAGATAGCTCCTTGACATACTGACTTTGGATATGTACTCATAAATGGGATAGCTGGATCCTATGGTAGTTATAATTTTAAAATTTGGAGGGTCCTCCACACTGTTTTCCATAATACTAATTTATATTCTCACTAACAGTGTAGCAGGGCTCCCTTTCTCTACATCTTCTGTAACACTTGTTATCTTTTGTCTTTTTGATGATAGTCATTCTAACAAGTATGAGATGATTTCTCATTGTGGTTTTAATTTGCATTTCCCTGATGATTACTGATGTTGAACATTCTTTCATATGTTTCTTGGCCATTTATATGCCTTCTTTTGAGAAATGTCTGTTCATGTCATTTGCCCACTTTTTGTTCTATGGATCAGAAGATTCTTTGTACATTTTTAATAGGGTGATTAGTTTTCTTGCCATTGAGTTGTTTATATATTTTGGACATTAACCCCTGATGAGATGTACGGTTTAAAATATTTTCTCCTAATCTATAGGTTGTCTTATCACTGTTAAATTTCCTTTGCTGTGCAGAAGCTTTTTCATTTGATATAATCCCGTTTGTCTGTTTTTGCTTTTTTAATCTGTGCTTTTGAAGTCATATCCAGAAAATCATTGCCCAGATCAATGTTGTGGAGCTTTTCTCCTATGTTTTTTTTCTAGTAGTCTTATGGTTGCAGGTCTTATGTTTAAGCCTTTAATCCTTTTTGAGTTGATTTTTGTATACGGTGTGAGTTGAGGGTCCAATCTCATTCTTCAGCATGTGGCTATCAAGTTTTCCCAGCACTGTTTACTGAAGAAACTGTGTTTTCTCCATTACTCGTTCTTGGCACCTTTATCAAAGATCAATTGAGTATAAAGCACAGATTTATTTCTGGGCTCTCTGTTCTGTTCCATTGGGCTATGTATCTGTTTTTCGAAATGTGGTAGTTCAATTCCTCCAGCTTTGTTCTTTTTGTTGAAGGTTGCTGTGGCTATTTGAGGTCTTCTATGGTTCCATATGAATTTTAGGAATTTTTTTTTTCTATTTCTGTGAAAAATGTCGTTGGAAATTTGATAGGGATTATATAGAATCTGTAGATTGCTTTGGAAAGTGCGGACACTCTCTGCCAATATTGATTTTTCTGATCCATGAACATGGGCTATCTTTCCATTTATTTATGTCTTCTTTAATTTTTTTAATCAATGTCGTATAGTTTTCAGTGCACAGATCTTTCACCTTTTTGGCTAAATGTATTCCTAAGGTTTTTTTTTTTAATGGTATTGTAAATGGGATTATTTTCTTGATTTCTTTTTTGGGTAGTTCATTGTTAGTGTATAGAAATGCTACTAGTCTTTTTACATTGATTTTGTATTCCGTATTTACCGAATTTATGTTATTAGTTCTAACAGTTTTTTAGTAGAGTCTATTTCTGTATTTACTGAATTTATGTATTAGTTCCAACAGTTTTTTAGAGTTTTCTATATGTTAGATCATATTACCAGAAAGCAGAGACGATTTTATGTCTTTCTTTCAAATGTTTGTGTCTTTTATTTTTTTCTTGTTCTTTTTCCTTTTTTTCTTTCTTTTTTGCCTAATTGCTCTGCCTAGGACTTCCAGTACTATGTTGACTAGAAGTGGTAAGAGTGGGCATCATTGTCCTGTTCTAATCTTAGAGACAAAAACTTTCACCTATTTTTTATTCAGTATGATGTTAGCTGTGGGTTTGTCATATAGGATCTTTACTGTGTTGAGATACATTTCTTTTATACCTAATTTGTTGAGAATTTTTACCATGAAAGATTATTCAGTTTTGTCAAATGCTTTTTCTTTACCCATTGAGATGATCATATGATTTTTGTCCTTCATTTTGTTAATGTGATGTATCACATATTGATATCTATGTTGAACCATCCTGCATCTCCAGAATGAATCCCATTTGATCATGATGAATGATTCCTTTAAGGTGCTGTTGAATTTGGTTTTCTGTTGAGGAATTTTGCATCTATATCAATGAGTGTTATTTGCCTGTAATTTTCTTTTCTTGTAATGTTCTTGTCTGGCTTTGATATCATGATAATGCTAGCTTCATAAAATGAATTTGGAAGTAGTCCCTCTTCTTCAATCTTTTGGAAAACTTTGAGAAGGATTGGTATAAATTCTTTTTTAGATAAGTCAAAATTGGATGCAGCAGAAGATTTCATAAAGGTAAATTTAAGCTAGATTATTAGGGGTTTTGAACTTCAGGCTAACGTGTTTAGATTTTGGGGACAATTGAGTTTTTGAGTGCCAGAATGGCATGAGCACAACTGTGCTTTCTTTAGGAATAATAAGCTATGTACTGTATAAGATAGATTTGAATAAAAGATATTTGCATTAATCCTAACACAGTTAAAGGTATAAATTAGGGATTTGTAAATAGGGTCAGAACTGAAAGGACAAATACAGCTACACTGAGAAAGATTTTTCATTCGTATGAAAGAAGAAAGGAAAGGGAAGACTCAAAAGTGACTTCAAAGTGACCAAAGTTCAGTCTAATAAATTGTACTCCAATGGTGTAAAAGAATGAAAACACTTTCTTATTCTGGTAACGTATAATCAAACCTTTCCTGATTATAGAAAAGTTTCTAAATTTTCTAAGTTGAGAGATTATGTCAGTCTTATGTGCTTTTTCTTTCCCTGATACCTGGTAAGCTCTGGTATTTGTTGAAAAAGTGGTTTAATTTTTTTGATTCACTAATCATGAAAGAATATCTTATTAGGTGAATTTTTATGTGAATCAAACATATTCCATTATCTATTTACCAAGGCAATACTATATTAAATATACCTTTTAAATTGTTTTGATTCCCTTACAAACATACAGCAACTTCATGATCTGTATTTTGATACTTCAAAAATAATTTTTTTCTTATTTTTTCTTATCTTTTGTGGTTTCTTACACATTTTAGGGTTTTCGTTTTCTGTGAATTGGGAAATGGAAATAGGGAGTGGAAATTGGAAGGTTATTAGATTACTGGAAATTAAGGATATTGAGAATGGATTTGTGTAATCCTAAGCTGATATAATCTTTCTAGAGGGCTTTAACTCTATAAACATTATAAACACTTACTATGCTCCAGGAATTTTTTTAGATGCTGGGATACAATCGAGAGCAACAGAGACCACTCCCTAATCTCAGAGAATTTGAGTCTAGTGTAGAAAAACGCATATGTAAAAATTACCAGTTTGATGAGAGATATGTAAGAAAAATTTAAGGAGCTAAATTTTATTAGGGGAATCTCAGTTAGGAAACATTTCCTTCAGGAAATCCATTGAAAAGAATCCGAAGAATTAGTAGGAATAACCTAGCCGAAGAAAGTTTAGTCAGTAGAAAAGTGAGCCAGATAGCATGAATAGCATAGTCAGATGACATAAAATAGAACAAAGCATTTTTGTTTGGGAAACGAAAATAAGACGAATATGTCTTGAGACTGAAAAGAGAGGACAGAGTGGACATAAGGCAACAGAATTGGATAGGAGTCAGATCATGACAATATAAATGATAATCCTTAAATATGTTTCACTCCTTGGAATTTATAATGGAAAAATCAGACAAATATATAAAAATATAGTGATGTTCATTGTGATTAATTTTGTATCAGTGAAAACTTGGAAACAAAAATTTTCAACAATAGAGAATTCTTCAATTACACTTTTCTACATCCATACGGTAAAATATGATAAAGCCATTAAAATGATATCCATATATCTTTCCTGACTTAGAAAGATTTTCAAAATATGTTGGTAACTAAAAATCAGGATGCAAATGATGTAATATCCCATTTTTGTGGATGTATAGAAATATAGTAATAACTTATTTATTGTAAATAAATATGTAACATAATTTAGTGACAGAACAATGAAAGAGAAAGTTATTTTGTTATCCAGGAGAAGGAAAAGGGTTGGAATAGTAATGAAGAAAGGCCCAGAGGACAGATGTTATAATCTGTTGAATTGGGGTTATTGATGATGGCAAAGAAGTGAAAACTCTCTATTCATAGGCTTTTGTAACTGAGCTCTTGTTAGCTAAATCAATATTTTAAAATGGTGTGGGGACAGTTTTGCCAGGGCAAAAGACATTTCTGGCTATCTCTATGCTTTCCAATAAAAAATACCCTATATTAGAATGAATGTAAAACTCAAATTATGATGTGACTAGCCAGGGAGATATTTTACAAATGGTAAATCTTTAATTCATGCTATCAGCAAAAGCATGACGATTAGTGATGTTGAGCATTTTAAAAATGTATGTGTTGGCCATTCGAATGTCTTTTTTTGAGAAATGTCTGTTCAGATTATTTGCCCATTCCTTAAATGGATTGTTTGTACTTTTGCTGTTGAGATGTTTTAATTCCTTATATATTCTAGGTATGATGTTAATCTCCTGTCAGATGAGCAGTTTGCAAATATTTTCTCCCATTGTGTAGGTTGGCATTGTATTCTGTTGATTGCTTATTTTGCTCTGCAGAAGCTTTTTAGTTTCATATAGTTCCATTTGTTTATTTTTGCTTTTGTGGCCTGTGCTTTTGAGGTTTTATTTATAAAAGTTCTTTTCTCAGACCAATGTCCTGAAGCATTTCCCCTACGTTTTCTTCTAGTAGTTTTAATGTTTCAGATATTACATTTAGGTCTTTGATCAATTTTGAATTGAGTTTTGTATAGAGTGAGAAGTGGGGGTCTGGTTTCATTCTTTTGCATATGGTTATCTGGTTTCCCCAGCACCATTTATTGAAGATACTGTCCTTTGCCCAATGAGTGTTCTTGGCACCTTTGTCAAAAATCAATTGGCCGTATATACGTGGATTAATTTTGTGTTCTCTGTTCTGTTCTATTGGTCTATACATCTGTTTTTAATGCCAGTACCATGTTGTTTTGGTTACTGCAGCTTCGTAATGTATTTTGAGTTCTGGTAGTATGGTGCCTCCATCTTTGTTCTTTTTGCTTATGATTGCCGTGTCTATTCGGGGTCTTTTGTGGTTTCTTACACATTTTAGGGTTTTTGTTTTCTGTGAAGAATGTTGTTGGTATTTTTTAAGGAATTACATTAAATCCGTACATTGATTTGGGTAGTATGGTCATTTTAACAGTATTAATTCTTCTGATTCATAACCATGGGATATCTTTCCATTGGTTTGTGTCCTCTTCAGTTTCTTTCATCAGTGTTTTGTAGTTGTCCTTGTAGAGGTTTTTCACCTCCTCGGTTAAATTTATTCCCAAGTATTTTACTTTATTTGTAGCTATTGTAAATGGGATTGTCTTCTGGATTTTTTTCAACTAGTTCATTTATGTATAGAAATGCTACTGATTTTTGTACATTAATTTTGTATTCTGTAACTTTACTGAATTTGTATATCAGATCTAAGAGGTTTTTTGATAGAGTCTTTAAGTTTTCTATATATAAGATTATGTCATCTGCAAACAGGGACAAGTTGACATCCTCTTTCCAATTTGGATGCTCTTCAACTTTCCCTTTCTTGCTTTATTGTTCTGGCTAGGACTTCTAGTACTATGTTGAGCAAGAGTGGTGAGAATATGCATGCTTGTCTTGTTTCAGATTTTAGAGGAAAAGCTTCTTTTCTCTGTTAAATATGATTTTGGCTGTGGGTTTGTCACATAGGGCCTTTATTATGTTGAGGTACTTTCCTTCTGTTATGGTTTAGCTGTGTCCCCACCCAAATCTCATCTTGAATTTTAGCTCCCACAATTCCCACATGTTGTGGGAGGGACCCGGTGGGAGGTAACTGAATCATGGGGGTGGGTCTTTCCCATGCTATTCTCATGATAGTGAATAAGTCTCATGAGATCTAATGGTTTCATAAAGGGGAGTTTCCCTACACAAGCCTTCTTCTCTTGTCTGCCACCATGTGAGACATGCCTTTCACCTTCCACCATGATTGTGAGGCCTCCCCAGCCACATGGAACTGTGAGTCCATTAAACCTCTTTTTTTTTGTAAATTGCCCAGTCTAGGGTATGTCTGTGTCAGCAGTGTGAAAATGGACTAATACACCTTCTATACCTAATTTATTAAGAGTTTTTATCATTAAACAATATTGAATTTTATCAAATGCTTTTTCTGCATCTATTGAGATGATTATGTGGGTTTTGTCCTTCATTCTATTCATGTGATATATGACATTTATTGATTTGCATATGTTGAACTATCCTTGCATTCCTGTGATAAATCTCATTTGATCATGGTGTATTATCTTTTTGATGTGCTGTTGTATTTGGTTTGCCACTATTTTATTGAAGATTTTTGTGTCTACATTTATCAGGGATATTGGCCTGGAGTTTTCTTTTCTTCTTGTCTCCTTGTCTGGTAGTATCAGAGTTATGGTGGCCTCATAGAATGAGTTAGGAAAGATTTCTCTCTGCTTCACTTTTTTGGAGTAGTTTGAGAAGAATTGGTACTTACCCTTCTTAGAAGATTTGTTAGAAATCAGTGGTGAAGTCACCTGGTCTTGGACTTTTCTTTCTTAGAAGTCTTTTTATTATTGATTCAGTCTCTTATAATTGGTCTGTTCAGGTTTTCTATTTCTTTTTGGTCAACCTTAGTAAGTTGCATGTGTCCAGGAATTTATCCATTTCTTCTAGGTTTTCACATTTATTGGAATATAGTTGTTCATAGTAGTCTCTAATGACCCTTTATGTTTCTGTGGTGTCTGTTGTGGCATCACTTTTTTTTATTTCTGAGATATTATTCATTTGAGTCGTCTCTCTTTTCTTCTTAGTCTAGCAAATGGCTTGTCAGTTTTCGTTATCTTTTCAAAAAACCACCTTTTTGTTTTATCGATCTTTCATATTTTTTAGTTTCATTTTCATTTATTGTTGCTCTGATTTTGTTATTTCTTCTACAAATTTGGGGTTTGGGTTTTTCTTATTTTTCTAGTTTCTTGAGATGCATTGTTAAGTTGTTTATTTGAAATCATTTTAGTTTTTTGATTTATGCATTTATTGCTATAAGCTTTCCTCTTATATTGCTTTTGCTATGTCCTATAGGTTTTGGTATGTTGTGTTTCTATTTTTATTTGTTTCAAGAAATTTTAAAATTTTATTCTTAATTTATTCCTTCATCCATTTGTTATTCAGGAGCATGTTGTTTAATTTCATACGTTTGTATAGTTTTGAGTGTTCTTCTTGAACATCTGATGTTTCCTTGTTGATTTTCTGTCTAGATGATCTGTCCAATGCTGAGAGTGACATATTATTGCAGCCTATCTCTCTCTTTAGATCTGATAATATTTGCTCTATGTATCTGGGTGTTCCTGTGTAGGGTTTATATATATTTACAATTGTTATATTCTCTTGCCGAATTGATCCCTTTATTATTTTTTAAATAATACTTTGTCTCTTTTTACAGCTTTTAATTTCAAGTTTGTTTTATCTGATATAAATAGAGGTATACCTGCTCTCTTTTGGTTTCGGTTTGCATGGAATACCTGTTTTTATCTCTTTACAGGTGAAGTGTGTTTCTTGCAGACAATTTATATTGGGTCCTTTTTTTTTTAAATCTATTTAGCCAGTTTATATCTTTTCAATGGGGAATTTAATCCATTTACATTCAAGGTTACTATTAATAGATAAGAATTTATTCCTGTAATTTTATCGATCATTTTCCAGTTATTTGGTTTATCATTTGCTCCTTCCTTCCTCTCTTATTGTTTACTTTTACCATTGGGTGGTTTTCTGTAATGCTGAGGTTTGATTCCTTTGTCTTTATTCTTTGTGTATTTGCTTGACCAGTGAGTTTTATAATTCTACATGTTTTCATGATGATGGTTATTATTTTTTGATTTCCAGATGTGAGATTTCCCTGAGCATGTCTTGTAAGGCCAGGCTAGTGTTACGAAAGTTCCTTAGGTTTTGCTTGTCTGTGAAATAATATATTTTTTTAAATTTCTGAAGGATAGCTTTGCTGGGTATACTATTCTTTGGTGGCATATTTTTTTTTTCTTTCAGTGCTTTAAATACACCTTCTCATTCTCTCCTGGCCTATAAGATTTCTGCTGAGAAATTAGCTGTTAGTCTAATGGTGATTTGTTTATATATGACTTGACACTTTTCTCTCATTGCTTTTAAAATTCTTTGCTTTGACTTTTGACAATTTGACTATGTGTGCCTTGGAGAGGACTTGTTTGGAGTAAATCCATTTAGAGTTATTCGAGCTTTCTGGACTCTCTCCTAAGACTTTGGAAGTCCATCTCTTTCCCAAGTCTTTGGAAGTTTTCTGTTATTATTTCATAAAATATGGTTTCCTCACTTTTTTCCTTCTTTTCTCCTTCTGGAAGCTCATAATACAAACTTTTGTTAACTTATTAGTGTTCCATAAATCCTATAGGCTTTCTTCATTCTTTTTTGTTCCTTTTTCTTTCTTTACTTTTTCTGCCTGTGTTATTTCAAAATACTTGTCTTTCTGTTTGGAAGTTCTTTCTTCTGCCTGATCTAGTCTGTTGTTGAAACTCTTGATTGTATTTATTTCCTTCATTTAATTCTTCTATTCTAGTATTTCTCTTTTCTTCTATTTTTTATTTCATATTTATCTCTATTGAATTTCTCATTCAAATCGTTAATTGTTCTGATTTCATTAAATTGTCTATCTATATTATATCTCACTTTCCTTAAGATTATTTTTTTGAATTCTTTTTCTGGCATTTCATATATTTCCTTATGATTTGGTTTCTGTTACTGAAGAATTATTGTTTTTCTTTGTGGGTTGCATTTTTTTTTTTTTTGCTTTTTTTATGATTGACATGTTCCCATATTGATTTCTGTGCAACTGGTAGAAAAGCTACCTCTTCTAATTTTATGGAGTAGGTTTCATAGGGAAAGATTAATCCATATAAATAGGTCTTGGGGTGTCAGTTTGGTGGGGTCTGTTAGCCTTGGTTCTAGATAGACACAGTAGTATTGTCTGTGTATAGTTTCTTCAGCTGTAATTCACATTAGTGGTGTTTGTGAATTTCTCAGTGACCTTGGCTGAGAGAGTTTGTTTTGATGGTGGCATAGCTTTGCCGGGGTGGGCTTGCTGGGCTATTTCTCAGGTCAGAAATGTATGCACATGGTGGGTTGGCTAGCTTGCAGTCTGACTCACTAGGTTTAGGGCCATCGTGCTATTACTCTGATTGGAAACACAGGCATGCAGTTACTTAGACAGCCTGGGGGTGTGCCTGCCAAGAGTGGCTTGGAGGGCTATTTCTCAGGTCCAGGACATGAGTGCACAGCTGCTTGGCTGGCATGGGGATGTGTCTGCCAGGGTTGGCCCACAGGGCTATTTCTCAGGCCTGTAATGCAGGCATAAGGATGTTCAGCTGGCTTGGTGGCAAGTCTGCTGGGGGCAGGCTGTTTATCTTGCCTAGGACACAGCTGCACAGCTCCTTGGTTAGCCTAGGGCGTGTTTGCCAGTGGTGGCCCACACGGCTGTTTCTTAGGCCTGGGATGTGGTCACATGACTTCTTGGCTGGCCTGGGTGGGTGTCTGCTGCAGGTGGCCCATGGGGCTATATTCCTGGCTCTGGGCTCAGGCACACAGCTGCTTGGCTGGCTGGGAGGGTGTGTCTTTCAGGGGCAGCCCATGGGGCTGCTTCTCAGGCTTGGGATTCAGACAAAAGGCTGCTTGGCTGCCCTGGGGGCATGTCTGCTGGTGGTGGAAGGTAACGCTATATTTTGGAGATCTTAAAATGCAACTTAATCATGTGTTTTGGTCAGTTTCTTCTGATAGCCATGCCTAGGCAAAAGTGACTAGAAGATTAAAGAGTTGAAAGTATCCATACCCAAAAAGTATACCAACGTTACAGTCTCAACCAAATTCTCTAGTTTTGATCTTGCTCAATTGTCCAACGTCATTATGAATTTAGGGTAAAAGAATGGCAACATATGCATTCATCTACTCACTCAAAAGTGGAACCCTGATTTCCCTAAAGTACTGGGCTTTATGTAGATTCCCTATGACCAACTTTCTTAATTCTTTTTCATCTGAAGCCGTTATTACACTTTCACGAAAAGAAAACCAAAAAAGTACCATAGGGATAAGGTGCTATTTTTCTATCCAAATTCAGAATAAAGAACATTTTCCAATTTTATTTCAGCTTTTCTTTTAATTCTTAGCATTCCAGTGTACTTCTTAGCCTAGTCTGAAGTTAGGATCACAGGCCTAAGTTTGGGGGCTTCTGCCACCTGTGGGTTGGTAAGGATTTAGTAGTGACTGATTTTTGTAAAGGGTGTTGAGAGTAAGCAATTAGAATTCCTTTTCCTCAATCTCTTCTTTCTTCAATTTGTACTGCTGCAATAAAAGTCCTAAAAGTATACCAATTATATATTTGGGATAAAGCGAGACTCCTTGCATTATTTTTCTTTGTAATTTTTCCTGAAGTGGCTTGGATCTGGAGGAAAATAAGGTAAACCCACAGTATGGCAGAGAAGAGTTGATGGGATGTAGAGTGAATATGATGCAAAGTAAAAATGAGAAAGTTAGGTAAAAGAAAGAAAGAGGGTGTGAAGTTAGTGAAGATTATTATTATAGCATAAAATTTAAAAATGATATTTAAATATAAGATGGGAGACGACTGAGAGTTATATCGAGGAACTGAAATAAGCTGGTTCATATTTGGCCTACTTTAAGAGACATTGGCTTAAGTGTAGTAGAGCTTGAATTAAATGATTTCTCAAGATTTTTACATTTGTAAGAAATATGGGGCTGACAGCACAGAGAATAGTTTGTGGGAAAGGAAAGAATCAGGAATTTATACATGAAGAAGAAGGAAAATAGGAATAAGAGAATGAATAGAGTAAGAAATATCCCACAAAAAAGAAATTGAAAAAGGTAAAATATGAGATAATAGTAAGTTTATAAAATATGTAAATAATAAACTAAAAGCAATTTTGAGTTTTAAAAAATGTCTCAAATGATTACCTTGCACTTCTGCTGAACATTTTGTTATGTGCAGGTAACATGATATTGAGTGAGTATACACAAAGTATGGAAAAATATTCATATTCATCAATTCTATATTTGAATGGAAATTAAGTATAGTGAAGTTTACCTTCAATAGAAACTTTAATGTTTCAGATTTATTATTCCCAATTTATAGTATAAATACAACTTGATTCTATATTATATAATTCATGGATAAGATGGTGTACTTTTTAATCCATGACTGAAGTCTTTCTTCTGCCCACAGTCTGTTTCTGCTATTCCATGATACATATTCAGGGAAGGCAATTATAAGAATGGCCTAAAGAAGATAAATCTATTAGAAGTAGGTATCATGGTAGATATAGCCACATATAAATTTTTTTTTATTACCTTGTCATGCCTTCCATTTATCAATCTGGAATTTTTATTGTTGCAAACTGAGCTAAGCTAGTATGTTCAGGCAAAACCTTAGGATTTGGTGGATAAAGGTTATCAGTTATAATGAAGGGAAGTTTTAGATCAAATTCCATTATAAATATAAATATCTGTAAAATAAGCAGGAAGGCACAAATATCATATTCCTTATTTTATAAGCTTGATGACATTCCAACTCTGTTATTTAGGTGCTCTGACAATACTTTGCATGAAGAGTGCCCTCAATTTGTATATGAAAATATTATGGGGACAGAATTTATTACCCTTATATTTGTTATCAGGAACCCTAATACTCCAAACCATTGAGTGGACATACAGGACAAATCTCAGATGTGTTACCTAAGTATACATCCTGCAAAGCTTGTGGGGTTTTTGTATGGGTTCATGCAAAGTGGGGCAGTGCTTCTGAAATATTTTGGCCAATCTACAGATCTGGAGCACCACTAATTTTTTCCTTCAATGCAATGAAAAACACATTTTTAACATTCATTAGACATTCATTGGCTAATTATCAAGTTTCTCTTGTGTTTATCATCAGAGACAGGCATAGCTGAAAGAGTTTCTGATTAAAGTTGGTTGTACAGAAATGTATATATGTATGTATATTCTCCCTACTCTCCCACCTCTCCCTTAGATACCCACTGTTATCCTTCCAGATTTATATCTATATATAAACTCAATCTGTATATATACTCATGGTTTGAAAAAATCCTTCTCTACTATACAAACTATTTTCTAAGTTGGTTTTGTCTATAAGAAAAACAAATCTGGTTTAGCATTCAATGTTTCAGCCTCTCTGAAATTCTCATCGTTCTTCAGATATGCCATACTCTTTCTAGACTTTGTTCCTTTGAATACTCTATTCTTTTCTTGGAATGCTTTTACTTTTCTTTTTTTTTAATCTGGCTTAATCTTTAAAACCTGTTTCAGATGTATGTCCTATATGAATCTGTTTCCTAGTTTTCTATGTGTATTCACTGTTTTGTCTGTATTTCTATATTTTGTTTTTAAGTAGGTTATGGCAATAATCATCATGATAGTAGTTAACAAATACTGATTGCATAATGTAACTCTAACTATTTTTACATTTATTTTATTTAATCTTTTTTCAACATTTTTCTGTAATATATCACTTGTGTTTTATTTCCCCAAATAGACCAAAAGTAACTTATTTATCTTTCTATTCCTAGTATATGGCACTATACCTGGGCATATGATAAATGTTCAGCAAACTGGTAGACCAGTTTTAGGAAGGGCACTGTGGAACTTGGAGGTTTAGAAATAGATTCTATTGAAACATCTGTATCTGCATTACCATGAAAAGTCTTCCTTTACGTTTTCTTGAAGACTGCTAGAAAAGGTTGTGGCTATGTAACAATAGGCATAACACACTATGTTGCAAGATAAATTGACTGTGACACCAAGAATATACTTTATGGTGCTTCGATGAGTACACTGGTACCCTCTCTATATCTTACATTCGAGGGTGTTCCAAGCATTGCAGTCCCATGGCTTACCAATTACAAAAGAAGAAATAGAGAGGATGAATATGTGAATGGTCAGAAGAGAAGTTTATGCAAGAGGAAAAGAAAATCCCTTTCCTCAAATGTAAAATGAGCAGGATGAAGAGTTTGAAATTCTAAAGATAGACAGAGGGTATCTCCAGAAATTTTAATGAGTTCAACAACCCAGTGATATGGCTGGTTATAATATACAATTTAGTCTGGTGATTGATAAGTAAGAATGGGATTATTTGCTAACCCTCTCCCCTACTAATATTGACTAATCGTTATTTATATATAATAAAAGAGAACTCTTACAACTTGAATTTCCCTGTAGTTTGTGAAGCTTTACTTTTTAACTGAAATCTTTTCGCTTCTAGCATAAAACAGAGGCAAATAAAAATTTTTAGCCTTTTACATTTATTTTTTACTCTCACTTTAGAAACTTTAAATACTTTTGGTTTTAAAAATGTTTACAAGGATATACTGAAAATGCTTAAAATAAATGTTTATATCAATATTGACAGGATTCGAAATGTAATATTTTTAAAATATGCAACATTATGGACTCAATATTTTGTATTGAGTTATAATGCAGCATGGTATAGAATAAATCTGATCAACATTAGGGAAGGTTTCTATTGACAGATTCATTTAGCCTGTTGTAAAATCACTTAAAAATATTTGTATTTTAGCCATGCTAATTTGCTGGTATACAACTAGGAGAAATATGTAATATAAATTTTATTCCCATTGTTGTATTACAATATCTTTTTTTCTTTAACAAGAACCTGTGCTAGAGTTAAAGCAACTCCAAATAGTGCCTATAGCTCAGAAGTATAAAATGCAGTCTGTGTCTGTAACAAAACCTATTCCCACAGGTTCAAAGGAGATTGGAAATAAGAAGCCACCTATTTGCGTTTTGCAGAAGTAGTAACAGTCTGCAGACAAGGTACTCTAGCTTCAAAACAGTATGGCAGATCGTTTTATGGAACTTGCGATTACAAAAATCCACTTTAACCTTTCTTTCTTACTGGCAGGTGTTCTATTGGCTTGCAGCCAGAGGCTGTGAGTGTAGTGCTGCCTGTGGTGTCCCTCAGCACTGTAGAGTGCTGAAAATGCCGACACTCCAGTTGATTGCTCATAATTGCATTAATTGTGGTCTGACAACTTCAGGAGAGAAGTATGATGAATATAGAAAAATATGTTACAAATCTGATCAGATTACAAATTTCATCTCTGTTTTCTCCATAGATATGATATCTGCACTTATAAAAATAAGCCCTGTGGAACACTGGGTAAGTTTTTTTTGGTTTTTTTTTTTTTTTTTTTTTTTTTTTTTAATAAAGGTAGAATGGTTCTGATTGTCTTTTTGGACCAATGACTTTAATCTTTATTATTAATTTGGTCATTTTCCTTTCTGTACATCTGAAATCCTAAAACCTGTTACACCCAGCCTTTGTGGATATGTCATTTACTAGGAAACAAATATTTATTACCATCATAAATATTATATAAATTTCATTGGCTTTTTTGACAACTGGAATGATTATTAAAATTAACTTAGAATATGATTCAAATTCATTAAAGAATTATAAATCGAGGTTATCACTCATGTTCATATAATCTATCTCTGTAATGTATTTTCTAGAAATACCAAGATTGTGAGAGTAAATGAAAGCAGTCAACATCTTGAAATTTCAGGCTAGAAAAGGAAAGAAAAAAAAAACACAACTAAGGATACTTAATGAAGAGGCACCAAGAACAATACTTTTTTTGGTACAATTTTGTGGAAAAAGTATAGCCCCATAAATTAAGATAGTATTGGAAATTTTATACTACCCAAACAACAACAACAAAAAATAATCTTATAAAATATTATAGCCACAGGTGAAAAGAGAGGACAGGATTATCTTTCTTGTGCTCCCTAAGGGTCATTTGTCTTTTTAAAAGCATTTTTGTAGTATTCTAGAATTTTAAAAATTACACATTGTTACAGAGCATAATTTCATAGTTAACTGCAAATACAAATGGGCAAAAAAGGTAGCTCTCCAGTAGTCTAAATTATTAAGCAACTAAAGTTATTTTAAAGGACAGAAGCTTTTTTTCTCAATTTTTTAAGGTCATAGAGACTTTTTACAGACTCAGAAGGTAAACAACTGAAGATGAATTCTCTAGTTTCTCTATGACAAGTCTCAATTTTCTTATCTGTAAAACAATAGTTATGAAATTGATTCCTATGCACCTCACAAGCATTTTGCAAAGATCAAATTAAAGTAGTTGTAGGAGGAAAAGTGTTATGCAACTGCCTGGGAAGTTCAGTGAAATATCTCTTCGGAAACTAAAATTTCTCTTGATAATTTTACCTGACTTCCCAGGCTTCTCCTACCCATTTCCCTTAGGATTTATGGCTGAAGAAGAAATCTCAAATAGCCAATGCTGAGTATTAACTATGGAGAAGCTTGCTAGTTAAAAAGCATAATGGAGACAGAGCTCTCTTTGCTGAGCGAGCTCACATCAAAAAGATTTACTTTGTAGTGTTTTAAGCTAACAAGACCAACATAATCCAACAGAGGGGACTCTGAACTGGGAACTAACAACTGGCTTTGACAGTTTCAGTACATTAACTTTTACAGTGTATTTAAGCTCTTTGTTCCTCAATTTTGTTATCTATGATGTAGGAGTAATATCTGCCCTTATGCTACATGGACATGGTTAAAATCATTTAAGGAAAAAAATGTAGATGTATTTAGTAAAGAGGTTTATAAAAATGAACTGGTATTATTTAATGTAGAAATTGCCTATTCTTTTAAACTTACCCCCCATATTTACTGTTCACAGATTCTCTAAGTATTTATTAAGTGTTCAGTCAATTTTAGATATAATAGACACTAGACCTCAAATCAGGTGCACATATTAGCCAGAGCTAGTATTTTTCTAGTGTATCTATATTTGAAGAAATGTGTATATACACACATACACACATTTGCACATATACACTCTCTCTCTCTCTCTCTCTCTCTCTCTATATATATATATATATATATATATACCCTCACTGTCTCTCCCTATATATATATTCTGCTTTTTGAAGGTAGGTTATTTACATATGCTCTTCATTGTATTAGATTGGTGCAAATTACTTTGCACCAACCTAATGACATTGGTAAGACACACATACAGTGAATTTTACTTTTATTTTGATAAATAAAGTATTTTGAGAAATAAAGTATTTTGAGTACTGCCTAGTACTTTGATTGTCATTATTGGCAAAGATTTGAGGTGTTTTCCTATGCTACTTCTCATTTTATTTTTCTCAAAATAATGTGTTCTAACTTTGATAGTTTATTAATTTATAGAATCAGTACATTAATAGGTATGTGTCAATGCACTTTCAAGCTCAATATAAGTTATTTTTCAAATTATAAACTTGTATATTGTTTTTATACTACTTCTTGTGAAAACTGAATGAGCTGCATATATATGTATATATACACACACACGTTTTAACTTCATCTATGGAAAATATATTATCAGTACAGAATTGAGCAGATTACTTTTTAAGTTGTATTCTAGTCACTTTCATATTGGTTTTTATACTGATTTTTCCATAGTCTTTTGCTTAATAATTCTGATGACCAATTGTAACATGGCTAAGTAGGCTTAAGGGTGCAAACTGTGGCCATCAAGCTGAGGAAACCTAAATGACCGAAATAGTTATCAAATCGCCATTAACACAATCACACATAAGAATTTTGACAGTCTCAATTTTATAGGTATACAGAAAATTGTGGGGGGTTGTGAAAATACATTAGCATTTAAAATACTTTCATTTTAGTTAAGATTTAGCTTTATATTTCAATAAGTAGGAATTTTCCAAGTATATTCTTTCTGAAGTTGTTGTTCTAGCAGAGATAATAATTTTATATAAGATGGCAGAAGTAAATCTGTGCTTGTAAATACACCTTGAGGAGTCATTGAGAATTCTCAATTGAAAATACAGCCACATGGCACATACCAAAAAACGACACAACAACAACAAAACCCAAAAGCTAACCCATGGAATAATAGATTTTGGGAAATGTAAGAAACATTAATTTAACAATAATTATTCTTAGTAATTCTGCTTTTCTTTTGAAAAAACATACATTTCATAAAGGCCAAAACAGAAACAGTATTCAGAGTGGCTTTGTTCTTCCCATATAATAGGCCACATTGAACCAAATAACTTAAAGCCAGATAATATAATGCAATTTTTAAAAAAATATTTCAGGTATTTTCCTATTCTACTTCTCATTTTATTTTTCTCAAAATAAAAGTAAAATTCACTGTGTGTGTCTGTCTCTTTCTCTCAGTGGAGATTGGAAATGACATTCATTAAAATATTTTAAATATTTAAACAAATATTAAATATTAACCAAAAATTAACTGAAACAAAAAAATAAGTTATCCTGCTCCACTTTTTACATTCTCTTTTTCAGGTCCCAATACCTCTAATGAATGGAAGGGCAGCCCAGGGGTATCACCAGTATTTATAACTCTGTGAGGCAGAAATCAACTCCCTCCCCAACTCTTGCCTGTCTCGCATAAAACAGTAGGAAAAGCAAACGATCTATTAGCAAATCCAGCATTAATCTCATCTCTGTTCCAATGTAGCTGTTGATACTCATATTAGAAAATACAGAGAAACACAACTTCTAGAGCTTTCTTGTCAGTAAAAATATGGATTGAATACCATTTATTGTTTCTAATTAGTACAGCTGGGAAATTATACCTAGCACAGAACATTGCTTACTGTATTCAATAAATATTCATTGAATTGAATCGAAATCACTTTTGGTGGGAAAGTAATTATTAATGTTTGGGTGATGATAGTAGACTACTGACCATAAAAAATGTTTTTCCTACTTCCCCTTCAACTTCTAAATAACTTTTTGTTTCTATGTGCATGAAATATGATTTGGCATCTGTTTCCTTATAAGAGATGACATTTTTGCTTTTGCACAAAAATTCTTTTTTTAAGCACTGCTTTAAAGTTCTGTAGTATTTCACACAGCATGATATTCATTTGAAAGTAAATATTAAAACTTCTACATACTAAAATCCCCAAGGGGAGAATACCTTGAGTAACATAACATTTCACTGGAATCAGCGAATTAACACCATAGTATTTGCTTTATTAGTAAAACTCTAATGCATTGAAGTAAGGGATAGGAGAGAGGAAAAACGACACTGAATGTGTGAATGACTTTCCTCCTATTAAAATACTAAAAGAAATTGTTGCATCACTGTCAGGATTAATTTGAGATTAAAAAAAATGCAAAAACCTCCCATCTTTAACAGTTCTCCTTTCCATCTTTTGAATCATTCATTTTATTTTTTAATAAAAATATCACTTAAAAAATAATTTGGGATTCCCCCTTTTTTTGGTAACTAGAAAGTTGCTTGTATATTTTTATGAACCCACTAAACTTAAACAGATCTCTTTAGAAAAATAATGTGGATATATTTTGCTTTCTACAGCCTGAAGAATGTTAAAATAGAAATGCTTTCTTGAATTCCCTCTTCTGGCTCAAGTTACTAGGTGGTCCCAAGTTACCAGAAGTAAAATTTATAAATCTAACCCCTAGTCTAGACATTTTCCAGCACTGACTGCAGTTCAAAAAATATTAATGTCTAGCCGGCAAAGTGAAATTCCCCCCAGTGATTTTGCAAATGACTAGAAAGTTAACCTTTTGCCAACGGCTCCTTCTGTGCATGGAGGTTATTAAAAAGAATCCAGGCATTTATAAATATAGGCTTTTAAAGACTGAAACACCTTGGCTTGACCCTTTGTGTCTCTTTCTGTTTATTCAGGCTTGGCCTCTGTGGCTGGAATGTGTGAGCCTGAAAGGAGCTGCAGCATTAATGAAGACATTGGCCTGGGTTCAGCTTTTACCATTGCACATGAGATTGGTCACAAGTGAGTGAGTTTAAGAAAATCAAAATAAATTTTAGAACTCTGCTCTTGAGCAACTTGTAACTACTGTATGGAAAGGCTGTGCTGAACCTTATTTTACTACCTTTTTGTCTGATTCCAATAGATGATGTTATTATTGTGGGTATTGGGATAAATCACCTGAAGAACTGGAGACTTGTTAGATAATCTTTGTTATTCAAAGAGTAGTATCCTCAGTGGTGAATGCACCACATTTAAGTTTTTGTTCAGTCTCCTCAATACCTGTTTCCTTATAAAGTCCAGTTATTTAAATGATCTTTATTTTCCTCAAGTGACAATGCATATATATTTTAAAATCATTGACGTCACTACCATAAAATGTATTTTTAGTTTTCACTCTTCATACAGCTGTCAGCATCCCTTTTCCAGGCATAAAGTTTGTGCAGACATTGCTATGTAACTTGTATTTTCAGGTGCATTTGTATGTCATTGATAAAGAAAAAAAAAACTGCAAGAAGTACACAATACCATCCTCCTTTCTTTCTAGGAGGACCTGAAGGTTTTAATGTTTGTTTTAAGTGAACCTGTGCCAAAGGAAAAACTATCTTATGTACCCTGCCCCCACCCATGCAAAAAATACCATTTTTAAAATTTTAAACAACAGGCAGTAGTAATATGAAAGCCTATTCATGTGGAGGAAGAGAAGCTTGATAATACTTTTTTTTTAAAATTTCAACATTTGTGTTGAAATTTGACTGAAAGATGACTTGCCTCAATTAGTCAATTTCTAAGCTGATTCTGATGCTTTTATAAAGGTAAAAACTAAACAAACGAGCTTCCAATTTACTAACAGGATTTTTTTTTTTTAGCAGGAAAGCTCTTCTAAAACAGAAACAGTTGACGTTTAGCAAATGACTAATTATATCTGCTAACAAAAAATGAGAGAAAACTTTAAAATGTTAGTCAAGCATTTTTAGCTAAAACAACCAGCTTACTTGCAAGAACTCCTGACATTTGTAGAATTTAAGTTTTATATTCTGCTTTTTTTGGTGGCGTCATAGATAGGGGAAAAAGAACAAATAAAAATCAATGTTTTTTATATACTTACCTCAGAGGTAATTCCTGAGGTAAATCTGTAGTTCAGCTTTTTTGTTGTTGTTGAAGTGGAGAGTAAAATTGGGTCAGTCGGCTGCATTATTTCAAAATTGCAATCAAATTTTATCAAGTTGATATGATTTAGGTGTAAATTTAAATAAACAGCAAGTTTCAAACCCGGCTTGATTCAGACACAGGAAAAGTCAGTATTACACTCTTAATGAAGACTTTAAAATATTGGTATTCTACTTTCCATTGTAATAAACATCAGGTGAATAAAAGGAAAAGCCCCCCCTTAACCAAGCAGTTTATCTTTAATTCACTTAAAAATCTGGCTAATTAATGACTGTCATACTCTTATGCAATCAAACTGAATTTATTAGGTTCTGTTAGATTCAGTTAAATTGGAAGGTTAGGAAAAGTAACATACAGTGGGTGAACACTGTGTATGTGAAAACACTATTATCTTATGTAGTCACAAGTTAGTCAATGTCAACACACACATTTCACATTCCATTCTTGTATGTACGTACTTAAATAGCTGAGGTAAGGGTTTATCTTTCTTTGTATCTTTTATAAAGATTCTGATTGGGCAACTTCCCAGGTTTCCTAGATTTTGTTGTTGTTGTTGGCCTTATAGGTAAATCCTTTCAATTCTTCCTACAATGAATGGCTTGTACCTTATGTAGAAAAATTGTGAAAGAGAAATAGAATATACCTCTGAAGTTTTATGTATCTTGGAGTAACTTTGTTTCACAGTTAACTCTTGTTTGAAAGTATGAGTGTTAAAAATGGGGAAAAAATTCCACAAAATCCTTGGATTGAGAGCCAGAAAAATGCTTCCATTTAAAAATGTTGTTTGACAGACAAAAAAAAAAATAGGTTTTTCCCCATGTCCAGTTTATCACCATGTTTCTATCCCCCTTCCCCAGACAACTGGGCAGATGTGTTTAGCATATATAGTCTGTTTTGTGTTGCTCTAAAGGAATACCTAAGTCTGAGTAACTCATTTTAAAAAGCGGTTTATTTGGCTCACAGGCATACAGGCTGTATGAGAAGCATAATGCCAGCATCTGCTTCTAGTGAGGGACTCAGGAAGCTTCCACTTGTGGTGGAAGGCAAAGCAGGAGCCAGTGCACCACATGGCAAGAGAGGGAGCAAGGGAGATGCTGTGCTCTTTTAAACAACCAGCTCTCATGTGAACTCATAGAGCAAGAATTCATTCATTCTCCCCAGGAAGGCACCAAGCCAATTATGAGGGATCTGCCCCCATTACCCAAATACCTCCCACCAGGCCCCACCTCCAGTATTTGGGATCACATTTCAATATGAGATTTAGAGGGAACAAACATCCAAACTATATCAACATACTATTTTTTTCAATATGTCAAATTATTATTTGGTCAATTAGGGAAAATTTGTTTCATATGTGAAGATCCCTTTACTTTCTTTTAAGATCTTAGGGTTTAGCCTTTAGGGACTTAGCGGTCAACTCTGGCACAATTCATGTCATCATTAAAATACAGTGATCTCTATTCTTCCTGAACCAAAGCAGTAGCCATAGTAAATATATCCAATATATTTTCAGGTGAAGTATACTGATTTTTTGTGACTTGTATCCTTTATGAGATGGATGTTAAGTGACGTGATGATATCAGGAGATTAATTACAGTGAAGAATATTTGACCATAAACTACTGAGAAGAGCCCCTACTGAGTAACTAGACTGTGTGAATATTTTCTCCCTTTCTTTAAATTGTGTAGAATATGGTTTTGCACCCAGTGTTTACTTGTGTAGGGATATAATATCTATTTAAAATAGCTGTGAGATAACATTTTCTTTGGCTAAGCCTTAGTGACCACTTTTATTTCTCTCCATCCTCTCCATCCTTTTGTGAAAACAAGAAATTTATTTCCTTGTCAAATGAAAAATTGAGGTTTATACTATATTTAAATGACATGTCTAGGTTTAATATAGGCTATAAGCCAAAGGCACTTAATGAAACCTTATAGGAAAGAATGTTCTTTGAAAGATTTTAAAAATTAATTATGTAGTTGCCATGAATTTTATAAGTTGAAAAGATTATAATGTCAAAGAGGGGTGGCAAGAATTCAGCCAGACATCTAGTATATTGAGAAAGCTATCTAGTGTATCTAAACTGTACAAAAACAAATAATCTTAACAAGGGGTCTTAAAAATACTCATTTTTTGGTTATGAATGCATATTGAAGTATGTGAGACTGAAGTGACATGATGTCCAGGATTTTCTTTTAAAAGAAAGGAAAAAAAGAAAGAGAAAACAAGAATAGCAACATCTTGAATTTTATTATCTTGATGATGTGTTTATGGCAGTTCATTATGCCACTGTTTCTACTATTGTATATGTCTGATTTTTTCCACAAAATGAGTTCTAAGATCATACATTGTTTAGGTGTGGCTTAACTCATTTATTAATCATGATTGAGTGAACTTTAACTCTAATATTGAGAGAATTTTTAAAGTATTACAATTTGTAGTCAGACACTGTGGCTCATGCCTGTAATTCCAGCATTTTGAGAGGCCAAGGTGGAGGATTGCTTGAGCCCAGGCATTGGAGACCAGCCTGGGTAACATGGCCAAACTCTGTCCCTACAAAAAATACAGAAATTAGCAAGGTGTGGTGGCATGCACCGTAGTCCCAGCTACTTGAGAGGCTGAGGTGGGAGGATAGCTGAGCCCAGAAGATCAAGGCTGTAGTGAACCATGATCGTGATCATGCCACCGCACTCCATTCTGGGTGACAGGCCAAGACCCTGTCTAAAAAAAAAAAAAAAAGCTATATTGAAAGCTATAGGGATATATTGGTCTTGCTTTAGGAAGTAAATATCAGTATCTTGTCTCAACCGTAGGAATTCTCTCTGTAGATTAGTTAGGAGATGAGTTTTAATGTTAGTTTTATAAAATGAATTAGGAAATATTTTCTAGAATAGTTTGCTTTCCCATAAGTACATTTTAAAACATTATTTAGATGTAATTTACATACATTAAAAATGCACCCATTCTGTATATGGTTCAGTGAGCGTTGGCAAAGGTGTATAACCATGTCCCACCACCACAATCAAGATATGAACATTTCTATTACCTGAAAAAGTCCCCTTTACAGTTAATTTCTACCCTCCTCCCCACTCCTCCATCCCCAGACAACCATGGATCTCCTTTTTACCACTATAGATTAGGCTTGCTTTTCTATAGTTTCATTTAAGTGGAATTACTCAGTGGGTACTCTTTTGTGTCTAGGTATTTCCGCTGAGCATAAGGTTTTTGGAGAGCCATCTGTGTTGTTGTGTCTATCAGTAGTTCACTTTTTTTCTGAATAGTAATCCATATCACATATCACTTTTCTGGTTGTTTTTAGTTTTGTGCTATTATGAATAGAACTATTATGCACATCTGTTCATAACTATTTGTACTGATGTAAGCTTTCATTTCTCTTGGATGATACGGTTGGTAGCATGGTGTTTAATGAAGTTAGTGATGGTGAGCATCTTTTCATGTGCTTCATATACATAACTCATATATCTTCTTTGAAGTGTCTGTTCAAATCCTTTTCCCACTTTAAAAAACTGGGTTGTTCTTTTCTTATTGAACTGTATTATGGATAAAAGTCTTCATCATATTTATGTGTATATTATGTGTGTATATATACACATATAAATATGATAAAGACTTTTATCCATTATATATATAACATGTAGCATATATATTTATCCGTAATATATAACATAAAACATATATAGTTTATATATGTGTATATATCATGATATTTTCTCATCTGTTGCTTCCTGTTTACTTTTTAAATTGTTGCCTTATGAAAAGCAGAAACTTAAAATTTTGATGAAGTGTAACTTAAAATTTTTCTTCTGTGGTTTGCTTTTTGTGTCCTAAAAAAGCTTTGCATATTTCAAGATTGTGAGGATATTTTCCTGGAGAAGATTTATACTTCTAGCTTTTATATTTAGATCTATGCTCCATTTTAATTTTTATGTATAGTAGGAGGTATAGGTTGAGGTTCATCTTTTTTCCATATGAATATCCAGTAACTTCAGCACAATTTGCTTTAAAAAGTTGGTTGGTTTGCAAGGACTTCATGTCTAAAACACCAAAAGCAATGGCAACAAAAGCCAAAATTGACAATTGGGATATAATTAAACTAAAGAGCTTCTGCACAGCAAAAGAAACTACCATCAGAGTGAACAGGCAACCTACAGAATGGGAGAAAATTTTTGCAACCTACTCATCTGACAAAGGTCTAATATCCAGAATCTACAATGAACTCAAACAAATTTACAAGAAAAAAACAAACAACCCCATCAAAAAGTGGGCAAAGGATATGAACAGACGCTTCTCAAAAGAAGACATTTACGCAGCCAAAAAACACATGAAAAAATGCTCATCATCACTGGCCATCAGAGAAATGCAAATCAAAACCACAATGAGATACCATCTCACACCAGTTAGAATGGTGATCATTAAAAAGTCAGGAAACAACAGGTGCTGAAGAAGATGTGGAGAAATAGGAACACTTTTACACTGTTGGTGGGACTGTAAACTAGTTCAACCATCGTGGAAGTTGGTGTGGCGATTCCTCAGGAATCTAGAACTAGAAATACCATTTGACCCAGCCATCCCATTACTGGGTATATACCCAAAGGATTATAAATCATGCTGCTATAAAGACACATGCACACGTATGTTTATAGCGGCATTATTCACAATAGCAAAGACTTGGAACCAACCCAAATGTCCAACAATGATAGACTGAATTAAGAAAATGTGGCACATATGCACCATGGAATACTATGCAGCCATAAAAAATGATGATTTCATGTCCTTTGTAGGGACATGGATGAAGCTGGAAACCATCATCCTCAGCAAACTATTGGAAGGACAAAAAACCAAACACTGCCATGTTCTCACTCATAGGTGGGAACTGAACAATGAGAACACATGGACACAGGAAGGGGAACATCACACACTGGTGACTGTTGTGGGGTGGGGGGAGGGGGGAGGGATAGCATTAGGAGATATACCTAATGCTAAATGACGAGTTAATGGGTGCAGCACACCAACATGGCACATGTATACATAGGTAACAAACCTGCATGTTGTGCACATGTACCCTAAAACTTAAAGTATAATAACAATAAAATTAAAAATAAATAAATAAATGAAATTGGTTGGTTTGTAATTTTCTTTTAATGCCTTTGTCCAGTTTTGGTATCAGAATAAAGTTTGTCTTATAAAATGGGTTAAGTCACAATCAACATTATACTGAATGGGCTAAAGCTAGAAGCATTCCCCACAAAAACTGGCATAAGACAAAAGTGCCCTCTCTCACCACTCCTGTTTAGCTTAGTATTGGAAGTTCTGGCCAGGGCAGTCAGGCAAGAGAAAGAAATAAACGGCATTCGAATAGGAAGAGAGGAAGTCAAACTATCCCTGTTTGCAGATGACATGATCCTATATCTAGAAAACCCCATCATCCCAGCCCAAACATTTCTTAAGCTGATAAACAACTTCAGCAAACTCTCAGGATAAAAAATCAATGTGTAAAAGTCACTAGCATTCCTATAGACCAACAATAGTTAAGCCAAGAGCCAAATCAGGAATGAACTTTCATTCACAATTGCCACAAAATGAATAAAATACCTAGGAATACAGCTAACTAGGGAGGTGAAAGATCTCTACAAAAAAAAAAAAAAAAAACTACATACCACTGCTCAAAGAAATCAGAGATGACACAGACAAATGAAAAACATTCCATGATCATGGATAGGAAGAATCAATAACAAGAAAATGACCATGCTGCATGTAAATTTACAGATTCAGTGCTTTTCCCATTAAGCTACCATTGATATTCTTCACAGAACTAGAAAAAACAGTTTTAAAATTCATATGGAACCGAAATGGAGCCTGAATAAATAGCCAAGGCAATCCTAAGCAAAAAGAACAAAGCTAGAGACATCATGCTACTTGGCTTCAAACTGTGCTACAGGGCTACAGTAACCAAAACAGCATGGTACTGGTACAAGAACAGACACATAGACCAATGGAACAGAATAGAGAACTCAGAAATAAGGCTGCACACGTACAACTATCTGATTTCAACAAACCTGACGAAAACAAGCAATGGGGAAAGGATTCCCTTTTCAATAAATGCTGCTAGGATAACTGGCTAGCCATATATGTAGAAGATTGAAACTGGACCCCTTCTGTACACCATACACAAAAATTAACTCAAGATGGATTGAAGGCTAGTCACGGTGGCTCACACCTGTAATCCCAACACTTTGGGAGGCTGAGGCGGGTGAATCACCTGAGGTCAGGAGTTTGAGACCAGCCTGGCAAAGATGGCAAAACCCCGTCTCTTCTAAAAATACAAAAATTAGCCAGGCATGGTGGCACATGCCTGTAGTCCCAGCTACTTGGGAGGCTGAGGCAGGAGAATTGCTTGAACCTGGGAGGCAGAGATTGCAGTGAGCTGAGATCGTGCCATTGCACTCCAGCCTGGGTGACAGAGCGAGACTCCGTCTCAAAAAAAAAAAAAAAAAAAAAAAAAGGAAAAGAAAAAGATGGATTGAAGACTTAGATGTAAAACCCAAAACTATAAAACCCTGAAAGAACCTAGGCAATACAATTCAGGACATAGACATGTGCAAAGATTTCATGATAAAGATGCCAAAAGCAATTACAACAAAAGCAAAAATTGACTAATGGGATTTAATTAAACTAAAGAACTTCTGTACAGCAAAAGAAACTACCAACAGAGCAAACAGACAGTGTACAGAATGGGAGAAAATTTTTGCAGACTATGCATCTAACAAAGGTCTAATATACAGCCTATATAAGGAACTTAAACAAATTTACAAGAAAAAAAAATCCCCATTAAAAATTGGGCAAAGGACATGAACAGACACTTCAAACAAGACATACATACATACATATATGAAAAAAAAGCTCAACATCACTGATAATTAGAGAAATCCAAATCAAAACCACAGTGAGATAACACCTCAAACCAGTCAGAATGGCTATTGTTAAAAAGTCAAAATTAACCGATGCTGGTGAGGTTGTGGAGAAAAAGGAATGCTTATACACTGTTGGTGAGAGTGTAAATTAGTTCAGCCATTGTATAAGACAGTGTGGTGATTCCTCAAAGATCTAAAGACAGAAATACCATTCAACCCAGCATTCCCATTACTAGGTATATACCCAAAGGAATATAAATCACTCCATTACAAAGACAAATGCACATGTATGTTCATTGCAGCCCTATGCACAATAGCAAAGACATGAAATCAACCTAAATGGCCATCGATAACAGACTGGATAAAGAAAATGTGGTACATGCACACCATGGAATACTATGCAGCCATAAAAAAGAATGAGATCATGTCCTTTGCAGGGACTTGGATGGACCTGGAGGCCATTATTCTCAGCAAACTAACATAGGAACAGAAAACCAAATACTACATGTTCTCATTTATAAGTGGGAGCTAAATTATGAGAACATATGGACACATAAAGGGGGAAAACAGACACTGGGGCCTTTTGGAGGGTAGAGAGTGGGAAGACAACTAACGGGTACTAGGCTTTTTAAACCTGGATGTATTAGTCAGGGAAATAACCTATAAAACAGACCCCCATGACACAAATTTACCTATGTAACAAACCTTCACTTGTACCCTTGAACTTAAAAGTAAAAAAAAAAAAGAGAGAAAATAAAATGGTTTTTCTATTTTTTGGAATAGTTTGTATATTTAATGTTATTTTTTCTTTAAATATTTTTAGAATTCATCAATGACGTCATTGGAGCCTAGAATTTTTATTGTGGGAAGATTTTTAATTAAAAATTTAATTTCTTTATTAGATATAGGATAACATTTTCTAAATCTTCTGAGTCCTTGTTTTGTAATTATGTCTTTCAAGTATTACTCAATTTCAGCTGAATTGCCAAATTTATTAACATTTGTGATACGCTGTTATTGTTTTTTAATGCCTGTAAATAATTATATTCCCTCATTTATTCCTGATAGGTACAATTTGTTTTCTCCCCTTTTTCTTGATCAGTCTAGCTATAGGTTTATTGATTTTATTGTTCTGTTTTTAAAAAACATCTTTTGGTGGCCAGGCGCGATGGCTTACGCCTGTAATCCTAGCACTTTGGGAGGCTGAGGCAGGTGGATCTCCTGAGGTGGGGAGTTCGAGACCAGCCTTACCAACAAGGAGAAACCCCGTCTCTACTAAAAATACAAAATAAGCCAGGTGTGGTGGCACATGCCTGTAATCCCAGCTACTCGGGAGGCTGAGGCAGGAGAATCACTTGAACCCAGGAGGCAGAGGTTGCAGTGAGCCAAGATCACAACATTGCACTCCAGCCTGGGCAACAAGAGTGAAACTCCTTCTCAGAAAAACAAACAAACAAAAAAACCTTTTGGTTTCATTGATATTCTCTATTGTTTGCTCATTTCCTTCCTCTCTTCCTTCCTTCCTTCCTTCCTTCCTTCCTTCCTTCCTTCCTTCCTTCCCTCCCTCCCTCCCTCCCTCCCTTCCCTCCCTCCCTCCCTCCCTTCCTTCCTTCCCTCCCTCCCTCCCTTCCTTTTTTTTTTGTTTTTGAGACAGTCTTGCTCTGTCCCCCAGGCTGGAGTGCAGTGGCACAATCTCGGCTCACTGCAGCCTTGTGCTACCACACCCAGCTAATTTTTGTTTTCTTGTATTTTTGCATATATATATAAATTTTTTTTTTTTTTGGTAGATATGGGGTTTCACCATGTTTCCCAGGCTGGTCTCCAACTCCTGAGCTTAAGCAGTCCTTCCACGTCAGCCTCCCAAAGTGCTGGGATTACAGGCCCGAGCCACCACACCTAGCCTGTTTGCTCATTTTCTATTTCATTGTCTACTCCTTATTATTTCCTTACTAGTTCTTACTTTGGGTTTAATTTGTCCTTTATTTAAAAACGTTTTTAAGAGAGAAGTTTGAATCATTGATTTTGGACATCTCTTCTTTCATAAAATTAGCACTTAACAGCTATAAATTTCTTTGTATGCCCTCTAGCAGCATTTTACAAATTTTATTATACTGTATTTTTATTTTCAGTTAAAAATTTTTCGTGTGTGATTTCTTCTTGGATTGTGATTAGATAATATACTCTGATTTTAATCTTTCTAATATTGAAATATGCCTCATGGTCTATCATATGTTCTACCTTGATGAATGTGTCTCACATCCTTATTTTTAATTTTTGTGTTTACATAGTTGATATATATATTTATGTGATATATGAGATGTTTTGATACAGGTGTGCAATGTGTAATAATCACATCATGGAGAATTTTGGTATCCAACCCCTCAAGCATGTATCCTTTGTATTACAAATAATCCAATTATATTATTTTAGTTATTTTAAATGTATAATTAAATTATTATTGATTATAGCCACCCTGCTGTGGTATCAGGTAGTAGGTTTTGTTCATTCTATTTTTTTGGTACCTATTAACCAGCCTACCCGCATCCCCCACCCTCCCCAACTACCTTCCCAACCTCTGGCAACCATCCTTCTACTCTCTATGTCCATAAGTTCAATTGTTTTGATTTTTAGCTCCCACAAATAAGTGAAAACATGCAAAGTTTGTCTCTCTGTGCCTGGCTTATTTCGCTTAGCATAATGATCTCGAGTTCCATCCACGTTGTTGCAAATGGCAGGATCTCATTCTTTCTTATGGCTGAATAGTACTCTGTTATGTATATGTACCAGATTTTCTCTATTTATTCTTCTGTTGATGGACACTTAGGTTGCTTCCAAACTGGCTACTGTGGATAGTACTGCAATAAACATGGGAGTGCAGATATCTCTTCCATAACATGATTTCTTTTATTTTGGGTATATACCTAGCAGAGGGATTGCTGGATCATATGGTAGTTCTATTTTTAGGTTTTTGAGGAACCTCCAAACTGTTCTTCATAGTGGCTGTACTAATTTACATTCCCACCAACAGTGTATGAGGATTCCCTTTTCTCTACATCTTTGCCAGCATTTGTTACTTTCTGTCCTTTGGATATAAGCCATTTTAACTGGGGTGAGATGATATCTCATTGTAGTTTCGATTTGCATTTCTCTGATGATCAATTATATTGAACAACTTTTTGTATGCCTGTTTGCCATTTGTATATCTTCTTTTTTTTTTTTTTTTTTGAGATGGAGTCTTGCTCTGTCACCCAAGCTGGAGTGCAGTGCCACCATCTCGGCTCAGTGCAAGCTCCACCTCCCAGGTTCACGCCATTCTCCTGCCTCAGCCTCCTGAGTAGCTGGGACTACAGGGGCCCACCACCACACCCGGCTAATTTTTTTTGTATTTTTAGTAGAGACAGGGTTTCACCGTGTTAGCCAGGATGGTCTCGATCTCCTGACCTCGTGATCCACCCGCCTCGGCCTCCCAAAGTGCTGGGATTACAGGCATGAGCCACCACGCCTGGCCTGCCACTTGTATATCTTCTTTTGAGAAATGTCTATTCAAATCTTTTGCCTATTTTTTAATCCAGTTATTAGACTTTTTTCCTGTAGAGTTGTTTGAGCTCTTTATATATTCTGGTTATTAATCCTTTGTCAGATGGATAGTTTGAAAATATTTTCTCCCGTTCTGTGGGTTGTCTCTTCACTTTGTTGATTGTTTCCTTTGCTGTGCAGAAGCTTTTTAACTTGATGTGATCCCATTTGTCCATTTTTTGCTTTGGTTGCCTAGCTTGTGGGATATTACTCAGTAAATTTTTGCCCAGACCACTGTCTTGGAGATTTTCCTTAATGTTTTCTTGTAATAATTTCATATTTTGGGGTCTTAGGTTTAATTAAGTGTTTAATCCATCTTGATTTGATTATTGTATATGGTGAGAGATAGGGTGTATCTTTCATCCTTGAAAAGTATATCTGCCCTTGTTGGGCCTGGTATTCTAGCATTGTCAATTAGATCCCTTTTGTTGATAATGTTTTTCAAGTGTTTGGTATTATACCTTTTCTTTATAGTTGATCAATCAATTACTAAGGGAGGAGTGTTGACAACTCCAAATGCATATGTAGATTTGTCTACTTCTCCTTTTCACTCCGTCAGTTTTTGCTTCAAGTATTTTAAGTTTCTAAATTAAGTGCATTCACATTTAAGATTTTTATGTCAGCCAGGCGCAGTGGCTCACACCTGTAATCCCAGAACTTTGGGAGGCCAAGGCAGGTAGATTACTTGAGGTCAGGAGTTCGAGACCAGCCTGGCCAACATGGTGAAACCCCATCTCTTCTAAAAAATAACAAAAATTAGCCGGCTTGATGGCGCACGCTTGTAGTCTCAGCTACCTGGGAGGCTGAGACAGGAGAATGGCTTGAACCCAGGAGGCAGAGGTTGCAGTGAGCCAAGATTGCGATATTGCACTCCAGCCTGGGCAACAGAGCAAGACTCCGTCTCAAAAAAAAAAATGATTATTATGTCTTCTTGATGAATCAACCTCTTTATCATTATAAAAAGGAAAAAGGAAATGTTTATTTTTATCCTTAATAATATTAGTTATTCTGAAATCTTCTTTGTCTTGTTAATATAGTGGCCCCAGCTTTCACTTTATTGTTTGCATGTTACAACTTTTGTAATTCTTCTGTTTGTAACTTTCATACATCTTTATATTTAAAGTGAATTTCTTTTAAGCAGCTTATAGTTGTTTAGTCATTTTTTAAATCCAGTCTGACAGTACTCATCTTTCAATTGTATCATTTCTTTCACTTATATATACAATGTAATTACAGATATAACTAGGTTTTAGTTGATAATATTGCTGTTTGTTTTCTAGCTTTTTTCATTTGTTTTGGTTCCATTTTCTTTTTCAATTAATTGAATATTTTAAAAATATTTCATTTTAGAATGTGTATCCTGCAGTTTTTGGATGGAGTATTCTATAAATGTCATTTGGATTAAGTTAATTGATGGTGCTGTTCAGGTCAACTAACTATATATCCTTACTGACTTTTTATTAAGATTGATCTATCAATTACTGAAAAGGGGTGTAAAAGTTTCTAACTATAGGCTGGGCGTGGTGGCTCATGCCTATAATCCTAGCACTTTGGGAAGCCGAGGTGGGCGGATTGCCTGAGCTCAGGAGTTCGAAACCAGCCTGGGCAACATGGTGAAACCCCGTCTCTACTAAAAAATACAAAAAAATTAGCGTGTGACAGCAGGTGCCTGTAGTCCCAGCTACTCAGGAGGCTGAGGCAAGAGAATTGCCTGAACCCGGGAGGCAGAGGTTGCAGTGAGCTGAGCTTGCGCTACTGCACTCCAGCCTGGGCGACAGAGCGAGACTCCGTCTCCAAAAAGGAAAAAAAAAATGTTTCTAACTATAATAGTGGATTTGTGTATTTCTCTTTGCAGTTCTATAAGTTTTTGACTCACTTTTGTTTTACACTTGGTTGTTAGGTGCATACACACTAAGAATTTTTTTTCTTCTTCTTAGAGAATTGATGCTTTTAGCATTATGTAATGTCATTCTTATCCATGAGAATTTTCCTTTATCTGAAGCGTGCTGTGTCTCACATTAATATAGCTACCCCAGTTTTCTTTAGATTAGTGTTAGCATGGTATATCTTTTTCCATCCCTTACTTTTAACCTAGCTGAGTCTTTATATTTATGGCAGATCTCTATGGTATTCAACATATAGTTGGGTCTTATATTTTTCGCCACTCTGACAATCTTGGGCTTTTAATTGGCATATTTAAAACTTTCATATTTAAAGTGATCATTGAGACAATTGAATTAATATCTGTCATGTGTGTAACTTTTCTATTTATTGTATTTTGTTTCTTTTTATCTTTTTCTGCCTTTTCTTGTTTTAACTGAGCATTTTATGATTCCATTTTATCTCTTCTCTTAGCATATCAATTATACTTCCTTTAAAATATTTTAGTTGCTGCTCTTGAGTTTGTAATATAATAATTTTATATACAAAATATATTTAATGTGTACATATATATAAATTTCTAACTAATCTAAGTCTGCCTTCAAATAGCACTAAATTGCCTCATGTGTAATGTAGGCTCATTTAAAGAATGTATGTCCAGTTCTTCATTCCTGTTCCTTATGACATTGCTGTCCTTCATTTTATTTATCCACTTACTGTAATAACTAATACATTGTTACTATTATTACTTTAAATAGTTATCTTTTATATCAATTAAGAATAAGAAAAATTTATTTTAGCCTTAGTGTTTTTTAATTTTTAGTTTTTATAGATACATAATAGTTGTATGCATTTATGGGGTATGTGTGATATTTTGATACAAGGATACAAGGTGTATGATCAAATGTGGGTGATTGGGATATTCTTTTTTTGATGTCCTTCCTTTCTGTATATAGACCTAAGTTCCTGAGCGATGTCATTTTCCCTTTTCCTGAAGAGCTTTAAAAAAATATTTCTTGCAGTGCAGGTCTGCCGATAATGAATTCTCTTAGTTTAGGTTTATCTTAGAAACTCTATTTCTCTTTAATCTTTGAAAGATAATTTCACTGGACACAGAATTTACATGGTTTCTGATAGAAATAGCTGAAATTTCTATTCTTGTTTCTCCAGGAGTAAGGTGTATTTTTTCTCTGTATTCTTTCAAGATTTTCTCTGTGTCTTTTATTTTCTGCAATTTGAATATGATATGCATACATGCAGATTTTTTGGTATTTACCTATTTGGTATTTCTGAACTTCCCTTCCTGGATCTGTAGTTGGGTATCTGTCATTGATGTTGAAAAATTCTTAGCCATTATTACTTCAAATACTTTTCTGCTCCCTTCTCTTTTTCTTCTCCTTCTAGTATGTCAATTACATGTACATGGAAGTCACACCTTCAGATATTGTCTCAAAATTCCTGGATGGTGTATTCTGGGGTGTGGGTGTGGATGTGTGCGCGTATGTGTGTATGTGCGTGATTCTTTTTTCTCTCTGTATTTCAGTTTGGGAAGTTTCTATTCACCCTATTATCAAGTTCACTGGTTCTTTCCTTCGCATGTTCAGTCCTTAGCATGTTCAGACATTCATCATTTCAGATATCTAGCATTAAAAAGCTTTTTTCTTAAGAGTTTTCATCACTCTGCACACATTAATTATCTATCTCTTCTTGCATGTTGTTTACTTTTTCCTTTAAAGCTGTTAACATATTAATCATAGTTATTTTAAATTCCCTGTCTGTTTATTCCAAAATCTGTGTCATATTTAATCTAGCTCTGATGGTTGTTTTATCTTTTTTGCCCATGTTTCAGTATGTCTTATATATATTTTTTTTAACTGAAAGCTAGACATGATGTATTGGGTAATGGGAACTGAGGTAAACAGTCGTTTAATGTGTGGTAGTAGGTATTCTGTCAATAATTGCTAATGAATGATGCATGTTTGCGTTGTAAAGTGTAACTCTAAAATGAAACTTGTGGCTCCTTTAAGTCTTTATACTATTTGGAAGAACCAAATGGACTCAGTTTTTTCTGGTATGGAAACATTTTCAGTTAATGTAGCATGACTGAAGCATTTTACTCTGTCAGTTGATTAAGTTTCAAAGCTATATAGTGCCATAGTTTTTTATCCAAACTTGTAAAATCATGCTTAATAATATTATTTTCTTATGTCTCCACATTTACGTTATAAGTTTTAATCACTTTAAAATTTTTAGATTTTTCAGATTAGAACATATTGCTATTATTATTAAAGTAGTACTCCATATTGTCTTTTCATAAATACTAAATTTTGGTCAGGGCCAGTAAGATGCCACAATTATGCTATCTATGAATTCACACACATAAATAAATGCACATACATATACACACATACATATTATATATACAATATATGTAAATTTTCATCTGTAGACATTCACATAATGTGGACATATTCACATAGTAGCTAAAACATAGCTAAAACAATAACGTAAAGACATTCTTTAGAAAAGTTATTAAAATAAAGTCTAACAATTAAATTATTTCAATAATTAGGCTTTTGCCATAGTATGGACTAATGCCAAAAAATAGGTAAGTCCAGTCTGCTGGTTACTGCATTAAGTATCTGGAATTTCAGAATAAACTCTGTGTGTGTGTGTGTGTGTGTGTGTGTGTGTGTGTGTGTGTGTGTGTGTGTTGCAGAAATAATAAAACTACTGAAATAGATTTTGTCACTCTCAAACTTGGGAACTTTGATGAGAGATTTTTCTTCATTTTGCTGGAAAAATAAAGAAGTTAATTTGTAGGCAGACACCATTGTCCTAATTGACTGGTAAGAGTTTTAGCTATCATTAACTAATTCAGCAACATTTTTCTCATAGTACTAAAGAAGACTACAATGGCCAAAGTTTCCTTGTTCCAGCTACCTTCCCTATCTTTGCAATGACTATTATATATACCCCCACACACATACATACACCCCAACATGTTAGTATATCTCTAATAGCTAGCTTCCTCCGGTACCTGGCATCTTTACAGTGACATGAAAAGAAAAATGTGTAAAGTAGTAGCAGAAAAGATATAAATAAATTATGGTACTTTCTTTGACTATTGGAAACTTAACCTTCAACTCAGAAGTGCTTATACCAAATGTGATCATTATTGTGTATGGTATGGGGAGAGTCTAGGTCCTAGATTCTGCTAGGCACCACCCTTATTAAATACATTCCTACCTAAGTTCAGTATCTTGAATTCACTTTTTAAAGTAGATTGCATATAAAGTTCAAAAGTAGAATTAAATTCCAAACTCTGTTTTAGAAAACACATGAGCAAATTGTAATAATTATCCTATTGGGTAAATACTAAATCTAAAAATGTTTGCCAGATGTGGGTATAGAAGGTTCTGACTGAGTACATCCCTTAAATTCTGTCTTTTCTTTACTATAACAAGTGATTCATAGTCAAGCTCAGTTATGTATAAGAACAGTTCTCTAATGGAAAATCATTCTAAATTAAGAATGTCCTTTTATTCCCTTGGTTTTTTTTCTTTTCTTTCTTTTTTTGCTCCAATGGGAAAGCTTAACTTTGAGATTTTTACAGTGGCACAGTTTAGACTATCATTGTCTCATCATTTTAAAAAGTTGCTTCTTAAAGAAAAAATTAATCATATTAAACAGCATGAGGAAACTGTTCTTTAATCTGGTAATTTTATGTGTGTTATCTCTTTGAAGAACTGACTGATCATCTATTTATTTTTTCCTTTGGAGGCAGACTTTAAAAGTACATGTTCTATGTACTAGTGATTGTTTAACAAAATGCTTGACAGAGTTTAAAGTACTATGATTATCTAACAAAAACAATGATGTTGATATATTAGCAACATGATTATCTTCAGTTTAAAAATTAAGATTGCTTAGACAGAAAAATTTAACGAGGCATTTTAAGATTTTCCTTCGCTATACAGATCTTCTGTTTGGTTTGAAAACATCTGTTATGATTTTAAAAAGAATCTCCAGACTAAATGCAAATTAAATTTACACTCAGTAGGCTATGTTTGCTCTTTCCATTCTTACAAATCTCCCAACAGAACCAATAAGAATTGTGTACCTAAATCAAGAGTAAGCTATTATTTTGTGGTACAAAATGCATTATGTTATTTTCACAGTGTTAGGGGGGATCATATAATATAGGAGGAAATGACACAAAATATGATCACAAATGGGCTGCCTCATATATCTTAAAAAATGAAAAGGTATGATAAATTCTGTCGTTTATAATAGCATGCTTTTACCCTATGTAAGGAAATTTTGTTTTGTTAAATGACATTTCAAAGGAAAATATCATTTGCATAAAAAATGATCTGCTTTAATGTTTAAAATATTTCAGAAAAGCATGCATGTCAATAGACTGATACATGCTGAGTTACAGAAGCTTAATTTAATGAATAACCTTTATGGCACAATTTCTCTCAGTCTCTGTATAGTAACCACTTTGTCTCTGACTGATGATGCCACTTGTTTTGACCAAAAACTCTCCCCTTTTACCCTTTTATTACTTATTATATAGTATTATATATTTTATTACATTATCCACCATTAAGGGAGGTATGTACACATATGATGCTTCCAAAATTCTGCCTCTCATGGTTTACAGTTAGTCAGCAGATAGTCTCCCATTGATGCACAATTTATTTGGATTCAGAGATTTGCTGAGCACCTAATTCCAGAGATTTACTGAGATGATTACAAGGGATACTGTGCATTGTGGATATAGTGATGATGAAAACAAAAGTCTTATCCTGGAAGAACATCTTTTTTTTTTCACTTTTCTCTTTTTCTTACTCCAACTCTTGATCAGTTACTTCAAGAGCAACTTCCTCTAACCCGCTTGCATTCATGAGCCAAAACAAAAAGCAAAATTACTAGGCTAGGGATGTGTAGTGTTATGAAGAAAAGTAACACACAATTTTAAGTTTGAACATAAAATAAAATCAGAGTCATTTACCTATAGAACTTTTTGATAATACTTAAAAGTCCCCTTTAGAACTTCTTCAGTTATTTTCATTTACCTTTTCCTTGTTAAATCTGCTTTTCTTTAAATACCACTAGTTCTATAGAAAACTTTAAAATATGTTTCATTCTGCTAAATTGCTAATGCCAACAGTATTGTCATATACTATTCTTCATTTCACAGACAATGATTTAGTGTGCAAAATAGGTTAAATAGGCTTATTTGAGCCATTCTCAGAGATAAAATAACAATTTATACCATTATTTTAATTCAATTCAATCTAACTTTTTTTGAGACACAGTGTCATTCTATCACCCAGGCTAGAGTGCAGTGGCATGAACACAGCTAACTTCGCCTCAACCTCCTGGGCTCAAGTGATCCTTCTGCCTCAGCCTCCCATGTAGCTGGGACCATAGGCATGTGCTACCATACCTGGCTAACTTTTTGATTTTTTGTAGAGACAGGGTCTCACTTTGTTGCTGTATTCATCCACTCTTGCATTTCTGTAAAGAAATACCTGAGACTGGGTAATTTCTAAATAAAAGAAACTTAATTGGCTCACGGTTCTTCAGGCTGTACAGAAAGCATGATGCTGGCATCTGCTTGGCTTCTGGGGAGGCCTCCAGGAACTTAAAATCGTGGAGGAAGGCAAAGGGGAAGTGAGGTATCTCGCATGGCGGGAGCAGGAGCAAGAGAGAGAGGGAGGAGGTGCCACACACTTTTAAAAGACCAGATCTCACAAGAACTCACTCACTGTCCCAAAGACAGTACCAAGTGGGGGTGGTACCAAACTGCCTCCATGATCCAGTCACCTCCCAACACACCCCACCTGCAACACTGGGGATTACAATTTGACATGAAATCTGAGCAGGGACACAGATCCAAACCATATCAGTTGCCCAGGCTGGTCTGGAATTCATGGACTCAAGTGATCCTCCCACCTCAGTCTCCCAGAGTGCTGGGATTATAGGCATGAGTCACGGTGCCCAGCTATACCATTATTTTTAGAGCAAATTTTTTCAGGGTTCCAAGAATGAGCTTCAAAACTTGAGAACCAAATCAATTTACAAAGCCAAGTCTGCTGTCTTGTGTAGTTAATCTGAGAGGAGAAATCAGTTGCCAAATTGTAGAACAAAGTATTCTGTATATATTCGGGTATGTATATTTAACTATATAGAAACTTTCTTTTAAAATATTCTGTGTGTGTGTGTGTGTGTGTGTGTGTATTATAACAGGGGTCCCCAACCATGGCCTGTTAGGAACTGGGCCGCACAGTGGGAAGTCAGCTGCAGGTAAGCAAGGGAAGCTTCATTTGTATTTACAGCTGCCCCCTTTGCCCCCTCCCCACCCCCCCACTGCCACATTGCCCACATTACTGCCTGAGCTCCACCTCCTGTCAGATCAACAGGGATTACATTCTCATAGGAGCGAGAGCCCTTTTGTGAACTTCTTATGCGAGGGTTCTTAATTGCCCACTCTTTCTGAGAATCTAATGCCTGATGATCTGTCACTGTCTCCCATCACCCCTAGATGGGACTGTCTAAATGCAGGAAAACAAGCTCAGAGCTCCTACTGATTCTACATTGTAGTGAGTTGTATAATTAATTCATTATATCTTACAATGTAATAATAATAGAAATAAAGTGCACAATAAATGCAATGTGCTTCAATCACCCTGAAACCACCACCCCCCCGCCACCAACCCCACCCTGGTCTGTGGAAAAGTTGTCTTCCCATGAAACTGGTCCCTGGTGCCAAAAAGGATGGGGACCACTGTTATATCACACATCCATGTGTCCACCATTCAGATTTAACAAACATTAATATTGTCCCGTTGCTGTTTTGGGGCTTTTATTGTTGTTCCTTGAAAAGGTTGCCAATATCATATTGCTTTTAATTACCATAGTTTTATAATAGGTATTGAAGTTCTCCCCTCCTTCTTCAAAATGATTTTGGCCCTTTCTGACTCTTTACTTTCCTATATTAATTTTGGAATCTTAGTGTCAGTTTCTATTTAAAAAACTGATAGAATTTTAATTAAGCTGCTTATTCATTCAGCCTTGATGATGGGTTTGCAGGAAATTTACATGATTCCTAAGTGTTTTCTCATGCACTGAATGAAGACCTGTTCTTATATAAGGTAATGTAAAAACCTAGGTAGGGCCATCCAGGGAGAGTTATGCTCCAGAGAAGAGAGAAACCTTTGGATAGGACAGGTGATGAGATAAGGCCAAATAAATAGAATGTCTTTTTTTCCCTTATAGTGGAATAGCTGCAATTCTTAAGATCCTATGTTATTTAAAATTATGTTTAAAAGTATTACTTGCATATGAAAAAAATTGATTACCAGCCAGTTTCCAGTTCACAATTTTATAGTTAGTTTTCCTACAGAAATTAAATGATTAAAGGTTTCGATCAAACCTAACAGAACAAACATAATTGCATCATTTTTTCCTTATAAGTCACACTCCGCTAGCACTGTCTTCTCTATTTCTTTGGCCTTGACCTGGCATTTTTACATGGAGCACAATGCATAGGCACCAGTAGTTCTTAACAAAAGCACACATAACCAAATAACACTCCAGTGAAGTACCTAGACTAAAGCAACCATGTGTTCCTATGCTACAGACATAGGCTTTTTATTTTTTTCTTCGAAGTTGGTCTAGTTCCCAGTACCCCCTGCTGTATAACCAACAGGGGTCTAGTTAAAGCAAATTATGTTAACTAATGAACTAAGCACATTATATCCAATTCACATTATGAGAACTTTACTAGTTTGGTCTGGCATCAGAGCTTAGATAAAGATTCAGTCAGGAAATTGTCAACATCATGGAAGTCCTGTGGATTGCTGTAAGTGTATGTCCCAGAGGTTGGAGAACAAGGGAGGCTGCGACTTTAATACCCCAAAGTCAAATGGGATCCTTGCTTAAAAAGAAATGAAGTACTGGCCAGGACCTCAGAGTCTCAGGAGCAAGGGAACTAGACAAGTGGTTTAGTTTCTCAGACTGGGATATAAAAGAGTGTCTTGTTCACAAGAAACAGGACCAGAGCCTAACTACTAGAATTCACTTGAAAACTGGAATAGAACTGGACCGACAACATGCCATATTTTAATGCTGCTCTACAAAGCTAATGACCTCCATCCCTTTAAATTCTCTCTAACAATGAATGAAATTGGTCCCTGATCCCATGAGCAGAGTGGAGCCTTGCTGTATATGTGAATTGTATAACTTCAGTATGGTAATTGCAGGAACAAACGGGCAGAAAAAAGGGCAAAGTTCATCATAGTGAAAATGGAATTCATGGCAGATCCTCTGGATCCTACGTTTTATAAGAGACTGTTGATTAGGTCTGCATTTTAACCTCGTGAGTCTCCTCAGTTTATCCAAATGAAATAAATCGACCTCCACTGAGATTCAGTTCACTTCACTAAACCTCTAAGCCTTCATCACCAATTGTTAGACTGTTTATATGCTAGGTACAGTGAATAAAATGAAATATAAAACATACTTTTTGCTCAGTGGGATGACTAGTAAAAATGGAATTCAGTGTCAAGCTATACACATAGGCTTAAAAATTTATTATTAACAGCCACTTTGGAAGACACTTTGGCAGTTTCTTATAAAACTAAGCATACTTGTAACATAGGATCCAGCAATACTTAAATGTGGAAATCAAACTATTAACGATTTCAGAAGATAATATGGAAGTAAATCCCCATGACCTTAGGGTAAAGAAGGATTTTTTAAATAAGACATAAGGAACATGAAATGTGTAATTAACCAGTTCAACCACATTAAAATGAAGAGTTTAATCAAAAGATACCATAAAACAAACAGCACAGTGGAGGAAAAGATATTTGCTACTGTGTTACAGTCAAACACATTTAACTGACACAGTCCAGTTTCAAGAATATATAAAGAACTACAAATTAATAAAATCAAATACTCCAATAGAAAATATGCAAATAGTTGAACACTTTACAAAAGAAGGCATCTGAGATGTCAATAAGCGTATAAAAAGATGTTCAACCTAATTAATATTCAGATAAAGGCAAATTATACCTACTATGTTTGGCACAAATTAAGAAATCTGAAAATACTAAATATTGGTGAAGATGTGGTGCAGATAGGATTCTTACACACTACAGGTGAGAATGTAAATTGGTGCAATCACTTTGACAAGCTGTTTGGCATTGTCTAGTAAATTTGAAATGTTACACAACTTATGACCCAAAAATCTATTTTGCACATCTATCCTAGAGCAGTGATCCCTGGGATGTCTGAGGCATTTTCAGATCAAAGCTAGTTTCACAATAGTACTAACACCTCATTTGCCTTAAAAAAAAATTATATTGATATTTGCACTGATTGTGCAAAAGCAATTGCGGGAATAAATGCTGACACCTTAGCATGAATCAAGACAGCCATGCCAGTATTCAGTGTGTTTGTAACTCCCATACACTCACAATAAAACCCATGCCATTTTCACTTAAGAGTGTCCTTGATGAAGCAGCAAAATTATTAGTTTTATTAAATCACAACCTTTGAGTTCATGTCTTCTTAATAGTCTATGTTACTCATTACTGCTGCATGAATGCTGGCTACATGATATTTCTGGGTCAGAGGCAAAAGATGTTATTACAGTACAGCAAGCATCATAAGCATCAACATATTTACATTGGTTCCCCTTGGCCCCAAATTCCACAAGGGTGACACAATATGGGCCATATAAATGCTGCACACGCAGTGAGTTTGCATTGCAACTGAGAAACACAGAGCTTAAGGAATCTACCACTTTTATGGCAAGTAATAAGTTAACCTGTTCGTTGTCCAAGAGGAGAGATGTTACCTCATCTCTGAAAATTACCCGGACAAATGGCCTGAGTAAAAGAACAAGTGATCAGGCACCTGCAGCAAGATGTGGAGGATCACAAAAGGCCCAAGGACGACTGTCTCTCCCAATATGTATCTGTCTCCATGTGTGCCTGTGTGTGTGTGTGTCCATGTGTGCATATGTGTGTGTCTGTCTCCATGTGTGCATATGTGTGTGTGTGTCCCTCTGACTTTTTCTCTGTCTCTGTGTTCGTGTTCCTAAAACCCTCCACAAATGAGAATCATTAACTCAAGGTAATCTGAAATGTTTACTAAACACATAAAACTGGCAATGAAGATATTCTCTTGTTACCCACTGTTCATCCATTGGGGTGGGCCCGAGGTTTGCCAACACTCCTTTGTTCTTGTTTTTGTTCTTCTTTTTTTAAATTATTATTTTTGAAACTCAACAGCAGAGAGTTGAATTAGTTTTCTTTTCTCTCTATTTATCTATACTTAGTTCAAGGCACAGCATCATTATCAGTATCAGTTCAAGCAGGGACCCTTCTTGTTTAATACCTGTTATTAGTTTTTATATTTCTATAGTCCCACTTATCCCCTCTCATAGACAGCTACTCAGATAAATTTGATATGTATATTTGAATCCCTATGTATCCTCGTAAAATATTGCAGGTTGTTTTGCATGTGTGTTTACTTTTTACTTTTTAAGTTTGAAATGATTTCACATTTACAGAAATATTGCTATAGTAGAAAGATTAACCATGTGTTCATTACCCAGATTCAAAAATAGTAAAGATTTTGCAACCCTTGTTTTATCTTTCTCTATTTATATGTCCATAATATTTTTCTGATCTCTTTGAGAGTAAGTTGTAGACATTATATCCTTTATTCCTAAACATTTCAGCATGTATTTCCTAAGAACAAAATATATTGTCTTATATAGCTGTCATACAATGGTCTAATTAGAAAGTTTGACATTGATACACTACTGTTATCTAGTATACAGTTCATACTCCAATTTCATTTATTGTCCCCAGCAATGTTTGTTTTCTGTAGCATTTTTTTTCTCCCTAATCCAGTTTCCATTGCATTTACTTGTTATCTTTTGAGTATTTAATCTGGAATAATTCTTCAGACTTTTTTGTTATTCAAGATTCTGTATGTAACTTTTGTTTACTTATGTGGTGTAGTGCTAAAGATCTTGTTCCCTTTCTTAATTTTTTTTTGCTGTTTTTAAGATCCACTCATATAGGCCAGATATGGGGGCTCACGCCTGCAATTCCAGCACTTTGGGAGGCCAAGATGGGAGGATCACTTGAGCCCAGAGTTTGAGATCAGCCTGGGTAACATAGAGAGATCCCGTCTTTATGAAAATTTAAAAATTTTCCAGGTTTGGTGTTGCAGACCTGTGGTCCCAGCGACTTGGGAGAATGAAGTGGGAGGACTGCTTGAGCACAGGAGGTCGAGGCTGCAGTGAGCCATGATTGCGCCACTGCACTCCAGCCTTGGTGACAGAGCCAGACCCTGGCCCCCTTGCACCAAAAAAGATCCACTCATATTAATGTGTAGACATCTATCTTGTTTGTTGCTTCTAACTTCTGCTTAGTATTCCACAGTATACATCTGCCAAAAAAGAAATGTATTTTATACTCCAGCCTGAACGTCCTATTACAGGGATCTTTTGAAGCTGATGTCATGAATGTCAGTTGTAAACTTAACATTGTACTTTGTGTCACTGTAAGTGAACTATTTGACATTGCCAGATCATTTCTGGGATTTCTTATGTTTGAAATGTAGATTACAGAAGTATATATTCTCTTAGATGACTAAAACCTAAATCCTTGAGACAACTATCTGCATCTAAATCCTTGAGATAACTATCTGCATCTGACACCTAAACTATAAAGATTGTTAATTGAAATAAAACTCAGGATTTTCTCCTTCAGTACTTGAGTTCATTGGTTTTAAAATCTGTTGGCTTACATACATCTGATTTTTTAAAAATCATGTACCTTATTGTGTATTTTTCAGTTGATGTCCAAAATTTTTCTTTTTATGACTAAGTAATTGCAAAGGATAGAATTTCCAGTGTTGCAGATATTGTTATTTAAAAATAGAATTGATATATCCCTCTCTTAAGTATATGCAGTTTAATCTAAATGCCATAGCAATTAGGTAACTACCATTATGCATTTAAAAAATACATGAACTGGCTCTATAGTCAAAATTTATATCATTTTCCCCTCTTTTAATTCAATGTGCTCATTCCCCTTTAGAACTTTATCTTAATGTATATTTTAATATATCCTAATATATTTTAAAAGATATTTTATGCTTAAGAGTATTTTTAAATTATATACTGTATTATATATCTCTACAGCAAAAACATGTATATGAAAGTTTATTAATTTGTTTCTATGATCAGAAAGAAAATTTTCTTCTGGATTTAATGTTCGTTACATTACAATAATTATTAGTTTCAGTGACTGATTGGAAGAATATATACATATTACAAATTTTGATAAATAAATACATAAGTAAAGTTTTTATTAGAAGACATATCATTAATTGGATGTATTTTTTCAATTATTGCATTTATCTCTGTATTGCTATAATGAGGCAGGATTTCAGCATCAATTCAATTTCTATAGATGTGAATGCTGAGAAAATTTGTTCACATAAGAAGTAGACAGGGATAAAAGGAGTTTATTATAGAAATACCACTCAACTCTTTGAACTCCTTTTGAATTATTTGTCAAAATATAACCATGGGAATCTATCATCAAAGAATAGTTTTAACCATTGATCAGCTGGTTATTTGATTATATGCTCCTGCAAACCTGGTAAAAGTGAGGAACTGGAAACTACCTGATATGGTTTAATTAAAATCAACCATCAAAAGTTATTCTCTTAACATTGACACAAATGTTCAATTGCCTCTTTTCTTGGCACCATGTTTTTATATTCCAAGGCAATGCACTATTATAAAATTATAGATGGGTGAAAGATATGCCTTTCTTTGTAAGACAGGAGATAGGATTTTAAAAGTAGAAGCTTGATTTTTTTTAGAAAAGAGTGCATAAGGAGTCGAGAATCTCAAAATTGATTCTCTTAAAGCCATCTGAGCCTGTCTACACACCTATCTTAACATGAAACAGGGATACGTATAAAATTGCCACTAAAAGGAAATAGTATTTTTAAAGCTATCGTTACTTGAAAAGAATCATAGTGTTAACACAGTAGCATCAACCTTTCAGAGAAATAAGAAACATTACACATTTACACTACTGAGGTCTTTATGTGAATCCATAGTTGATTATTTTGACAGAATATATGTTTGATTTGACACACTTGAAACTTCACCTTCACATTCCTTGAAGACCATTCAAAGAGACTTACTCCACTGTGTTGAGGTCAGACTAGAATACCAAATATTGGTGTTCTTGGAAGGTTATTTGATGTTTTAATTTAGGGCTCTGGATACTCTCATACATTTCTCTTTCTTTGCTTATTTTTGTTCCTCCACCTGAATTACTAGCTCTTCCTAATATGTGTATATGCACATATATGGGGCTGGGAGAAAAATATATATATTTATGTATAATATATATTTACATATAACATATAATACACATATTATATGTATATAATATATACATGTATATGTATATAATAATTATATATTATATATTAATATTTTATATATAATTTAGATATTAATATATAATAATGTATATGTATATAATAATTATATGTATAAGTATATAATATATGTATAATATCATATAAATATATAATATATGTATAATATCATATAAATATATATTATATGTAAATATATATTATATGTGCATATATATATATATATATATATTTTTTTTTTTTTTTTGGAGACAGAGCCTTGCTCTGTTACCCTAGCTATAGTATAGTGGTATGGTCTCAGCTTACTGCAACTTCTGCCTCCTGAGTTCAAGTGATTCTCATGTCTCAGCCTCCTGAGTAGCTGGAACTACAGGAGCACACCACCACCCCCGGCTAATTTTTTCTGTATCTTTAGTAGAGACAGGGTTTCACCATGTTGGCTAGGCTAGTCTCGAGCTCCTGACCTCAGGTGATCCTCCCGCCCCAGCCTCGCAAAGCGCTGGGATTACAGGTGTGAGCCACCCGGCCCGGCCTATGAGGACATATTATATGTCTTTATTATAGCTCTTTTTATATTGTACTTATGAAAGTCAGTTCATTGTGCTTCCTAAGCATGTCTCAAATCTAATTCTACCTGTTTATCCGGCACCCTCGTTCAGACCAATATCAGTTCTCAGTTGGTAATGATTTTCTGACTACTCCCCTGGTTCCATTCTCTTCCTACTTCAGGATCTCCACCATGGAGTTACTATAATTACTTGTCTAATAGACAGATCAATTCCATATTCCCTGACTCAGAAATCTTCCATTGCTCTTACTTACAAGTCTTCCCTGTTTCTATGCTGCCAAGAGGACTCATATTAATATTTACTTTTATTAATTATCTTGTACTTACCTATTCCCAACTACCTTTCCAGACTTTTTCTCCAGCAACTATCCTCATCTATTTTACACTCTAGTGACATTTTCTTGAACACGTATCATGGTGCACTTATTAGAATATATGTCGTAACAGACACATAAATTTATTTTCTTAGTAATATTCAACCAAAACTTCTGGTTACTTGTGAAGAAACGTTAAAATGTATATGTAATCTGTTTATACACATACATTGTATAAACACATACACATATATATGGTATGTAGTGGGTATATCCTTTTCAGAAAAACATTTTTATTGTTAAAATGTTTTTTTAGATCACATTGTTAGCACTAAGCATGGCTATATAACACAGGAAAAAAATGACAAACAAAATATTTTAAAAATGAAGGAGGCTACGATAAAAACCAAAATCCTTAAGTATATCAATGGTTTTCAAAAGGTGTTTTGAAACACACATACAAACGACCACAAATTACATGTGTGTTAAATTCTCTTTTATTAATATTAATGAGAAAAAGGACTTACGGCCGGGCGCGGTGGCTCCCGCCTTTAATCCCAGCACTTTGGGAGGCTGAGGCAGGCAGATCACGAGGTCAGGAGATCGAGACCATCCTGGCTAACATGGTGAAACCCCGTCTCTACTAAAAATACAAAAAATTAGCCAGGCGGGGTGACAGGTGCCTGTAGTCCCAGCTACTCGGGAGGATGAGGCAGGACAATGGCGTGAACCCGGGAGGCTGAGCTTGCAGTGAGCCGAGTTCGCGCCACTGCACTCCAGCCTGGACGACAGAGCAAGACTGCGTCTCAAAAAAAAAAAGAAAGAAAAAGAAAAAGGACTTATGTATTTGGCCTATATCCTAAAACTCAACTGATCATAGCTATCTTCTTGTAGTTCTCTTTTGGATTCAGCATAGTGAGGTAGGATGAACACTAACATGTTAAAAGGCAGGTTCTGCTAACAATTCCAACACTGACAAACTGTGTGATCTTTAGCAGGTCGTTTATCTTTGCTAAATCTGTTTTCTAATTTATAAAGTAAGGACTGATATACAATATATTCGGCTCAAAGAGAAATTGAAACGTGCGATAACAGGTGAGAGTATGTGATTACATTTAAAGAGATTTAGACATGTATTGTATCACTGAAGTATTCCTTATTCCTTAGTCTCTTTAATTTTAATCCTAAATTTCTTTAGAGGATCTGGCCTATCCTGATGGAAGGCATATGTTGATAAGGCTAATAAATGGCCAAATAAGGAAATAAGGGATGTGTTGGGGTTTTTTTCTTATTTATTTATTCTATGTTTCTTCCTCATTAAAACAGTTTTGGTATGAACCATGATGGAATTGGAAATTCTTGTGGGACGAAAGGTCATGAAGCAGCAAAACTTATGGCAGCTCACATTACTGCGAATACCAATCCTTTTTCCTGGTCTGCTTGCAGTCGAGACTACATCACCAGCTTTCTAGAGTAAGTAATCTCTGGAGAGTGATGATAAATAGCTCCAGAAGTAAGCCACTGGTAGAAGCCTAACATGTAGTGCTTTCAACTTTGCATAATGAGTAAGTTTTATAGGGCCTACTGATGTTTCAACTTTTTCCTAAATACTTTAATATATCATTGTGGCAATTTTTTTTTCTTCATATAGAATTTATAGAATAGAGGAAGTGGAGTAAGGATGTAAGTGGGACTGATGGTGTGAGTGTTACAATTGTTTAATAAATGGGAGACAATTTCAGAAAGCATTCAGATTTGCATGATTTAATAGCACATAGGCCAAATTTGAGTTCAGTGATTACATATTTTATTTTGTCAGTGAAAAAACTGAGTTCTATAGGAAAGCCAAAGTATCTAATAGTAACAAACAACAACAACAACAAAAAAAAACCAAACACCAAGGAAATGAACACTTTGAGAAAAAGATTTGTTTTTGAAAGTGTATTAAGCGATCCATTTTTCTACAGTTTGAGAACTTTTTGGTCCTTTAATGTATATTCCAAGAGTCTGGTTATTTAAATGTGAAGAATACAAATTAGCTCAGGTATAACTATGTTAAGAAAATCAGATGTTCTTCCACATCTCACTTGCATAGGGCTTCAGGATTGTACTTTGGAAACTGATAGACTTGGGTCTCACTTTCTAAGTGCGTGTTCCTTAACTTTTCTAATCTTCAGTGTCCTAAGTTGTTAAATGAATTTAAGTCATACTGTTTATGTCATCAGGTGTTATATATGTGATTATATGTCATGCTATAATGTATATAAAATACATAACAGACATTCTTTAAATGGTAAATATTATTTTAAATAATATCAAGATTTCAGTGCTTTATTGCTTTACCATTATTTTTAACTGTTTTGTGCCATTTTTTTCTTTAGGGAGGAGAAATTAAATACTCTGTGAAAAAGTAAGGTATACATAAAGCACAGGCCAGCAATGGAAATTCTTCTTAAAAATTGGCTCTGTTCAAAGTTTATATTAAAATGATTATATTGTAAAATTTTAAAAATTCAAACAAGTTACATAGGGTAACATTATTTATTAAAATTTCCTTCATATCTACTAATAGCCAGAGCATATATTTTGAAAACTATGATTAGATATTTTTAAAAGGTCACAAACAAGAGACTTTAAATTACCTAGCACAATGCTTTATTAAAAAACAAATCAAAAGATAAATGTTTAAAATGAGCTCTTTTAATGTAATAATAAAGTTGAAGGAATTTGAAATTTATTTCAGAAGGTAGTTCTTCTGATAACCATATTATAACCTAATAATTTTTAATCTTAGTAACAGAAAATTATAAGATTATACTTGCCTACAGTGAAAACTGATTGAAGTGCTATAAAGGTAGACCACAGAGCATTTGTAAGATATCTTTTGGTCGTTCTTAATACAAAGCACTAGCAATATCATTTTCTAAGATGGTTTTAATGAGATCATTTACCTAAATTTTAAACATTTTTGAAGATCCGCTCTCCCTAGACATCAAGTCAGATCTGGAATTTCTCCCTTGACTTGGCTTATGTTTTTATAATGGAGTCTTAATGTCCATCACCAGAAAGACAAACTGTATAACATGCTCAAGATTCCTGTGCATTTCTGATGGTTGCTCTTATCTTTTTTGTTTGTTTGTTTTTTTGTTTTGTTTTGTTTTTGTACCATTTTCTTTTCTCTTTTATCTTGTGTCTGTCCCATTGGCTATATTGCACAGCTCATTTGCTAGTACCATCTCTGTATACTAAATACAAGGACCAGTTGTGATCTTCTACCAGATCTTGTCTACTTGAAAGCATACTGAGGCTAAGACACTCCAAAAGGGAATCCCTAAATTGCTGGTAAAATGCAGTTTAAAAATCACCCACTGGTTTGGTGAGGGACATAAAAGTATTACTAGTTTCAATAAAGTGTTCCATTGAATTAATTAAAATAATTGATCCAAAAAGCATTATTTAAGCTTTATAGCATGTATGTGTAAGCATGATTAGTGTTGACAGTGTTCTAATGGGCTTATTTGTCCTGTATTTTATAAAAATATTTCTCATGTGCATCCTCATGGGAATGCTCACAAAGTTAAAACTATTAATGAAAGATAGATGTGAAGCACAATGGGTAGAGACTTGGGGAAAACTTGGCTTTCCCTCCTCTTTAATAATAAAACTAAACAAATCTGATTATAATCTGACCAAGCAATAAAGGGTTTTTAAACACAAAGCTCTTTAAAAAGGTCAGTTCACCGGAGCACAAAGACATAACAGTAACTTTCTTGAATTTCTTTGTTCCTTTTTATTAATGCAGTGAACTTAATTGCTTTAACAGCTATGCGTGATATTTTTTAAAATCCAGTGCTATTTTGATCAGGGATTGAGGTTACATTTATGTTTTATAGTTGGCTAGAAAAGGCTCATAACATTTTATTTTAGCTTCTCTTCTCAAGAAAAAGAATCTTGAAAGATGAATTGTTTAGGAACTGCAGCCCAGCCAACAAAACGCATACCTTTCTCTACTTAGTAGCTGTATAGGCCAAAGATGATGGTGGATTTTAACAATGAGCTTTCTATGATTTATAGAGATTCACAATTCACTATGTTCAACTGAAAACTATTCCATGGCCAATAGAATACAAAGTCTCTCGTGTCATTCTAAAACACTAGATGCTATTGATCAATCAGGAGATGGTGTTTACCAACTCCCAATATTTTTTTTCAGATTTCTTAAACTCGGTGATTCAATAAGTGGTTCATGAATCGCCCAGAAGCCGTCCTGATTAAATAATAAAGAACCCATTTCCGTTAAAATGGACGTGTTATGCCAGCTTCTGATGTTTTCCGGCGACGGCTTTGCAGGTAGTGTCTTTCCTATCTGCCTGCGGGACTGATTTATTTATTTATTTAGACTATAGAGAAAGGTGAACCTGGTATTATGGCTCACACTCATTGATGACTATGGACCAATTTACCAGGCAGTGGAAGACAGCCAGAAGTAATTTAAGCCAGTTTTTCATACATTTTCCACCACTTAGCAATAATACAGAATAATTTCATAAAGGTTTCAAAAATTATGGGGGCTCTGTGAATCAACTCTTGCTCTGTTAAAATTAAAGTCTGTTAACTTTTTTGAACTGTCAAAGATCCATAGCAAAATTTCCTACAGTTCCAAATTAAATACAGAGTAGACATTTTCACAGAAAGAATGGAAGCTGAACGTATTAAGAGAAGCAATGTTACAGTCGGAGTTGACCTAGGAAGAAAGGTGATTGTAGATCTACAAGAGAACTGATATAAGATGAGCAAGATGACCAAAGCACTTACATTTCCTCTCTAGCAATGACCTTCAAAGGTCAACATCAGACTATTATATAAAAAACAATCTTTATAGATGGGACCTTTTTAAAAAAATGTAGAATCTAAGAGCTTGGCAAAACAGGTTTCTCCTCCTTCTGTTTATCTGATACATTTGGGTAACCTTACTCTAACCATAATAACTTTGATAAGTCATAATTACATATAGGGGGAAAAGGGTAAACCATTCTCAATACAGTATTTGTGTCTTGAAAGCTTCAAGCTCAGTTATATTAAGGGTGAGAGAAAAAGATTTGCCTTAGAAGGCAGTACATTGTTAGCTTCATTGAGAAGACTGACAAAGCAGTTTATGAGACTATAGTACGTAAGACAGTTGACTTACTGTAGATGATATCAACCCAATTCTATTTTGCTTAATTTATGTGAATCAGCCCAACTTAGTGGAATAAAAATAGGAGGTGGCATTAAGTGTTAACTTTTTGTTGTTGTTGTTAAGAGACTGTTAAGATATATACAGGGTTATATAGAAAGATTTCTTTTTTAGATTGACCCACTGTATTGTAGACTAAAATTCATATTTTATGGTATAACTGTTATAGTGAAAATACATCTAAAATCACAATTAAGAGTATATCCTAATGTGTTCTGGAAACAAAGCCATGAGTGCATATTTTACATAGGGATCTGTAAATTTTTGCTGATGACCGAACTGTAACTCATATTCCTATATTCAAGGCTAATTTTTGGATTATGTAAATAAGACCTCTCTAAATTAGAAGTAGAATTCATAAAATATGACTTTCTCATCATACTGCAAACATTTTGAGAAATGTAAATATACTTTGATTTACTGTGAATTTCATAATCAAGGGAGAAGTATATTCTAAAACTAATGTATTTTTTTGCTTAGTCTTAGAAGCGTAAACAAAAATAGAGTCTAGGAATTCAATAATTATCTGTGTTGCTGTCGATATTAACTAGGGTTTGGGTTTTTAGTTGTGATTATATGCTGCTAGGGAAATAATCACAGGTCTACTTTTTATATGTACAATTTTGATCTGACAAGTATATGTTTAATAATAAATTGTAACTACATAACATAGATGGAGACTAACACTATTCTACATTTAATAATGAGTGAGGTTCATGTTTTCTGAGTGGACAAATTTGCGTATTACACCAACATACAAACCATCTATGTTTAAAATTATTATTTGATGAGAAGATTTGTATATAATATCACTACAGTGCTATTATAATTTTGATAGTAGCATAAATAACACTGGACATGTAAGAATTGTATAGTTTTATCTCAATTAGCTATAAGACAACTTATATCTAATATTTTATGAAAGGAAATATTAGGTTGGCACAAAGGTAATTGTGGTTTTTGCCATTAAAGTAATTGCAAACACACAATTACTTTTGCACCGACCTAATAGATTTACACATTTATACCAGGAGACATACAAAAAGTGTTCATATCAGCATAATTTGCAATTCTTAGAAATTGGAAATAATCCAGATGTTTATTAGTAGAGGAATTATAAATAACTGTGACATACTTATAAATGGAATATTAAAGAACAATAAAAATGAACAGGCTACAATTAGATTTACACACATCAACATAGAAGTAGCTCATATTCACAATGTTGAGCAAAAGAATAAAGTTACAAAAGACTACCCACAGTATGACTACTTTTATATAAAGTCTCAAAACTGGCAGATGAATAATTAGACAGTAAAATTATTAAGCAAAACAAGGAAATTATTATTATAAAAAGTTAGGATAGTAGTTACCTTTGGGGGTGGGGGGAAATGAGGGATATTACTGGAATAAAGCACTTGAGAATTTTCATAGAAAAAAAGTAAGGAAAAGCACTCCCAGGGTTAAATATACATTGCTCACATTTATGTCTTCTACCTCTGTATCTATATCTGTAATATTTCATAATGGTAATTGATGACTCAGAGGCATGAAAATATCCAGAATTATTTTAAGAATTAATTAGTAACTAATAATTATCATCTATAGGCTTTAGTTACTTGAACATAGCAGGAAAGTAGCAGACAAATTTTGGTTAACATAGTTCAAAAAGCATTTTTCTTGCTTAACCCTTAGTTAAGAATTAAAATATAGGCCAGATGCAGTGGTTCATGCCTATAATCCCAGCACTTTGGGAGGCCAAGGCAGGAAGATCTCTTGAGACCAGGAGTTCTAGACCAGCCTGGGCAAGATGGTGAGACTCAGTATCTACAAAAGATACAAAAATTAGCCAGGCATGCCTCTGGTCCCAGCTCCTCCGGAGGCTGAGGTGGGAGGATCACTTGAGCCCAGTAGTTCAAGGCTGCGGTTAGCTGTGATCATGCCACTTCACTCCAGCCTGGGTGACAAAGCGAGATCCCATCTTAAAACAAAAACAAAAGAATTAAAACAGGAAAACTATCCCATCCCTCAAATATTTAAATCAAGGTTTTACTGTATATACCAGATATGGTTACTAGAAGGAAAATGTACTACACATGTAGTAAACGTGTAGAAATGTACAACCAATTTAAATCCACCTTGCAGATACATCCCCACATTTGCTTTACTGGAAGACACTTGACTTGTAAGCCTTGCTAATTTGTACAAATATAGCCAAATCCATTTCAAAAGTCCTTTGTTTATTCCATGTTTCTAAATGCTGGTTCATTTTTAAAGATCCATATGGTTTTCCTTTATATTTTATTTCATATGGTGTTTTATTCTTCTGTAAAAATGTACTGGAAAAGGAGAACAAGACTTGTCTAGACTACATTAATACAAAGCAATAGGTGCTTCCAGAGAACTAAAACAAAAATACACTTTTGGGATAAACTTTCTTAGAAGAGTTTTGACCACAGGTGCCTGCAGTTCATGGCATTCTTGGTGGGGTGAAGGCCATTGCAGTTGTCCTCTGGTTTGGTATTTTTTAAAGAACATGAACCATGATTAGAAAACCACTAATATTAATATATTGAAACAATAATTTTAGATGAAGCAATTATTCTTGCTTCCTTCTGGGTTAAGTCAGTTTCCAATTTGCCATCAGAAAAGAATTTTTTCCTCAGGATATCTATTCTTAAATTCTTCTTTGGGATCTACACAGTTCTTCCTCTGATTCTGGGTTAATTTTATGTATTACTAAAAGTAATTATTTTAAAATTTAAATAAAATAAGTTGGTGTCACCAAAAGCTGGTGTCACTTAGGTGAATATATCCTGCACTTTTTTGGTTATGCCATTGTAAATATTTTTTGCCTATTGGATACCTACTTCAGTACACAATTTAAAATAAATATTTTCCATAAAAAAGATTTATAGTAGTACTTAACTTGTTATTTTATTTTTATTACATATTTAATTCCTTTCATAAAGATATTTATAATTTTATTGTCAGTAGAAATGAAACAGATATTTTAGAAGAAAATTGGGGAATTAAACTACTAATTCAGTTATCTCACCAATATCCTAATCAAAATGGTTCTTTTTCCATTGTACTATTCAAATATGACCTCTTTGTCATTAACCTTAATATATAATTTAAGATTTACTAGTAGCATTACATTTGCCTAAAGTTTGCATATCCTTATAAATTAAAGATATTTTACGTAATAAAGCCAAAAAAGCATTATTTAAAAAATTCATCTAGAGGTAATTTTTCTTGCTGAGGTACATGTCAATTTCTAAAAGTATAATAAAAAGGAAATAAAAAAGTGTTCTGTTATGAAAACTGGATAGCTGGGTGAAAAAAGTTTGTTCTTTGTTAGTTAGTTAGTTAGTTAGATACCTTGAGCAGTGACAAATGAAATGATTGTAGTAGCCAGTGGTAAAATCCATCTGTATTAGTACCATACTTAATATTCCTTTTAAATATTTCTTATTGATTAAAAAATCAGGAGGGCATGAAAGAAAGGAGAAGGATATAAAGAAGACAGTAGTCTGTCTCTTTGGTCTTTAACTCTATATCACCGTAGGAATAGTATGGTTCAGTTTTTAAAAGGTATTAATTTGCTGCTGTGTGTGAACATACCTTTTTATAGAACACATTGACTTTGACATGTTAAGAATATGAGAAACTTTTAAGTGAATAGCAAAGTCATTGTTATGCATAGTTCTTTCTTAGTTATCTATAAATGAAAAATTGTACTGTCCTAAATAACAGTTGAGGAACTTCTACTTGTGAAATTATTTTCCTTTGGCAAAGTGGATGGAAAAGATTTGGAAAAAAAAAAAAAAAACACAAGTGCTGGCACAATGGACAGGAATGTTGGAAAAAATTTTTAAATGTTGGCATAGGAATTCTTTAAAAATTCTAACTTACTCACATGTGAAATGAAAGTAAAAAAGCATCTGTCCTATTTTATGCACACTGACTAAATAAAAATGAACAATTATATTTAGCAAAGTTTAAAGCTCTTTAAACTAAGGTATTTTGTCTGGGTTTTGGCGACCTTTATGTTATTTGTTCTACTGAATTAAAATATTATGTTTGAGTGCAGGCATAGCTTGAAACGCAGAAATTATACAAAGAAGAGAACATTCTCTTTTCCAATTCTGATGATTCTAGATGAAATATGAAATTTTTGAGAGACTAAACACTTCTAATATATTTGAGAGGAAAACTTTGGTCGTTGGCCTCATCTGTCATTCAACCCATTTATTAGTGAAATATTTCAAGAACCTATGGACATGCCTTAACACAACATCTATTGTTCTGCCCAAGGTGGAACTATATAAATTAGGTCTTTAAGGATTATAACCATAATTATTTTTTTTTTAATTTTCTGCATTTCATGTTTTTAATTCTACTACCAGATGTGGTTATATTTTCAATAAAAACAAACAAGAAGCTTAGAGCAATATGAAATTCTGTTTTGATTCCTTGAGAAATTAGCTTAAATCAAGGCCAACGTGACATTTTCATATTGTTGTCTGAAATGATTTTATTGTGTCTTGGTGCTAAAATGAATTATTTGGAGCTCTTATTCAGGTTTCAGTAAAGCTATTCTGTTCTGCCATGTGATTATTTATTGGGAGAATGTATTGTTTTTCATGCGTCAAGTTATTAAAACAAAGCTCAACACGTGGTTTCATAATTGTGACTAAAATAGCCCATAGAATACCTAATTTCCTTTGATCCTTTATGTTGAACAGTTCAGGCCGTGGTACTTGCCTTGATAATGAGCCTCCCAAGCGTGACTTTCTTTATCCAGCTGTGGCCCCAGGTCAGGTGTATGATGCTGATGAGCAATGTCGTTTCCAGTATGGAGCAACCTCCCGCCAATGTAAATATGGGGTAAGAAGTCTTCATCCTTATGTTTCGTCATTTATACGTGTTCTTCCATGACACAGATGTTAAGATGGAATTACGATGAATGTCGGTTCCCTCTAGTAATATCTTTAATTTAAATATGGCTTTTGACACTGCAGTTTTTCTGACATCATATGTACAATATTTTTTCTAAATGTTTCAATAATCCTAAGTTAAGCACATTACAGATTTCTTGTGAGGGATGCAGGTAGAATTTTAGTAATTCTTAATATATTTTTTCTTTAAATCTTGAATTTATGATGCCAACTTTATTTCGTCTTTTGAAATGTTATGGCTTTAAAATCCCTCTGCCACTTTTCTGATACTCTTATAATTGAGCTAAAGGGCATTTTTACATTAGCTAGACAGCTTTACTTTTATTCCTACTTGATAGTGCTAAGTCACTTCATGTTGCTTCATCCACTGCCCACATTCCAGCACCACAACCAAGCAGGAACAAGATGACATTAGCTCAAGTAGTGAAACAAGGAAAATTGCTATGAAAGAAAAAAAAATGTAGGCATCATAATTTATTCTGCATGTCTGCCTTAAAAAAAAGTCACAGTGTCTACATCAGAAAATGAATAAAATTCTTTTTAAGTTTCATAGAGCAAGATTTTAGTGGACATGTTCTTATTAAGAACACAATATAAGCATAGTGAATGAAAAAATTGGTTTTTAATATGTCAAATTGCTTACCAAAAAAATTCAGATTTAAAAAATAAGTTGAGAGCCTTGATTTTTTTTTCTTTTTCTTTTTTTTGAGACAGAGTCTCGCTCTGTCGCCCAGGCTGGAGTGCAGTGGTGCAATCTTGGCTCACTGCAACCTCTGTCTCCTGGGTTCAAGCAATTCTCCTGCCTCAGTCTCCTGAGTAGCTGGGAATACAGGCGTGCACCATCATGCCCGGCTGATTTTTGTATTTTTAGTAGAGACGGGGTTTTGCCATGTTGGCCAGGCTGGTCTCGAACTCCTGGCCTCAAGTGATCTGCCCACCTTGGCCTCCCAAAGAGCTAGGATTACAGGTGTGAGCCACTGCGCCTGGCCTGATTTCTATTTCTATGCAAATAGTCTTTTAAATCCTCTTTTAGAAATAATAATAATTAAGGGTTAAGGTAGTATTGTACTGTATCATTGCACTGTATGTATCCTCTTTAGGTACAGAATAAAAGGAAGTGTTTTCTTAAATATCTCTTTGGTGACAAGTATATTATTATTATTCTTGTTAGGCTTTAGCAGCACATTTGTGCACTAGCTTGAAAGATTGTGTGTGATTATATGATATGTAGAACCTTGTGTAAAACTTTGGCTTATCCTTAATCTTATTTTGTATGGTTCTAGTTTCTTTTGTTCTTAGGTTGTTTATGTTTCAATAAAAGTCAGTCGAACTTTAATCATAGTCTTTCTATATATACTTACGGATTAATACATTGAAATTCATGATCAAATGAACTTAGAAAATTTCTGTTAGATTATTCATATCTATGTCTCTCATTTCTTTGTTAGCAAGTGAAATAATCTATATTTTTGTTTTCTATTGGAAACTGGATTTTAACTCTACATGCAAATTTCTACATTAGATAATTTATTCAGTTTTATAGAATCTATGGCTACACGATATAGTCTTTTTCTCTCTCAAATAAATTAATAAAAATTTGACTTAATTCTTCTTGCTATATCTATATATCTAATTCAGTTCAGACTAATTGATTTGAAATGAGATAAAGAATACAAAATTATATATTTTTACTTTATGTTCCTGATATTCTGCTTTTATATTCTTTTTATTTGAGATGGAGTTTTGCTCTGTCACCCAGGCTGGAGTGCAGTGGCACAGTTTTGGCTCACTACAACCTCCACCTCCTAGGTTATTCTCTCACCTCAGCCTCTGAGTAGCTGGGATTACAGGCGCTCACCACCACATCTGGCTGTTTTGTATTTTTGGTAGAGATGGGGTTTCACCATGTTGGCCAAGCTGGTCTTGAACTCCTGACCTCAAGTGATCAGCCCGCCTCGGCCTCCCAAAGTGTTGGGATTACAGGTGTGAGCCACCATGCGTGGCTTGCCTTTATATTCTTAATATGTTTTGTTTATAAAGACTTCTGTAATAGATACAAACTAAAATTGGAAAACTTTGAGAAAGACATTAGTATCTTACAGACCTACACAGTTTTAAGTATTTTATCGTGAATCCTTTTCACTTTGATTTGTAGCAAAATAATGGTTTCCCTAGATTCATATACTATATGAAAATGCTTGTGTTATTTGTTTAAGTGCAATATGTTACTAACAAAGTGTATTGAGTCATAATTGATTCTTTACAATCACTCCCACCTCTGAACTTGTGTCGGTTTACACAAATCTACGCTGGTTTATATCTGGTGAATCCCTAAGGTTTTAAACAATTCTAAATACTACTTTGGAAAACAATAGTGGCTTCAAAGGTCAGAGTCCAGTGGGTAAGCAAATCATACTTCAGATGGCAGCTGAAGGGAAAAACAAACCAGCCCTGATTTAGGTAGCTGTCTAAGTGTAGCATGCTGAAATGAACACTAAATACAGTTGCTGTAGACTTAGGAGAATATTTTAGAATTTTTGAGAGGAGATACATCTGGTGTTGAAAAATCATGAAATGATTCCTCTTTCAACTAGCAGGTCTCTCATGATGTCAGGAAAGATTTTAAAGAACTACAGAATGGGCCAGGTGTGGTGGCTCACGCCTGTAATCCCACCACTTTGGGAGGCCGAGGTGGGTGGATCAAGAGGTTAGGAGATCAAGACCATCCTGGCTAACATGGTGAAACCTCATCTCTACTAAAAATACAAAAATTAGCTGGGCGTGGTGGTGCACGCCTGTAGTCCCAGCTACTCAGGAGTCTGAGGCAGGAGAATCACTTGAACCCGGGAAGCGGAGGTTGCAGTGAGCCGAGATAGTGCCACTGCACTCCAGTCCAGCCTGGGCTACAGAGGGAGACTCCATCTTAAAAAAAAAAAAAAGAAAAGAAAAGAAAAAAAGAAAAAAGAAAAAAAAAGAACTACCGAAGGATCTATACTGCAGAAGTGATCAGCTTTCCATCTCTTCCACTTGGCCATAAAGTAGTCATTGCTGGGTTACCAATGATTACATCTGTAGTTATGAAAAATCTTGCCTGAATTCTTAGTGAGTAGGTTCATTAATATACATGTTAGTTATGTTTGGAAATTTACATGAAAATTTTTCTGTTTTATTTTACTCAGGGCAACATTTTTCACTATTATTCTTGCATATCATCTTTTCTTATTTTTCAAGTGTTCTTAAATTCCTATAGAAGTTGTGAGGAGGTTGTAATGGCTGTAAATACAAAGAACAAAACAGTACAGTACAATATACAGAGTAATATAGTTGTATAATGCAGTATTCTATAAATGATATATAGTTTCTGGTATTTATGTAGTGACTTTTTTTCTGAGCTACTTCAGATTGAGTTGATAAAAATCATAATTATTGGCCAGGCACGGTGGCTCACGCCTGTAATCCCAGCACTTTGGGAACCCAAGGCAGGTGGATCACCTGAGGTTGGGAGTTCGAGACCAGCCTGACCAACGTGGAGAAACCCTGTCTCTACTGAAAATACAAAATTAGCCAGGCGTGGTGGCACATGCCTGTAATCCCAGCTACTCGGGAGGCTGAGGCTGGAAAATGGCTTGAACCCAGGAGGCGGGGGTTGCAGTGAGCTGAGATTGTGCCACTGCACTCCAGCCTGGGCAACAAGAGCAAAACTCCATCTCAAAAAACAAACAAACAAATCATAATTATTATATAATATTTTATAGGTGAGGAAACTAAAAATACAGAATGTGATATACCTACTCCAAAGTAAATAAATAAATAAATAAAGTCCTAATTGATGTCAGTTCTGTTTTCTATTAGGAATAGTAATTATGTTAATGAAACACAGGTAGCAGATGTATTTTGTTTTACAAGACACTTGTTATTAAATTTTTATCAGGTAATGTCTGTTACTAAAAATCTTCTCTAAAGTCCTGTCCCCGTCTTTTTTGGGGGAGAGGTGGTCGGGGGACCTTCTCTAAAGTCATTTTTTAGGGTCATAAGTTATCAGATGTCTGAAACTCTTGAGTCCTGGATTTAAGTGAATTTCTTTTCTTTTACCTTATATAAAAAGATAGGACGTCTTCAAGGTACCTGCAAAGCTAGATTCTTACCAGATCATCTAAAAATATCTGCTAGCTCTGTTGTAGGTTTCTAAGGGGCCTTGGATGATTCCTGGATGAAAATACATTGCAAATAAAACAGCAGTATCAGTATGTCCAAGAAATGTTTCTTTGGCTTTTTAGAGTAATAAGCTCTTTCCTGTAAAACTCTGGAGAATCTGTTGTCTCTTCCATTTTCCATTAATCTCTTTTTTATTAGAAAAGAATTACAAAAACTGAATTATCAAAAAGCATACTGCAGTAATAACAATAAGTTTAAACGTAGGAAGGAAGTCACTAATGAGCCTATATAATGTAGGGGCTGTGGGTAATCTTTTGACTGCTTCCCAAAAAGCATAGATTAATTCAAGGCTCAGCCTCAGCTTTAGCTCTTTATTTCTTTATTCTGTCACTTAAATCAAATCTCAATTATTGTTTTCCAGTACACTTAATGGTTCAGTATAGGTTAACAATATCCAGTACATAATTTACTGTTAATTATTAAGAGCTGATTGTTCATCTACAGGTAGATTTAAGACCACAAAATCAAAGAAATTTTATAGACATCATAGCTTTGTTTATTTATGGGAAATTTTTATTGTCTATGAAGTTTGTCACTGTTTACATAGACTTAAATGTTAGCACATAAATGCATAATAGTGTGTTGTACATGTTACTGCTTATTTTAAATGTAGAACTGAAGAATGTTTTATCAGTAGGCCATATATCCTGAACCATAAATGGGAACACATGAGCTAATACATGGTGTCATGATGGATGGAACAGCATATTTTTATCAGAATATTTTAAATAAAAAAAAATCTGTTCACCATAAACTATTACTATGACCTAAAATTGACCATTAATAGATTTTACTCAGTTTTGGGCACTTTTTTCAGCGAACAGCAGCCAGGTTGTTCTTGTAAACTTCAGACAGCAAAAAGGTATGACAAGCATGCAAATTGTCTTTTATTTACCTGGCACATGACATTCAATAAATGTTTTCATTTCCTCTATGAACCTCTGTCATCCGTGATAACATTTCGGTATAGCTGATAATGCTGGTACTGCTTTAGGAGAATCTGAACCTTTTGTACTTTGGGGAGCATGTTAAGATATTCCAAGGCGCACATACTGACTCAATTTCACTCTTCAGTCTCAGCTCAAATGCCAGTTTCTCTTCCGACAGGCCTTCTGTCTGATCATTCGCTATTAAAAAGGCTTTCCTCAGTTACTCTGTTTCACATTATACTGTTTATTACTTTCATAGCACTTTTAGAAATCCATAATCATGTTGCTTATTTGGTTACTTATTAAGTGTGATCATGTAAATGAGGCCTTTTCTAACAACATTACTTAATATTGTACATCCACGTGCACACACAGACACATACACACACACTTCCTATCATTTTCCTTAACATTTATCATTTCCTGACATACTATCTATTTTACTTGTTTATCTTGCTTATTACTACTTTCCCCCCTAGAAAGTATTTTCCTTGGGGGCAGATATTTTGTCTGATTCACAGCTGTATCCCCAGTGGCTAGAACAGTGCCTGGCTCATGGTAGGTGCTCAATTAATATTTGTTGAATGAATGAGCTGATAATTATAATGGGAGTGTAACTGCCATGAGGGGAAGGATTCCACCTGACTTGTTTATGGCTATTTGTGTAGTGACTAGTTCAATGCCTGGCATATGGGAACTCAATAAATATTTGACAAATAGATGAGTGAGAAGAGTTATCTGGTGAAGAGAGTGGAGAGAGGACCTTTGGGAAGACCGAGAGCCTGTGTATTTGAAGAGGTGAGAGAAAGCCACTGTGCCCAGTGCTCTCAAATAAACACCACACAAAAGAAACAGGAGAAAAAGGTAGAAGCCAAGTGTAACTGCACCTTATAGGCCACGTTAAGTTTCTATCTTAAAAGCAGCAAGATGCCAGAAAATAACATAATGTCTAAGGCATATTATGTCTTAGGAAACAAATGTAATTCTGTAATCTGGAAAACCCATGTTAGAAAATTAAAGGCTTTTATAAAGTGATCTGTGGTGTCCTCTTTTCCCTTTTCTCTTGCCCTCCAAACACAGCCTACGCAGAGTACTAAAACAGCTCTGCCACTAATGATTCTCCAGTGTAGCAATGTCCTTACTTTTATAGGTAAATATAGAATTTATTCTTTTTATACTAGAGGGTGCTTATAACTCTGAAATGAGATGAATGGAGGTGTTTGTGTGTAAAGGTGTGTGGGCTCCATAATTTTGATTTAAGATTGCAGAATCCCAGTGTGTTGTAGTGGAAACATAACTTATAAAAGGAGAATATGACATAACTTTAAGACTTCACATTAATTTTTACTCTTTCCAGTGGAAATACATTTGTGACCATTGTTATATTTTACTTACAGATCACCAAACTTGAAAGTTTTCTCTTCTACTTACCTCAATTAGATGATTAATGATAGAATAATCTACAAGTGGTTGAGTGCCATATTTGTTCCAAACTTTAAGTGATAAGAGACTTTTAGGATTTAATATTAGAAATGAAGATCAAGAGAGTAAATATAGATATAAATTTGGATTTATTAATTTATAGTAAGAAATCTAGCCACATAGTTTATATTCATTCAATTCCATTGAAATCTGCATATTTTCTCACTGAAACAAACCTACCCAGTAGGCCAATTTATTATTGAAAAATTATTCAGTAAGCCTTGAATAAAAATATGGGGTAGTGCATAGATTATTTTCTTAATATATTAATTAATAACTATAATAATAATGCCATCAAGCTGTGCCTACCTGAATATAGCTCTTTGATGTCAGGGTAACTGCTAGAGACAAGATAGTTGAGTTCTCTGATCAAGGTATCCTTTCCCTGGAGAGTATTTAATAAAAACTGACATGCTTTGTCTCTCAGACTCATGCTTATTCCCTTTTGTTTATTTTATTATTTTATCACCACCAATTAAAAAAGATTCAGTTATTATTGCATTGTTATTGAGAATCATTCTTTCATATAATTGTATGTTAGTTGTACGAGTCTTTTGGGGATATCACTGGCCACCTATACAACTTTTTTAAGAGATACAGACAACTTGGGAGAGGATAGCAGGGAAATACTGAGAAGTACATATAAGGGAATGAGAAAATGAGTTTGAGTAGCCTGTAAAAAAGAAAGCTAAATGTTGGCCTCAAAAACCATTTTCTGGTTTTGGAACACTTATTACAGTTTGATTGCTGGTAACAAATTGTTCTGCTTCCCTACCAAGAGCATAAAATATCCCACAGTTGTCTTAATTTTTACAGCTGGAAGGTTGTAGATTAGGTATTAGGAAGAATTTCAAGTTATTAAATATTGGAATGTTAAACTGAGAAAGATTATAGAATCACACTTTCCTTGAAGATTTTAAGGTGGTATAAATATTCTACAGTGTTGTTTTATACAGGTTTAGGGAATAAAAGGTGTGTAATTATTTTAGCACCTCAATATTCTTTTGAAATCCAAACATATATTTATCAGGCATATACTTGACAAGAAGTTTATTTGATTTTTTTCTTAAATTCTAAGCTAAAATCATAAGTCCATGATCACTTGTATCTTTAAAGATTACTAGTTTTTACCCTGCATTTGCTTCTTAGAGGTTTTTTCTTTTCTTTTCTTTTTTTTAACCATTTAGTCAGTTTTGAATACTTTTAAGTTGGTGATTAGTTATATAAATGGGATTTGTGGATTAAGGGTTTTTTTAGTTTAGTTTTTGGTTTTTTGCCATTCTAGGATCTGTTGTACTTAAATTTCCCATTACCCGTAACATAACAGGATTAAACTATTTAAGGCAAAAATAAGGGTACATTATCCTCTTTCTTCAGATGGCTACTAAACACCTGAAACTAGGCCATAAGGTCACCATATGTTGGTTTTCAATTTTCCTTTGTGTGATCAAATGATAAGTAACCTTTCTAAGCACTGATGCCCCTTCCTGACCTTTAGGGCTCTGCTCTCCCTCTTTACCTTCAGGATCCTTTATTGCAAGCAGCTGTTGAGAGGTGTTACTGATAGGCTAATGTGGACAAAGAGGATGTTTCATATTTAGAATCAAGGACCCAACATGCCTAGAATTTAGAGTTTCCCAAGGGCCAAAAGTGTGCGCATGTCTCTTTTTTAGTCTTTAAACTTCATTTTAAAAAAATTTTAAAGCCAGCCAGCAGCTGTAAACCAACAATAAAATCCTAAGCTCCTCAACCGTTAGACCCCACCTTCCTTCTTGGCCAAGGTTATTCCAAAGTAAACCTGAAAATCTAGTTGAGGCCACGATGGGAAGGTGGGGTCAGACATACCTCATTATACCGTCCTCTCTTTGGAAGGTACAGCTGACCAACATTATCATTAAAACAGAGATCTTAAGATTGATGAAACAGACTCTTTGTAGCAATAAGATACCAAATTCCAACCTGACTCTCGTATAGCATCACATGACGGATAGCAGGCCCCGAAAGAAATGGAAAAATTTTACCCTAAAATCTATTTATTTGGCATATGTTGAAGCGGCCCTGTAGAGCTGTCTCTTGTAGGGAGAAGACACATTCTGCTGAGAATCCCCTTCCCTTTCCAGGTCTTTTCCCTGATCCAGCAGAGAATTAACTGGGAGTCTGGCACCTTTTTAAGTCTAATAAGAAACATTTACAAACTATTCTCTCTGGGAAGCCTGCTACCTGGAGGCTTCATCTGCATAATAAGAACCTTGATTTTCACAATTCCTTATCCTAACCCAGACATTCTCTTCTATTGATTCCAGGTCTTTAGATAATAACTCTTTCAACCAACTGCCAATCAGAAAATCTTCTACTCCATCTATGACCTGGAACTCCCCACCCCTTAAAATGTATAAAACCAAGCTGTAGCCTGACCACCTTGGGCATATGTTCTTAGGATCTCCTGGGGCCATGTCATGGGCCATTGATGACTCATATTTGACCTAGAATAAATCTCTTCAAATATTTTACAGAGTTTGACACTTTTTTGCCGACACAATAAAGACACCATTTTCTCTTCACATACTGCTTTCCTTAATGATATAATAATTGTAAAATGATTTTATTCTTTCATGATGTCACCTCCTCCCCTTGTGTAAGCTGCTAATTTTAATTTTCCTCGGTAAATAGAAGAGTTTCTCTTCCCATTTTTTAGTCTGGTTTAACGTATATAGTTTCTTAAAAATAATGAAAACATTAGAAAAGGTAATTCTAACAATTTTTAGAAATTATACTCTTTGTGAAACAATCATTCCATTCTGATCAAAAAAGCCCTATTTTAGTTCTTTACAAGGTTATTTTCTGCATATTAGGTAAGTTATTTTACATTAGATGATTACCATAAAACTGTTTTCTAAATATATTTTTATTACCCACTTATATTTGTTAATATTTTAAATTATTGTTAATATTTACAAATAGTGTTGTTCATTTCAAAACTCATGTAAACCAAAAATCTGTGAATTGATACTAAAATTTTAAATAAGTAGGAGTATTTTTAAATGTCTTGTTTCTTGGAAGACCTTGAAACACTTTTGTGAAATATGTTAACAGTATCTTTTTAAAATCCACACCCAAGTGTTGATATTACATTTGGAAGTTCAGTAATAATAATGCATAAGTTGATTCCTAAACTCATATATTGAGTGAAGATGTTATAAATTAGTATATAATAGTTATAATTTGGAGATATTGTCCGTTAAAATCAAAGTAAAAAATAGGAGGGTATTAAGTTTAGTGAGGTTTTATATTTTATTGGAATACAAAAGTAAACCATTACTAATCAGCCTTAATTGGCCAGTGACATTTTTCAGTTCTGATACATTTAAGAGAAATGGGAAAGTAGCTTAGGTGTGTGGTGATTATCTGGGACATTGATATCGAACAGAGCTGATTCAAATCTACATCTAGTTAGAACTGAAACAAATTGCTAAATTATTCTGAACCTAAAGTTTCTCACATTTTCTAAAGAGATTACCATGATGAATAAATGAGATACAAATATGAATATGCCTGGCATAGTTGTTGATAGTATACCCTGAAAAAAAATTAGTTCCTTTCTTTTATTCCTGCCTACAACATCCCTACATGATCCCTAAGTGATCATGAAATATGTGCTGAAGTATCTACAGTGATGGGGATTCAGTTTTAGTTCATCATGGTTCACTCTGACTTTTGGAAGATTCTTCTGTATATAGAACTGAAATCTGCTTTTACGCATTGATTGAACTGACTTCTCCTCTAGGTTGTCCTGCATATTTTTTCCCCAGTCATTTATAAAATTGACTTTCTAAACTCTAGGAAAATAGTTCCAGTTTCAACAACAGGACAAATAGTAAACACAATCATTCCTTCAGGTATGAAAACAAGAATGCTAGATAAAATAAAACTAATAAACTCAACTAAATTTAGTTCATTTAGCTACAACATGTACTTATGTGATCAGAAAGGACATAGGAACAGTTGAGGAATGATGCCAGTATAATGCACAAGCCTTGTTTTTTTCATGTGTGAATGTTTCCTAGTATATTAATGATTTGAAGCTATCGGGCAAGCTTTCTCATATTTAAAGATATAGTCTATAGCATTAAAGACTCTTAGAAAGGCCTAAAGAAAGGTCTTTTTATAATTCAACATGGTGGTTGGCTTAGTGGCTTTATTTCCAAAACACTAAGCTCTTTATTGCAGCCATGAGGGCAGATGATGAAGCTGTGAAGATACACATCTTTTGTATCATTTGTGTTATAGTTTAAAAGTTGATTGATAAAGCTAAAGTCTGGATCCAATTCTTAATTTTTATGAAAGAGGTTTCTATTGGAGGCAAATGTCCTCAAAAGCCAATGTCTCTAAGAAGGAAGCATTACAAACCACAGAGATTAAGGCTGCAAAGGATCAGCTGATTGGGATGCTGGGAACAAATGCCAGCAGAGATTTAACTGTGCAAATGCTTTAATGAGGCAAAAAATGGCTCCCATAAGAAACTGAAGCCCCAGGCTTGTGCCTCACATAAGAACAAAGTAAAACCATATACAGCCTACATGGTGCTGACCAAATAAATCAACATGACAAATTGGTTCAGTGAAAACCTTGGGATGTGTGATAGAAATAAATGAAGGTGCACTTCTACAATTCAAGAGGCACAGAATACGCAAAGAAAAAATAATATTCACTGAAGATAAGCTTGAATACAAAATAACAAACAACACGAGGAAACAATCCACCATGAAGTTGACAGATAGGAAGATTAATGATCCAAGAGAAAAAGATAGGGAAATATCTAAGAGAGGTTAAGAAATAGGTGGTTGAAATGAGAAGGTCTAACTTAAGTTAAATAGGAGCTTTAGAAGAAAGAATAGGAAAGATACACATTAAAAGAGATAATAACTAATAGTTTTTTAGAATCAAAGAAAGACATAGAAATCAGAGCATGAATCTCAAGTAGATAAATAAAAAGAACACTTAGATATAGTAATGAAGCCCAGGCAGAGTGGCTCATGCCTGTAATCCCAGCACTTTGGGAGGCCGAGGCAGGCAGATCACTTGAGGTCAGGAGCTCAAGAACAGCCTGGCCAATGTGGTGAAACCCTGTCTCTACCAAAAATACAAAAATTAGCCAGGCATGGTGGCAGGCGCCTGTAATCCCAGCTACTCAGGAGGCTGAGGCAGGAGATTTGCTTGAACCCGGGAGGCGGAGGTTGCAGTGAGCCTAGATGGCACCATTGCACTCTAGCCCGGGTGACAGAACGAGACTATGTCTCACAAAAAAATAAATAAATAAAAGATACAGTGATGAAATTGTCCCAAAGCAGATAGAGAAAAAAATTGGAAGCAACAAGAAAGACTACAAAGGTCGGGTACGGTGGCTCATGCCTGTAATCCCAGTGCTTTGAGAGACCAAGGCAGGAGGATTCCTTGAGCTCAGGAGTTCAAGACCAGCTTGAGCAACATGGTGAAACTCTGTGTCTACCAAAAAATACAAAAACTAGCTGAGCGTGGTGGCATGTGCTTGTAGTCCCAGCTACTTTGGGGGATGAGGTGGGAGGATCACTTGAGCCTGGGAAGTCAAGGCTGCAGTGAGCCATGTTCACACCACTACACTTCAGCCTGGGCTACAGAGTGAGACCCTGCCTCAAAAAAAAAAAAAAAAAAGACTGTAAAGAAGAAACAGCAGTTAGACTGACAAGTGACTTTTCATCAGCCTCCACAGAAGTCAAATGACGATGAATTTTAACACCTTCAAATGCTAAGGTAAGATAAATGTCAGCCTAGTATATTCAATTTAAATATCATTAAAAAATGAGAATACAATTAAGATATTTTCAGAAAAATATGAAAAAGTGTCCCTTGCTAAATTAACTGCTAATGGATGTATGTCAAAAAGAAAGAAATTGGATTCAGAAGATAGTGGTAAGATATAAGAAGAAATTGGCATTAAAAGCACTGGTAAACACAGATACAACTAAACAAACATTGACTATCAAGTCTTGGGCAATGGAAAAAATGCTCAACATCACTAATCATCAGGGAAATGCAAATTAAAACCACAGTGAGATACCACCTTACTCCTGCAAGAATTGACATTATTAAAAAGTCAAAAAACAATAGATGTTGTCATGGATGTGAGGGAAAGGGAACACTTACACATTGCTGATGGACATGTAAATTAGTACCTCAATGGAAAGCATAAAGGAGATTCCTTAAAGAGTTAAAAGTAGGTCTGCCTTTTGATCTAGCAATCCCACTACTGGGTATCTACCCAAAGGAAAAGAAGTCATTATATGGAAAAGACTCTTGCACACGTATATGTATATTTATAGCAGCACAATTCACAATTGCAAAGATGTGGAACCAATCTAAGTGCCCATCGACTAATGAGTGAACAAAGAAACTGGTATATACACCTTGTGGAATACTACTCAGCCATAAAGGGATCAAAGTATGTCTTGCAGCAGCTTGAATGGAGCTGGAGGCCATTATTCTAAGTGAAGTAACACAAGAGTGGAAAACCAAACATTGTATGTTCTCACTTATAAGTGGGAGCTAAGCTATGAGTATACCGAGGCATACAGAGTGATATAATGGACTTTAGAGACTCAAGGGGGAGGGTGGGAGGGGTCTAGAGGTAAACTACATATTAGTTACAGTGTACACTACTCAGGTGAGAGGTGCACTAAAATCTCAAAATTCACCACGGTATAATTCATCCATGTAACAAAAAACCACTTGTACCCCAAACGTTATTGAAATAAAAAATTTAAAAAAAAGTCTTGGGCAGCGGGTCATTCAGAAACTTTTAGACTTTTGTAGGCAAGGAAAATTCCCTTCTAAAAACTAGCAGACAAGGATAGAGATTTCAATTCTTAATTTTGCCAGAAAGGAACATTTTGCAAAGCGTGCCATAAGCATACAGACCCTGCCCTTGGGAATTTTACAGTCTACTGTAACACCAATAAAGTAAAAAATTACAACTTAACAAATAAGGACAGTCCATTAAAATAAAAAGCATTAGTTTTATGGAAAAAAAAAAAACTGTCCAGTCTTGGTATGGTGGCTAACACCTGTAATCCCAACACTTTGGAAGGCCGAGGCAGGAGGATCTCTTGAGCCCAGGAGTTCAAGGTTGCAGTGAGACCTCAAAACGAAATAAAGCAAGCACCTGTTCACATTGACATCATCCTTCTAATTTTGTCAAAGAACATTAAAAACTTTATCATAGAGCAATACCAATCCATGCCATTTGGGCTACATGTCTGACTATAACCTACATTTTCCTCTGAAGTGCCCATGAATTCTAAGTGATTATTATTTTTTTATAAAACCAACATAATGCCTGGTGCATAGCAGATTCTTGATAAATATTCTAGAATGAGTTGGGAAAAAGCTATTACTTTTGTATTGCCAGGCATTCCTCCTAACTGATTGGAAGTTGACCCCATAACATTAGAGATTCCAATTCAAATTTACAGTGTCATATAACAGAAATGTCCTTTAGTGGGGACTGTGGATAACTTCTCTCTCCTTCCTTAAACTCAAGAGCAAGCACAAAGACCCAAATTTCCCTTACAGAGCCTTCCCAAAACAAAATTTAGGATTATCAAGGGGATTCTAACACACAGGTGCTGATTTATTAATTCACAGAGGTTATGAAACTAATCTTAATAAATCTTAACTTCTATCAGGATTCATGAGTATGTGAAAGAGAGCTAGAGCTAAGCTGGTGGATAGTAAAAAGAAAAAAAGAAAATCATTCTTTCTCACTATACTTCAGCACCTCCTATATTTTATTTAGGGAAATCTGCCTACTATGATGGTTGCCATGCAAATTCCCCAAGAGGCAAACAATTTCAGCATCCATTTAACTTTATTAGAGCCTGGAACCTATGTTAGGCTGCTTATTCAGCAACTAATATGCATGTGCAAATGAAACTGACATACCTATGCAAATATATCATCCATGTTCTAGGATTTAGCAGTTTAGAGAAAGAAGTGTATTTCTGAAAGTGTGGAATTGATCTCAAGTTCATTTAGGAAGTCTACTTCTTGTTTACTTGGTATGAAATGAAATTTTCTTTTTATCTTTCAAGAGAGTATCCTTTAAAAGAAAAAAAAGTCTTGGGAAACATTCCGAAATTGGATACCAGTATCTTTCTTATTCAAGTTGAGATTCAAATTGCAAGATCTATCTGAAAACTCTTCAGAGCCTTCTCCATGACTAGTTCTACATTTTGGGAGTGTTCCTCAACATAGAATTCCACTCCCATACTTTAAACAGTGATTTTACTGTAAAAGAGAAGTTAATATGGTAACAAAATTTGAATCCCCAGGAGCCCACCAAGGTAACAAAATGCATTAGAAGTGGAGATCTAGTTTTCAAAATGCATCATTCTCTAAAAGGTAAGAGGGCTCTATTGTGAATCTTCAGATTAAGGTTTTGAAAAAAGTATCTTAAGCACCTGCTACTTTGGGTAGAGATTTTCAAGGCACTTTTGGAAAATAAAGTTTCTGTAACCTGACTAAATAGTGTGTTTTCCTGATAGATGCAATAAGTATCGTCTTTTTCAATAATAGAACTTTCATCGCTTAGTTTTGTCTAAAGTAAACTTTAGGCTTCTTTTACCTTTGTCTAAAGTAAGAATGCAACCTAATAAAGATCACAAAAGATCAGGAGTATCATCCAGGACTATGGATGAAAATTTTTCATAATCTTTATATTAATCTCTATTAATGGTCCTCTGTTTTTATGAACACATTTTTCCTTGAATTTGGATAGATTTTTGATACATGGAGCAATATTTCAAAGCCCTTAAATGTTACTCTTACTGCTTTTTAAATATTAAACTACAAGAATATATTAAGGAATATAAACTAAAAAACCATCTTTTTATTTATTTTATTTTTATTTTACTTATTTATTTGTTTTTATTTTACTTTAAGTTCTGGGATACATGTGCAGAACCTGCAGGTTTAAAAACCTTCTTCTATAGAAAAAGAGTAAAGTAGTATAAATAACCTCTTAAAACATAAACTAAAGCTTTGAAAGAAAAGTGAATTTGTAATATTGGATCGTAAACATGAGAACGTTTTATGTTTATGTTATGATCCACAGTACATGATCCCTTTCTTTCTCTTTCTTTCTTTCTTTCTCTTTCTTTTTTCTTTTCTTTCTTTCTTTCTTTTCTTTCTTTCTTTCTTTCTTTCTTTCTTTCTTTCTTTCTTTCTTTCTTTCTTTCTTTCTTTCTCTTCTTTCTTTCTTCATTTCTCTCTGTCTCTCTCTCTTTCTTTCCATCCCTTCCCTCCTAACTTCCTTCCTTCCTTTCCCTCCCTCCCTACCTCTCTCTCTCTTTCTTTCCTTTTTTTTTTTTTTTTTTTTTTTTTTTTTGACACAGAGCCTCATTCTGTCATCCAGGCTGGAGTGCAATGGTGCAGTTCACTGCAACTTCTAACTCTTGGGCTCAAGCGATCTTCCCACCTCGACCTCCTAAACTGTGGGATTACAGGCATCAGCCACTGCGCCTGGCCCATGCTCTTCTTTTCTAATATTTTGTCTCTCTAGGCCACTAGTTCTCCAAATGGAGTTTAAACATTTTTAGGTATTTAAAAGCCTAATAGGACCAGGCACGGTGGCTCACGCCTGTAATCTCAGCACTTTGGGAGGCCAAGTGGGGGCAGATCACGAGGTCAGGAGTTCAAGACCAGCCTGGCCAACATCGTGAAACCCTGTCTCTACTGAAAATACAAAAATTAGCTGGGCATGGTGGCGGGTGCCTGTAGTCCCAGCTACTTGGGAGGCTGAGGCAAGAGAGTCGCTTGAACCCAGGAGGTGGAGGTTGCAGTGAGCTGAGATTGTGCCACCGCACTCCAGCCTAGGTGACACAGTGAGACTCTGTCTCAGAAAACAAACAAACAAACAAACAAAAACCTTAATAGACACTATATATCTCCTCTCTGCCTGGTAGGAGGCACCCTAAAGAGGAACCCAAAGAGATCCCCTCAATTTTTTATACTCTGTGGGGCACTTCCATTTGTAGGACCAGTTAACCAGTGACATCGATATTTCATTGCCTTAATTCTGATTGTGTTTGTAATGTGAGTTCTTATGTTTTGGGAGTTAAAAGATCAGTTGAGGAATAAAAGCAAAAGGATTAAATGTGATGTTAGTTTACTTTTGCATTTCAGATAATCATTTTTATTATAAATATATATTATACTAAGTTCTAGCTTAAGTTAAAAACTTGTAACATTGGTAATGATGCTAGTTGGTGATTATATATAAAAATAAACTGAAAATTTGACTATTTTCTTCAAAAGGAAGCTTTTTGGGGGCGGTTGAAACCCTTTATGTAGGAATAATATTGAACGGCTTATTTTAAAATCTGATATGTTAATATAGTATTAACAAAAAAGTATTTTATATTGTCAATATTAGAATAAGTGTTGTAATTTTCCTATGCTGAGGTAGGATAATGGAAAATCATAGGAAAGGAGACAACTCCACACAACATACCCAAAGCATTCTATAAACAGCAGCATTTGTTCAAAACCAAGTTTCCTTTCATGGAGGTAGGCTAAATTGATGTACTGAAAATAACGTTGTTAGATTGTGCCTAGGCGTATATGAATGTTAAAAATTACTCCAAAATATACTTCAAAATTTAAAAAATTCATACATTAAATTCTTATCCATTCCATGGTCTATTTTCCTGTTTTAAAATTGTCTTCATTTGAATATTATGGTAGATCTAAGAAGTCATTTTCCTGGCATCTCTTTATTAGTAATTGGTAAGTTTGTATTATTGTATATTCTTGAGTGTAATAAACATATATTTCCTTTCTACATAGTCATTTTTTTCTCCCTATTCATCTATATTAATGAAATTTCTATACACTATTGTAAAAAGATCCTAACTAATATTAAAAGCTAAGATATACTTTATCTGCTAAAATAAGAATTGCAAAGACAAATAGTTAAATGATACTGCAAGATGTTTCATAAAAACCTCCTCCAAAATCCTCAACTGCGATGCTTCAGCAGCAAAAGGTACCCAGGGTCTCTTGAAAGTAATGCAGAGTGACTGTAAGTGTATTTTATGGAAGAATTGGACATGACTCTATTTCTGATCAACTTGCTTTTGCCTTCTTTCCTAGGAAGTGTGTAGAGAGCTCTGGTGTCTCAGCAAAAGCAACCGCTGTGTCACCAACAGTATTCCAGCAGCTGAGGGGACACTGTGTCAAACTGGGAATATTGAAAAAGGGGTAAGCTCAATGATTTACTACCTGTTTGACATGTATACAAAAGTGATAAATTGCTGGTACTGATATTCAACCACCAGGAAGTCTTATATATTCATTTAAAATCTACTTGAAAATAATTAATTCCTAGAACAATAGGTTAATTGTCATACCTTGGTAGCTGCAAATATGCATTATTTAGGAAATTACAGTTGGTAAGTCTATTTTAGGTCAGTTTCACCTTTATTTTGGTATATGTATGTTATATTTGTACCAAAAGTAATGCAACAACAATCTTTTTGTTATGTAATGTAGTCTGTTTACTCATATAACATAGTCTAGTTTTTCTGGTAAATAATTCCCCGGAAAATTATGCAACCCAGAAGTAGACTTTATAACTATAGTATTACTAAAGTCACTTTTTTTTTTTTTTTTGAGACAGGGTCTCATGGTCTCATTTTGTTGCTCAGGCTGTAGTGCAGGGGTACGATCTTGGCTCACTGCAACCTCCACCTCTGGGGCTCAAGCAATCCTCCCACCTCAGCCTCCTAAGTAGCTGGGACTACAGGTACACACCACCACGCCCAGCTAATTTTTGTATTTTTCGGTAGAGACGGGGTTTCACCATGTTGCCCGGGCTGGTCTCGAACTCCTGAGCTCAAGTGATCTGCCCACCTCAGCCTCCCAAAGTGCTGGGACTATAGGCATGAGCTACCACACCCCATCTAAAGTCACTTTTAGATTGCAGTATGAGAGAAGGGACTAGTAGAAAAATAATAATTAAATAATTTATTGAACATAGAAATTAGAGCAAATAATTTTAGATTCATCAATCTAGCTTTCAAAAATATAATTATTAAGACTTATTTAAACATGCTTGGCACAGTGGCCCGCCCCTGTAGTCCCAGCTAAGTGGGAAGCTCGAGTGGGAGGATCACTCAAGCCTAGAAATTCGAGTCCATCCTATGCAACAAAGTGAGAGACTCTGTCTCTAAAAAAAGGAAAAACAACAACAATTGTTGAAACAGATAGTAGCAGTTTGTGTACTACTCTTAAAATTTTATAGGAATTGCTATTTATGTAAATTTAAATTCTAGAATTTATTTCTATAGACTGAATTTGCAATAACTATTACTGTCATCTGTTCTCAGTTCTGACTTCTTCCATGTTAGCTGGGCTAGTTTCAACAAGGATTATGCTGAGTTTCAGCTTGCAATCTGATGTTTAAGTAAAAAAGAATGAAAGCTTTTGGGCAGCTGTCACAGTTTATTAATCCTTGCTGACGGCTTCATTCAGGACCCATGACCTAGTGCCATGTTGATGGCTTTTCCATGCTAAGTTTGGAAATGTTGGTAAATTATGCTAAATATATGAACTGATAGGGTAATTGAAAAAGGATTTAGAATCTTTTTTTTTAAGATATTGTAAGTAGCCAATAAAAATACAAAGAAATTCATGCACTACCAAAAATTCCTTCTATTTTTTTTCACTAAAGTAATAGAAAATATTAGGAATTGCATTCTTGAAACAACAATCCATATTTACTTTGGAACCAATAATTCTTGTCAATTTACCTCAGTCTCTACTTAGAAGAAATACACAACCATAAAGAGGGAGAGTCACAGGGAGAATCTGTTTCTTTATTTGCCATTGATTTATTATTATTCTCATGATCAAGTTCATGGTCCACAGTAAACCACTAGTAGTGGCTATCTGAGAACACATAGCTCAGCTCCACCAGTAAATTATATTGTAAATACGTATTTAATACTGATCATTTGTGCTTAAAGCAGGGCCATCAAATGTCATATCTTATAGCATATATGTGCGTATATATGATAGAGATGATAAATTTCTTGGAAATTACAATTTGAGGGATAACTAGAAATACTCTCAGACAATTTTAAAGCTAATGGTATTGAATTTAAATTTCAATAAGCAAATAGAGAGGAAATGTAATTTGTGTTTTTTTTTTTTTTTTTTTTTTAGACGGAGTATAGCTCTGTCACCAGGCTGGAGTGCAGTGGCACTATCTCGGCTCACTGCAACCTTCACCTCCTGGATTTAAGCAATTCTGCTGCCTGAGTAGCTGGGATTACAGGCACATACCACCATGCCCAGCTAATTTTTGTATTTTTAGTAGAGATGGGGTTTCACCACTTTGGCCAGGCTGGTCTCCATCTCCTGACCTTGTGATCCGCCCACCTCGGCCTCCCAAAGTGCTGGGATTATAGGTGTGAGCCACCGTGCCCAGCCAAATATAATTACTTCTAAGCACAAATAAGAATGATCACAGACAAGAGAAAGTGATAAAATGGGGCAAAATATATTTGATTTCTAAAGATTCACCTTCTTAATCTAGGTTAATCATCAACTTTTTGATCCATAAACCCTTTCTTTAAATGAAGTCTATAGAATTCTAATATATATACATTTGAAAAAAATGGAAATGCTCTGGTTTAAAAAGCCTCTTGCCTGCCCTTTACCCTGTCTTTGGACCTTTGCCAGCTTCTGACATACCTCCAAAGGCCTCCATGAAAAACTATTTAAAAACCTTGTAAATATGGCAAAGTTTATATGTCAAGGGGTCATTTATATTCACAACATAAGAGTGTACTATCATAAGGCCAATATAGCGGATATCACTGTCTAAAACTTATCTACAAAACAAATCTTTGTTGTTTTTCCAGAGACCTGGAAGATAGATAAAGTTTTAGGAATGACACTAATAAGTCTTAAAAAGAATGAATAAATGAATGAAAAAAATACAAATGCAGATTCCTAGAAAGGAAAAGGATAGAGCAGTAGATGGTCCTCAGAATAACCTTATTAACTTTGAACTTATGAAGAAGCTTTCAGAAAACTAAATCAGCCTGCATTTTTAAGAAAAAACAAACAAAAAGAACTAGACACGTGAGCAAAACACTTCTTTATTTTTTATCTTTTACTAACTGTATTGACCATGTTACCTCTTGTATGAATTTTTGTTGTTAATTTTTGTTATTTTTTTCTCCTTAAGAAGGAAGAATATTTACTGTTGCCAAATGGAGATTTTGCCCTTAGGGCTATAATATTTGGAAAGTAAACCAGACCTCAGAATTTTGACCCAGAGCAAAACAGCCCTGCAAAGAGCTATTGACAAAATTAAAGTGGAATTTTCAATTAATCTGGTCAACTTTCTGTGGTTAGTTTGTATACTTGCCATCTAAAAATAATTGACATCCCAGTAACAATAATGACAAAGATGATGAATATTTAAGAAGTACTTACGGCCGGGCCTGGTGGCTTATGCCTACAATCCCAGCACTTTGGGAAGCCTAGGTGGGCTGATCACCTTAGGTCAGGAGTTCAAGACTAGCCTGGCCAACATGGTGAAACCCTGTCTCTACTAAAAATACAAAAATTAGCCGGGCATGGTGGCAGGCACCTGTAGTCCCAGCTACTCAGGAGCCTGAGACAGGAGGATCACTTGAACCCAGGAGGCGGAGGTTGCAGTGAGACAAGATTGCACGCCATTGCCCTCCAGCCTGGGCAACAGAGCAAGACTCCATCTCAAAAAAAAAAAAAAAAAAAGTACTTACACTATGCCCATCACATGTTGCTAAGTACTTTACAATCATTCTTATGTTTAATATTAAGAGAAATCATATGAGGTAGGTACAGTTTTAACTCCATTTTACAGAAGAGAAAAATAAGACTTACTAGCCCTAAATTGAACAGTAATTTAATGGCATAGCTGACATTTCAGCCCAGGTCTTTCTAATTTCAGAGTTGAAATCTTTGCCTCTCTATGCTGACTCTAATTTTACTTTATCTTCACATGAGAAATTTTGCAAAGTAAAAAAGCAATTTTTCATTGTCACGGGAATCAAGTGGGTCACTAAGCCTAATCTAGGTGGTGACAGTGTATTTCGCCCTTTAGTACTAAACAGATTTTTCATTTTTCTACCTGTAAACAGTGTTTCCTTTTAGGAATCACAATAAGAAAGCAATGTGAGTAGAACATTGAGCTAAGCATATATGATTGTGTGACAATTGGTAAAATAATGAATCTCTAAAATGGGAGACAACCAATTTCTATATATTTCGTAGAGATAATATAAGGATAGAATTAGATAATATTTCAGTGAGCTTTTTGCGGGCCTCCTCAGAGGGAAAGTGCTAACATATTACTAGAGTATCATCAATACTTTTCATTGTTATTTGCCAACCTTAAATGATGGTGGGCAGAAAATTCTTTGGCAGACTGCCTTAGCTGGCAGTAGAGAGTATAAGCATGAGTTTGTGTGTCTCCGAGAAATGGATGAAATATTCACAACCTCTGGTCTTAACTCTGAGTTTCAAAACTACTCTCACCAGAAGGAACAGGAAAGAACCTATACACTGTCTAGCCAGCAGAATAAAACCAAAGCTGCTCATAGTTTTCTGAATAAATCTTTTTTTAAAAGGGAGGGGGTAGAAATACTGCTCGAGTGATAGCATAGACATATCCAGAGGATTGAATCCATGATGATCTCGTCAAACTCTGGCTGCAAAAGATATGGGATCCCTGCCCAGGGGCGCAGTTCCACAAATGTTCCATGTAAGTATGGGAACTGTTCCATGCACATTTAACAGATGGAGTAAGAAATATGGCCAAAAAATTAAAAACTGATCTTTGCGTGAGTCCTGGGGGGTCTGACATCGCTATTACAGCCATTGGATGTTCGCCTGAATAAGCCATTCAAGGATTGAATAAGAACCATATGGTCTGAATGGATGTGCTCAGGGACAGTAGCATTAACCAAAGGAGGAAATTTGATGAGCCCAGACGGTGCGCTGGTACTGTGTGTCTATGGGTCAGTCTCCTACAAATCAATTAATATAACTTTCAGCCAGAGAGCTTTCCTTGGATACAGCATCAGCAATAGCCCTTTGGACAGGAATCAGAGCAATGCCATAATTGACGAAATAGTAAATAAGGATTTAGATTGTAAAAACTTTGATAGTAGTGTTGGCATTGTTACTGAACAGGATATTAAGGATAATCAAAACCCAATCCTTGTAATCCCTGTTGGTGACCACAAAGAAGGCTTCAAATACTGGCTTATAGCCAATAGATTGATTTAATGACTCTACAAGACCCAATTAGAGATATAGCCCAGTATTTGGGTTTACATGTAAGTGACATTGATTCCTAATATCTTTCCATAGGAAACACAGGGCTGGATTAGAATAGTATTATTAAATGCCCTTCTAAAGCACTGGATATATAATAGGACGTTTGCAGCCTTAGTTCTTAATTTACTTAGGGTAGAATACAGTATGTTTTGACTGGTTCCCAAACTATAAACACAGGAAGTGAAGAAAGAATAGTTCTTCCAATTGCTGTAGAAATCTAAATAGTATGGGATGACAACTTCTGATTTAGAATTTGGGCTGAAATGTAGCTTTAGCATTCCTGCACCTGCACAGTGGAAAGATAAGGCTTTTAATAGTGCTGTGCTCCAACACTCAGCTCTTCTGACTTGGGAAGAATGTTCTGTATTGAATCACTAATATTACTTCCTGCAAAATCTTAGAATTTCCTTAGAGGTCTCTTATTCCAAATGCTGCCTGGACCCAGTACTGGATATTAAAAGGTATACCATAATCACATCTAGAAAAAAATTTTTTTTAAATACTGCATATACTCATCTTGAAGTTTTCCTTCATGGAAATGTGACAAATTTTCAAAGTTAAATTATTTGATTTATAATGTATCTTTCTTAAAGTCCCTTGATGTAGATCATAATATTTAGTAGTATAATAGCAAGAGATGTTGTTTAATAATAAGTAGTGTTTCTAAAGAAGGCTCTTAAAGCCTGACTGGAATATACCATCTTTCTAGATTGTGTTGAAAACATTTATTTAATTTAGAAGAAATGTGAAAAGCAATAATGAACAATATAAGATTTTATTCTTGGAAAAAAATATGATGGCTTCACTTCTTTAACCTTTATGAATGTGGTTAAACATACCCCAATTAGCAAGAAGAAGGCCAAATTTATCCAATTTATCCGGATAATTTAGACTAAAGTAACATGACTGTTATTTAGAATAGTCCAAAATCACTAGATTGGATAACCTTTGAAAATAAAGATTAGAAACTTGTTTGCATCTACATATTTAACTTTTCTAGTTTAAAACGTAAAGTAAAATTCTATCTCTCTGTAAATAGAGCTTTTACAGGTTTGGTAACTTCAGGTAAAAGAAAGAGTAAAAACAGATGGCACAACACTCAGAATCTCATTATTATGTGGTTATAAGATTTATATATTCCAAGTTGCTTTATTTGGTGTAATCTAATTATTCTACTCATTATTTACACACATTAAACTCTTAATTTATATTGATTAATGCAATCAGCTAGAAGAGTCATTCAAATCACTTGATCCACATGAAGTCCCCATGGGCTTCTTAAAGCCCTTTTGTTAATTAAATAAGTTTCTTCTCTTAAAATCATATACTACATTGATGTTTACTACTACCAAAGGAGAAAAGTAGCCATAATTATAAAGAGATCCATTTTTATAAATAACAAAGGAGGAAAACAAAACACGAACACTTCTGCAGAGATCAAAATCAAACAAGTTGTTCCGTAGGTTTTTAACTTTTTTGAAGGTATGTATGCGTTGAACTATTTTAAAAGTTTCCCTAATCTAAACCATATTGGAATCAAGAACTAAAATTAGTTTCCATTTTATAGTTAAGGAAACAAAAGAGAAGAAAGAAAAGTGACTTGCTTTGGATCAAAGATATTGCTAGAACTGAAGTTTGTAACATAAAGTCCTACACAGACCAAAGTTGTTAACTTGTTAGCTAGTTAACTAAGTTGTTAACTAGTATTAAATTAGAGACTACACTCTTGTCAACTGCTAGGTGACTGATACTTATATTACAAATTATTTACCCATTAATGTTTGTTACTTAACTTTCTGATAAAATTACCTATTATGATATAGCTCCATGGAATAGATATAACCAAAGCATGAATTTATGCAGTATAAGGCCTTTTAGCAAACCATTTATGAAATACTACTGTTGTGTAGACTTTAGTGATGAACACTGAGCAGCATTTTACGAAGTGAATATTGTATTTATCATTTACCTAAAGAATGACTTTAGTTCATGTGACTTTTCTCACTGCCCTACATTTTGTGAGCATTCTAGAAATGTGTAATAATATTAATAAATACTTTGGAACCTACATCTTTAAGTATTCTTGTAGCTCTCACAATTCTTTTGTCACCTGACAAATGAAAAAACCTGACTATTTTTTCTCTACAAATCATAGGTATATACAAAGAGGTCTGAAATAACGTGTATCTACAGCTGTGTTTAAAAAAAAAACTCTAGTATTATTTTGTATTTTATGTAGTTATAAAAATCCAGTAAAGCATGTTATTCTTTAATGTCTTCAAATACATAATCATACACCTCCAATGGATTTTTTTTTACCACTAATTTTTTTACGTATTTTAGACAGATAATCCCTTTTCTACTAGTATGTGATCTTGGGCAAGTCAATTCCTTTAGGTTCTGGTGTCCTCATCTGAAAAACTGAAGTGCTTAGGCCTTATGAATTCTGAAGTTCCTTTGAGCTTTAGATTCAACTCTGTGATTATATAAAATAAATGTAAAATCAAGCTTTAATGTTATTTGAAATCAATAATGCTAAGTTTCCAATTTGAAAAAATAGGCATGTTTTAAGATTTGAAGTTTCTGAAAGTGTCAGTTCTCATTAATTGCAGACAGGGAAAAAAAAAAGCAGTTAATTGCTGGCCAGGACTATACTGCTCAGTTATTTGCATAGGAAAACTGGGTGCAAACATAAATATTTTTACACACAGTTACTTGTAGTAAGAAAACCACAAAACTGGAGATTATTTGGCCAGATGTTGTGACTTTTGTATAGGTGCAGATCTGATGCAATTAACATATCACTATAAAAATTGTTCTTCAAGACCAACTAGCTAAGTCGTAAGTTTTCAAGTGGAACATTTTCTCCTTCTCAAGTATACATTATCAGTAACCCTGATCACAGGGTTGATACTATATTATTGGTTTAGCCAGCTGCCTCTTCTTCATCATTCTGAACAGATGATCTTTTTTTCTTCATGATAATTTTTATTGCTCAAAACTCAATAATCTTTCTTAATATCCTGTTTTAATATATATCAGACTTAGGGTCAGATATTCTTCCCTACAGCCAAGGAAATGTTAACTTCCTCTTGCCTAATTTTTTATAGACAAATAATTGCTCAGCACTGCTCTAAAAAGTCCGTTATGCTGTTACAACTAGCACAGCTCATTGATTGTCAATTTGGTACCATCTACTAGGAAACAAATATGAATTTGGTTTCTTTACCCTCCAGTATCTCCAGTTCCTTCCTGCCATGTGATAACCAAAATAGGACACAATTCCTTAATTTAACTACTTATTAATTAATCTAATTAATTTTTGTTGCATACATACTATGTGCCAATTAATTAATCTAATAAATTTTTGTTACATACACACTACATGCCAAGTGCTATTCTAGGCATTCATTGTTTCCAATAAAACGTTTTGTGGTGATGCAAATGTTCTGCATCTGCTCTGTCCAACATAGTAGCCACTAGCTACCTGTGGCTAGTGGGTCTGAGGAACTGAATTCTTCAATTAATTTAAATTTAAATAGCCACAAGTGACTCTTGAGGCTTTTACATTACAAAGAAGTAATTTGATAAGTAAACAGGGCAATTTAAAGTAGTGGTAAGTGGTAAGAGGGAACTAAAGCAGTAGGACAGAATCACTGTTACATGGTCTGGGAGCAGGAAAGGGTATTGAGGTATCATTTTAGAATGAGGATGGTCAAGGAAAGATCTCTCTGTTGAAATGACACTTGACCTGAGACTGAAAGATGAGAAGACAGCAGTAGAAGGAATTGGGAACAAAGCATTACTAGAAGGACCAGTAAATTCAGATGCTCTAAGGAGGAACAAGATTAGTGTATGAAGGTGGAAATCCAATGTGTCTGGAGTAATCTGTGTAAGAGAGAGAATGGGGCTGAGGAAGGAGGCAGGGGCTAGATCACTAAATCTACTGTTGATCAGTGTTATGGAAATAGGAAACCACTGAGTTTTTTTAAGCAAAAAGGTGGCATAATGTGATAGCATGTTTTTAAAAGATCTTTCTAAATGCTCTCTGGAAAATAGATTCTAGGAGAAAAAAGTAGAAGCACAATGATCAGGTAAGAAGCTACTCCATTTGCCAGTTTGATCTAGAGTATAGCGATGAAGAAGGTGAAAAGTAAAAGAATTCCAGGGATATTCTGGAGATAAAACCAACAAAGCTTGGTGATAGAATTAGTATAATAAACTGATCACTTTCTAAGTACCACATCATGATCCCTTTTCATTTTAATATAAGGTTGAATTTTTATTAAACAACCTAACATTGATGACATTTGTTCAACTTTGCTGATAACCATGTTCCTTATTGTTATTCATATAAACAAATGACTTTCATAGTAGCATTATTTTGGTGTGTCAAAGTTTGATAATTTGAAAAATGCATCAACAAAAGTCTACAAATGCTTGGTTTAAAAAAGACTTTCATTTTGCCATATTCTGCAAATAAGATTTATCATGCTAGAGTTATGAGTTGATTTTGTGATGTCTGTGTCTCAATAAATTATTCCTGGCTTTCTACTTAGGTGCAGTATGTGTGGTTTATTACGGAGAGTAGAGCTGAGCAGAATTCCAGTACATATGTTCATGTGGGGGCCATACACATGGCTAGTCAGTGTATACAAGGGTTTTTTTGTACCCAGTCCCTAATGTCTTGGCATTACTTTTATTATGTCTGCAGTGCTCATGTAGATGAAATGCCACAACACATTCTTTTACTATTGTAGCCTCAACCGGCTTTTTTTTTTTTTTTTTTAAGAAAGAGCAATTACCATCATAAAAATTCCTTACTGGGGAACCTTCCATATTGCGTTATCATTCCATGAGTCTAATAATAGTGAAATATAAAGAAAAATTTTAAATAAAATACTAAAATATCTAAAAAAGACTTTGAGGTCTATAGCTAGCTCTATAATGAGAAACACTAAAAGTCAAGAGGAATAGAAACAAGGGAAAAGAAGCAATGTGACTTTTTTTTAGAACTCCCAATACAGGTTAGAGGCTTATAAATCATGGTCTAGCTAAGATAATTCGCAAGTCACATGCACATTCACCAGTGTCTAAACACAGTTAGAGAACTATCTGTCTGTTATCAATTGGGAGAATGCTAATGCCTATAGTTGGTCAGTACCTGACCCTTATGTATTTCTATCCTGATAGCTCTATCTGCCTAAAAGCTAATTCTGTGTTTTCTGTGAAATCTTGCAGTGGTGTTATCAGGGAGATTGTGTTCCTTTTGGCACTTGGCCCCAGAGCATAGATGGGGGCTGGGGTCCCTGGTCACTATGGGGAGAGTGCAGCAGGACCTGCGGGGGAGGCGTCTCCTCATCCCTAAGACACTGTGACAGTCCAGCGTAAGTAGCTAAAGTAAGCCGGAGCCAACAAAAAGACACAGTTGGAAATGATTCAAAGCTGTGGTTTCACATGTTATCTGTAAAAACGTTTCGCTAGTGAGCCAAGTACTTGTCTTCAGAACAAGCCATAGGCACAGGAAAGTGGAGGAGCTTTGTTAGACAGACTTTCTTCTTCTTCCTTTCCCCTTATTGTGTAACCAAAAATAAAATGTAAAAAATAGAAAGTATTGTGTATCTGTCCCAGATAAGCCAGACTTTTAATCTAATAATAATCAGATTTCCTCCTCCAAAAACTACTGAATTATGGATGAATCCAGATCTGGTCTTAGCTACATTACTATTATTCCCAGGAAACCTAAGGTCTTTTCACATGTCACATAAAATTATTACTGCTACATCAGTATTAAAAGGACCAATGAGAGCACTTCAAGGGTTGAAATGCCTTGATTCGCATCACAAATCACAATGAAAAGAATACTGCCCATGTGTTAAAATAGTTTCCATTCATATGCCCCCATTAATCATCTTCCGGAGCTGCCACCACTTTTCTCCCCATGACTGTTTTATGCAGGTCAGACTGCACCTCTTCCACCACTGTTTTCTCCAGCCAGAGTCCCCCTGGCACAAGGCCAGCACCATCAGTATTCTTTGCTAGCTCTGTTGCTTCTCCCTCCTACCAGTGCTCCATGCCCATTACAGGTGAACGGTTCCTCTAGTTGTACTTTCTTGTCCTCCCTGAGACTAAACTGTTCTTTGGCTGCCGCATGTCAAGTGCCCATTTTTGTCTAGAACGCTGGTTGAGGACCTTCTTTCCCAGCTAGTATTTGATGGAGAATGATGTTATGATAACGGCTTTTCCTTTTTTTTTTCTCATTCTGAAATAAAAGATGGTCTATTTTTATTTTTTAGTTTTTCTCCATTTTTAACTCAGGATCCCTCTCTTTGGTTCCTGTCTCCAACTGTCTTTTTTCTTTTCTTTTACTCTTTTTAGCTTGTTTTGCTTTATGTTAGTTCTGTGTTTCCATTCTCCCACTTCCTATCAATTATTCCTCTCTTGCTAAACAGAGCTTCCTGTTACCCATTCATAAACCAGTCATGCTACCACCATCCCCACTATCTTGTTTTTGTCTGACCAACCCATTTCTCTCAAGCTGGTTCAAGCTGAGCCATTTCCCTTCCTTACTTAGAGTCAGCATTCACTGGCATTCAAAATATATTCAAAATGTAGCTTTAATGATCCCATTGATACCAGTGAGCCAAAATTATAATTTAGACTTGATCTTTTTAAAAAAATTACAGAATAACTAACGTAAGTTCAACTGAAAGCTGCTATAAATTAATCAAAGTATAAAAAACCCTGTGATAAATAATATACCCAGATACTTAAGGGAAAAAACTGGACCTCTTTTAAAAGAAGAAATTAGTTGTTTTTATCACTCAATGGTAGTATGCCCAAATAATAGCAATGGTTTTCCCTAATGTTAAATCCTTTAAAGATTAACTTATATTAGTCAAATATTTGACGTCTTACTGTTTCATTAATTTTGGTGAAATATAAAATATTTAGTATTTATATAATGCAAAGCCATCTGATTTTTAGATTTAAATTTTTAAACTTCATGGACTATTTTGAAATAAGATGGAAATTTGTTTTTGCATTATTCACTTTGAATGAAAGCTATTTCCAAGGAGTTATTTCATGTCTCCTTGCTTCCTGTCTGGAGTAAAAACAAACTTTCCATTTCCTAGTTGGTGAACATATAGCATCAGATTATGGATTTTGTTGAATATGATTTAAATGGCTTTTCATTATAAATAAGTGATTTTTACTATGATAATTAGAAAATATATTGATTCAATTGATTTTCTTGAGAATGTAAATCATGACAATTAAGAATCTTATAAATTACTAGTAAATTAATACAAAATTAATAGTACTATTAATAAAATTAATAATAAACTGCCTTAATTTTTATGTTCAACAACCATAATTATTGCTAACAATCACCAGCATGATTACTTTAATAATTAAAACATGTCAAATGATATATTTTTTGAAAGTAAACTTTAGTATGTTTTCATCAAGTAATATATATACTCTTTGTATGGACAGATGTATTAGTATTCACATTTTAAACACAATGTTTTTTCAGACCTTCAGGAGGTGGAAAATATTGCCTTGGGGAAAGGAAACGGTATCGCTCCTGTAACACAGATGTAAGTAAAACCAAACTCTGTTATGAAAAATTAGCTTACTCTTTCCCTAGAGTAGGGAAATTTTTTTAATTTTAAACTATTTGATAAGAAATACATGTGTGTGAAGGTCACATTAATTTTCTAAATTGTTAATAATGAATGGAGCTGGCCTCAGCTCCATCAATTCCATTAATAAGGGTCAAGGGGGAGCTCCAGTACTGGGAACAAGTATATTCTTCCCCAACAGATATCAAGAGAGGCACACACACCCTGAACTGCCCTGCCCCACACACTCACAACTTCAACACCACTATCTTTCTTGACTCCACAGAATTAATCTTATTATGCCCTTTATTCCATTTTATGTTTGCCACTGCAAGAAGCCCCAGACTCCTACATTATCCCTCATCCAATAGATAAGATGCTGTATATTTCCTCCTCTGTTCTGTTTTGTATCCCTGCCCAACTACTGAAACTTCTTCTGTACTTTCAGGAATTCAAAACCCCTAATACTCACTTCTCTGAATTTTCCTTCCTTTCACCTTCTTACTTTAATGGAAACTAGCTCTTCCTCTGAAGATATTGCTTCTCCTATAGTCTTCAAACTGGGTAGGCTTTTGTTTTCTCTCTTAGCCCTTGAATGACTGAGCCTCAAAGTGGATTGACAATGTTTATATCTCATTACTCCTCCAGATCACTCTTCCTCCCCCTATCTAAAAACCACAGCTTTTAATTAATGTCATTAGACTGTTAACATTTTCATGCTTTCCACCTCTACTACTGTCTTAATTCTTGGTGATTTTATAAATATGCAGATGATTGTTCACTTCTGAATTTTTTTCATAAACATACAAACATTCTCCTATCTGTAAACAAACAAACCAAAAAACCATGCTAGTTATTTTCCCATTGCCTTGTTTCCCATTGAAACAAAATTTCTCAAAAGACTTGTCTGTACTTACTGAATCCATTTCCTCTCTTCACATTATTTTTTCTAGAATTGCTCCTATCAGGTTTTTGCCTTGATCATTCTATGGAAATACTCTTGTTAAGTCACAGGTGATTTCCATGCTGTTAAATCTAATAGTCAATTCTAAGTCTTCAGCTTACTACTTCACTTTCAATAGGCTTCCGGGAAACTACAACATTTTAGTTGTTCTTTTACATTAATGCTTACTCCTCTTCCTCCTTCATTGGCTCCTACTCTTTTTGTTTGTTTGTTTGTTTGTTTGTTTGTTTGTTTGAGACAGAGCCTTGTTCTGTTGGCCAGGCCAGGCTGGAGTGCAGTGGCGCCATCTTGGCTCACTGTAACCTCTGTCTCCTGGATTCAAGCAATTCTCCTGCCTTGGCCTCCCGAGTAGCTGTATTACAGGTGTGTGCCACCACACCTGGCTAATTTTATATATATATATATATACACTTTTTAGTAGAGACTGGGGTTTCACCACATTGGCCAGACTGGTCTCGAACTCCTGACCTCAGGTGATCCACCCGCCTCGGCCTCCCAAAGTGCTGGGATTACAGGTGTGAGCCATCATGCCCGGCCAGCTCCTACTACTCTTTACTCTGACCTCAATGTTAGAGTACCCAAGAGTTAGTCAGTGGCCTGTGTCTCTGCTCTACCAATACTCCTTTCTTTGGTGATCTTATCTGGTTCCATTGCTTTTGTACCATTTATTTGCCATTTGACCCAAAATTTATATCTTCAGCCTGTACTTCTTTCATGAATTCCAGGTTCATATCTTATATTTAAATAGACTTTTAATGGACATCTAATGTTTAACATGTCCAACTGTTATCCCCAAAACATTTTCTCTACTCGTTCTTCCAGCAGTTTTTCCCATCTCAGATGTAACTCCATTTGGCTTACACCAAAAATCCTGGAGTCTTTCTTGACACCTTTTTCTGTCTCATAGCTTATATCCAATTCCTCAGGAAATCCCATTAGTTTTGCCTTCAAAGTATATGGTAGGTGCTGCCTAACTTCACTACTGCTGCTCTGGTCTAAGTTACCATTATCTTTCACAGGATTACTCTAATAGCCTTTTATGAGGATTCCCCTTTGCTATCCAGTCCTCGATATAGGAGGCAGAGTGAATCAGATTATCTTTTACTCAAAACCCCTCAATGGCTCCCCATTTTACTTAAATCCAAAGTCGTTACAATGGCCTGCAAGGTCTACACAATCTGGCTTTCATTACTTCTCTGAACTCATCTCTTACTATTTTCTTTCTCGTTATCTCTGCTCCAGCAACATAGGTCCCCTTCCTTAAACATGCCTGACATGCTCCTACCTTCGGGCTTTTGCAGTGACTATTCCCTTTGCCTTGTGTACTCTTCTCCCAAAATATCTGTGTGGTTAACTCTCTCGCCTCACCTTTACTCAACTGTCACCTTTTCAATGAGACCATTCTGAGTACTGAACTTAAAATTGCAACCCTCTCCACTCCCTACAACTCTAGGACTCCTAATCTTCCTTACCCTACTCTATTTTCTGCCCTTCTATCACCTATATAGTTGATTTGTCATATTTAATTCTATTAAAATTGTATTTTGGAGTATTTTGGAATAATTACATGTAGCTTCAATTATGATGATCTTTTAGAGTTACCAGTATTATTTATTCATTTGTTTAAAAAATAATTGAATGCCTATTGTATATTAGACCATGCTTGGGTGAGAAAGACAATCTCTGCCCTCAAAGAGCTTATAAATTTATTGGGAAATCACTTAGGTACAGACAATTATAATACAGAGTGGTAAGTGATATGATGGGATTCAGTATGGGATGCTATAGAAGTGCATAGAATGGCACCTAACCTAATTAGGGACTTAAGGACTTTGTCCCACAGGAAGCTAGAGACATGAAGGGCAAATCTAAGGAGACCAGAAAAAAGTGAAAATGAGAGCATCTTAGAAGGAAAATTAAGTGCAAGGCCTAGAGGCTAAGAAGTGTGATCTTTATCTTGGGACATTTGAAACCATTGAAAGAGCCTCAGATTGATGCTTTAGATGAGAATGGATTGGTGAAAGACAAGATTACAACAGAACAATAAATCAAGAAAAACGTAAGGATATTGGTAAGAATGATTGAAGTGCTGAGCCATGGGCTCTGCGCTAGGAATAACAGTGGAGTCCAAAGAGGGCTAACAGGGAATAAATTAAGGACCTAACTTAAAAAGCCATAAAAATCAAAGAACCAGAATAGTAGGAAATACAGGGTGAGAGAGATAGAAGGTGAGGAGATCAGAGAATGAAATGTATTTGAATTAAAGATATGACAAGTGAGAATATTCTCAATGATGACAAATCTGGAGTGTGGCCATGGGAGTGTGTGCCTAACTTGACTGGAGGTAAAGGAGTTCAAAGAACTTAAGTCTTGAGAGGGGGACCTTTAACATATGGATATTAAAGTCACTCAGGATGCTACTGGAACTTAAAATATAGGGTAATACTGTGAACAGGCTATCAAACTCCTTAATAAATGAGAAAGCAAGGCACAGTGGCTCAGGCCTGTAATCCCTGCACTTTGGGAGGCTGAGGCAGGCAGATCTCTTGAGTCCAGGAGTTCAAGACCATCCTGGGCAACATGGTGAAAACTTGTCTTAAGCAAAAAAAAAAAAAAAAAAAAAAAAGAGAGAGAGAGAGAGAGAGAGAGAAAAAGTGACCCTTATTTATTAAACCAGATAGGGGTGAAGCCAGATAGTGATTTGGATGAACGGTGTGAATCTCAGAAGAATGGAAGTTTTATATAAGGGTAGAAGAACTGAATACCTATCTACAATATATCACACTTTTAGGTAGAAGTGAGAAAAAATCAAACCCACCTCTCAATTCCCAACTCATTCCATTATTATATAATTGCAGGGTTGGGCGTACATTTAGACCCTAATGATATATGTATTATATACTGTAATGTGAATAATGGTAACAGGAAAAAAATGCCAAACATCTCAGCTTGTTGCATTTTATTCATGAGTTATATGTTAGATGTTCAGATTGTAGAACTTACTATTGGTGGGTTGAGATTTCTATTACTGTCTTTGTCTTCTGTTTCATCTTTCAGCAGATTATAAGGAGATACAGTTAACATAACTATATTATGGATACATATATATTTATGTTTTCTTCATTAATATTGACTCTACTAGCTCAGAACTTGAGGCAATTCTGCTGTCATACTAAAATGTATTTTCATGCTATCCAAGTTAATAAAGTTGTCTGAATGTAATTTTGTTTAAGCTGGGGCTTGCTTTAATGTAATCTAATATATAAAAATTTACCAAATACCTAATCTACACTAGCACTGTCTAATAGAACTTTCTTCAGTGATGAAAATATTGTATGTGTGCACTGTCCAGCCCGATAGCCACTAGCCAAATTAGCTATTAAGGACTTGAAATGTTGCTAGTGCAGCTGAAGAACAGAAATTCTAAGTTTAATTAGTTTTAATTTGAACAGCCCCATGTGGCTGGTGGCAACCATATAGGACGGTACAGAGCTCGACAGTCTAGCTATGCAACAGAAAAATTCTCGTTATAAAGAAGATTGTAAATTTTATGTGTAAAATTCTCAAAACAAATCACTGTTAGCTCATAAAGGGTTCACACCTGTAATACCAATTACTCAGGAGGTTGAGGTGGGAGTATCACTTGAACCCAGGAGTCTGAGGCTGCAGTGAGCTATGATCACACCACCACACTACAGCCTGGGTGACAGTGAGACCCTGACTCAAAATAAATAAATTTTTAAAATTAAATTAAAAAATGAATAAATACATAAATAAATGTAGAGAGACTTCCATTTTTGGTCATGATAGACTAGGTTATTCTGACAAAATTTTTTTTAATTGCTCAGTAAGATTTTTTTTTTAATCATTTAAAAATTAGCAAAGAACTGACAAAATAATGAAGGGGATGCCAGGAGGTCAAATTCTATGAGAGAGGGGAACATAAAAAGATAAGTAGAGCATCCAAGCACCTAAGGTACTTCTGCCCTGATGATATTGAGAGGAAGAGAAAAGATAAACTGTTCCAGTGTTGTTTCTGAAGTATTACGAAAGTTGTCCCCGGATCTCCTCCCCTGCTCCTCAGCAAATTTTTTTCAGGTTTTCAAACATCACATGCTCTCAGCCATAAGTGGGAGCTAAGCTATGAGGATGCAAAGGCATAAGAATGATGCAATGGACTTTGAGGGCTTGGGGGAAAGGGTGGAAGGGGAGTGAGGGATAAAATACTACACACTGGGTGCAGTGTCCGCTGCAGAATCTCAGAAATCATCACTAAAGAACTTAGGCATGTAACCAAACAGCACCTGTTCACCAAAAACCTATTGAAATAAAAAAATTAAAATTAAAAAAAAATTTCTTCAAGTTTTATTTGCCAGGAGGTCACTGTGGCCACCCTTAAAGCAGCCATTGACAAAAGGAATGAGATTACCAGAATTGGTTTAGATTAATAGTGATTTGCCCTAAAATGGGGTTAGGGTCACCCCTCCTGAGAGGTAGATTCGTAAGCAAAATATCGAACTTCTATTAGCAAGAAAGCAGAGAGTAATGGATAGTGGGTACGCCACAGGTGTCTACCTCAGAGCTATTTTAATTTCTATCTTTACTAGTAGAAGTAGTAGCCACAGATGTAGTGGTAGTAGTAGGAGCAACTGCTGCTGACATTTACTGAGCACTACTATGTACCAAACATATTATTGTAATCATATTCTCTTCCCATACTGAGAGAAGTTCTCCTCCTTCTTGTCAGTAGTGAGTTGGTTTGGTGGAGTATTTTATATTTCCATTCTTTCAACATAAATCTAGAAAAACTATGATAATATAAAGTTTTGGTATAGTTTGCTCTGTTACAAACTTGCTTCTGCAACACAAATTATCTTCTATTTGATTGTTATTTTGTGATATTAAATAATATAGCAGTGGGAGTCAAACAACATCAGCATAGCTGAGGAGCAAAGGAAAATTGGACTGCACATGATGACCGTTCACCCCACATTCTATTTTTTGCTCAGTTTGGCCACGTGCAGCATCATAGGAGCCCTTATTATGTGTTTCTGCCTGTTCTTCCTACACTGGCCTCCTGTTTCTCTAACTCAACAGTCTCAACTGATAAGCTTTCCTTATTTTTTCAAGTTTTTAAAAAGATAAAATCTTACATTTACTCCAGTATTTCTTTGCTAGGAATTTGCCATGTGTTTAAAATATTGTGCTAGCATTTTATTAGAATTTTTTCTTTTTGTTTTAATGCCCTGTCTTTGAATCGTCTGCCTCTAACCCAATTTTTCCCATATGCCTGCTATTTTTAGTGTGCAATTTTGCGGAAAGAGATTTTTCATGAATGCGTGTGTCATATTAGAGCAGAAGCGTCTACATTTTAAAAATCTATTCTAACAGCTTCTATTATATAACCTATGGAATTTAATAATAAATCATAAAAGGTGAGGTGATTGGAGTTAAGACTGAGTAATGTGGCCGGGCGTGGTGGCTCGCTCCTGTAATCCCAGCACTTTGGGAGTCCAAGGTGAGCAGATCACTTGAGGTCAGGAGTTCGAGACCAGCCTGGGCAACATGGTGAAACCCCTTCTCTACAAAAAATACAAAAATTAGCTGGGCATGGTGGTGCGTGCCTGTAGTCCTAGCTACTTGGGAGGCTGAGGTGGGAGGATTGCTTGAGTGGGAGGATCACTTGAGCCCAGGAAGCGGAGGTTGCAGTGAGCCGAGATCGCATCACTGCACCCCAGGCTGGATGACAGAGTGAGATCCTGTCTCAAAAAAAAAAAAAAAAAAAAAAAAAAAAAAAAAGATTGAATATTGTAAGCAAGACTTTAGTATTTTCCAGTTAACAAAGAATAGGTGTTACTATTGGAACAGTATGGTATTATGTCTGTGTTCTTTAAATTAACTTTGATGCTTTTTCTAAATGTGTAATAGTTTAAATGTTCTTTTTTCCAGTGATGCCCAGGTGTCTGTTATGTGTGAGCCACCCCAATTTAAAGGATTTAAAAGAATATACCTTTCTTTTATCAAACCAGCTTCCTGCCTTAGTATATATTTTACATAATTTAATACTATGCATATCATGCATATTGAATGGTCTTATAAATAAGATTTGAAAGAAAACTTTCCAACTAGTTAAAATTAATTTGACAGTCAAGGACTAGATAACAATCCATAAGCGTTTTTGGCTTGGTCATTTGCGATCCCAAAACTTTTCTTGAAACTTAATTAGAAGTAATACAGTGAATAAGTTCAAATGATCCTGGAAGAATTTTCTAATCAGTGCTCAAAAAAATAAGATAATGTCAGATAGCCAAACAAGCTGGAGAACGAGAGTTCTTTATTTATTGCCATGAATCTTTGAGACTTGCTGTGTGTTTTCTAATGTATGCTCAAAGTGTAAGTTACAATAGAAAATAGAAAATTGGCTGGGTACCATGGCTCACAGCTGTAATCAATCCCAGCACTTTGGGAGGCGGAGGCGGGTGGATCGCTTGAGCCCGGGAGTTTGAGACAAGCCTGGGCAACATGGCAAGAGACCATCTCTACAAAAAATACAGAAAGTAGCTGGGCATGATGGTGCATGCCTGTAGTCCCAGCTACTTGGGAGGCTGAAATGGGAGGATCACCTGAGCCCGGGAGGTTGAGGCTACAGTAAGCTGAGAGGCTCACTACCCTCCAGCCTGGGTGACAGAGACCCTGTCTCAACAAATAAAAAATAGAAAAAAAGAAACAGAAAAGAAAATAGAAAATCCAGAATATTAGGCTGATTCAACTGTGTTTAATAGATTTTACCCGAATTCCTTTAGGACCTTGCAACCCAGTCTACATAGCCCATGTAATATAGTAGTCTTGATCCTCTCATTTCTGTGGTTGAGAAGTTGGTGCTATGGATTACTGCATGGTTCTCATGGTTTTACATATAATAATAATAATTGTTATTAGTTATAACTCTCTGGTTAGAGTTGTTAGCTTATAGCACTATATTAAAATCAAAACTAAAAAATATAATAAATTAGAAGATCAGAGGAAAAGGAAAATAATATAAATATATATAATTTAAAATATATATAAAATTGCCAGGCACAATGGCTCATGCCTGTAATCCCAGCACTTTGGGAGGCCAAGGCAGGTGGATCATGAGGTCAGGAGTTCAAGACCAGCCTGGCCAAGATGGTGGGACACCGTCTCTACTAAAAATACAAAAAATTAGCCGGGCGTGGTTGCGGGCGCCTGTGATCCCAGCTACTCGGGAGGCTGAGGCAACAGAGCGCGACTCCATCTCAAAAAAAGAAAAAAAAAAGATTGGTCACAAATTTTGCTCCGAGCGGAATTCCTAGTAACCCAAGTAAAGAGACAAATGTTATCAGTTCTAAGATTCATAATGTCTTGTGGTCATGAGAAAAGGAGATACATCCGCAACCAAAAAGGAATACTTTATTATTTTGAAGCTTTGATATTCCTCCTATGTGGATCCCTACACTGGTGAATCAGATTGAAACATACAAGGCTTATAGGACTCTTTTTTGCTTAGGTTAATGGAGAAATTAGGACCTAGAGTCAACATAGGCCAAGTAGTCTTAAAAAGTAGCAAGCACAAAAACAGTATATCTGCAGTTTCTTTCTAATGCTGATTTAATTTCTACCCCAAACACTTAAGAGGTATAGAAATGGTAGGAAGAGAAGAGAGCTCTTTGGTGGAAAGGGAACAGGGTTGCCATTAACTCCTATCCCTCTTAACCCGATTTCAAAGAAAAGATCCACAGAGATAGAAGAAGCAACTTATGAAGACAAAACTTTCATTCTAAGAATTTAAGAATAGATCAGAAAAGGATGTCAAGCTGTAAAATTGTCCTGCCCACTCTCAACAGCAACATAATTAGCCTAGATGCCGAAGGTATTCAGTTACTAGACTCTGAGGCTGATTAGTTGCATCAGGATGTGTTGGATGGGCAGTTGGTTTCCTGCATCACTGTTTTTCACCCTAGAAAGTCTTCAAAAGCAGCTACACAAGGACCCTTTCTTTGATATACACATTATGGTCTCCAGGCTGGAATAACAGGTAAAGACAATAGCTGCAGTAGGAACAAATTAATACACTTTTCATCTTGAAGCTACTGAGAAACCAGGAGCATTTATTAAAGATATATAGGAGAACTGGATAAAATTTGGTCCTTCTATTAAGCCAGGAACTACAATAGAGTTTTTGGCATCATGAGCTAATCTAATAGACATGGCCTTCTGGAACCTGGGTTTGGAGGGCAGAATTTTATGGAACTCATAATGCTTGAGAGTTCATTGACTGACACAGTTCTCGTTTTTGCACATAGAGATAAATGGTTGATTAGGTCCTGACAGTTTTTATAAATATGCAAAGGTAGAAACTAACATGATTTTCTGGCAGAGCCATTATGAAAAGTGAAGACCCCAGATCTGTGCTCAATCTTCTGAAAAATGTTTGCTTAGGAGCTGCTCAAAAATATACTTTTAATTATTATGTATATGGAATCTTCTTTTTACTGGCCTAAAGAACACTGACTACTAATCAGGCATTTCTGTTTTTCTGAACAATTTTTCATTCAAATGACCTAAAACTATCATGCAGAATGTTCTAAGAGGATACAAATTGATGTACATATTGTAACTATTTTAAGTAGCAGAAGTTAAAGGTTAGTGTTGTGAATACTAGAAAACTTACTTTTTGTAAAGAGTAAAAATATGGCTATATAAAGGTTATAAACCAAATTTCATATCAAAGCCTAAAGAAGAAATATTAGCTACTATGAAAAGGACTTTTCCATATTTCTAAAAGGAGTTTCCTGGTGCTTAGTTGTTTTCCAAAAACAAAATGATCTTTGTATTTTTCTTATTCCATATTACTTGTGATTTGGTGTTTACTTGATAATATGATTATGATAGAACTTCTGGTGAAACATATAAGCTCCACTTTGGCTGGGATGGAAAGGCACATTATTCTTGCATATTAAACATTTGATTTCCCTTCTTTATGCATAAAAGCTATAAAAATATATGGAGGAAAAGGGTTTTCCAGGTCATCTGTGGTCTGTTCTAAGATTTAAGTATAGGTTATGTAGTACTTGGGTGTGTTCTCAGTCAGCTCTGCTAGAGGAGTATATTATTCAGCAATTTTTTTCCTTTTCAATGCATTGCCTAAGATCATTAAACAGTGTTTTTGCTTTGGTTGTGGCAGACAGGAAAATTATATATTTGGAAGTAGGATTGTGGTGAAAATAAAAGCATGCAGTTGGAAGTTAAATTAACTTGAGTGTGAATCCTGACTGTGACACATGTTGCTATTTGACCTTGGCAAATCACCTAACCTCTCTAAATTTCTGTTGACTCTTATATAAATAGGCTGTATGAAACTTGCAGAGTTGTTTGACAATTAAAAGAAGTAACATACATAAAACATCTAGTGCTATTCCTAGTACCTAACTGGTATTCAATACCTCATCAAATCTTCAAATCACTTTTCTGAAGAGGAAAGACAAGTATTTTTAAAAAGAGGAAACTAAAGCTTAGCAACAGGCTAATGCTGTGAAAGAGATCCAGTAAAGCATGGAATTTCTATCTAGTGCTCTTAAAAGAGATGAAGCCCTTGGGAGGTGGGTGTGGCAAGGTAAGCTTTTCTGAAAGAATTGGGTCACCTTAGACATTGTCTTACTTCCAGTCTAACCTCACCAGATAGCTAGCTGAGAACCAGATAGCTGAGAACATTCTGAAACTACACATCTTGCCCTCAGGGAGAGTTGCAGGGTAAGTGAAGACAAGGTACAGAGTTGATCCATTGATGAACAGTGTTATAATCATGTCTTAAATTATAATTAGAAAACAAATATGTGTCAACCACTTTATTCTTATAAACATACTTTATATATGTTACTGGTAGAAGGTATGCGAGTTACCAGTGGTGAATTCCTATGGGTCTGCAGCAACCTCAATTCTTGCCTCCTCAGAAGAAAGAATACAACTGAGGGGCATAAGGCAGAAAAAGAGACTGAGGCAAGTTTCAGAGCTGGAGCAGAAGTTTATTTAGTTTATTTAAAAGGCTTTAGAACAGGAAAGAAAGGAAACGATGCTTGGAAGAGACTGCACCAAGGTCAAGTGCAGTGTTTAACCTTCATCCTAGAACTTAATAGGCTGGCCCCTTTCTCATGATTCTTCCCTTAGGGTGGGCTGCCCACATATGCAGTACACTCCTGCCCTTGGGAGGTGAGCATTCCCAATGTGTTTAGGAAGTTGTACGCATTTTCATCTGAAGCTTTTCTTCCTTTTTCTGGTGGAGTGACCCTGGAAGGTCATACTCCACCATTTTGTCTCTTAATGTGCATGCCCAGGAAGTTGCTTCTCCCCAGCACGTGCATTCAGTTAACACTTTAGTGCAACAGGTGTGGACCATCAGGAAATGGCCTCTCCCTGGCACCAGCTGCCAGTTTATCACTTTTAGAGAGGCAATATAATAATTGCCAAACTGTCACCTGACATTCCTAGTGGGTGGAGGAGAGCCCTTTCCTACCCTGCTCATGCCTATCTAACTACCTGTAACATACACACAGACAGACATGCGCGCACACACACACACACGGCAAAAAACAGGAACAATATCTTGGTAATCTTTCTTAATATGAATTTTATGGTGTATTTATATATTTATGATGTATTGTATATATATTTATGGTATATTGTATTTATTATGTTTTGAGAAATAAGGACTAGGTTTTTAGCACAAAATAGAGCTTGTTTGTTTATTTTGTGCTTTAAAAATACTTTTAAAAATTACAAAGTAAAACTTTGTTTCTTAACCTTTTTTTGGAGACAGTCAGGCTCTGTTGCCCAGGCTGGAGTGCAGTGGTATGATCTGGACTCACTGCAACCTCTGCCACCCAGGCTCAAGCAATCCTCTCACCTCAACCTCCCAAGTAGCTGGAACTACAGGCATGCACCACCATAATTTTTGTATTTTTTGTAGGGTTTTGCCATGTTGTCCAGGCTGGTCTCAAACTCCTGAACTCGAGCGATCCACCCTGCCTTGGCTTCTCAAAGTGCTGGGATTACAGGAGTGAGCCATTATGCCTGACCTGTTTTTTAATGTGTTTATAAGCTCAGGGAAAGAGTTTTGCTGTAGGTAGATGGCATTTTAATTAAATTCAGACTATTTAAGGCATATACAAGTAACTTTAATTTTTAAAACCTGCATAGAAGATTATAGTATCAAGCATGACACTACATTCAAGTTTGTCTGGACAATGTGGGTTATCTGCCCTTGTTTTCTTTTGCTTTAAAAGTAAATATATAGTGAAAAAAAATCAGAAACTATTTGGGAGAAAAAAGAGAAGAAAGTTGAATAAAAACTGAGGTTGAGATGCTTCACTACAGGCATTGACCACTAAATTTAACTGTATTTGAATGCCCTAGTATGAATTACTTTATCAGTACTATCTGATAACTAGGGAGTCAGGAAATTTGTTTGCAACTTTTAAAAGAGGGTATAGAAGCAAGGCTTTTGTTAGCGCATATGGTACCTTTGTGTAATTTATAAAAAGATGCCCATCTGGGTGAACACATAAAAATGTATCCTTTCACAGTGCCTTGTCAAGTGCATGACTTGCTAAGCATGGCAGGGGTTGGATTTCAAACTCCCTCAACAAACAGGGGGCAATCTACTAAGAATATGTTGTTTTCCTGTAGAGGAAGAAGAAAATGAAATTTTGGAAGTGTTGAAGGTTGATCTAGTGTAACAGGGATGACGCAAGAGTGAATTTGGTATGAAAGCAAAAGGAAGAAGCAGAAGGTGCAAAAGGAGTAGAGAAAGGAAGCAGATGAACAGAAGACCAGTTTTGCTCAGTTTGCAATTTTCCCTGAGGCCATAGGAGTCATTCTATCCTTCCAGCCTGCATATCTTCCTTTAGAGGAGGAGAGGAAAGGAAAGGGAAAGGGACAAAGGCGTTTTCATTCTTGGCTGTCTTATCATATTACCAATAAGAAATGATACATCATTTTCAGAATTTTCCTCATTTTCAAGACATTTTGATGTGTATTTCTCTTGAAGGTAAGAGTTTTGGGGGTATATTTTGCAAATGAAAAAAAGGCACAAAAAGGATTGGGGACTTGCCAACGTCACCCTATTCTTTGGGACAAAACCAGGATTAGAACCCCAGTAATAGAAATGCCACTAAAAAGTTTGTAAGCAGAAGCTAGATTTCTTTCTGTAGCAACTTTTAGGCCTCAATGAATTATTCCTTTTTTTAGATTTGTCTACCAGTACAAAGTATTGAGTTTAGTCAGAAGGAGATACTTCTAAACAAGATAGTTGGAAGACTATTGTTAACTTATACAGATCTCTGGGAAAGAGAGTGGTGATAAAGATGCTATTATTAATTTATTTCTTTGAAAATACTAAGATCTAAAGATGCTGAGACCTGCAGCTTTGCTCTCCAGATTTATGTGGGGCCCTGCTAGTTTGTTTTTTAAAGGAGAAGACGCTTGGTGAGTGTTAGCACTAGAAGGCTGAAAATCTGTCAGGCTTTTACTTTAAATATCTGTTGCTTATGCCCACTGCTTTCTGTTATGGTTTCTGCATAGTGTCAGCATTTATTATCCTTAAGTAATTTAAAAAGCATTATTCTTTAAACCCTCTACTATTCCTAAACAAAACAAAAATGTGTTTTACGTAATTTTTCCTTAAGGAATTCCTCTTTCACTCTCATTTTTTCAAACCAGCATATATAATTCCAACTGAGTCTATTTTTAATCAACGCAAATTCAGAGCATTCCCTGATGGAATGAAATCAGGAAAGCAGAATATTGGCTGATGTATTCTAGAAACAATGGCGTGGAATCAAGTCCCCAAGTCTACTTCAATTCCCTGAAGCCTTTCCATTCTCTATACTATTCTGTGAACACCCTGAATACACTCCTGCCTCAGGGCCTTTGGATTTACTGTGTTCTGGAAGATTCTTTTCACAGATATGTACATAAATCATTCCTTCAGTTCCTTTTCACTCTCCACTTGAATGCCACCTTATCAGAGAGGATTTCTTTGATCATACTGTTTAAAAAAACTTCCCTCCCACCTCACTGTCAATCTCCTTATCTTGCTTTATTTTTCTTCTTTCTCATCTCCAACTAGAGTAAACTCCACGAAAGCAGAACTCTAATCTATTTGGGTTTTGTTTTTCTGTAACCCTGCAGCCTAGATTATATCTGCCAGCTATTAAGCATTGTATTAATACTTGCTAAAATGAGAAGATACTTAAGGCCTGTCCTTGCTGCCTTGTTTTAAGAGGACTAACAGTAAGTTATGATGTGCCCGTAGGAAAGCCATCAAGGTCCAGATACCTTTCAGTTTAGGGTAAGATTTGTTCAGTGTGGATCCAGAAGAAAGGAGAAGGATAATTGGGTTATAGGACAGCAGGTTTTGACTGAAAGTAAGGAAGAACCTGCGAATAATTGCAGCTGTTTGAAAAGTGTTTGATCTTTTTTTCTGTAGATGTTTATATAGATTGTATGACCGCTTTGGAGATAATTATAGAGGAAATCCAAGCATCTTATGCAAATTAGATTATGTCACTTCTAACCTGAATTCTTAAAAGGTATGATTCTATATTGACTGAGAAATTAATAATTGAGTTTGGTTCTGTGAAATGCTGCCAAACAAATATATCTATATTATGTTAACACCCTATACCGGGGTTGACAAATTGTACCTCTCAGGCCAAATCTTATTGGTTAACTCTTTTTGTAAGTATTTTTATTGGAACACAACCATGGCCATTTATTTACATATTGTCTGTGGCTTCTCTCACACTATAATGCACAGTTGAGTAGTTGCAACAGAGACACATGGCCTGCAAAGCCTAAAATATTTACTATGTGGACCTTTAGAGGTAAAGTTTGACAACTTCTGCCCTAAAGCGAAAAAATATTATGTGGAAACCTATCTTTATTCAGTTTTCCAAGTAGTTCATGATGATGATGATGATGATAACTGTTGTATCAATTAAAATTTAGCTATAATATAATAGACCACTCTGACTATTAAAATAGAGGGAATTTAATGCAGGAAATTGATTACATGGATGATGAGAGTCTGACTAGTTCCTTCCAGGAAGATACATAAGAGGTAGTTTTGTCAGAGCCCAGAGGCTAGAATCACACAGCAGAAGCTGGAATCATAGGGTAGAAGGGTAGGGAGGATGGAACTGTTACCTGAAGATGGAGCTACAAAAAAGATTCTTCTTCTGCCTGAGTTGCTGCCCAAGGCACAGAGGAAAGGAGAAAAATACCCTGGCTTCTCCAACTAGTGCCTCCCATTACCTGAACCCAACCATAAGTCAGCTGACAAAAAAGCCTGGGAAGTGGAGCTTTCAGGGTTTGTTCCCCTAAAATATAGAGCAGAGTAGAAGAGTAAGGAATGAGTGTAAGGACACCTGCGTAGCTGCTAATAATTATTAAGTGCTACCTTAGGCCAGGTACAGAGCTAAACAGTTTGTGTGAATATGTTGCCTAGGAAGTAAATACGAGTATTACCCCCAGTTTATAGATGAGGCTTAGACAAGTAAATTTCTCAAGGCCGTGAATTAAATTAATGACCAAATTAGACATAATCCAGGTCTGCCTTACTCCGAAACTCTTGCTTTTATCCCTCTCATTTTACAAGTGAGAAAAAACGTAATTTGGAAAGATAAGAAAGTTGCATCTGGTTAATGACAGGGCCAAGTCTAGAACCCAAATTGTTCCTATTAGGTTTTTGTACATTTTAAGGAAGCTAAAACCTGTAATGCTATTATTGTAGCATTTGGAGAGTGTCCAGAGGAGACTCCCACACTTATCGTGAAAGTATCCTTGTACGCTGAAACTATTACTAAGCAACCTTTCTGTACCCCAGTTTACTTCATTGTAAAATGAGATTATTAATTATATCTACCTCAAAAGAGTGTTGAGAAGGAGTATATAGATAATATATCTAAAGATCCCGGAACAGTGTGCCACATAATAAGTACTTAGTAAATACTAGCTCGCTATTGTTATTGTTAATCTTTTTATTATGCTCACCCTGAGAGTGGTTATCACAGGAAAAAAGTGGATCAAAAATGTCATGAAATGTTATCAAGTGCTTCATTAAATAGTAATATCCCCATATTGGACATTTTATTTTTCTTCCATTTAGGAGAATTGTTAGAAGATACTGAAAAATTGCATTTTTGTTTCGTTTGCCTTTAAGCGAACGGCCTTCATGATGTCTTAGTTTTTTAATTCAAGGTCTTTTTAATGTACCAGTGCTTATGCATGTGAAATATCATTTCCTCTTATGCTTCTATATAGTTCATCTCTTTCATCTAGCTTGGCCTTTTTCCAACCATTCCCAATATGTGAACTTTTCCTTCCTATTCCCATGGCTTTTCTTGGCTTCATTCTTAATAGTCTCCCACTCCCTGACGAGTCCTTTTTCTTTCTTAACTAGAACAATTTCTATAATACTTTGGTACCTGCTGAAGATGTTTTTCTTAACTGATATATCCCTAGCTAATCATAGGACACATTTATATTTCACTTGTATCCAGCACATATAGACAATCTGTAACATGCTGTCATATGCTATATATATTGCTTGAGATGGTTCTTTTTTCATGGTCGTTTTTCCATTTGTGTCTTGTTTTTCCAACAAAGTTGAAAGCCATGCTTGGATGAACTTTAGGTGACTGGTGCTTTATAAATACTTAAGTGCTGTGTGAAAACTTATAGCTAGAGTTCAAATTATTTGTTTGTTTTTTTTGTTTGTTTTTGAAATCGTTATTTGCTTTTAAAAGTAGTCTGCTGCATGACAAAAGTCACTAACAACTTTAGTCCTTGTGTGGGATTCACTAAAAATAGCTTGAAAAGTCAAGGATTCCTTTAACCTAGAGCACTCTGAAGATCCAAAGATTAGCAGACCAGGAAAAAAAAGACCCTGAAAACATATCCTTCCAGCCTGATACACCTACTAGCCTATGGTAAATATTTTTCATTTTTTTTAAAGGCAAGCAAGAAGGTAATTTAACAAGATTAATCACTAGATTTGGCATTGGAATGTCATATTTTAATGTGCTAAAAACATTTTAAAATGCAGGGCTCATAACAGAGTGTGAACCTGCTGCCACTATTTTCAGAATCTGAGGCTTTGGACTTGATGTGGTGAAAATTGAACCGTATTATATACGAAGTAATGATGACCATGCAAATATTTGCACATTGTGGTCTATTGTTACTGCATATTCTTCAAAGTGACCATTTACAATGTACTGTCCTCAGAAAACTATATAAAGCAAACACAGAGATCTAAGGGAGGGTAGTAAAAAGCCTCAAAACAATCTCTGAGTGTGCCTGTAACATACTTGTTATTTATTCCCAATTCAGAATTTTCTCTAGTGACATATTCTTTTTTTCCATATTTTAGGAGAATATTTTCTGTCAGTCTTTCAAAATCAATATTTTTAGTTTTTAAGTACTACAGCTGTTGAACTTCACAAGATAAGTCAAATTAAGTCACATCACTCAAACACTATGAGCTTTATAATTCTTTGTGAACTTAAAGGTTGAGTTTAGGATGACCCTGTGGTATATAGAATCTAGAGCTAGCTGGATTGGCAGGATTTTTCTCTTTAAAAAACTTCAGAAGCATTTCTGAATAGAAGGAACATTTCCAACTTTTAAAAACAGATAATCCTTTTTTCACCCTCTTAACATCCCTCTCCACACCTCAAACAAATGTACATGTTTTGGGCCATTTTGTATTTTATTTTCTGTGATGTTAATAAATTAAATGTAAATCATAATAAGTCCAAATCCCTTTAATTTCAAGATGTTTATACTTGAGGTCTAGCATTTTGCCTACTTTATTCCTCATTTAAAGTATGGTTTTTGTCAAGGCTAAACAGTAAATAGCTATAGTAGTAGGAGTCCAAACCACAATTAATAGTGCTGAATGTTGTTACAAACCTGCTTCTTGATTTTTTAAAATAAAGATCAGGGAGTAGCTATGGCAACTGGACCTCAAAAACTGTTAACACAAAGGATTTTGTGTTTTAATTTCTTCATCTAGGTTTTATGTGTCTTTATAAGGAGATACCTGATGGACTACAAAGAGGATTATGACATGTATCCAACTGTAAATTTATAGGGAAATTGTGTAACGCTTTGTTTAAATTACTTCAGTTATATCTTCTATAGTTAAGATTATAATTCACACACTTCAATCTGAATACGGATTGTAAAACAGTAAAGCAAATGCCAGAATTATAGCCACAGAATAAGGTAGTGAGTTAATTTGATGGAGTTCATTTTAGGGACATTGTCCCTTGCTTTTGGTATTTTCCAACAATGGTACCATTTATGATTTTATTTTATTTTAGCCATGCCCTTTGGGTTCCCGAGATTTTCGAGAGAAACAGTGTGCAGACTTTGACAATATGCCTTTCCGAGGAAAGTATTATAACTGGAAACCCTATACTGGAGGTAATGTATAACCTGACAGAGCATTCATGCTTGAGCACTTTGCAAATATCAAAGAATATACAAATATATACAAACACATGCATACATTCATGTACATACTAGTTAAAATTAGTGTTTGCCAACAAAAGCAGGGAAATGCTTATAGTACTATAAAGGCTTCATGGTTTATTTGCCCTGTAATAAGGTTTATATATTAGTACAAATGATCAGAAATCATTTCTTAAAACCTAATTATGTTTAACAAGGTATAAAATTCCTTGAAAGGATATCTAGACATCAAAACCATGTAGTATTTTTTGAGTTCTGCTTGAGGCTTCCTTAGGGTATATGTAAGTTACATTATAATCTTTAAATGTTTGCAATTATCACCCTAAAACAAGTTATAAGAATATAAATCAGGAAACTCTGTGTCGTTGCTTAGTCAAAGGCCAAGATTATTGTTATTCTTTTTCAGAGTTAGAAAACATTTTTGCTCTTTAATTTGGGCATGTATCAGGCACTGATTGTTCAATAAGTAGAAGTATTTTACACTCCCAAAATATAAATTACATTTTGCTGAAAATTTCTCTTGGAGGCCAGGCATAGTGGCTTATTCCTGTAATCCCAGCACTTTGGGAGGCCGAGGCAGGTGGATCACCTGAGGTCAGGAGTTCGAGACTAGCCTGGCCAGCATGGCAAAACACCGTCTCTACTAAAAATACAAAAATTAGCCGGGCATGGTGGCATGTGCCTGTAGTCCCAGCTACTTGGGAGACTAAGGCAGGAGAATCACTTGAACCCAGGAGGCGGAGGTTGCAGAGAGCCAAGATCACGCCACTGCACTCCAACCTAGGCGACAGAGTGAGACTCCATCTCAAAAAAAAAAAAAAAAAAAAAGGAAATATACTCTTAAGATAAGTTTACTGTTTGCTTGCTTTTCCAGTATCTTATATTAACAGAATTTTATAGTGACAACTTTATATTTACCACCAAGATTCTACCATTAACGTTTTACTATACTTTCTTCATACATGTCTGTTCTTCTCCCTATCCATTTATTAATCCATCGTACTTTTTGATGTATTTCAAAGTAAATTGCAGTCATTAATGTACTTTCCTCTAAGTACTTCAGCATGGTAACATTATCCACAGTTCAATTATTTGTTTACTTTTTTCTGTTAAGGCAAGATTATGTACAGTGACATGCAAAATTTTAACTATGCTTTCTCTGGTTTTTGACCAATGCACATACTTAAAAAATCCTATTGAGATACAGAACATTGGCTTTACCTCCAAAATTCCTCTAATCTTTGCCTTAGTCAGTTTGGACTGTAATTACAAGTTACCATAGACTGGAGATCTTAAAATAGAAATTTATTTCTCGGTACTGGGGGCTGGAAATCCAAGATCAAAGTGTCAGCATGGTTAGAGTCTGGTGAGGGCCCTCTTCTGGGTTGTGAACTGTTGTTTTCTCATTGTATCCTCATGTGGCAGAAAGCGTGGGGAAAAGAGCTCTCTGGGATCCTTCTTATAAGGCTACTATTCCCATTCGGAGGGCTCCACTGTCATGACCTAGTTACCTTCCAAAGGCCTCATCTTCAAATTGGGGATTAAGATTTCAACATACGGGTTTTGGGGGGACACAAACATTCAGTCCATAAAAGTCATTATAGTCCTTTGCAGTCAATAGTTGCCTCTCCCTACTCCTCCTAAGAGACAACCATCATTCTGACTTTTTTTCTCACCATAGTTTAGTTTTGCCTGTTCCAGAACTTCATATTCTATTGTAAATCTTCTTTAAGCCTAATGTTTTTGAGATCTATCTACATTGCTGTATATAGAAGTGGTTCACTCTAGCCAAGCGCAGTAGCAGACACCTGTAAGCCCAGCTACTTGGGAGGCTGAGGCGGGAGAATCACTTGGGTCTAGGAGTTCTCTTAAAAAAAAAAAAGTTTATTCTTTTTTATTGCTGAGCAGTATTCCATCATAATAACCAGTTTTTCCATTCTGCTGTGATGGACACCTGGGTTGTTTCTAGTTTTTAGCTGTTATGAGTAAACTGCTATGAACATTTGTGTACTATCATTTTGTGAGCATATGTTTTCATTTTCCTTGAGTAAATACTTAGGAGTAGAATTGCTGGGCAATAGATTACATGTGAATTTAGTTTAGTTTTAAAAGAAACTGCCAGATGTTTTTCCAAAGTGATTGTAGCGTATTTCACTCTCACCGACAATGTCTGAGGGTTCTATTTGTTGTGCATCCTTGTCAATATTTGGTCTTTTCAGTCTTCTTCTGGTGGGAGTAGAGTGGTATTTCAGTGAAATTTCCGTTTCCATTTTCTCATGATAATGTTAAGCACGTTTTCATATATTTATTGGCCATTATATATCTCCTTTTGTACTGTCTATTCAAATCTTTTGCCTATTTTTAATTGGGTTGTTTTACCTTCTCAAGTGGTAGTCATTTATAAGTTTTACAAATGTTTTGTCACATTCTGTGGCTTTCCCATTGCTTTTTAAATGGTGTTTTTATCCATATAAGCTTTTAATTTTTCTGTTTTTAATTCCAATTTTTAAATAATTTTTCTTTCTGGTCATTGTGTTTTGTGTCCTAAGGAATCTTTGCCTACCTCAACTTAAGAAAATATTTTCATATGTTTTCTTCCAAAAGTCTTATTGTTTAGTCCTTACATTTACATCTATGATCTATCTCAAAATAATTTTTGGTATGATTTGTATCTGTAGTATATTTATGGATTTTCTGTTTTGTTTTGTTGATCTGTCAGTCCTGTGCCAGTACTACACTGACTTGATTACTATAACTAGAGTATAGTCATGAACACAGTTTTTTTTTTTTTTATACATTAAGTTCTAGGGTGCATGTGCACAATGTACAGGTTTGTTACATATGTATACGTGTGCCATGTTGGTGTGCTGCACCCATTGACTCGCCATTTACATTAGGTATATCTCCTAATGCTATCTCTCCCCCCTCCCCCTACCCCACAACAGTCTCCGGTGTGTGATGTTCCCCTCCCTGTGTCCAAGTGTTCTCATTGTTCAATTCCCACCTATGAGTGAGAATATGCGGGAACACAGGTAGTTTAAGTTCCATTAACTTTGATGTTTTTTATAAGAGTTCTTCCAATATGCTAACTGATTTGCATTTTCATGTAAATTTTTGCATCAGTTGTTAATGTCCGCAGAAAAACCTGCTGGACTTATGAATGGTGTTATGTTGAATCTATAGATCAATTGAGGGAAAAACTGAGTATTAAACCCTATTGAATTTTACAATTTTTGAACATGGTATATCCCTCAATTTATTTATGTCTTTAATTTCTCCCAGCTATGTTTTTCCTTTAAGTGTAAGGTCCTGCATGTACTTTACTAAATCGATTCCTGAGTGATTTATGGTTTTGACACTATTGTTAATAAAACTTTTGAAAATTCCATTGACATTTGTATATTAACTTTGTATTCTGTGACCTTTCTAAATTCCCATATTCCTTTTTTTTTTTTTGAGACAGGGTCTGGTTCTGTTGTCCAGGCTGGAGAGCAGTGGCGCAATCTCGGCTCACTGAAACCTCCACCTCCTGGGCTCAAGCGATCCTTCCACCTCAGCCTCCTGAGTAGCTGAGACTACAGGCGCACACTGTCATGTCCAGCTAGTTGTATTTTTTGTAGACACAGGGTTTCACCATGTTGCCCAGGTTGGTCTCCAACTCCTGGACTCAAGTGATCCACATGACTCGACCTCCCAAAGTGTTGGAATTACACATCCAGCCTAAATTCCCATATTCTAATTGTTTTACAGATGCTCAGAATTTTTTTGTTAAACAGTCATGTTGTCCTGAAATAGAGACAATCTATTTGAATCTTTATGCCTTTTATTACATTTTCTTGCCTTAATGCACTGGATTGGGCCTAGAGTATAATTTGTACATGTATTGATTGTATTTTTTATTCTTTATCCTATTAATATGCTGAGTGACCTGATAGATTTGACAATCTCAAACCAAGATTTTTTTTTTTTTGAGAGAGAGTCTTGCTCTGTTGCCAAGGCTGGAGTGCAGTGGTGTGATCACAGCACACTGCAGCCTCAACCTCCTGGGCTCAAGCATCCTCCCACCTCAGCCTCCTGAGTAGCTGGGACTGCAGGTGTGTGCCACCATGCCTGGCTAATTTTTGTATTTTTTGTAGAGATGGGGTTTTGTCATGTTGCCCAGGCTGGTCTCCAATGCCTGGGGTCAAGCAATCCACCCATCTCAGCCTCCCAAAGTGCTGGGATTACAGGCGTGAGCCAACAGGCCCAACCTCAAACCAAGCTTATATTTCTAGGATAAACCCCATGTGATCATGATGTATTTTTTTATGTGTTATTGTATTTAACTTAATTGATAATGTTTTATTGTGGATATTTGCATCTGTGTTTAAATTTGTAAATATTTTTCTTGTAATTTGTAAATATTCTTCTTATGATGTCTTTGCTAAGTTTTGGTATCAGATGCATTCTGGTTTCCCAAAATAGAATCTTTATTTATTTTTAAAAGAATTTTAGGATTGGTGTTATCTCTTCCTTAGAATAGATTTCACTAGTAAAACCAGCCAGGCTTGATATTTTCTTTGTGAAAACCTGTTATTAAAAATTTAACTCCCTTAAGAGAAAAGGGCTATATGGTTGTTTTATTTTATTTTATTTTCTTGTGGAGTTTTCTTTTTTTTTTTTTTTTTTGAGACAAGGTCTCCCTCTGTCGCCCAGGCTGCACTGCAGTGGCCCAATCATATCTCACTGCAGGCTCAATCTCCTGAGCTCAAGAGATCCTCCCTCCTCAGCCTCCTGAGTAGCTAGGCACCACGCTGGGCAAATTAATTTTTAATTTTTATTTTTATTAGAGACTACATCTTCCTATGTTGTCTAGGCTGTTCTCAAACTCCTAAGCTCAAGGGATTCTTCAATCTCAGCCTGCCAAAGTACTGGGATTATAGGTGTGAGCCACCATGCCTGGCCTTATTTCAGTTTTTTATTTTGTGTCTTTAAGAAATTTATGTTATATCCATGTGGTCCAGTTTATTGACATAAAATTGATCATAACATTCTCTTGTTATGCCGTTTAATATTAATATTTATAAAATATGTAGTGATGTATGCTTTCATTTCTGGTATTGATAATTTGTGTTTTCACTGTTTTTCTTGGTCAGTCTTGTTTGGGATTTATCAATTTTATTAATATTTTCAAAGAACCAAATTTTGGCTTTGGTACTCTTTTCTGTAATTTGTCTTTTTTCTAGCTTATTAATTTTTGCTCTTATAGTTATTATTTTCTTATCTATTTTCAGTTTCTTTCGCTCTTTTACATTTCCAAAATTTGATGTTATATTTTATAGCTTTTAGTTCAAACTATTTTATTTACATTGTGAGTTCTTTGACCTCTGGGTTACTTAGAACTGTTTTGTTTTAATTTCCAAATATTTGAAATTTTCTAGAATTTCTTGTTGTTCATATATAATTTAATTGCATTAAGATTAGAGAATGGGCCAGGTGTGGTGGCTCATGCCTGTAATCTCAGCACTTTGGGAGGCCAAGTTGGGAGGATTTCCTGAGCCCAGGAGTTGGAGACCACCCTGGGCAACATAGTGAGACCTTGTCTATACGAAAAATAAAAAATTAGCTGGGTGTGGTACCACATGCCTGTAGTCTCAGCTACTCAGGAGGTTGAGGTGGGAGGATCACTTGAGCTCGAGAAGTGGAGGCTACAGTGAGCTATGATCACACCACTGTAGAGTGAGATCCTGTCTTAGAAAAAAAGAAAGAAAAAGATTAGAGAATACTCTTTTCTTGGTGAATGTTCTGTGTATACTTGGAAAGTAATGTTTTCTGCAGTTATTGGCTACATAGTGTTCTATAGATATCTATGAGATCAACTTGGTTGAGAATGTTGTTTTCAATCTTTTATATTCTTTCTGATTTTTTTCTACTCTCATTCTATCAATTATTGAGAGTGCTGTGTTAAAATCTCCAACTATTATATGGCTTTGCTTTCATTTTTAAAAAGATTTTGCTTCATGTATTTGAATCTTTTTTATTAGGTGCATATACCTTTGGGATTGTTTTGCCATAGTATAGGAGAAGAAGAAGTGTCTGAAATAATTTACAGACTTAATAATTGCCATCTACATAATTTCATGCAAAGTGAATTAATCCTAAATTCATACTAAGCATTAACTTAAGGTAATTGGTTAATATGACCTTTCATTTAGAAAATCATTTTAAATTCTTTCTGGAATTAACAACTGTATTAGTCAGGGTTCTCTAGAGGGACAGAACTGATGGAATATATATAAAGGGAAGTTTATTAAGTATTAGTTCACACGATCACAAGGTCCCACAATAGGCCATCTACAGGCTGAGGAGCAAGGAGAGCCAGTCTGAGTTTCAAAATTGAAGAATTTGGAGTCAAATGTTCGAGGGCAGGAAGCATCCAGCATGGGAGAAAGATAGTCTGGGAGGCTAGGCCAGTCTCTCTTTTCACATTTTTCTGCCTGCTTATATTCTAGCCTAGCTAGCAGCTGATTAGATTGTGCCCAACCAGATTAAGGGTGGGTCTGCCTTTCCCAGGCCACTGACTCAAATGTTAATCTCCTTTAGCAATACCCTCACAGACACGCCCAGGATCTACACTTTGTATCCTTCAATCCAATCAAGTTGACACTCTGTATTAACCATCACAACAGCCTTACCTTTCTTTCCCCAGTTTCACTGAGATATAATTGACAAATAAAAATTGTATATAGTTAAGGTGTACAATGTAATGTTTTGATATACATATATGCTGTGAAATGATTACCATAATCAAGCTAATTAATGTATCCGTCACCTCACATATTTACCTTTTTTGTGTGTATGATGTGAATACCTAAGATCTACTCTCTTAACAAATTTAAAGTATACTATACATTATTCTTAACTATACTATATTAGATCTCTAGAACTGATCCCTCTTATAACTGAAAGCTTGTACCCTTTGAGCAACATCTCCCTATTTCCACCCAATCCCTGATAAGCTCTCTCTGTTTCTATGAGTTTGACTTTTTTAGATTCCACATATAAGTGAGATCATACAGTATTTGTATCTGGCTTATTTCACTTAGCATTATGTGCCCCAGGATTTCTTTATTTCTTTCTTATTTAAGATGGAATGATATTTCATTACATATGTCTATATAAAACAATTTTCTTATCCATTCATCTGTTGACAGACACTTGGGTTGTTTCCATATCTTGACTAATGTGAATAATGCTTCAATGAACATGGGAGTGTAGGTATCTCTTCAAGATAGTGATTTCATGTCCTTTGGATATATACCCAGAAGTGGGATTGCTGGATCATATGGTTATTCTATTTTTAATTTTTGGAGAAGGCTGCATACTGTTTTCCATAATGGCACTGCCAGTTTACATTCCCACCAATAATGTATATAAGAGTTTTCTTTTCTCCACATCCTTACCTACACTTGTGATCTTGTGACTTTTTTGTAATAGCCATCCTAACATGTGTGAGGTAATATCTCATGGTGGTTTTTATTTGCATTTCCCTGATGATTAGTGATTTTGCACACCTTTTCATGTACCTGTTGCCATTTGTATCTCTTCTTTGGGAAAAAAAAAAGTCTATTCACATTATTTGCCTATTTTTTAATTAGATTTTTTTTTTTTTTACTATTGAGTTGTATGAGTTCCTTATATGTTTTGGGTATTTTCTCCTATTCTGTGGATTGCCTTTTCATTTTGTTGATTGTTTCCTTTGCTGTCCAGAAACTTTTTAGTTTGACATAGTCTCGCTTGTTTATTTTGGCATTTTTTGTCTGTGCTTTTGGTGTCATATCCAAAAAATCGTTGCCAAGACCATTGTGCTGGAGCTTTGCCCTTATGTTTTCTTCTAGTAGTCTTACGTTTAATTCTTTAATCCCATTTCAGTTGATTTTTGTGTATGGTATAAGTATCCAATTTCTTTTTCTTTCTTTATTCTTTTTTTTTTTTTTTGCACGTGACCATCTATTTTCCCCAGCATCACTTATTGAAGAGACTGCCCTCTCCTCACTCTATTTTCTTGGTACCTTTGTCAAAGATTAGTTGACTATATATGCATGGGCTTATTTTCAGGCTTAATATTTGTCCCATTGCTCTACTTATCTGTTTTAATAAAGTACTATACTGTTCTGATTGCTACAGGTTAGTAATATAGTTCAAAATCAGGAAGTGTGATGCCTCTAGTTTTGTTGTTCTTGCTCAAGATTGCTGTGGCTATCTGGAGTCCTTTTTAGTTTCATATGAATTTTAGGATTGCTTTTTCTATTTTTGTGAAAAACGTCATTGGAATTTTCATAGAGATTGCATCAAATCCATGGATCACTTTGGGAAGTATGGACATTTTGACAATATTGATCTTTCCAATCCATGAACACGTGACATCTTTCCATTATTTGTGTCTTCTTCAATTTTTTTCATCAGTGTTATACCTAAGTATTTTTAGGCTATTGTAAATAAGATTGTTTTCTTAATTTCTATCTTATGTAATTAATTGTTAGTGTATAGAAATGGACTGATTTTTGTATGTTGATTTTTGTATCCGTATTTACTGAATTTTTGTATTAGTTTTAACAGTTTTTTGGTGGAGCCTTTAGGGTTTTCTATGTATAAGAATATGTTGTCAGCAAACAGAGACAATTTTTCTTCTTCCATTCCATCTTGCATGCCTTTTATTTCTTTTTCTTGCTTACTTCCTGTGACTAGGACTTCAGTACTATGTTGAATAGAAGTAGTGAGAATGGGCATCGTTACCTTGTTCCTGATCTTAGAGGAAAAAATGTCAGCCTTTCATCACTGAGTATGATGTTAGCTGTGGGCTTGTTGTATGGGACATTTATTGTGTTGAGGTATATTCTTTCTGTACTTAATTTTTATAATGAAAACATGTTGAATTTTGTCAGATGCTGTTTTTGCATCTATTGCAATGATCATTTGGATTTTGTCCTTCATTTTGTTAATATGGTGTATTACAGTGCCTGATTTGTGTATGTTGAACCATCCTTGCATCCTCAGGATAAACCCTACTTGATCATGATGAATGATCCTTTTAATTTTTGCCATTTAATTAATTTGCTAGTATTTTGTTGAAAACTTTTGCATCCATGTTCATCAGGGATATTGGCTTATAATTTTCTTTTCTGTTAGTATCTTTGTCTGGCTTGTTATTAGGGTAATGCTGCCCTCATAAAATGTATTTGGAGTATTCCCTTCTCTGCAATGTTTTTGAAAAAGTGTGAGAAAAATTGGTATTAATTCTTCTTTAAATGTTTGGTATAATTCACTGGTGAAGTATAAGGTATCGCACTTTTATTTGATGAGAGGTTTTTTTTTTTTTTACTGTTTCAACCTCTCTTCTTATTATTGTTCTGTTCAGATTTTCTATTTGTTCATGATTCAGTCTTTGTTTTATGTCTCTAGAACTTTATTCATTTCTTCTAGTTTATCTAACTTGTTGACATATAAGTGTTCATAGCAGTCTCATGGTCCTTTGCATTTCTGTGGTGTCTGTTGTAATGTCTCCTCTTCCATTTCTGATTTTTATTTGAGGCTTTTCTCTTTCTCTCCTAGTATAGCTAAAGGTATGTCAATTTTGTTTATCTTAAAAAAAATCAACTCAATTTTGTTTATCTTTTCAATTTATTTTATTTTCTCTATCTATTTCTGCCCTGAGCTTTGTTATTTCCTTCCTTCTTCTAACTTTGGGGTTAGGTTGTTCTTCCTTTTCTAGTTCCTTGAGATGTAAAGTTAAGTTGTTTGAAATCTTTCTCCTTTTTTCATGTTAGACATTTATTGCTATAATCCTTTTTCCTTGAAGTGCATCTCCAGCATCTCATAAGTTTTGGAATGCTGTGTTTCTATTTTTATTTGTCATAAGGTTTCTTGTTGGTTTGTTTTGTTGTTGTTGTTTGTTTGTTTGTTTTTCAGACAGAATCTCATTTAGTCATCCAGGCTGGAGGGCAGTGGTGCAATCTTGGCTGACTGCAACCTCCACTTCCCAGGGTCAAGTGATTCTCCTGCCTCAGCCTCCCGAGTAGCTGGGATTACAGACATGTACCACCATGACCAGCTAACTTTTTGTAGTTTTAGTAGAGACTAGGTTTCAACATGTTGGCCTGGCTGGTCTCGAACTCCTGACCTCAAGTGATCCACCTACCTCAGCCTCCCAAAGTGGTGAGATTACAGGTGTGAGCCACTGCACCTGGCCACAGGTCATAAGATACTTTTAGATTTAATTTTTTATTTCTTCTTTGGCCCATTGATGGTTCAGGAGCATGTTCTTTAATTTCCACATATTTGTGAATTTTCCAGTTTTCTTTTTGTAACTGATTTGTAGTTTTATACCATTGTGGTCAGAAAAATACTTGATATGATTTCAATCTTAAATGTGTTAAGACTTGTTTTGTGGCCTAACATGTATGTATCTTGGAAAATTTTCTGTGTGGGCTTGAAAAGACAGTATGTTTTGATGCTTCTGGATGGAATTTTTTGTATGTCTATTTATTCTATTTGCTCTAAAGTATAATTCAAGTGCATCTTTTTCTTATTGGTACCCTGTCTGGATGATCTATCCATTGTTGAAAGTAGACTACTGAAGTATCTTCCTATTGAATTGCTTTCTATTTCTCTCATTGTATTTTAATATTGCTTTATATATTTAGGTATTCCAATGTTGGGTGCATATTTACAATGGTAAATTGTACTGAATTCATGAATTGACTCCTTTATCATTATATAATGACTTTCTTTGTCTCTTATTACAGTTTTTGACTAATAGCCTATTTTGTCTGATATAAGTATAGCTCTCCCAGCTCTCTTTTGGTTTCTGTTTCCATGGAATATATTTTCCCATCACTTAACTTTTAGACTATGTGTGTTATTAAATCTGAAGTGAGTCACTTGTAGGCAATATAGAGTTGTCTTGTTTTTTTTTAAAAAAAATTCATTTTGTTTTTCATTGTAGAATTTAATCCATTTACATTTAAAGTAATTATTTTTCAATAATTACTTACTAGTTATATCTTGTCAATTGTTTTTGGCAGTTTTGTAGACTTTTTTTGTTCCTTTATTTTTCTTTGCTGTCTTCCTTTGTAATTTGATGATTTTCTGTAGTAGTATGCTTTGATTTCATATATATATGTATTTTATATATATTTCATATATATGTATTATATATATTTCATATATATGTATTATATATATATTTATACATATGTATTATATATATATTTCATACATATGTGTTATATATATATTTCATACATATGTGTTATATATATATTTCATACATATGTGTTATATATATATTTCATACATATGTGTTATATATATTTCATACATATGTGTTATATATATTTCATACATATGTGTTATATATATTTCATACATATGTGTTATATATATTTCATACATATGTGTTATATATATTTCATATATATCATGTATTATATATTTCATATATATCATGTATTATATATATTTCATATATATCATGTATTATATATATTTCATATATATCATGTATTATATATATTTCATATATATCATGTATTATATATATTTCATATATATCATGTATTATATATATTTCATATATATCATGTATTATATATATTTCATATATATCATGTATTATATATATTTCATATATATCATGTATTATATATATTTCATATATAATGTATTATATATATTTCATATATATAATGTATTATATATATTTCATATATATATATATATATATATATGCTTTAGGTATTTTGCTTTGTGATTACCATGAGGCTTATATAAAAATCTATAGTTATAATAGTCTGTTTTAAGCTATTAGCAACTTACCTTCAATCATATACAAAAATTTGACACTTTTACTCTTCTATTTTATATTTTTCATGTTACAGTCTACATCTTTTTATATCGTAGTCCATTCACAAATTAGTGTAGCTATCAGCCTCTTCTGGCCAGCAGGGATTCTGCTGAGAAATCTGCTGATAGACCTATGGAGTTCCCTTGTATGTTATGAATCTTTTTTCTCTTGCCTTCAAAATTCTTTGTCCTTGATTTTTGACAGTTTAATTATAATGTGTGTGTGAAGTCTTCATTGGGTTCAGCCTTATTAGAGATCTTTGAGCTTCATGTATTTGAATGTCCATATTGCTCTCTAGATTTGGGAATTTTTCAGCCATTATTTCTTTAAATAAGCCTATTCCACTTTCTTTTCCACCTAAGATTCCTATAATGTGAAAATGTAGTTATCTTGGTGATGTCCCATAAATCCTTTTTGTTCTTTTTTGCCTGACTGGAGATTTTTAAATGACCCCTCTTCAAGTTCATAAATTCTTTCTTCTGCTGGATCAAGTCTACTGTTGATGCTATTACATTTTTCATTTTATTCATTGTTTTCTTTACCTCCAGAATCTGTTTTTATTAATGATTTCTATCTATTGAACTTCTCACTTTGTTCATGTATTGTTTTTCTGATTTCATTAAGTTGTCTGTGTTCTCTTATAGCTCCCTCACCTTCCTTAAAACAATTATTTTGGATTCTTTTTCATGCCATTCATAGAGCTCCATGTCTTTGGGGTTGGTTATTGGAATATTACCATGTTTCTTTGGTGGTATCATGTTTTCTTGATTTTTCTTCTGGTTTCTTGAAGTACTGTGTTGCTGTCTTTGCATGTGGAGAACGCAGTCTTTACTAACTGGCTTCCAGAGAAAAATGTCTTTACCAAACAGCCCAGTTAAAGATTCTGAGGCTCTCTCAGACCTTTTCTATGGATGTCCCTACTCCACACCTCTTATTCTCTCTTGGGGAGGAATTCTTAAGAATGTATCCCTCTCTGAATTCCACAAAGCTGGACCAGGTGCTGAGAGCTGCCTGTTTGTTTTTTCTAGGGTGGTTCCCTAAATGCTCAAGTTGTATGACTTCTCCCAATCCTGCAAAGTTGTGTTGGCTGTCTGCATAAAATGCTTACTTTCAGTCCATAGGAGCATGCTTGGGCTGCTGGCCTACAGCAGTTGGGGGAGAATGGGGCATGCAGAGTTTTTGAGGCAACTGTTGACTAGTTATGAGGTGGCCCATAGGCAAAACATCTCAAATGGCTCATGAGTTGGCTTCCCAACAGAGTCCATGGAGTGGTTACTTGGGCCTATGGCCTCTCTTCTCTGCTCCCAGCCTCTTCCAACCACTCAGCCATGCTGATCACCTCAGTATTCTGGATGAGGCAAGAAAACAGTAGGACTCTTGGGCAGCGTCCCACACAGCTAGGGAAGCTTGGTGCTTACTCTCTATACTCTCACTTTCCCCTGTGGGAGAATCAAAGGCTGGGGAGGGTGGCAGGGAGTCTCTCTTTTCACTGAGCTGTGCTGCCTTGAGGGAGGTGTGATACAGGTGAAATTAAACTGGTCTTAAACCTCTTCGATTTGTCTGTTTGGGGAATTTTTTTTTTTCTCCAATGGCATGCTGGAACTTTTCTGCTGGAGTCCCATAAAGGTACACTTGTCTATAAGTAGCTGTCAAAATTGATCCTTCTGCAGGGAGATGATAGTAGAAAGCTCCTCTTCCACCATCTTGCTGATGTCACTCTAGTGGTACCTTTTCTGAAAGCTCATTGTATCAGAAGAAGCTGAACACATCTTCAGCAGTAAACAAGAAACTTATTCCCATTTTCATCACTTAGTATAGTGGGCTAAGGAATATAACCATAGTATTTATATGTCCTGCCTATCAAATATTACGTTACATAATTAATGTTAAAATTGAATAAACAGAAGACTCAGCTTCTCTTTTTAAAGCCTAATGCACAAAATGCTATATTAAATTCCAAAGCATTATGATAAAAAAATGAGAGAAGAACTGTATTGGGTAATAATGAAAAAATTTCCAGTAAGATTCATGGACATTTTGGGTAATTTAATTCATGAGAATCATATAAAAATAAATACAAGTAGTTTTATTATCAGTTTGGGAAGAAATTATTTTATTTATTACTTGTTATTTCTATGCTCAGTATGGCAAAATTAATCATTAACCTAACGCTAAAAATCACATTATAAGTTAGATAGAAGTTCTATAGCCTAGAAACATTGAAAATGGAAGAAAACATAGACTCAGGCCAGAGGTCGTAAGTTGGCAATTTAGGGACCAATTTTTATCTACATACATATTTTAGCCTCCCACAGTATTTTTTGTAACAAAACTTTGAATCAATTGTTACATTTAAAAACAAGAAGAGTTTAGATGGAAAAAAAAATTAAGTTTTCATCTTCTCTTGAAAAAACAGACTGACAATATTGGACTATCTTCTTGCATAACAACATTCAACTGTAGCAGTCATCTCCTATACTGGAATGTGCTGTCTCTAATTTATCATTGACTCTACCACCCAGTCGATTTTCTTTTTCTTTGCTTACCGTCAACCTGCAGAAACATGATTTCTAAGAACTTCACTGAGATGTAGCCATGTCATTTCATCTTTCTGCTTTATTTCCTTTATTAGAAGTAGTCTTCTTTATTTCAAATAGAAGTTTTAGCAGCATAATTAGATATGGTCAAAGTGATGAAGTAGAATTACAAAAGAAAATATTTTAAGTCATGATTTCAGTCAATAATTACATACTTACAAATAGTAGCTTTATCTTGTGCTGCTTTTAATACAACAAGTCCACATTTATTGCTATTTTTCCAATATACTGTAGTTATGATATGTACTCTGTTTTTTAAAATTGCAGTTACCTAAGCCTATTTTTAACTTCAGCCTTAAAAAACACAAATTTCAATGACAAAATGAAAATGCTCAAATTGCTGTGTGTATTTATTCACAAACAAAATTAGTGTTTTAATTATTCAAATATAATACTATATTTTATATTTATCCTTGGCTAATTTCATAAGAATTAATCAAATTTAAAGCTATAATTAATTTTAGTTTTGATTTGCTAATCTCATAAAAATTTATATCCATGCTAAAGCCAAGTTCACAGACTATGATATGCTTAAGGCAGGTACAAATTTAGTTTTATTTTATAACTACCATATCCTTGCTTGATGTGGCAGAGTTTTTGTATCAGCTTCAGTAACATATGTAGCAGAAACTTCTGTTTGTTAGACAAGGTTATTTTATTTTCTTAGGTTTTTTTAAAAAATTGTTTTTCTTGGCCAGGCACGGTGGCTCACGCCTGTAATCCCAGCACTTTGGGAGGCCAAAGCAGGTGGATCACCTGAGGTCAGGAGTTCAAGGCCAGCCTGACTAACATGGTGAAACCCTGTCTCTACTAAAAATACAAAAATTAGATGGGCATAGTGGCAGGTGCCTGTAATCCCAGCTACTCAGGAGGCTGAGGCAGGAGAATCTCTACTCAGGAGGCAGAGGTTGCAGTGAGCTGACATGGCACCATTGCACTCCAGGCTGGGTGACAGAGCAAGACTCCATCTCAAAAAAAAAATTGTTTTTCTTTCATTTATTTTTTTAAAAAACATTCAATTACCTTCACTATGATCCCTTTTTACCAAAATTGTAAATATATAATGGAATATAGAAATATAAAATACATTATAAATATATAATTATGTTATAAATAAATAATGGAAATACCTGAAATTTTTAAACCTGAAAACTGCTGAGCAAGTCCCCCTTTAAGTTGCACCACCAATTAAAATAAAGGTGAAATTTTAGAAAAGGGGGAAAGAAACCTACACAATCAGGCATATAAGCAGGGAATGATGTCTACGTGAATTATAAATTTGCCATAGATAATACTGAATCACTGTTCATTAGGACAACCACTCCACTTATTTCTCTTCTACTGTATTTGTCCAGGTGGGGTAAAACCTTGTGCATTAAACTGCTTGGCTGAAGGTTATAATTTCTACACTGAACGTGCTCCTGCGGTGATCGATGGGACCCAGTGCAATGCGGATTCACTGGATATCTGCATCAATGGAGAATGCAAGGTTGCTCAGATTTTACTCCTTTCTGTTGGGGTTTTTGAGACTTTTATCTTTTTCTCATTAACTCCTATTTAATACTATGTTTAATTTTTTAAAAAAAGGGGACCACATTTTAGAGAAATTCAATTTCCATTAAGAGTAATAAAATATGTAAAGGTAAAATGACCCATTCATATTCAAGCACCATACAAATGTACTTTATTCTGGTATTCTAGTTATTTTTACAGTGATTGCCAGAAGTATGAAAATATTTTGGATTTTAATTTCCGTTATTCTTCTGTTCTGTTTACAAACAAGATGATAGAAAAAGAGAGAGAATGAGGATTCAGCTCTTATTCATATTTCTACCATATGTTCTTTTTGGAAGATTATTTGATACATTTCATAGCATAAATTTTCCTCAAAGTGTGAAACAGCCATGCTCCTCCTACTTTATCTCCTTTTGAAGCATTTACAATGGTTTTCATTGTGGAATTAGTCTTTATCTTATTAAAGCATTTACTTTAGGGAATTAGTCAGACTAGTTGGGAATTGTAGGAGCAAATCCATGCTATTTTCCTAGACCTGTGTATGATTGTAACATAATAAGAAAAGCCACAAAAACCACTATTTTCATAAATTTTTTTACTTGTCTGGTTTTGTTTTACTTTAAAGAGAAGGACAAATTAAGTGCTTCAAACTGAGAAAGACAAGATAAAAAGCACCATTTTACTTAGTCTCATAATTTCTTGGAAAAGTTTCTATCCTTCTGGCTACTTGTCTGCAAATATATCTGATGATTCAGTTTGTGTATGATATTTGTGTGTGTTTATGTATCTGTGGGCAAGGGGTAGTTTATTTTCTTGAAGAAAAAGTTATTTTTGTAGTAGTATTCAAGTTTTTCAAATAACAAAGACCCAAGTATGGTTTTTATTCACGGATTACCTTATTTTTCTTTTCTTTACTGGAAAAACAAGCAAATAAATAAGTTATATGTATTTCATTAGTTATGATTCCAAGAATTTCTCTCTTGACACACTGAATATTCCTCTCTGTTTTCAGCACGTAGGCTGTGATAATATTTTGGGATCTGATGCTAGGGAAGATAGATGTCGAGTCTGTGGAGGGGACGGAAGCACATGTGATGCCATTGAAGGGTTCTTCAATGATTCACTGCCCAGGGGAGGTGAGTATGTAGAGAGAACTCTTCCTCACACCTCTGGTGTACTTGGAGGAGCCAAAACCCTCGCTTCGCCTCCCCCTGTTTTTCAGATTTCTTTATTTAGGCAGACAATGTTTTCTTCCCCAAATTGCTTTCAGTCATTTTAGTGTTAAATGTGGCTTCAAGTAAAATATTTTAAGGAAATATTCTCTCTCTCTACTTAACTTCATTTAGCCATGTTTCTTAAAGGTGTACATTCTCACAGAGGATTGATATGAGGGGCATGTGCTGAGGAAGAAAAGGAACCATTATTCGTGTTGAGGCTTTTAAAATATCTTGAGATAATTTTAGAGAAAAAGACTGTTAAATACTGTTTCTCTAAAATGTATTCATGAACCCAAAGGGTAATTTGCCCATATTTCATAATTCATAAAATGCAAAGTCAAAGAGAGAATGGAATAATAAGGAAACTATTACTATTGAATGGTTACCAAATACTCATTTCCTGACCAAGGCTGCTTAATACTGGCTATCTTCTGTGTTCCAGGCTACATGGAAGTGGTGCAGATACCAAGAGGCTCTGTTCACATTGAAGTTAGAGAAGTTGCCATGTCAAAGAACTATATTGGTATGTTAGACTGGTATGCTAGTTTGCTGGATTTTAAAAGTAAATGAGGAAAAGTAGCACAGTATCATGAAGGAAAAGGCATGCTTCTTTGAGGTAGATCACTTTCATGCTAAAATGAAGTAAGCTCTAAGTTTTATAGAACACATATACAATGCTAAAGAGAAAAATTAGAGTTTATAGCTTACTCTTCACCGGGTTATTTTATATATTTAAAAAATCAGGCCAGGCGCTGTGGCTCACACCTGTAATCCCAGCACTTTGGGAGGCCGAGGCGGGTGGATCACAAGGTCAGGAGATCGAGACCATCTTGGCTAACACAGTGAAACCCCATCTCTAATAAAAATACAGAAAAATTAGCTGGGTGTGGTGGTGGGCGCCTGTAGTCCCAGCTACTCGGGAGGCTGAGGCAGGAAAATGACGTGAACCCAGGAGGCAGAGCTTGCAGTGAGTGGAGATCCTGCCACTGCACTCCAGCCTGGGGGACTGAGCGAGACTCCGTCTCAAAAAAAAAAAAAAAATCACTATCTCAAAGAGATATCTACACTCACATGATCATTGCAGCATTATTCACAATAGCTAAGATATAGAAACAACATAAACGTCTGTCAACAGATGAATGGATTAAAAAACTTATTTTATCTGTATGCAATAGAATATTATTCAGCCTTAAAAAAACAAGGAAACTATTCATTTGCAACAATATGGATGAACCTGGAGAACGTCATGCTAAGCTAAATAAGCCAGACACAGAAAGGCAAATACTGCATGATCTCATTTATACGTGGATTCTAAAAAAGTCAAACAGAGAGTGTAAGAGTATTTACCAGGGGGCAGGGAGGAGGTGGAATGGGAAGATGTTGGTCAAATAGTACAAACTTTCAGTTATAAGAGGAATAAGTTCTGCACATCTAATATACTTTAGTTAATAAAATGTATCGTATACTTGAAATTTGTTAAGAGAATAGATCTTATTGTCACCACATACAAAAAAGGCAACTGTAGGAAGTTATGGATATGTAAATTAGCTTGATTGTGGTATTCATTTCACAATGTTTATGTATGTTGAATCATCAGATTGTACACCTTAAACTTAATATTTTATTTGTGAGTTATACCTCAACAAAGCTGGAAAAAAAAGAAAGTATGAAAATATTTCCCAAAATGGATGTATTATTTTATATTTCTATCAGTAATATAGAAGAGTTCCAGCTGCTCTACATCCTTGTCAATACTTGGTATTGTCAGTCTTTTTAATTTTATCCATATGGATTTTTTTGTAGTGAAGTGTCTACACAAATATTTTACCCATTTAAAATTTTTTTTTCCTTTTTTTGAGTTATGAGTTCTTTATATATTCTGGATATAAGTCTTTGTCAGATATATTTTATGGATATTTTCTCCTAGTTTCTGCTTGCGTCTTCATTTTTTGAAGTGCCTTTTAATTTTGATGAAATTCAATTTATTAATTTTTTAATGGTTTGTGCTTTCATGTCCTATCTTAGAAATTTTACCTGCTCCAATATTGCAAAGATAGTTTTCAGTATGTAAGAAGTTATAGTCTTTATTTTTATGTTTAAATATATGGTCTACAAAATATAAAATATATTTATTAAATGTAAAATACAAATGCAAAATATAGTCATTAAAGACGTGTATTGTGCATACTACGACTGATACCTATGAGGGGGAGAGACAACCAGGCAAATCTATTTGGGGAAGAACAATTATTTATTTACTTGAATAACACCCTATCCTTTGATTTAACACTTAGAGTAATGACTTAAGACTTAAAACTATGATAAGAAATGTAAGATACATGAAATTCAAAAATAAAATTGAAAAACACATACAGTCAATTTTAAGTTAATTTTTATATAAGGTATAAAGTAAGGGTTGATGTTCCATTTTTTCATATGAATATTCAATTGCTCTAACACTACTTGTTGAAAAGACTATCACTTCTTCCATTGAATTACCCTGACACATTTGTGAGAGATCAATTAAGCATACATGGATGAGTCTATTTCTGTTCTCACCCATTGATCTAGGTTTCTGTCCTTAAACCAACACCACACTGTGTTGAGTAATCGAGCTTCCCAGCGGGTCTTGAAATCCAGAAGCATTAGTCCCTGAATGTGTTCTTTTTCAACATTATTTTTGCTTTTCTAGGTCCTTTATATTTCTATATACATATTAGCATGAACTTGTCAATTGAGACAAATCTTTTTATACAGAAAGAGAGTATATGGAATCTATAGGTTAATTTGTGGAGAATTGACATCTTAAAAATACTGAATTTTCTAATACATGAAAAGATTTACCTCTACATTTATTTAGGTCTTTTTAAAATTTTTTCACCAATGTTTCATTTTCAGTATATAGGTCTTGCACACATGTTCTGTTAAATCTAATCATGCTTTTTGGTGCTATTGTAAATATTATTGTATTTTAATTTAATTTCCAGTTTTTTGTTGTTAGGGAATAATATAGTTTATTTCTTTTTATATTGCCCTCATGTCCTGAGACCTGGTTCACTCACATATTACTTCTAACAGTTGTTTTGTAAATTCATTTGGATTTTCTCTATAGATTATCATGTCATCCTCGAACAAAGGCACTTTTACTTCTATCTTTCCAATCTTTATGCCCTTTATTTCTTTTTTCTTGCCTTATAACAGAGTTCATGACCTTTAGTACAATGCTGAATAAATGAGGAGACTAGGCAGCCTTTTGTTTTCAACCAATCATAAGGGCAAATCATTCCTTGTTGTTATTGTTTTTAACCATTAAATATAATGTTAGCTAGAAGATTTATGTAATGACCTTTGTCAGTTTGAGGATGTTCCCTTCTATTTCTAGTTTTTATTAGAGTTTTAGTCATGAATGGGTATTGAAGATGTCTGAATCTATTGACATGATTAGGTGGGGTTTGCCCTCCCTTTCCCTGTTAATATAGTAAATAAATTGATTGATTTTCAAATGTAAAATCCATGTAGTATTCTTGGGATATAAACCACTTTTTCATGATCTATTATTACTCTTATATATTGCTGGAATTGATTTGCTAATATTTTATTAAGAATATTTGGACCTATGTTCATGAGAGATATTTTTCTAGAGTCTTTCTTGTGATTTCTTTGCTGGTTTTTGTATCAGGTTAAGCCTGGCTTCATGAAATGGCTTTAGAAGTGTTCCTTTCTCCTCTGTTTTCTGGAAGTCTGGAGAGAATTGTTTCTTAATGCTTGATAGAATTCAACTGTGAAGCTATCTAGAATGGAGTTGTCTTTGTGGAAAGTTTTTAATGAAAAATTCAATTTTTATAACAAAGTTTTCAAATTTATTGGCATAAAATTATGCATAATATTTTCTTATTATCTTTTTAATATCTGTAGGATCTGTAACAATGGCTCTTCTTTTCATTTTCCGTACTGAAAATTTGTCTCTTTACCTTGATAATCCTAATGAGGGCTTTATTGTATTGATCTTTTTAAAGAACAAGCTTACAGTTTAAATGATTTTCTCTATTGTTTGTCTATTTTGCATTACATTGATTCCCACTCTTCTTTTTTTTTTGAGACGGAGTCTCGCTCTGTTGCCCAGGCTGGAGTGCAGTGGCGCAATCTCGGCTCACTGCAAGCACCGCCTCCCAGGTTCATGCCATTCTCCTGCCTCAGCCTCCCGAGTAGCTGGGACTACAGGCACCCACGTTGACGCCCGGCTAATTTTTTTGTAATTTTAGTAGAAACGGGGTTTCACCGTGTTAGCCAGGATTACCTCGATCTCCTGACCTCATGATGCACCCGCCCTTCGGCCTCCCAAAGTGCTGGGATTACAGGCGTGAGCCACTGCGCCCGGCTAATTCCCACTCTTCTGTTTGTTTCTTTTTTTCTATTCACTTTGTTTTAATTTGTTCTTATTTTTTCTAGCTTCTCAAGATACAAACTTAAATTACTGATTAAAAATCTTTTTTCTGCTATAAAACAAGCATTTTTTTTACCATAAATTTTGTCAGACATATGATACATTTTATTTTCCTTATGAAGTTTTAAATATTTCCTTATTTATCTTGTGACTCATGACTTAGAAGGTATTATTTAATTTCCAAATATTTTGGTGTTTCACAAATACTTTTCTGATACTGATTTCTAGTTTAATTGTATTTTGGACAGAAAACACACCTTATATGATTTTAGTTTTTTGTTAAGGTTTTTTTATAGTCTAGCACATGTGCACTTGAGAAGAATGCATATTCTGCTATTTTGGGGTTAGTATTCCATTAATGTTCATGAAATTAAAGGACACAACTATCCTTTGGTTGGATAGTTTTTTCACATTTTTTATATTCTTATTTGCTGCCTTCTTGTTGAAGAATTACTGAAAGAATTACGTCGATATCTCCCATTAGAATTGTGGATTTGTTTACTGTTCTTATTAATGGCAAAAGCTGCGATTACTTTTGCACCAACCCAATAGTTTGTAAGATTTTTGCTTCATTTATTTTGAAACTATGTTTTAGGTGTATAGACATTTATGATTGTTACATCTTCTTGATATATTGAGCATTTTATGATTTTCAAATGTTCCTCTGTATTCCTGATAATATTCTATGACCAGTCTGGCATGGTGGCACATGCCTGTAATTCCAACCACTCAGGAGGCAGAGGCAGGAGAATCATTGAGCTTAGGAGTTTGAGATCAGCCTGGGCAACATAGTGAGATACCCATCTCTTAAAAATATTCTTTGATGCAAAGTCTGTTTTATCTGATACTAATCTAGCTACCCCAGCTGTCTTCTGATCAGTGTTTGCATGGTAAATCTTTTTCTATCTATTCACTTTTCATATGTAGGTACGTCTGTCTTTAAAATCTGTTTCTTGTAGAACACATGTAGTTTAATCTTGATTTCTTATAATGTCTAACAATCATTGCATTTTTAAATTCTAATCTTTAGTTTGGTGGGGGGGTTGGGGGTCGGCAACTATCGCTGTTAAGGGTCAGACAGTAAATCTTACAGTCTGTGTTACAACTATTCACTTCTACCATTGTAGTGTGAAAGCAGACATAGGTAATAAATAAATGGGTGTGACTGTGTTCCAATAGAACTTTATCTACTAACACAGGAGGTGGGTCATAAGTTTGGTGACTTCTTGTTTAGATCATTTATATTTAATGTAATTATCAATATCGTTGGGTTTAAGCCTACCATCTTGCTGTTTTTCTGTTTGTCCTGTGTGTTTTTTTTCCGTTTAATCCTCCTTTCATGCCTTCTTTTAGAATAACCATGGGTTTTATTGTATTCCACTTAATCTCTAATAAATAGCTTATTAGCTATACTTCTTTGCTCTGTTTAATTAGTGGTTGCTTTATGATTTACAAAATGCGTTTTTAATTTATCATAATACATTGCCAAATAATATTGCACCATTTTATGTATAATGTAAGACCCTTACAACAGTTTACCTCCATTGTCCCATTCCATTCTTTGTGCTGTTTTTTTTAATACTTTCTACTTCTTTATATGTTATAAATCCCACAATATATGGTTATTATTTTTGTTTCAAAGAGCCAATTATCTTTTTAAAAAATTTTAAAACAAGCAAAATTATTTTGTATTTACCCACATATTTACCATTATCTGGCATACTTCCTTTCTTTGTATAGATCTCAGTTTCCATCTATTATAAATATGTGTGTATATACATGTAATGTCATCATGTTTCTTCTCATTATGTTTTCCTTTAAAGTTCTTGCATATATTTATAATAGCTACTTGAAAATTATTTTCTGCTAATTCCATAATTTTTGTTATTTCTGGGTCTGTTTCTTTGGCTTTGCCTTCCTCCTGTTTGAATCACATTCTCCTCCTTTTCCACATTGGTAGTAATTTCTCATTGGATGTTGTACACTGTGAATGTTTCTTTGTTGAGAGCCTGGATTTTGATTTATTTTTTTAAAGGGTGTCAAGTAACTTGTAGATCTGCTTGATCCTTTTGATGTTTGCTTTTGAGCTTTGTTTGGGTAAATCCAGAATATTCTTTATTCTAGAGCTTGCTCAGCCCTCCTGCAAAAGCATGATTCTTCTTGGGTCTCTACTGAATGGCCTGGTGATTGAAATGCAGTAGTTCTGCTTACAGCTCCACAGTAGATTTTTTGCCTGGCTTTATGTAATTTTATCCTATACATATGCAGATCAATATTCAGCAACAGATTTCCTCCTTCCTCTCTTGTTCTCTGGTCCTGCATATTCCAGCTATGTCAGCCTTCCCAGTTTCTGATCTCTCTTCTTCACTTGGTGAGACCACTGTGTTCTGCTTGGGTTCTCCACCTAAAGAAAGTGTCTCCAAGCAGAAAGTTGTGGAGATCATGGTCTCTGCACAGTTCTGGTCAATGCATGAGAAAAGCTGATTCATATATTTTATGAGTTTTCTGATTATTTACAATGGGAGGGCAATTCTAATACCAGTTATTTCAGCATGAAAGTGAGGAGAAGTTCTATTTATTTGATGTTTAATCCTTTGAGATAGTTTTAGTCTCTCCAGAAACCCTTAGTGAGACCTAAATGAGTTTTTATTTTAGTTAAAATATCATTCCATTTCTCTTAAAGCTTTTAAAAATAAGGGTACATCCAGAGTGTGTCTTCAGGCAGAATATCAGTATCATCAGGCTCTTCTTTTATTTAAGAAGACTCCTTTATTTTTACACCATAATTTTGAATTATTTTCTCCATCAATAATACTCAAAACAAAAAGATTTCTAGCCTCAGCTTTTTCCCCCTTTGGTAATTCTCTTTTCATAATGCACTTCATCTTCCTTTAGTCATTCTTCCTTAATGCCTCTTAAATGGTTGGTGTTTTTCTGAGCTACATTATGGCACCATTAGTTATATATTCCTAGCAGCCAAGAGGTGTTAGAATTCCTTCATTTAGTAGTTGTAAAAAAAAAAAAAGGAAGTGAGAGCTCAAACTGAAGGAGAATTTAAAGCCACATAGTTGTTTTTATCTTTATTTTTACTATTTCATATATGACAGTCTCAGATGTCCTTATAAAACCAAATGTTTTAAACTAGACAGAAAACCACTGCAAGTGAGAGTTGAAAATAAAAAATTTTAAGTACACAAAAAGTTCAAGGCCAGGTATTTCTTCTATTTGCTTGTTCCTATCTCAAAAGGTTAATTAGATTTATTTTGAAGATTAAATGAATCTTCAAAACATGTCTGAAGTTAAGAAACTACAAATATTTTTGCCAGGCAAATGGGGGTCGGGAGATGACAATGGTCTGTAGTATGAAGGACAAGAGCTGGAGGTCTAGGGAGTCAGAGACTCTGCACCATGACCCTTTAGTCCTTTTGGGCTACTTGTTTATCAGGTCTGACGAATCAAAGTTTTTGCAGTCAGCTAGCATACTAACAAAATATTAAGCTGACATGTTTATTTGTTTCCTGTTTGTTTATAGGAGTTTTTGTACGGTAGTACTAAAAATACTTTTTCAGCTACATGTGCTTTTAAACTGTGTGTGTGTGTGTGTGTGTGTGTGTGTATTTCTTGTAAGAGATTTTTTTAAAGTATGCATGTTTATCTATCAATATTTTTTCTGAGTTTTTTGTCATGCTTAGAAATTTTTCACAACACAATATTATGAGAAAAAAAGTTCTTTTATATTTTCTCCTGACATTTTAAGATTTAACTATTTTTATATTTAAATATTTACCCATCTGGCATTTATCCTTTCTCTTTTTTTAACTTTGTTTTTATTGAGGTGAAATTAACATTACATAAAATTAACCATTTGAAGTGAACAATTAAGTGGCGTTTGAAACATTCCAAACATTTACATCACCCCAGAAAAAAACCCATATCCATTAAGCAGGTGAATCCCCATTCTCCCCATTCCCCATCCCCTGGCAACTACCCATCTGCTTTCTGTCTCTGTGGCTTTTTACCTACTCTGGACATTTTATATAGATGGAAGCATACTATATGTGATCTTTCCTGTCTGGTCTCTTCCATTTAATGTTTTTGAGTTTCATCACATTATAGCTTGTTATCAATACTTCATTACTTGTTATGGCTGCATAACATTCTGTTACATTATAATACCACAATTTGTTTATTTATTCATCCACTGATGAACATTTGTGTTGTTTTGATTTGGTGCTACTGGAAATAGTGCTACTATGAATATGTGTGTCCAAGTATTTGTTTGAGTACCTGTTTTCAATTCTTTTGGATATGTGCCTAGGAGTTGAATTGTGGCATTTATTCTTATATAAAGAAAGAAATATAAATTCAGCATTTTTTTGCCAAAAGAATAGTCTTTTGCCTTAGCCCCATTTCTTGTTCTTTCCTTTACTAATTTAAGATACTTCCTTTATCATAAACAGAATTCCCATATGAACTTGGGTCTATTTCTTAAATCTCTTTGATTCGTGTTCTGTCGATCAGTCTGTGTCCAAGTGCAACAGGTTGTCCCCACCCCATATCCATTTAATTACTATTTCAGTATTTGGAAAGGAAAGCCTGCTCCCCACCCTCATGTTAAGTCTCATCCCTAGTTATTCCTTTTCTCATAATTTTCCTTGTTACTTCCACATGTTTATTCCTCCAGGTTAACCTTTCGTTGCTTTCTATTAGTGACATTATAAATACTTAAGTAATATCTTCTTACCATTCACATGAAAAATACCATTTTAATTTGTACTTAAGAATATGGTCAAGAGTCACATCTCTAAATGGAAATCGGTATTCATTGTATACTTTATTGCAGTAATTAATCAGTGACACTTTGGTAAATGAAATTTCACATTTTTAGGTGAATTGTGATTTGTTTTCTAGCTTTAAAATCTGAAGGAGATGATTACTATATTAATGGTGCCTGGACTATTGACTGGCCTAGGAAATTTGATGTTGCTGGGACAGCTTTTCATTACAAGAGACCAACTGATGAACCAGAATCCTTGGAAGCTCTAGGTCCTACCTCAGAAAATCTCATCGTCATGGTAAATGCGTCTTTGCCATTGTATTTCTTCTGTTTTTAATTCCCCCTTGTGAGGTAGGAAGGGGCAGGTTTTATTATCTCTGCTTTACAGGTGATGAAATTAAGGTAAATAAAGATAAAATGATTTACCCAAGGGTGTTAGAGCTGTGCAGAGTTAAGGCCATAGTGCTCTTGCTTGAATAGTATTTTTATAACCAAACAAGACAGATGAAAGCAATGGCTCCAAAATACCCATGAAAATGGGAGGAGAAAATTTGATATAAATGCATGTGTTTTATATTAAGTTTCCTGTAAGACTTGTTTTGACATTTTCTTCTTCAAAAGGAATAATAAATATCTGAATGAAGGCTCATTGTATTTTAATTGTCTTCACCAGTTGTTTTCAATGGCAGGTTCTGCTTCAAGAACAGAATTTGGGAATTAGGTATAAGTTCAATGTTCCCATCACTCGAACTGGCAGTGGAGATAATGAAGTTGGCTTTACATGGAATCATCAGCCTTGGTCAGAATGCTCAGCTACTTGTGCTGGAGGTAAGATGCCCACTAGGCAGCCCACCCAGAGGGCAAGATGGAGAACAAAACACATTCTGAGCTATGCTTTGTGTTTGTTAAAAAAGCTAATTGGAAACATTTCTTGCAGGTTTGCTTCAAGCTGTAATTTAGCAAAAGAAACTTTGCTTTAATTATATTATATTCCATTTGTTTTCAACCTCATGTAATTTGTGCAGATTTGTTGGTAAAATACATCTTGGCACAATGAGTGTCTCTGCTGGTGCTTCTCCCAAGACTATCTTGAAGGTGGGCTGTTTGCCTTTCGTGAACACATTCTTGGTAAAGAACATCAAAAGTTTTAAAAAAGAAAATGAGCAAGAATCAGACATCACAGATGCAACTTCTTGTAATGGGAGATGAGAATGTACGGCTGTGTGCTTGTTGTGTGTGTTTGTGTGCCTGTGTGTTTGCCACAATCCTATTCAAACTCCCTTCTCCTGCCATCAAAGTTAAGGGGCTGTATACTGGGATGCTACAATAATTACTGGTATCTGGGTTCTGGGTTAATGGTGTATACTGACCCCATTACAGTCCCTCAGAGGTAGCTGCTAGGCGGTGGTTGGTGATGTGTTGGTTGTCCCATGTGCGTTTTTCATGGGTGCCTTTTCCCTACAATTTACTCTATTCCTAATCCTCCTCCCTCTAGTGGCCACCAATGCAATTCTTTACCTCTGGCTGGGAGAGCAGGACAGTTGGCTTCCTTCAAAGCCAACACCCTTGCTGCTGCATGGACTGGTGAGTAGAAGTGCTGTGCAAGCAGCATCTTCCTTCTCTCTGGAGACTAAATGCATCGCCTCCACCGTACACCTTGATCCTAACAGGCAAGGAAACAAACCTGTCCTTCAGGCCTAGGCTGGACTAGATCACCTCACCATTCCAGAAGCAAAGATTAAATTTTAAATAGTGATATTTATTTTGGGAAAAATTAAAATAAAGTAAATCATCCAATACATTACCTATACTCCTTTTTTAAACTATGCAGAAATATATGATTTTTATATAGACTTCATCCTGTCTTGTATTTGCATCTTCTGATTTTCAAGTCTTAAATCAGAGAGGTTATTTTTAGAGAAATAATTAACATATAATCTATTCAGTATTTTTATTTTATTTTATTACTTATTACTTTTTTTTTTTTGAGACAGGTTTTTGCTCTGTTGCCCAAGCTGGAGTGCAGTGACACGATCATGGCTCACTGCAGCCTCAACCTCCTGGGCTCAAGTGATCCTCCCACCTCAACCTTCTGAGTAGCTAGGGAGCACGCCACCACACCTGGCTAATTTTAAAAATTTTTGTAAAGACAGGATCTCACTGTGTTGCCTAGGCTTGTCTGGAACTCCTGGCCTCAAGCATTCCTCCTGCCTCAGTCTCCCAAAATGCTGGGATTATGGGCATGGGCCATCACGCCCAGCCTAATTCAGTATTTTTAGTCTCATACAGAATTAAAGCAATGATTAACTACAACTCCAATTTCAATATAAAGTCTATACAACATGAAAAAAACAAAAAAGATGAATAATAATATATTAATGTACTCTACTGTGTAAAGTATCATGAAACATGGTTATGTATAATTCGTGACATATTTTAAAAGATCTCTAGTTCCCATCCATTTTATGTGTAAAATGGCTGGTGATTTGTAATGTAAAGTTTTTAAAGCCATAGGACATTACCATTTTTAAATAAAGAAATATTTGCAACTAATTGATCAAGTATATGCCATTGCATTATTTTTAGTGGCATTTATACATATATCTATCTTTTATCCAATTCAATTCTTTTTATTCTATAAATTAACTTTTCCCTTTGCATATTCCAACAAAAAGTCTTCTAGAACAATACATACATAATTCAGGCCCTGAGGCAAGGTGGGATAAACTTATTAAAGAATAATTTAAATAATTTGAAGTTTAGGAAATCTAATAAGGATAGTCTAAAGTTAAAGTGGATTAGCTTGGAGAAAAGAAAGCTAAGGGGATGCATATTAGCATACGACAGAAGGTTGAATGGGAAATTCTTAGAGCCGCTTCATCTTTGTACTGAAATTGCTATATTTGGGGATGGTTTAGATACAGTCTTGTCTGAGACCAAGAAAGGATTAAATGAATTCTTAATGTTCCTTCAATCCTATGATTCTATTTGTTCAGAAAGGAGATAATCCAACAAAAAAGCAAAGAAGAAGAAGAGGAAAAAGGCCATGAGAACTGAATTTGGAAGAAAAAAATATAATTTTGTTGAAGTCAGAAAGTAAAAAGTCTAAATGAGTGTTATTTTTTTCCATAACACTTGCATTGAGAAATAGAAGTGATTTCTTGTGGTAGGGGGTAAAAAAAAAAAAAAAAAAAAAAAGAGAGAGAAAAGCCTCTGGAAGGGAGAGCTTTCTCTTCCTTGTTATTTATTCTTCTTTCTGTGATCTGGAGCTACTGGTCTTAGATACTGGAGGTGGTTCTGGGAACTCACATTAGGGTTGGTTGTGGGTGATTATGAGCATTCTTGAGGCTATTGCCTTCTTCAAATGAGGGATATAGAGGGCATGGTGTAAAGAGCTGCCATTTGTTTCGGTAAGTGGTTCTTAAAGTCTGGTCCCGCCAGCAGCATCAACATCATTTAGAAACTTGTTAGAAATGCTAATTTGAGCACCCCATTACAGACCTACTGAACAGAAACTCTTCGAGTGGGGCGCATTAATCTGCGTTTCAACAAGCCCTGCAGGTGATTTTGTTGCTCGCTCAAGTTTGTGTACCACTGGTCTTGGCTGACAGAGAAACCAAACCCAGCACTCTAGACACGTGGAATCCGTGTCTTCATCACTGAAGTCTGTGCATCTTTGTAAACTCATTTTGCCCCTAGAACAATATCCGAAACATAGTAGGGGCCCAATAAGTGCACCTTATTGAGCACCTTAATGAGGCCAATGGTGGCCTCCCAAAATGCTAGATGAGTGAATGAGTAAAAGGAATTAATTTTGGCAATTATATATTTGTGCTTGTCCTTTCTAATGTGGGAGATGAAAGTTTAGAGTTGCTACTTTTCTTATAGAGTGGGGCAAAGCTTTGCCAAGGAAAAACAGTATCATTTTAATTAGCATAGGTAGGTAAAACCAAGCTCCTCTCTTTTTTACTTTGTTTTTTTTGTTTATTTTTTGTTTTGTTTTGGGTTTTTTTGTGTTTTGAGACAGAGTCTCACCCTGTCACCCAGGCTGGAGCACAGTGGTGTGATCTCGGCTCACTGCAACCTCTGCCTCCCGGGTTTAAGTGACTATTCCACCTCAGCCTCCCAAGTAGCTCAGACTACAGGCGCCCACCAACACGCCTGGCTAATTTTTGTATTTTTAGTAGAGACGGAGTTTCACCATGTTGGCCAGGCTGGTCTTGAACTCCTGACCTCAAGTGACCCACCTGCGTCAGCCTCCCAGAGTGCTAGGATTACAGGCGTGAGCCACTGCACCCAGCCATCTTGCTTACTTTGAATAGGTGGAAAATATTTCCTAGGATATAGAGTGCAGGAATCAATTGTTGAAGTTGCTCTTCTTACACTTTTAACCCCAGGTTCTTAAGAAGCTTACTTTTAACCCTCACTTTTAACCCCAGGTTCTTAAGAAGCTTATGATTGAGGGAAGTAAAGTCCCTTTAGAGTTTAGGAACTTTGACCCAAGAAAAAGCCAGAGTCATCTTCTCCTTAATGAAACTTCATTTTATCGTTAAGAAACCCTTCAAGAAGTCATTTCTACTTACCTTTCACTCAGAAACTAAGGATGAATTCTAAAGTCAGTTCTTTTTTTGTTGGTTTTTTGTTTTTGTTTTTGTTTTTGCTGTCATTAAGTCTATTGTCTTTATAAGGGACATTTTGGGATGGTTCCACCTCATCATTTTAACTTCTTTCTTGGGCTTCTCATAGACTGGATTCTCTCCTGTGGCAGCAAGAGCTTTCTTATACATCTTCCCCATCATGTCTGGAGTTACACTGTTCTTTATGTGTTGAGAGAACTGTTTCTTGTAAGCATCTTCATCTTCCTCCATTAAGTAGCACATGTAATCTGAAACATTCTGGCCCATGATGTGCTTCTGGTGTACTTCCACATTAAATTATTTGCTTTCAGAATCATAACCAGGGAATTGTTTGGTACTGTGAGGGATAGACAAGCCTCCATCCATAGCTTCCTTTGGGGTGCCAAAAACTTTATTGCCAGTGGTAGTTCTGGCAAGGCCTGCATCCAGATAGCAGATAAAGACACCTGGTTGAACATCAATGCTTTCCACATTATATTCATCTCCAATCAACTCCGCTTGGCCTTCATAGATCTTTTTTTTTTTTTTTTTTTTGAGACGGAGTTTCGCTCTGTCGCCCAGGCTGGAGTGCAGTGGCGCGATCTCGACTCACTGCAAGCTCCGCCTCCCGGGTTCACGCCATTCTCCTGCCTCAGCCTCCCGTGTAGCTGGGACTACAGGCGCGCGCCACCATGCCCGGCTAATTTTTGTATTTTTAGTAGAGACGGGGTTTCACCGTGTTAGCCAGGATGGTCTCGATCTCCTGACCTCGTGATCCGCCCGTCTCGGCCTTCCAAAGTGCTGGGATTACAGGCGTGAGCCACCGCGCCCGGCCGGCCTTCATAGATCTTATCCATGCCAAACCTATTGAAAAGCCTGTGGGCCAGCAGCAGGCCAATATAGTACGCTGCAGCATCATTTGTCAGGCCAATCTTCACACCATATTTTGGCAGTTCATGTGCGTATGCTGTGCAAACTATCATATCCCCTTACATATGGGCATAAGCAATCTGACAAATGGTATCTCTGTTTGTTATGTGAGCTATCAACCTGTATTTGGGTGTGTGTTTTTTATTTATTTATTGTCTGCCACTTGACAGAGACCTGCAGGCCCAGCAGTGCTAGGTGGGAAAAAGGGATAAAGTCAGTTCTTAACTGAGATACTCCATGTTCATCTCTCCAAGGAGGTGCTGGGTGTCTTGAGGCTGTCAAAATTCTTTTAAGTGGCAAAGAGAAAACAAGAAAGATCTCAAAGAACTTTCGGTGGCAGTCTCACAAGATCCTTCAGTGTTCTCACTTGTTATTTTCCTGCATATGTTTTATTAATATCCAGACCTTTGGGCTTTAATTGAGTTTGGGAGCAATAATGATAGCTTTCTCTTATGAGATCTTTTAAGATAAGAAGCTTGAGACTTTTTCTGTTGCTTAGCAGATCCAGTGACAAATCTAATGCTACAGGAAACATTGGTGATTCAGTCCAAGTAATGGTCTTTTCTCTGAGTCAGTAATGAAACACTTCCTTTGCCTCATAAGGAACATTGAGATGCTATGGGGTGTTGTCTTCAGTATATGTGTGATTTTTGAGATACTGCTGTAACTCTTCCTCAGAGAGAAATCCAAGCCCAAAAACATGGCTATTTCCAGAACCATTGCTACTAGAATTTGTTTCTGTATTCCTTACCCAAACATATTTATACTTTATAATTTACTGACTCCCGAATTTATATGCTACCATTGGATTAGTGATTATAATCAGTTGCTAATTAATGAATCTTGTCTGGGTAGGGAAAGTTGTATTGTTTTAAAATACAAAGCTGTAGGAGATTTTTAAAAGTGGTAATTTATGCCAGTATACCTATGCACTGTGACTTCTAAAGTTTCAAATAACAAATACTGTATATTCATCCTTTGATTTTATTCATACATATTCTCTTTTTACGATGTTTGGCTAGATATGTGGTTCTCAAATTTAAGCACACATCAGAGTTACCTGAAGGGCTTGTTAAGACACAGATTGCAATGTTCTACCAACAATTTCTGATTCAGTAGTCTAGGGGAGGCTTTAAGAATTTACATTTCTAAGTTTCCAGGTGTTGCTGGTGCCACTGGCTCAGGAACTGTACTTCGGGGCTCTGGGGTAGACACTTAGATTTCCTAAAGTAAATGCCCACTAAACAGAGTGACAAGTCTTTTAGGTAATAATCTATATTATAGTTGTAACCATAGTATCACTAATCTTTTTGGTGACAGGTGGTTCTACTGCTCAGCTATGCAATAATAAAATTGTAAAGTTTAAAACATTTTCTGGTACTATATTTCATTTGATCATCTTCAGTAGCTCCATAAGATAGGCAATGAAATTACTAGTCATAATTTATAGGTAGAATTCAAGTAATTTGCTGAAATCAAGACCTAGCAACTTAGTCTCTAGTGACCTTTTTAATTTAGTAATGAGGTGTTCTTTTGTAATAAAAAGAGCTTTTTCACCAGTTGGCTGCCTCAGTAGGGAAACATGATATATCCCCACCCATAAAGATCTCCTTCACTAGCTTGAAATTTCATTTTTTCAAATGCCTTCCATAGAGCAATGGTTCTTAACTTTGGCTGCACAATAGAATACCCAAGGAGAACTTTAAACAATGATGATACTTTGTCCCCACCCCCAGAGAGTCTTCTTTAATTGGCTGGGGGTGTGGCCTGGACATCAGGCTTTGAAAAGTTCCATAGGTAATTCTAACATACAGCCCCGGTTGAGAAGTACTGCTTTTGAAACTGATTAAAAGTTTTAGTCTTCAAAAAATTAACATTCAGATGCAAGTACCTCTGGGAGCATTACTAACACAGATCTCTGTTTTTAAGTGGCTACTAGTTGAATTCTAAGGTTATGAGACTTAGGAATGAGTATCTGGGATGGGAAAGTAGAGAGGAGCATCAGAGAAGGGAATGAAAGAAGGAATAGCATGCCACTTAATTTCATAATTTTGTTTAATATGGCCATTGGCCTTGGGCATGCCTATATATTTACAGTTTTCCTTCACTTGGTGGATCATTTATAAACATCCAATTAATGTAATAAATGCTTTTAAAACTGACTGAAATTGTGCTAAACAGATTTCCCAAAGCTCTTTATTCTGATTTCAAGTTTATCTGATACAGAGCTAAAATGAGTAGATGGTCGGGTATTCAACCAACTTTAATTTAGATGCACAAGTCAGAACAGAAGAGGCATATGGCCCCTGTTTGAACTCAGTTATTATGAACACTGATACAATTTGTTTTCTTTTAAATTACAGTTCTAATCAGAGAAGACCTTCATTTTTTAGGAAGTTACTTTCTTTAAGAGAATGAATCTTTGCAGAATGCAGCAATATTCATGATAATTTTCTACCCTACTTTTCTGGGTGTGTTCTCATTTCCCTCTGTTCATACCATTCTCATTTCACTCCCATCCCCTCCTCTTATTTAATATTATACAATGCTTAGGCTTTAAAGTGAAACCTTCCAAAGCCCATTAACTGATAATTGATGCTATAGTGTTGTATTTAACTTTGTACCTGTTCTGTTAGAAAATAAACCTTAAGAATAGTTTATTTGCAGTACAAAGAAATGTCAGAAATACATACGATATTTTATATTTATTATAATTTTATATTTATGCTCTAAATATACAGTCTGTCCTGCCATTGGCTCTATTGACACTCCTGATAACTTTCTCCAATTTTTTTTCCTAGATTTTTCTTTCTTCTTCTTTGAATAGAAGTGCAAAATTGTGTACCAAAGTTTCTGCTAATACACAAAAGCATCTCTCTGCCAAACATTGCTTTGCAGTTCTTTGGGGGAAGAGATAAAGCTATGCTTAGATTACTGAGGAGTTAGGAAGGAGACAGTTTACTGTTAGAGATATTTTTTGTTTTGTTTGAAGATCAAAGAGCACAGATTTTATTTTACATATACTAAATGATTATACAGGAATGTTTCTGATCAATCATCATTGACTATTTAAAATGCTATCATTACTTTTACATTTACATTTACATAGTCTAATTTTATTTGTATGTTTGATGCTTCTTTTATTATACTTTTTCTTCCCTGAATGTCATTTTAAGCCTAATGTATGAGTCTGTGTGTGTGTGTATTTGTGTGTGTGTGTGTGTGTGTGTGTGTGTGAGAGAGAGAGAGAGAGAGAAAAAAAACAGCATATAAACATAGAAGATATTTATGTCTTTCTTTTTTTTGAGCTAGGACAAATTCTTTTTATTTTACTTTTTGAGTCTTTACCTGATTCTTTTTTTTTTTTTTTTTTTTTGAGATGGAGTCTGGCTCTGTTGCCCAGGCTGGAGTGCAGTGGCACGATCATGGCTCACTGCAACTTCCACCTTCCTGGTTCAAGCAATTCCCCTGCCTCAGACTCCCGAGTAGCTGGAATTACAGGCGCATGCCACCATGCCCGGCTGATTTTTTTGTATTTTTAGTAGAGACGGGGTTTCACATGTTGGCCAGACTGGTCTCGAACTCCTGACCCAGGCAATCCACCTGCCTCAGCCTCCCAAAATCATCTGGATTCTTATACATGTTGTGGCTGGTTTCTACTCTTTGAGATTTTTAAGACCATTTATATGATTTCCAACTACTATTTTGAATTTTCCTGATGTGGGACCACGTTTTTCAAACTGTACAAAGGTGCCCAAGGGCACTGCAGAACATTGTACATTTTCAGGGGAAACATAGCGATATTGATCTTACAGCATACAAATCATTACAAAGAAGTTATTTGGAACTAACTACAAGTAAAATTCTTAGTCTTTTTTTTTCTGTCTTGGGGATGTTATTTTTAAAATTAGAGATACTAAGGATACTGTGAACTGAAAAAGTTTGAGAACCCCTGATTTGTAAAATGAGTATCATTAAAGTTGGATTAAAAATGTCACCTAACTTCCTTTTACTAGATGTTGAATTTCATTTCAGAAGAGAAAATAAATGCATATAAGCTGCTCATTATTCAGGGCCCTGGTGATGTTCAGAATTTAAAACTGGAGACTCTTCTGTACTTCTAGCTAAGAGACTAGAGGTTTTGAATAATATGTAAATTTCTCATATCTATATTCCTTCCGATGCATCCTCCTGAATATGTTTCCTTCCTCTGTCTCTGTTAGTTTGGGGTAAGAATAGTGGGTGATTAAAGCAAAGGAAAAAAAGAAATGAAGGAAAGAAGGAACTATATATTTAAAGGAGAAATTGCTAGCAACTTCTTTCCTGACAGCTAACAAGTTTATGTGATAACCTATACTATTGCATTTATTAATAACACAATTTTCAGATTACTTTTAACGAATCTGTCATGCCTTGGCCCCTTTAAAAAGTTGGGTATTTCTACATTGTTTCTATGGAAATGTTGTTTGTTCATGTTATATATTTCAGGAATGATACAACAAAGCATAATGTTGACTTAAAAGTATAGTAAGTCCATTCTAAAATGACAGTTTTTAAATTATTTAAAAAAGTAATTATTAGAAAATATGTAGTACAGTCTTTAGGCCAGTACTAATAGCTGACTAAAAGAGAACAGTTCTCAAAGTACCAGATAAAACAGAGACAAATGCTTTACATTTTCAGAGATGTCCTTTTAATTTTTTGTCAATTCTAAGATGTCTAACACATTTAATATCACTAAGAGGTTAATTCACATTATTAGTGAACTAACAGAATGTGCTTCAAACAAACAAGGGTTCTGAGACTTATGTTTTACGGACGTAATAACAAAAATAATGACTAACACTTGTATTGCAGCTTATAAAGGACACATTCACTGTAACTTTCACAGAAACTCAAAGCAGAGGAGCCCCAAATGGAGCATAGGAAAACAAAGTCCAGTTGTTGTTTTTTTTTTTCAAGATTCAAAATAGACTTGATTGAAATTAAGTGCGAAAGACATAAAAAAGGTTGAATCTTATAACTAAATGTGCTTATCTTTCACTTAGGAGTTACCAATCCAGAAGTTATTTTCAGAGTTAAATAAAAGATTACAGAGGGAAACTTTAGTTTGAATAGTTAAAAGCACTTTATTCAATGCCATTCATTTCCCTCTGAAGAAACATAATTATATAGTTAGTTTTAAAGAAAAATTCCCTGTGAAAGATAGTTTCTGTGTGGGGTTGTACAATGTACTATTATTTTTTGAAATCATGAAGGTCCTTTTACATTTGAGTCCTGTATATATCAAACGTAGATATAAAACCTATCACTGAGATTTTTAAAATAATACAAATCCCCTATAAAAAAATGACTTGAGTTTAGGAAGAACAAAGGTTTGCATTCAGCTTTGTTGATCATTATTCCCTAGTTTTCACTTTGGTCTTTGAAAAATAATATATTTATCGGACTAGACAATGGTCTGTCACTGCATTAACCATGACATCCCCCTATTCACTCTCTCCCACAATTCCCTCCTCTCAGGTCACTTTCAATGTTGTGAAGGAAGAGTGTCCTTTAACCTGGGATTAGCTGTACCCAGCATCATAACAGGGCACCTGTGAACATCACAGCCCCCAAGATCCTAGGCTCTGTAATCATTAACCTTACTGGGTTAGTTCTTATATAACTTGACTCTTGAGATTGCAGAGTATCTCTTCTATATAAACTCATGTTCGTGGTTGGTTCACACTTCTGGAAGCTAATATGTGTGTTCATTTATTTATCTATAATAATTTTCATTTATCTTTTTTCCTTAAGCATATGGCTTCTCCTATATAACTACTTTTACAAAAATTCTTTGAATTATCCTGCATATTTTCAATATAACTTAAGCTTAAAGTCTTACATATGAAGAGTTATTTTGATAATCTTGACATGTTTTGCTGTTTACTTCTGCATGTTGTGGATTGCATTTTCTCTAATGTGAAGATTTATAACTGAAGGCAAGAAATCTCTGCTAAGCCAAAATATTCTCCTAGTACTGTTTCATCATTTCATCAGTCCTCTTTCATCATTTGTGTTGCTTTAGTGATTATATTCTTCCCTAACACGAGCAGGGTTTGGATACATATTCAGTCACTGAAAAACTTGGGTGAATCTGAAACCACAGTTTGAGTGCATTCCTATTGTATTAATGATCTATATATCACAGGTCATGTTTCACTTCACAAAAATTCTTTCCAAAATAGTATTTTTAACAGTCATAACATTATTCATCTTTACATGTTTGAATGCATAAAATACTTTTGGAAAAAACAAAGCCTTTTAAAAATAAAGCCTTTTATTATGGTAAGCATGATCATCCTGATTTTGTGGGAACTTATGATATTACTATTTCCATCTTTAGTTGAAGAAAATGAAGATTTTTAGTTTAAAAGCTATACAGTTTGTATATGATTATATCCTTATTTTAACTCAAATTTGAAATATTTCAAGATTTGGTTCCTAGAAAGGGATTTTATATATGTTTAAAAGAAAAGCCTGTCTATTGATGATAAATACATTACACTGTGTGGAAGAAGCTCAAGGCCTTTGTACTCTCAACAATATTCCTCTAAAATTTAAATAAAATACCAAAAACAAGCTCTTACTTAAGGTCATGGAGATGACTTTCTAGTATAATATAACTAATCCTTTCTTTTTTCTAGAGACAGGTCTTTCTATGTTGCCCAGGCTGGAGTGCAGTTGCACAGTAATAGCCCACTGCAGCCTAGAACTCCTGGCCTCAAGTGATCCTCCTGCCTCAGCCTCCCGAGTTGCTGAGATTACAGGTGTGAGCATGTACACCCATGCTGGGTATACCAGCATGATTTAATTCTTTATATTAGGAAACTTGCCTTTCACAATTTCCTATTTCTAGTTAGTATTCTGCCTCTTGACATGTGTAACCCCTTTGACATGTACCTCGCACTGGTACAAACTTAGGCACTTGAAACAAGACTGCAAAACCAAATGAAAAGAAACATGCCTGTTTTCTAGACTTACTCTGTAGAATACAGAGGAAAAGCAGACACATAAGGGAGAGAGAATTGGTGGAAAAAAATGTTGAACAATTGAAATGTGGAGGAAGAGAAGAGAAGGCAACTTTTATAGAAGTTTGGATCTGGAAGAAGCATTCTAAATTATCTTTATGTATTTGATTACCTCATTTTACAAAGAAGAATGAAAACTTGCCTTAGGTCATTTACCTAAACCACTTAGAAGTCAAAAAGAGGTAACTAAACATGGCAGAATTTGGGATGAGAAAAAACAAAGGAACAAGATAAAGTGAAAGGTAATATCATTTGGCTATGAAAAGAGTTTGGCTATGAAATTTGGCTATGAAAAGAGTTCTTCAGATCAGTGAGGATCAGGAAAAGAGAAATCAGACAGTAATAAGATAAAATGGGGAAACTATAAACTAAAAATATTAGACCTGAAAATGCACTATTTTATTAGATATCTTCCATCATGTAATATAATTATAATGGTACTTGCCCTGTTCCACCCCACCCCCATTTTAGTGTAATCTCATTGAGGTCAAGACTGTCTTACTCAGTAACTTTCTCCCTTATAGTACTAAAAAAGTATACATTAGACATAGTAGGAACTAAATTAGTTAAAAACTTAGATACTTTATATGGAAAAGATTACTCTTAATAGCTAAGGAGTAATAGGAATTCTCTCCAGGGATAAGCTCAGTATACGTATGTTCCACCCTACCTTACCATTACTAAACACAGTTGTTCTAGAAAAATACAATATTTTTAGAGCTACATTTTGCTTTTGATCATCCTTTGTTTACTTAGGACATCCAGTTTTGCTTAGGACAGAAGGAAATACACTGAAAAGGACAGAAGGAAAGACACTGAAAAGAGAAGGGAAGCCTTTGAAAGATAAAAACTAGCAGGAGGCTCTTCAGAAGAAGGAACCATATGAGTGGAGTTGATTGGTACCCTGGGTTCCAGCTGTTAGATCCAAGGCAGATGGGCTTTGCTCTGCCCTGCAAATGCTTGTGTCTGGCCAACAATCACACGGCACAACAGCCAGATTCCAGCAGTGAAAGGCAGAGCGGAGAGACATTTTTTTTCCTGGCACTTGTCACTCTTTGGATGCTATCTGCATTAAAGATTTAAATTAAATTAATATTGCTGGCCATATGCTCTGTATACTGTAGTTATATAGTGTTGTCTTGGTTGCTAGCTACTATGGATGCTGTGGCTAAGCAAATTGTTGCCTTAGCCACCAGACACATTTTTAGTACAAGCTCTGACTTTTTAATGTTACCTCCTTCTCTTCAGAAAACTGTTTCTTGGGTAGATATGATGTGCTATGTCACTAGGTTAAATTATTTAGATGTTGGTTAGCCCATCAATTCCAAGAATACATTTATATTTCTTTCTTTTTATTGTTGACTCATTCACAGGAGGTTGTAGAATGCCCATTTATCCATTACATGGTCTATCACTGAAATGATGGGACTGATGAGTAGAGTTGAGAAGACTTAGAAAGTCTTTCTCCTGCCCTTAACCACCCCCGACCCATCCTTCTTGGTTTAACACATGTCACCCTTTCAAGTTAAATTCAAGTTGTAATTTCTGTACCTTGAGTGCCTTCTTTCTACTTTTAAGATGGTAAATTGCCCTGAGAAAAGCAATATATTGCCAAATACTATGTTACAAATGAGTTTACAAAATTATTTAATTCTCTGAAAGAAGAGAAAGATAGGAACACATGAGAACATTGGGCAGCTAATAAGAGGAGTAGAGGGACTGGAATGGAGGGAAGAAATGAAGAAGAGCGATGGTCTCTGAACTCTTTGCTCAGACTGGGACTCACTTGAACCATCACCACCCCCTAGAGTAAGAACAGCAGATGGTTTCCATCCAGGACTCATTTGCCATTTGATGGGCTTCTTGCACCTTTTCCTTTGGTACATACTGTATAAAAATGCCATTAAAGCCATTTCTTGATATGTAGCTAGAGCAGTGATTCAAGTGGAATATGCCTTCTTCCCATTGTATAAAAGAACCTTTGATGGGAAAATAGATCTTTAACTTTGAACTATTGGCAGAAAATTAAATATAGGATCTGACATTTAAACTTATGGACAAAAAGTGAGGGTTACATTTCTGTGGTAAGGACCATCATATTTGAATCTTTAGTATCAAAGAATAAAAAGATAAGCAAATTAAAAGTCTCTAAACAGAATATACCTTTTGTAGAGGGTTTAAAGTAAATATATATTGGCAATATCATCTCTTATAATTAACTTTCGTAATATGAAGCCATTACTTTTTTTAAGCATGGAGGAAGGATTGCATTAAAAAAACATATACATACAGTTTGCATGCCAGTAACTTTAGGTGTTTAAGAATAAAATACAATTAGTGTATTTTTATTAAATTCTGCAGAACATCTGCTTATTTCCAGGGGATCTGGACACTAAGCCACTAGAATTTTGTTTTTGATTAGGTACACACTGACTGGTCATGTGGACATTTTATGTTTTGGTTATAAACTATAAGTCTTTAGATTTGAAAGCATCGTGGTTTCGTGTAACTGGATGTAATTATTCCCAACCGGGTTTAAAATCAACATCTTAGCAATGTTTTACAGACTACTTTAAAAGAAGTTATGTACAAGAGGCTTGATCATATAAAAAGAATCTAAACTCAATCATTTCTCTTGTGGACTTAGTTTAGATTATTTCCAGTTGATCTGTATTTTCTACTTTCTAAAGTTAAAAGCTGCATTTTCCTTAATTCAAAAGTATGTGTTTAAAAATCCATTCATTTAGATGCCTTGGTTTATAGAGTTATCCTGTTGCTACTGACTTAAAAAGAAAAAAAAATCTGTAAACCTGCCAAGTGTGGGAGTAATAGTTGGAAGGAGCTTTGTATGCTGTTGGAGGAAGATAGTACAGTGTTGTAGGAAGATTTGGAATAGATTACTGATATAGTCAATTCTTGAGTGTGAAATACCACACTGTCTAATATAACATTCTAGAAGAAAATTAATAAAAGACAAATGTAAGGAAAACATGCATCTTCATAAAATATAGAGCAATTTCAGCTGTCTATTCAAGGACTTTAATTTTTACTTCATAAAAAATAGCATTCTGAAATCATGAAGCTAAAATGAACACCTAAGTACTCTTGATTCCCAGTTTTTAAGAAGTATGGAAGGAAGGCATGATCAAAATTAAGTCAATTCATAATTCTTAGCACTTAGCCCAATATCTCCCAAGAGATACTGTGTTTATATCTCATAAACACAATGCTTTGGTTTAGTAACTATCTCTGTTGAATGAATGAATGAATGAGTAAATGAATGAATGACCTGCCAACTACATTTAGCTGACAGTTTTAGTTTGGGTATACATGTAATTTTTAAACTAATTACTGGATCCCACTAAAGAGCAAAATAGCCCTGAAATTAAAGGGGTCTGAAACAAAATATTGGACTATGGGTCAGTTTTATTTCTTCCTTGTGGTTTTGTGTAATTTTCCAAATTTTTGATAACAAATATTATGTACCAAATTTTTTTCAAGATACATACATTGTTAGAATTTATCATAAAATGAAATATAAATCACAGCTCTACTAACTCATATCTCATCTATGATTCAAATTGCAGAGGCCCTGCTTTTGCAATAAAGGCTACTTTTGAAAACAAATGTAATTATAGCCAAACAACATTTCTAGGGTTAAGTTAGAGAAAGAAGAATTTTATCTTGACTTAATTCAGTTTCTACAAGTCAAGGAAACTGAATTAATGTTTCTGCCACTGAAACAAAACCAGATCAGTTGTATTTTGTAGTGTTGAGAATGTTTATTCCTTCCTGAGAAATAACCAAGATATGTTTTGGATGCCAGTGTTCTTGTTTCAAGTATAGTCATGTTTGAATGACTTAAAAAAAAATAATCACACTAACCAATAAAAAAAAATCCCCTGCTGTCCCTGATAGAGGCAAAATATTGAACCAGGATGGATGGATAATCTGAGCCACTGTTGGAGTTGGTAGTTGACTCCTATGACTAATGGTAGAGGTATCTGTCTAGGTGGACCACATGGACCTAGTTATCTGCCCACTGGAATGACACAATGGGGAGATATCCGATGAATATCATGGAACATCTGTGAATGGATCACAACTATGCCTGATGTGAATCATTCTTCCCTCAAAAATTCTAAAGTTTAATAGTTAAAAAATTCCAAACTGTTGTCGTCACATAAACTTCATTGTTTGGCTTATTTTAGGGGTTGGGAGGGAAGGAATACAATACATACTCTAGGACATTTTGCCAGTAAGTTGTTTGACTATGTTTAAGACCCCTAAGTTTAGGAAAACATAAAAAATGGTTGCAGAAGGTGATCAGCAAGAGCCCTGGGTCAGTGCAAGCAATAAAAAAGACTAACTGCTCACCACTGTCATGGAAGCTACAGGATTTAAGTGTCATGAGCTTGGTGGATTTAATAGTTTGCCCTGTCAGTCTTTAAATTTAAAGGGCTTAGTTAAAGGTAGGTGTGCATAACATGATAACGGAGGCACTCCCACCTGCAGAATTTCTATGATTTAGGGGAACTTGGGGGAAGCATTTGGTGTGTAGCTCTTTAGGTGACAGTTTCTTTCACTGAATGATCCTGTTTCACATATATTTCCCTAATTTGTGATCACACTGTTTTTTTAGGGCATTATTACTTGAAACAACTGGGAAAAAAAAAAGAAAAACAACTGAAGGATTGTGTGGGATTAGCTAGGTGTGAAGCTGTGGTTTCCTGGATACTGCTAATGCTGCTTTTACAACTCTTTCTGGGTAATTTAGCCTACCTGTTTATAGAGATGGGGTGGGTGAGTGGGGGAATAGCTTAGTGTGTGCTTTTATTTCTATTGCCAGGAGTAACCTGTTACCGCTATATGATCTGAAACATTTAGCATTGTCTTGTAGTTTGACGTGTTTCTCTTTGATATCTTGATATACCTGTCTGCTTCTTTTGTTTCCTTGACACTAAAGAGAAAATGAGTATACATAAAATCTGTTCATCAGGAACATTTACAAATACGAGTGTGTGTTTGTGTGTGTCTTTATATTTTGTGAAATGTGAGCAAGTTATGGTGAATATCTTTGCCAATAATTGACATATATTTAATATTTTATAAACTGTATGAGAATATTTTTAGCTGTGGTAAACATATCACATAGACTAATTTTTTAAAATGAGATAAATTAATATTTGAATGAACTGTGTATGTATGTATTTGACAGTGGTATAATCAACAGGGGTCAACTCTGTTCGAATAAACAGACTAGTTGGTTACAGTCCAAAAGAGGCCCACTGCAATCTCTAATTTCTAAACAATGAATGGGCTTTTAGAGAGATAAATATATAAACGGAAGAAAAAATGAAATGTGTGGATGTGATGTATTCCTAACAAAAACTAAATAGATGGGATTTGTTCTACAAAATATCAAAAAGTAAATTTGTCCCTATTGTTCTATTTTTAAATAAATATACAATCATTGTTTTGCATTGAAATGCATATTTGTACATTTTATTTGATAATATTATTTTGGGAAATTGTAATCTGTTGTTTTGTTTGTTTGTTAAGGGAAGCACGAAGAAGAATTTACAAATGTGAATAAAATTGTTTAAGATTACCAATAGTTTCTTTTCTGGACTTGAAATAGTTACGTTTCTAAATATGAGAAAAATAACTTTGCCTAAAATTTCAGTATAATGACCAGGTCTTCTCTCCATTTTAGAGAAGCAGTCCAATGTGGAACAGATAAGACGGCAGCGATCCAGTGAGGTCAATTCCCCACAGAGGAAAGCTATGCATACCTAACTTAATGGAAGGTAAACTTCTCTTCAATTAATGATGTCCTCCTTTTCTCAAGGTGTCCAAAGACAGGAGGTGGTCTGTAAAAGGTTGGATGACAACTCCATTGTCCAGAACAATTACTGTGATCCTGACAGTAAGCCACCTGAAAATCAAAGAGCCTGCAACACTGAGCCCTGCCCACCTGAGTAAGTAAGGGAAAGAAATGAGAATTATTTTCTTCAGGTGCAAAGAGAAAAACATTATGTATTCATGTTTGGAAATATATTTATATGATGAGAATAAATTAGGCTGAAAAAAGGTAGAAAACATCCTGAGAGGGAGGAATTTTGATGTCTCTTTTAGTGAGCAAAGATTCCTATTTATCCATAGATTTCAGTCATTAACTTCTTTAAAGCAGGAACTTCAATGAATTTTGTTCTGACACAATGCTGGAAATGATCATATTTCATCAATTCTAAAGCACACATCTTTTCACATTTTAGCATCTCTGAAATTAGGATTCAACTTGCAGCTAATGGTGTCTTACTATAATAATTGACATTTTTCCCCTCTCTTAATGGCACATAAAAAAAAAGTCTTAGATGTAATAAAATATAGTGATTTATTTACACTCCTGTCTTTTCTACATATTTGTCCTAAAGATCTAAAGACCTCTTTTTTTTTTTTTTTTTTTTTTTTTTTTTTGAGACGGAGTCTCGCTCTGTCGCCCAGGCTGGAGTGCAGTGGCGCGATCTCGGCTTACTGCAAGCTCTGCCTCCAGGGTTCATGCCATTCTCCTGCCTCAGCCTCCCAAGTACCTGGGACTACAGGCGCCCACCACCACACCCGGCTAAATTTTTTGTATTTTTAGTAGAGACGGGGTTTCACTGTGTTAGCCAGGATCACCTCGTGATCCGCCCGCCTCGGCCTCCCAAAGTGCTGGGATTACAGGCATGAGCCACCGTGCCCAGCCAAGACCTAAAGACTTTTAAAATGGTTTAGAAATACTCTGGAATAGAATATCAGGGCTTTAATTTGCTGACCCAGTTTAAAGTTCTGTTGTTGTAAGGCATCCTATATTCTGAGTGTTGGGTACAGGCATAGAGGTATACTTCAGTCTCTTTCTGTTGATTAATGCAGCAATACAACTCACTGTAAAGGGATTAACAAGGAGAGAGCCCATTCATTTTAATGATGGTTTTAAATGAGACCTGCTCTCAATGAGCCACACATTATAATCTGTAAGAACAGAAATGTTTCTTGATTGAGCAAAAGGCTCAAGATGATTATGTGATGTTGAGTTGATCACGACAAAAGTAATCTTTGTAGAGATTTTGCCTGATTGAAAACTGCAAGAGAAAACATGTGTGATTGGCATTTCATTCTTGTTTGAGAAATTGGATGAACTGTTATCTTCCTGGTTAATTAATCATCCCAACATGAAACTGATAAGGCAAAAGAGAATAAGCAAATGAATTTGTATGTTCCAAACTCTCTACAACTGGAGAGAAAAACTTTATAATGAAGCTTCTCTAAAAATGACTAGAGTGGAGCTACATAAACATGGAAGTTAAAATACATAAATAATCCATGTCCCAAATAACGTTTAAACCAAGGTGCATTTCTTGTTCAAGGTGCATTTCTTGTTCCAAAGCAATAATGCCTTTTGAACTTCCATTATTTAAAGTCAGTGTCTGCCTGAACATTTGAATCTTAAAGGTGATACTCACTACTAGTCCCTTGAAGAGGTGTAGGGTATTGGCAACCAAATAAGAAGCACAAGGAATCTAGAGTGATAGTTTTTGTTCTAAGACTTTTGCAATTTTACATTGAGTTCTTTTCAAAATGTTATCACCATATAACTAATCTCTTAAAATCCAGACATGGGAAAGTATCAAAATGTGACCTATCATATGTGTTACAAAGACAAGTTATTAAATTTTTTTCACATTCCTCTTTTCTGCCAATTATTTTTATAAATTTATCTCAAGAGAAACTGAGAAACTGTAGAGCAATGCGATGCTCAAAATCCATGGGCCAATTTTGTCCCTTTCTATGTTTCCAGTAACTTCAGCATATTTTCATGTCATTGTGAGTCTCAGTCTATTACGTTAATTCTCTGACATTCAGGATCTTAAGTAGTATATTTGGCATTTGATCAGCCTGTGAAGGCATCTGAGTGAGCCTGGTCACACCCTATTCCATTTTGGCCTAAGCTTTTTCATTTGTTTAAGCTTAAAAGTTTAAATGTCCAGTGTCCTTAAAGATTTCAGTTGTTGGTCATTTCATCCCATAAGTTGTGTGTTTGAGTATTACATTGGAGGTTTGTTTTTGTTTTTTAACAGTTTAAGGATAATTGACATATTGATGTACACTATTAAAATTAAGCTTTCTATCTCCTTATGTAGTTCTGAAGTGAAGTTACTTACTTAAGTTTGGAGATGGGGAATGGAATTCAAAAGAAAAGATACAGAGAATATGGGAAAAATAGAAAGTTTAGTCTGATGGGTTTTTTTTAAAGACCTAAATGTAGATACTTAAAATATTACTCATTATTAGCCTACTTCTCTTAGTTGCTTTTTAATTTCTTCTTTAGTCTTTTGAATTCAGACTATGGAAAAGGAAATTTTAATTCTTCAAAATGGTTATATATGCTTGACTTGTGGTGGGATTACATCCTGATAAACCTATACAAAGTTGAAAACATTGCAAGTTGAAATGCATTTACTTCACCTAACCTACTGAACATCATAGCATAGCCCAGTGCACCGTAAATGTGCTCAGAACACTACCATTGGGCAAAATCATCTGGCAACACAGTACACTGTAGAGTATTGGTCATTTACGCTCATGATAGCGTAGCTGACTGGGAGCTGCAGATTGCTGTTGCTGCCCAACATCTAGAGATACTATTGTACCTCATATTGCTAGGGTAGGAAAAGGTTAAAATTCAAAAATTCAAGTAGTTTCTACTAAATGTGTATTGCTTTCTTATCATGTAAAGTTGAAAAATCATTAGGTCAAACCGTCAAACATCAGGGACCATCTGAGATTCCCAGTTGACATTGGTATTATAGAGATAGAAATCATAGAAAGGCTACTGAATTCAGTAAAACTTTACGAGTGTGAAGAAAGCAGATAGGTTTTTTTTAGATGATCATGTGATAGGCAGATAAGCAAAAAGAAGGAAACAAAAAAACCTATAAACCACTGTTAATACTTTGATGTATATATTTCCAGTATTTTTTCTATGTATACAGAGGCATGTGTATATAAAAAAAATTGTATTACACTACTTATGACACTTTATAGTCAGTTCTCAACATTTGGAACATTTGAAGTCTTTGACAACGTTTAGTAGATATGTGATTGTTTATTTAAATTGGTATTCCACTCTTGAACGATTTTGGCTGTACTTTTTATTTTGATCCCCTGCAATAATGCAGCATTAACCACTTTTGCTTCTGAAACTGTTCTTTATAATTATATATGCTAAATAAAGAAGAAAATAATTTATAGTTCAAATGGAAGCACATGTTAGTCTTTGAGATCACATTGTCCAATTACTTTCCAGAAAGATTGTGTGAATCTATATTCCGATTAACAGTCTATGAGAATGCCATTTTCCTGGAAGTGAACAACAGTCGTTATTATTATTTTAAAAATAATCTTTCATTATTTTATAGGGGAAAAGCCCTGATATCTAATTGCTGTCTTATTTTGCATATATGGGACTGCTGATGGGACTGAACATTTAAAAATTATGTTTAGTGGCTGTTTGTACTACTTCTCTTTTGCCTTTTATCATCATGGCCTGTCCTATTGAACTACTTATCAATACTTCTATTGAAGTATTTATTATTTTGTTATTGATTTGAATGAACTCTTAATGTATTAAGGATATGAACTCTTTTATCTGTGTTCTGAATATTTTTTCCTAGTTTGTCGTCTATTTTCCATGTTATTTATGGTGTTTTGATCTATTTTTACTGATAAAATTTAGAAAATCTTATTTAAGAAAGCTGTCAAACCTTTATTTCTTCATTGGTACACTGTTTAGAAAGGTCTTCCCCACTCTTATACTTTCAAAGTTTCTTTTTTTATTTTTAATGTAAACATTGATCTATCTGAAATGTTTTGCCTGATTTGAGGAAGGGATCTATACTTATTTTCAATCACGATTGTTTTCCCTATACCATTAGTTTAAAATTCTAAATCGTATTTTTTATCAGAAAGTATTTTTTCAAATAATGAAATATTTCAAATGTCTTTAGTTATATTGAGAGAATTTATAAGTACAGTATACAAAAAGGGAGAACAGTAAGATTTGTCCTTATAGAGAAAATGACGGAGGACTAGGAAAAATAGACAAAACAGGCATTGATAGAGAAATAATATTATGTTTATTTGGAAGACTTTGAAGACCCAGAGGAGTCCTTGCTGGGGAAAGTTATCATGTTCATAGCAGCAACTCTTTTTATAAGAAAGAGTATAGTAGTCAAGGTAGTAAAGTGACTATGAATGAAAGTAGTGGGATCCATGACATAGCCTTAAATAACTGGAAAAAAAAAAAAGGAAAGGAATTAATATTAAAGGATATGATTGGTAAGAAGCTAATCCCCAACCATAAGAAAAAAAAATAAGTTGGAATCCAAAGAGAAAGGCTGAGTTAAGTTTTTACCATGCCGTGTTTTAATAGCAAGAGTATTTCTGCATATGACCTCATGTGAAGAATCCTTGAGTGATAAATATTATTCCTGTATGATACTGTGGTTTTTAAAATTGTGAAAACCAGAGAGGTGAAAACAAGAGAACTATTCATTTTAATAATATTGTGACCAAGAATTTAAAAACATTTATTAATCAACTTCAAGTTGGAAGACACTGTACTTTGGGAGAAATGGTTCTCTTTCCTGAGGGTAATCTAATTGGGCAAATATATACAAAAATAACTACAGTACAAGACAAAATCTGTTAAGTACAATAAGAGAGTTATAAGCAAAAGTGCTGAAGGAAACTTAGGGTGGGAAGAGATTAATTTTTATCCAGTGGCTAGGTTTTATTTAATTGGTATATTTTAAGGTATAATGTTTAATAACCATTATTCTGAGTCATTGGACCTCACCCATGGACAACTGTCATCTCTTATTTTAAGCTTAGAAAAAAATTCATTAGAGTCATCTATAAAACTCCAAAATTTAAGACCTAGGAAGAATCATAGAAATTATTTAGGTCCACTCCCATCATTTCACAGACTGAGGTATGCTAATATCCAGTGATGTTTTTTCCATTACATCAGACATCACCAGCTTGGTAAGGTACAAATCAAATGTCTGGTGGCACTTTGATACATCTAATTTTGCTTGCTTCATTGACACATTCTCAGTTGCTACAACTTCAGAGATGTTTATTATGTTGATTTTTAAAAATTTAGAAAAACCTTGACTGTATAATGTTTAGGGCATACAGTGTTCTGCTTAATATTAGTTTCACTTTCCAATTAGCTGAGAAATGAAAAAAAATTCTTTTTATTTTTTTAACAACTTTTTGTTTTGAAATTTTTTTAAGTTAATTTAAAATGTAGGAAAGTTTTTTATCTTTGTAAGTAGACAATAATTTATATAAATGAATTTCTCTTTGAGTAAAGATATTATTGTCAAATTCTGAAGATTTTTACAATTTTGCTATGTTGTGTTTGTAAAAAGAGTTGATGATTAGACCCTTGACTCTGGGACAAAGCCTAGGAAATCTCTCTCTTAATCCTAATATTTAATATCAGTTTATTTTCATATGCTCTGCCATTTTCCTTTAAATTAAAAAGCAAAAACAATATTCTGGTTTTATGATGATTATTTCTTCAAAAATATTCTGGTTTACCAAGGTTGGGGCAAATTTTTTATACTGTCTCTCTTATTCCCTTCTCCAAATTATACTATTTTTTGTAATAATAAGAGATCGGGACTGTAGGTCAGATTACAGAGGCTGCAGCAAGCCACTCTTATTTCAGACACTCGAACATGAATCCCACTAATTGTTAATGTCTAATAGCTATGAAGGACTTGTGAAGATAAAGACAATTTGTGTATTGGGAAAAGCTCAGAAAGAAACAGCCCCAGAATTGTTCCAGCTATAACGATTCGGCAATTTATATTCCCAGAGAGAATTTCTGTATTCATGTTTTTGCCACCAAGTCTAGAGGAGGGAAAGAAGACAGAGAAAGAATGCCATCAGAGGGTCAAATACGTGGAGAAGGAAGACAAGGGAAAGCAGTATGTCTTAAACTAGATGGGAGAGTGGAGAAACTGAGACAAGCAGATGCAGTGGTAGAATTGCAAAACTGTTTAAATAACTAGGGTGTGATTTAATCCTTCAGAGAGACATGGGAAGGGATGATACGATGAGCAATAAAGATGCAACAGGGACTGAGTGTGAAGCCTGAAATGAGAGTTAAAGTCAGAAAGGAAATTGGGAGGGTGATTAATACTTCTGATTTCATATATTCCAAGTTAAAGGCTAGAGTGATACATCTAGGTTAAGTTTCTGAGGAGAGATGGAATGGAAGAGGGGACAAAGAATAAAAAGACAGAGGTGTCCCTGACCCTTTGCAACACTTCTGAATCATTGTGGTTACTCGGGACACCTGTGTTTAATTTGAAGGCCTCCATCCCTCTTACATTATGAGAACTAATGAGATCATGGCTGGAGGTTGTGTGACTGAACTTTTTGTGACTGTAATACACATTTCTGTTTTATCCCCTAATCTTGGTGATGAAATCACTGTTGCAAAGTTGAATCAGAGTTTCACTATGGCTGGCATGCAAGTATTATTTTCAGTACACATTTTCCTCCTTACCAAAAATGGTACTAACAACTGGGGATCATGTTCATCTGTGGAAAACAGAAAGGAAAGAATATGAAAATTACTTTAAATCTCCCTTGGAAAATGACTTAGAAAAAATGTTTGTGTCAGATTTTTTAAATTCAAAATTAAATCATCATTCTTTAAATGAATTTTAGGCTGAAAATTTGTAGATGTTGATAAAATATAATTTAAATTTGAAAAACTGGCTAACTATATTTCTAAATGCTGGTTTTCTTTATAAGTAAAGACAATACGAATAATAATGAACAAAGGCCAGTGTTGGCTTAATGCAGTCTCAAATTTAGGATACTAGTACTCTGACTTCACTAAAGTATTATCTTCCGTATACAAAACTGGCACAATGGAGCTATGCTCACAGAAACAGTGAGAAATTTGCTCTTAAGCTTTCCATATTCTTCTCTCTTGGGAGTCTCCCACCTAAAAGCATGAGCATGTTCATTGAGAATAACTGCATGATTTATAATTATGGATTGAAGAAAATGTCTTGTGATCCCGTGCTTGTAACCTATATTTTACTATTCAGCAATGTTAAAATGAATTTCGATTGAAATAGCAATCAATGGGGAATCCAGTCCTGATTCCATCATTGCTCTTTTCACGATTTTGGAGAACTGTTTTCCTAACACTGGATCTTACTTTCTTCTATAAAACAAAGCACAATGCCTTGAACGTAGTAGACATTCAGCAAATATTTAATAAATGAAATACAATATGTCAGTCAAGACCCTTGTTTCAGATAACAAAACTTCAACTTGAGCTGGCTTCAGCACATAAGATTTACGTAACACAGCTGAGGGAAGTGTAAGGGGGAACCTAGCTTGAGAAATGGCTGGAATCAAGGACTCACACACCACCCAGGCTTTCTAGCTCCTGTGCATTCTTTGAAATCAGCTAATTTCACTTGACAGGGAACCCAGCCACTGCAGCTCTGAACTCATCATCTTATGCACCTTTGTGACCAGAAAGGAAAGGGTCCCTTTTGCTCCAGTTGAGATATAAAAATTCTAAACCAGAATTCTCATTGATCTGATTTAGATCATGAGTTACATCCCTTAGACTAATTAATGTGTCCAGAAGAGTGAATCCTGCAGAAGTGTTGCAAAAAAAACAAAACAAACCACAAACCCCCTGAAATTATGTATGTGAAAGTTTATGACTTTAGGGTAAAGGTGTAGTATACCTACAAATGTGAGACATGTTATTTTTTTCTAAGACATTTGCATTTCTTTCCACATTAGCTGTGTAGAAGCTGTTTTTAGGAGCCAAAAGGTTGAAACAAGAGATCTGCCTGTTTTCATAGAGCTAGCTCAGAGCTCTGCTCTTGCCGAAGGTGTTTTAAGACTCCCATGTTCTCAGGATGGATACCTGGTCTTCTCTGTCCTTGTAAGGACATTCACATCCTATCTTCATAGAGGTTTATTTCTAGAAATTGAAAAACAAATCCTCAGCTTCCTTAGAGTGGTTTTAGCATAAAATTTTTAATTATGGGAGAACCTGCCTCAATGTGATAATAATAAAAATACCTACTATTTCTTGTTTGTTATATGACAGACACTATGTTAGAAGCATTCAGTGGTGTGCTGGAGCCAGCTAGTATTGGTTCATAGGACCCTATTATTAGCATATCTTCTCCTGTTCACCTTTAGTATATCAAGCTGGTAGCTTGAAATTGGCCATAGTGAGGTTTTTACACTACAAAAATTGGCAAATGCCACAAATCAGAACTCCCCCACCCCCTGCCATAGGGAGCCAGTGGTTAAACATTTATTAGCGCATCACTGGGAGCTTTATATATATGACCTTATTTAACCCTCGTGACAATTTTTTATGAGATTGATCATTGTTATCCTCATTTTAGAATGTAATTAAAAAGGAGAAAAATAAAAGAGGTTTAAAGACATAGTGCACTTGTTTGAACCTGGGTTCTGTCCACACACTACACTTTAGAAAGCAAATGACAGTAAAGGTCTTTTCCTTAGCAGCTCTTTCATTTGCCATTTGTCTTATTAACCAACATTGAAATGTCAGCTCGTAGTCCATCAGTGAAAGTGCCTTCACTTAGCTAAAAATCTCTGGATGCACTGAGGAAATGCTTTTCTGTGTTTCTTCCATGTCTTGCTGCAGGTGGTTCATTGGGGATTGGTTGGAATGCAGCAAGACTTGTGATGGTGGGATGCGCACAAGGGCAGTGCTCTGCATCAGGAAGATCGGACCTTCTGAGGAGGAGACGCTGGACTACAGTGGTTGTTTAACACACCGGCCTGTCGAAAAAGAGCCCTGCAACAACCAGTCATGTCCACCACAGTGGGTGGCTTTGGACTGGTCTGAGGTAAGGAAATCTGAGGCTATATGTATATGTTTTGAAATGTCCTAACTATCTATCCTAAAGCAGTTAATATTAAGGACACCTGAACATCTTAGAACTCAACAAGTAAGGGCTGTGTAACAGTGACCATGTTATATTTTATTGCTGCTTGTCAGGAAATAAGGGGTGTTTTTGGGTGGGTAAGGGAAATCAGCGAGAAACTTGTCATCAATTTGATTAAAAATAAGTCTAAAGTAAATTTGAAATAACATTATAGTGGGTACTCTTATAAGTGGTTTTTCTCCTTCTTACTGTTGAGCACATCACAAGTTTAGAATTTGCGATACATGATTAAAAATTGAAGTTCAAAAGGAGAGTCAAGAACCTTTCTTACCCCAAAAGTTATTGAAGACCTAGAATGACCTTTTCTAGGATCTCATTTGGAAAGCACAATTTTTAAAATATCTTTTTTCAAGTAATGTAGCAGCCTAATTACGTAACTCTTAGGTATGAATTGTTATCAATTCATTATCACTTACGACCTATCTATATATTTTATGTCTTCTATTTCAACTGTGAAAGAAACATGGAGCTGAAGGTTATAACATAGGAAAACATCAAATTTGACTTGATCATTCCCTTCACTTACATGAGGAAGACCTGACCAAGATAATGTTTTCTTGGCATAGATGTGTACAAAATACCTAATAAAATCCAGAGCCACTCAGAAAAATTATCTTATGAAAAATTAGGTAAGAGGTAGTTAATTTTTGACTCCTCAGTATCCATGAGACAGATACGTATGCATACTATATAATTTTCCACATCTCCCAAAGAAGGGCTGAAGCCTTCTGTAGTGTGTGTTAAGTGTTAAGAATGAGTACCTTGCTATATAACCAGAGATATTTCTTTCAAGTTAGCAAAACAGGATGCATCTCAGACTCTGTTCTAATATATCCTGCCAGAAACATTGTGGTACTTGCTTTGGGTATTTCCTGTAGACCTCATACATTTGTCAAAATACAAACAAAAATATTAAACGTTGTTCTTTAGGAACCTTTGGATGTTACTATTCCCCTGTGAATCTTACTGCTTGAGTGGCCTTATTTTGCTGGAGCACAGGACTGAAAGAAGCACTGTGTTTAAGATGGTACATGGAAGTGGAGATTCTGACCAGTTGTGGTTATCCATGGAATCTTTGGCAGGAATTGGGAGTGTTCTTCCAAGTTTCCTAGCCATAGTCCAGCTTCAGTAATTACATTCTGCCTACCTAAGTTAGATTTTTTAGTTATATATTTCAATCATATGTAGAGATATCCTTGGTATTATTCTGTCAGTGGTCATGGAAAACAGTATGGACTCTCCTGTTCCCTAACGGGATACATTAACTCCTAATTGATTTGAAAGATAAAATCCATTGATAAAGAATAGACATTCTGCAGAGTTGTACACATGTTAGTGCCCAGGACCCTTATAGAAATCCATAAATATTCATTGGTATGAGAAATTTGTTATGGGAAAATCATAATAGGAGACCTAATGATTGGCTGCCACAGTTTGAGGGCTTCAGGTCAAGTCAGTAAGTTTGAGTGATTACTAAACATACTGGGATAGGCACCATGGGTAACATGAAAGAATCCCATAAGCTTGGGCAAATGAAAAATACCCATGAAACAACTAGAGAATAATACATATAAGGCAGTGTGTAATAAAACAGTGGATTGTGAGGTATAAATGTATAATTAATATGGAAATTCAGAGCTGAGAAGGGCAGAATAGCCTGGAGTAGGATCAGAAGGCTTTTTAGTTGATGGGATTTAAGCTGAATATGGAGGGGTATAGAGTTGGGAGTAGGGAAGAGAATAGGGAAGCTAGAGAAAGGATGCCTGAAAAGAGAAATGGCTAAACAGAAACACAAAGAGTGGATAATGAAAGCAGTGTGAGAGAAAAGGGTTTGTTTTTAAGAATAAATGAAAGACTGATAGTGATAGGTACTAGGAAGGTTAGAATACAGAACTCTATACTATATCACCCTTCATAAGCAGAAGGAATGCCTTCTGAGAAATTTCTAGAAGAAGTTGCTGCCAACCACTAAAATATCAAAACTTCATGTAAGCCTCATTTCACACTGATCTTCTGACCTACACTATTCTGTATCATTATATGTTTTTAAATAAAACAACCACATATAGTCACCTTGAGAGATAGCTTGTGTATATTAACTGATATGCTTCCATTCCAAATTCTATTTTAAAGTTTCCTTCAGAATTCAACTTCACATAGGTTGATCTTACCCCTCTATTAGAATTTTGATTCTTATCTATCCAGTCTTTGAAGTGACTCACTCAAATGGCTCTAAGAGGCTCTAAGGCATTTTTGGAGGCTGCCTGAAGATGTACATCTAAGCTGAGGACACTTTTAATCGCATTTCTGCAATACTCTTTAACATGGCTGAGTCAAAGCTTAGGGGCAAGAAATGGTGCTGAGGGGCTGGAGTACACATGTGGGGACCACTGCCTCAGATAAAGCATTGTCCAAGGGAGCTGCTGTTGTCTTTCCACAGACAGGAAACAATTCTGGGATAAGCACAGGTCGAAAACTGCTGCTGTTACTGTCTCAAAATTTCTAGTTGAGCACCATCTTTACCACTGTCATCATCCCTTGTTCAAGAGGAAAAATGGTTTTTGCCCCATACTGTTACTCCTGTTTATTTCCCCAAGGGGGTATGTGGGGTGTGTTTACTCTCACGCTTCCATTACCTTAGTTTACCAGGCAGCCCATCTCTTTCCTTCCCTAGATGGGTTAACAATAAGTAAGAATAAATAACGTTAAATAGATGTCTGAGTAGCTATTGTGAACAAAATGAGAACAAGGAGCCTGTTCTTCCCAAAGGAATGGAACACCTCCCACTAATGAAAAGAGAAGGTCCCAGCGGAAGAGCAGGCGGTATTCAGTCTCTTTCAGTTAACCTTTGGCAAATATTTCACACAATTTTTTTGACACACCCATGAAAACCTCCCCTTTCTGCCCCCTCCCCACTTCCAACTCTCAGCTGTCTGAGCTCTGCTAATCACAAGGGTGAGGTTCAACTGGTGAAAACATATTGCAGCAAGAGGAATTTGCCCTTTGACCCTTTCCTTTTCTCTGCCGGCTACTGTAGTGTAAAATTTCCATTGTTGTAAAGCCAGCGTCAGTGAAACCCACCCAGTACTTATGGCAAAAGGAAAAAAAAAAAAGTTAAATTACCTTGGCGGAAAATGGCTCATCAGCAGCCTTTTCTGGAACTAATGAAGCCACAGCTTTCGCATATCCTATAATCTATACTTGGGATCACCCAGGCTATTTGGACTTTACATAGTTTTCTGTTTTTGCCCTCACTGGGCAAGTAGCTCTTGAAAGCATTGCTGCATACTGTGGATGGGGTCCAGCAGCCCTAACCCATGCTTTTGATGTATCAAAATGGTTTATTTGACTCCTATAGAATAATGCCCATTGAAAAAGATACATTTCTTATACTTACTCTTGGACAAGTGGGTAACTGGCATCTTACTCAACTGACTTTATAGTACGTATGTTTAGATAGCATTACTTACGGAAGATGGGGAAAATCTACCTACAAGGGACTGTGTTTTGTTTGATAAGACAATTGTGTCAGCACCTTGCATACTCCTAGGTTCTACTCTGGTCCTTTGACTAAGTAATTTAAACCCATCTCTCCAGGGAGAACTCAGTGTAACCCCGAAATGTTGATGTTTCTGTCCTTTACAAGTGAGGGCCAAATTGTTTTCCCTGGTTGGTTTCAAATACTTTTTCTGCAAAATATATTTTTGCTTCTTCTTAATCATGGAACATTAAGCTGAAGCATAAATGCATCCCTCATAAAAGTCACCTCCTGTGTCACTGAGATGAAAACAAAAAACAGAAGGTCTGGTCGGATTTTAAATGATCATGAGATTCTAATTATATGAATAAAGAGGAAAAAATAGGCATTTACCCACATAAGGAGAAATAATGAGAAATAATTTTACTAAAGAATAGACTGACCACTAGTCTTCTAAATTTTATAATATCTTCTACCCTGCTACCTAAAGGTTTATTATGAGAAAGAATGAGATGAATTTTGATGTTTATAACTATTCTTTGATCTAAAAAAATTATTATTGAACTAAATATCCCAATTTCTAATTATTACTAATAGATTTTAATGCACACTCAAAAGTTACGCAAAAACATACTCTTTGCATGGGTATAGGCTAATGATTATCTCTGGAGACTGCTCCGAAGCATTCATAATTAAATTAATGTCTATACATTACATAACATACATGTCTATACATACGTAACCGTGGCTCATCTTGCTTTTCTAGAAATTTTTATTTTTTTATTTTTATTTTTATCTTTTACATAGCTAAGTAAAACAGAGGACTTCAGATGGACAAACACATTGATAGTAGTCCCCCCTTATCCACAGGGGACATGTTCCAAGACCCCCAGTCGATACCTGAAACTGCAGATAGTACTGAACCTTATATATACTATATACTTTTTTCCTATCTATACAAACCTATAATAAAGTTTAATTTATAAATTAGGCACAATAAGAGATTAACAATAATAATAATAAAATTAAAATATTATAACAGCATACTGTAAAAAGAGTTCCGTGAATGTAACGTCTCTTTCAAAATATCTTTCTATACTGTACTCATCTATTTTCAGACTTCAGTTGATTGTTGGCAACTGAAACTGGAAAATGAAACTGTGGATAAGGAAGGGATTCTGTATTTATCAGTAGGGTAAAGAGGGAAAAATGAAATTTAGGCTCAAGAAAGCAGAAGGAATAAGTAAATATAAAAACAAACTGAGGACTTCTCTGCTTGAACATCTCTGACATAAGGTCAGAAGGACTTGCTAGAGTTCTACTTAAATGAACCAGGTTAAAGTGGCATTTCTGTGCCTTTACTATTTTTACAAGCAATTTTTAAACATTTAATTTTATAATCACCTGTAAGAAGTACAATATTTGCAGAGAACAGAGTTGAGACTCTGGCTGTAGACATGTAATATTTGTGGCTGGATCTGCAGGGTTCAGGTGTAGTGTATTCACTGAGTAACAAATGTGACAGCAATGTAGTTTTCAGTCATTCACTGTCTTGAAAATCTGGTTGATTTTCAGTCATTTTCTTGAAAATATGGTTGAAAATCTCTGTACCTCTGTTACTATAAGATAAAATATCCTTGGCTAAAATGGTGAATTTTGAGGTGTAATTTTTCTAAAATGATTTCTTGCCTAAGTAAATGTCATTATGTGTTTAGCTTTACACATAACTGCACATTGTTCTACAGAGGGTTAGTCTTTGTGCATGTATCTTTCAGAGCTTTATTTTTAGTAGGAAACTGCCATCAGGATTTGTTTCTACCTCTTAGCATTTCAGTTTCCACACCTGTAAAATGGATATGTAACAGTACTCACTTCATGGAGTTTCTATGAGGATTAGGTAGATTATTACATGCCAAGGATTTAGAACACTACTTGACACAATAAATATTGTGCTGCTATGTCTTCTCATCCTTCTTTTTTTTTTTTTTTTTTTTTGAGATGGAGTCTCGCTCTGTCACCCAGGCTGGAGTGTAGTGGCACGGTCTCGATTCACTGCAGTCTCTGCCTCCTGGGTTCAAGCAATTCTCTTCCTACCAAATAGCTAGGAGTACAGGCACGTGCCACCACACCTGGCTAATTTTTTTTTGTATTTTTAGTAGAGACAGGGTTTTGCTATGTTGGCCAGGCTGTGGTCTCAAACTCCTGACCTCATGATCCACCCACCTCAGCCTCCCAAAGTGCTGGGATTCACAGGCGTGAGCCACCGCACCCAGGCTTATCCTTCTTATTATCAGTCATATCTGGTTTGGTTTTGGTTTGGGTTTCCTGGGGACTTCTCAGATGGAGATGAATGAATTGTCTTTCTTCGCATTCTTCATCTCCCCTAATTGTAAGCACGACCTGGCATATGATTTTAGGAAAGGCAGCTAGATACTACTACATTCTTAAAATAATAACAGAAGCTTCTTGCCACTGGAAAAAGTTATTAGAATAAACAAGAGATGTATGTCCCAGACTTTAATATGCATACACATGATTTTAAAATGTGAAGGAGGCAGGGGAGTGGCACAAGTGCATTTTTCAATGAATGCTTCCGTTAGAAAACTAATCATAGCCTCGAAATACAAAAACTGAGTTCCGTATACATCCTATATGTTTTTGCCTAGCATGTGGATGAAGTGGCCTTGTATCCTCTTGGACTTCACCTCAACTTATTCTTACAATAATTCATATTTACTATGTATTGTCATGAGTTTGTTTCTGCCAATACTAAGAGCAGCCTGTGAATACAATAATAACAGAGAAATGGATAATGAGTAGGCCCTAAAGTATGGGTCACAAGGCCTAGGATTTAGTTCCAGCTTTACCATTTGCTGTTTATCCTTAATGAAGTCTCTTAAGCTTTCCTCATCTATAATAATTCTTAAAAATTTGTTTAATAATGTTTAATATTTGAAAATATTTTCTGAACTGTTCATCTTTAATGAAATGTAAAGTAGTATAGTAGTGTTTTTGTTACCAGTGATAATATTAAGCTTTAAGAGAGTGGCAGAAATCCTCTTAAGTCTTTGGTTTGAACAGTGGAGGAGACTTGGCATGAAGCGAAGAGGATTAAAACAAGTGGAACAAGTTCAAGAGATAGAAATGGACTCGACACAAGTGAGGCAAGCTCAAAGACTTGGATTAGGTCTTTATTCATTCTACAGAAATTATTGCATGCCTTGGTTTCTTGAAATATAAGTGATTGTTGTATTAAATTAGACAATACATATAAAGTACATAGTACAGTGCCTGACATCCAGAAAACACTTAGTAAGAATTAGTATTAGAATGGCTCCACCATTTAATATATATGTGACTTTTTACCAGTCACTCTAAGTTTGTTTTCTCATTTTAAAAACAGAATAATAATTGCCACCTCATAGGAGAGTTGTAAGGACTATATAAATTATAGCATTTAGCACACTTGGTATATACAGTATTTATTAAATGACAGATGCTATTAGTGGCAGTAGTAGTAGTAGTTACTGTAGCTGCAACAGCAACACTATTTGCTTTGTGCCTGACACTGGGCTAGCACTGGAGAATATTGGAAATTATTTTATATGGCTGACATATAGAGAGATGAGCCTCAAGAGGTAAGTAGAGCCTTACTACTGTGGGGTACTAAGCATATATAGAGTTTGAATTTTTATCTTGAAGGCAATAGTAAGCCATTAAGGGATTTTTTTTTTAAATCAAAATGCAGTATAATTGGATTTGTGCTTTAGAAAGATCCCTCTGACTAAAGTTTAGGGAGTGGATTTGAGTGAGGCAAGAGGAGGAAACAGGAGACCTACTAGAAAGCCATTACAAAATTTCATATGGGAAATGATGTTTGTCTGAAGTAAGGTTAGTGGCAGTAGAGATGGAGAGAAATCAACAGGTGTGAGACAGATTTTGGAGTTGGATTAATAAGATCTAGTGATGGATTGTAGGGGTAGAGTGAGGCAGCACCAGGTTATGAGGATATTGATTTGGCTATGAAAAGGAATAAAAGGAATCAGGAATTTCTCTCTTGATCTTCACTCCCTAACTAAAGCCTCTTCTCGAGCTACACTGAAAAAATTGTGTTATCCCCTTTCAAAATGCATCTTAATGAAACCTTTTCTAAGTTGGAGGAAATGCATTCTGTGATTATATTCATTGTGATAAAGAGTTTGCATTGAATCATTGATGTTCATCTGAAAAATTTGTTAATATTTTTCTGTCTTTCTATGACATACTCCAGGCTCAAAGATTGCCCCTAACAAAATCCATGTGTGTACATGTGCACGGTGTTCACCTAGATAGCCTCATCCACAACTAGTACATCTTGATTTACCTAATGGTAAATCAAAATTGTCACCTTTCCAGATAAAGAAGAGCATATATTTATCAAGTGTTTACTCAGAGTCCTCAGCTGGCTCCTGGGGGATGTGTGTGTGTGTGTGTGTGTGTGCGCGTGCGTGCACATGTGTGTGTTTGCATGCACACAAGCATGCAAAGATGAAACAAATGGAGTAATTTTAAGGAGCTTATAATCTAATAGAGATGAAAAGACATGTAAATACATAATTATAAAACAGGCTGATGGTGTTAGGGACACGATAATTTATGTGTTCTACATCCACTTATATGGTACTTTTAACATTAATCTGTGTTTCCATGTCTGTCTCCTAAATAAGACTCTGAGCTCCTTGAGGGTAGAGACTATTTCATTCATTTTTTTTTTCTGAAGGTGGACAGGATTCTTTTTATTTTTTATCCAAGTAGCCTAAATGACAAAAGACCAGTATCCGCATTCATTTCCACACAGTCCTAATTCATGACAAATGTACTTATTTTCTGCCATATAGCCTCTTTCCTAATTAAGAGAACCACATCCTATTCCTAAGTTATTACTATTAATGACAGCACAGGTATCAAACTTCAAGGTGACTTGTTTGGGCACCCCTTTTTCTTTTGTTTTGGCTAACACCTTACTTGTATCATTTATGAGCCCCCACCAGTCCTCAGTCCTTAATCTTATTTCACAAACTATGGTCATGGGAGGCTCAGATGGGTCATAACACACATCAGGTTGGTCATTTCCTGGGCTACATACCTTGTATAGAATAGTATTATACAAACAAGTTCTTTTTAGAGTCCTGGTACACTTATAATAACCATAAAATAATAGGACTGTAGCAACTTTTTGTCCTACCTCAGTGACTTGATGTATACACTGGAAACAGTCCTCAGTCTGAGGAAGGTCAGTTGAAGTCCTTACTGTACAAGTCCAAATTTTAAGGAAAATGAGTCCCGTGATGAGTTTTCTCATGCTTCGGCCATGCGTGGACCAGTCAGCTTCCGGGTGTGACTGGAGCAGGGCTTGTCATCCTTTTCAGAGTCACTTTGTAGGCGTTAGCGAAGCTCCCGTCCACGTACAGCTCACAGTCTACTGATGTTCAAGGATGGTCTCGGAGGTTGAGCCTGCTAGAATAAACTGAGTCCAACACCTCTACACAGTTATGTTCAACTGGGCTCTCTGATACCGGGAGCAAGGTGGTGGGGTTTAGGGTGTTGCAAACTTCAGTGGTTATGCGGGGATTTTCATATAGCAAGCTTTGGTACTTGGTTAATCTGGCATTTGTTAACCAATGATGTCCTTTGATAGTCATTAAAGTTACCACAGTATGGGGGGCCTTTATATTCAGGTTTTGCCCAAGGGTTAGTTTATCTGCTTCTTGTGCTAACAGGACCATTGCTGCCAGGGCCCTTAGACATGGGGCCAGGCTTTGGAAACCCCATCTAGTTGTTTTGAGAGATAGGCCACTGGCCTTGGCCAGGGCCCCACAGTTTGGGTTAAAACTCCAGCTGCCATTTTTTTCTCTTTCTGACACATAGGGTGTAAAGGGTTTTGACAGTTCAGGTAGCCCCAGGGCTGGGGCCGACATGAGTTTTTCTTTTAACTCATGAAAAGCTTGTTGCTATTGGTTATAATAGATGTAGTTTATCCAATCTACATTTTTATTAACTGTCACCCACCAAAATATTGACTCAAATCCTGCCTCTATTTGATTTCAAGCTTTAAATTGATGTGGTATTCCCCGTGGGACTCCAATTGCGTCTAAATAGACGTGAGAGTTGAAAGACCCATAAGGGGCTTTCTCGCACGATGTCTTATTTTTCCTCCCTCTGATTGATGAAATGTCAGGGTGAAAGGGATAGCTAATTGGACTAAAATACAAGTGCCACTCCAGTTATTCAGCAGAGTGCCCAGTAAAGGTCCACCACAATACCATCACACATCCGCTCGGGGATGAACAAGAGCTGACTGATTGATAAGCTCTTGACAATTCTTAAGCTCACTGCATCCCTTCAGGTCTCCAAGGAAGCTAAGTTTCCTCCCTGTCGTGAGAGACACGAAGTGAACTTAGTGTTGGAAGAGGGAGGCTGGATGGCCCTCGGGGACTGACCTGCAAGGTGCTGGACATTGGGATATAGCAGAGAGAGCTTGGCACGACTTATTACTCCAGGTTGTGGAATCCTGGAAGAGAGCTACCATGCAGCCCACGCCTGGTCGACTGGAGGACCACCTTAGTGGAAAGGGGACAGTCTGGGCCTCTGGCCTGCCATGTGCACAAGCATAATAATTGCTTTTGTTTAACGTGCAGATGGAATATTTGATCGACTCCAACCAGGCATTTGCATCTTGGTATCCTGTTTTAATTGCCAAAGTTTGTTTTAAGTCTTTAACTTTTATGATCCTCGAGTAAAATGAATGTACGATTTTAGGAAATTACAAAAACTGGTTGGGGCAGTCCATCCTTGCTCTTTAGTGGTCCACAGAATGTTGGACCAACTACAGCATAAAAGCTCTACATTGGGGGGCAAGAATCCTGGTTGACACTAGGGTCTTTATCAAAATTTCCCTGGATTAAATGGTCCTAATTTACTAATGCCCAGTCTGAGAAGAGTCAGGAGGGACAGAGGTACTTTTCTGAAGTAGAGAGCTGTCTTTGACTTGGCAGGTCCCCACAGGGTATAACAAGGCAAGCATTAAATGCAATAGTTTGAGGCGAAATTGACTTGGTTATGTTAATAACTAGATGGTCAGCAATAGAGCGAGGGAAGAAGAAAGAGTAATAGAATAGATGAAAGAGTTAAATTTTTCTTAGCTTTAGTTTGATAAGGTTTTCCCCTGGGACTGTGGCCCACGACTCTGGAGGTGGGGGCGCTTTGACTCGGGTGTGATGAGTCCATCCCTTTTCCGCTCTACGAACGGCAGTCTCAGTGGTTAACAGCACAAGGTAGGGTCCTTCTGAGGCTGGCTTGAGTTTTTCTTCTTTCCACCCTTTGATGAGAAGGTGATCTTCAGGCTGGTGCTGGTTTACTGGAAATTCTAGGGGTGGTACCTGTGCTAAAAGACTTTTAGTTTTGAGGGAAAGGAAAGTGGAAGATAAACCAAGTATATAATTTCTAAGAAATTGACCTTTTGTTTTAAATGTGGGGACATCAGCAGTGGACTTTATTGTCCTTGGTGCCTTCCTACTGAGAAATTTCCTTTAGCACCTATTTTTATTAGTTTTTAGACCAAAGAAGCCAAACACCATTTTATATCTGACAGTGCTTCCTGTATGATTTTTATACCAGATAAGCTAAATTTCACCTTTTACTGTGCTATTACTGTGCTATTAATGTTAAACTTAGTTTTAATAAACTTTGTAGACATTTATTCAATTTTTAATGTCAGACCATAAGGTAAGATTTTTATAGACTCTTTTTAACCTTTTATAATCTTTGTTAAAGAGCAGGTTAGTGCTTTAAGAAAAACCCATTGTGTTTTTACTTTAATGTCCAGTTCACAGAAAAACTGGATGATACCCCTTTAACTTTAGCCAATATGTTTACACACAGAATTTTCTTTACAATTAACGTTTTAAAACTTGCTTAAATCTTCAAAACAATATATACTTTTTAACCTTTTAATGTAGGTAAAAATTTACATTGTTATGCCTCCTTATAATCCTTTTACCAAAGGTATATTTTACTTTCCTTATACAACTTGCACATAAACTGTTTTGTTTTACATTCAGGAGGCCTAGTTACTTTTAAATTATACAACATTTCTTGCATAAATTCTTTTTTTAATAACATTTTTTTCTTTCACGACTTTCGCAGACAATTTTTCGACATGCCTCAACTTTCTGACTTATTACAAACATTTATTTCTTTAAATAACCAGTTAATTTATTTCAGGACAAGAACTTCCCATATAACACTCTTTTTACATAAATTCTGCCCCCCCCTTTTTTTCCCTTTTTTTTCCGAAGATGATAACCATTCTTTTCCAAAGCGAACTTCTTTTATGTCTGTGGACTAGACTGTCTTAAGGCCACAGGATTAGAAGTTACCATAATACATGTTACACTGTTAACTTTTAGCAAACTTTACTTTTGTTGAAAACCTTTTAAGTTTGGGATTTCAATTATCCTTTGCTATTAATAAGACCTTGTTCAGTCCAAATTAACTTAGAATTGGTATAGATGTTTTTTTTTTTTTTCCTTCAATTACCTGGGAGGAACCATCGATTGTCCTGTCCTGAAGGGAGTTCCTCCTAGGTCTGGTCAGACCTTTGTATGGTAATTAAGATTTAGATCCCCTGTAAGGAAACCTGCTGGGTTAAGGGAATTTTCAGTGGTTAATGTTAAATCATCCTTTTTTTTTTTTCCTTAGGATACTTCTGAACTGGTGAGATGTGCTCACAATGAGGTTTCCTCTAAAAGTTATTTTTTTTACTTTCTTCTGTTAGCAAAGCAGTTGCCTACAGATTGAATGCTTCTGGGCCATCCACAGGTTACTGGGTTAAGGATTTTTGATAGGAAGTCCTCAGTGCTTTCGGGAATACGCCCTTGTTTACACTGACAACAAAGTGGTATTAGAGTGTTACAGGGTTACGGAGAATACCTTTAATTATCAATTATAGGTTTTAAATTTACCTTGGCTTTTAAAGGAATAGGGTACACTGTTTTTTTTTCCTTAACTTCTGGTATATTTCTCTCTTTCTCTCTTTCTTTCTCTCTTTGACTTTCTGTCTCTCTCTTTTTGACTTTGCTTTTGCCTCTGTCTCTTTCTGCCTCTCTGCCTCTCTCTTTCTCTCTCTCTCTCTCTCTCCTTGACTCCCTCTTTGTCTCTCTGTCTCTTCCTCTCTCTCTCTTTGCCCCTTTTTCTCTCTCTTTCCTCCTCTGTCTCTCTCTGCTGGTCTTTCCTTGTCTCTGCCAGCCACTTATGCTGCTGTTCTCTCAACCACTGGTGAGGGGGGTGTGGGGTCTAAAACCAGCTGTAACCAAGGGTCTATGTATGGGAACTCATCTGGGTGCCCTGGCTTACAGGTTACCTTGTGCCATACCTTTGAAACAAGGGACCTGTCCAGGCTTCCTTCTGATGGCCAACCCACCTCTAATGCTGGCCAGTCTATTTCACACAAAGTTCTAAGTTTTCCTGGTGTCATAGTAACACCATAATCTCCCTTAAATCCTTCCTTGAAATTTTTCAACATAGTTCCTAGTGGGGTGGGCTTACTTTGTGCCTGACCCATGCTTCTTCGAGACAAAACACCATGCTCACACCACAAAACAAAGAACGAGTAAAAAGGGCACACACACACACTTTTACAGTTTACACCAAACTCAGAATCAAAACCAAAATCAGAGTATCCAGAAATCCAAGCCAGGTCAAAAACAAAACCAAAGTATCAAGCAATCCAAGTCAAGTCAAAAACAAAAACCAAAGTGCCGGTACAGGCAGACCGTGGGTGATCAGGCCACGCTTCCACTCAAATGGAGTGGGCAAGTTCCAAAGACTAGTCTTACCAAGTTTCAGATGTCCAGACTCCAAGTGCCAGTTCCTTCCCGGTGTTCAGCCACTGCGTTGATCGTCCACGGGGGCCTGCCACGTGCTCCTCTGGCGAGGCGTTCCACCAGGCCAATTGCCTACCCAGGAGTGCTCTCAGGATCCGCATCGGCCAAGCTGGCTGGAGTGCCCCATAGGGATGCTCCACAGGGCAGGCCTAAGCCACCTAAGGGGCTGCCTCGACCGTCCGACTGTCTGTTAATCACCTCGCTTCCCGGTCAGGGAACCAAGAAATGTAGCAGAACAAGCCACGGGCAAAACCCCTCAGACACCGAGTTAAAGAAGGAAGGGCTTTATTCGGCCAGGAGCTTCAGCAAGACTCACGTCTCCAACAGCCGAGCTCCTATTTCATTCATTTTTATATCTCTCCAGTCTAGTGTAGTTCCTGTAGGAGATCTGGAAATGTTTCTCGTATGAAAGGTATATATACAGTGCTTCCAGATGTTGTGGGTAAGGTCCTCACTTGATTGAGGGGAAGGAAGTATAGATTTTTTTTTTTTTTTGAGACAGAATCTTGCTCTGTCTCTAGGCTGGAGTGCAGTGGTGCAATCTCGGCTCACTGCAACCTCCGCCTCCTGGTTCAAGCACTTCTCCTGCCTCAGCCTCCCAAGTAGCTGGGGCTACAGACACACACCACCACACCCAGCTAATTTTTGTATTTTTAGTAGAGACAGGGTTTCACCATGTTGGCCAGGATGGTCTTGATCTCTTGACCTCTTGATCTGCCCACCTCGGCCTCCCAAAGTGCTGGGATTACAGGCGTAAGCTGCCGTGCCTGGCCTGAATTACATATTTTAAGGAAGGGTCCAGACATACAGGGGAGAAAGCTGGAAGACTCAAGTCAGCTACCATGTTAAATAGGTGACTTCTAGAAACACCTGGAGATGAGGTACATAAGATTTGTGACATAGGGAAAAACATCCTTCCCTCAGTATGACGAACAAACAGACCCAGTTCTAAAGAACAACTTCCTTAGATTTGTAACTGATGGATGGGGAAAAGTCCAGAGATTTTCTGTGCAAGAAACCTTCACCTGTGACCAAGTATTCTTAGCGACCCGACATAAGAATAGTTTATCTAAATCAACCCTGAACTTGCTTCACAGACACAAGTTCTTTTGGTCTACTAATAACATACAAATTCCTTTTAGAAGACCACACCCACCAAGTAGGAAACGAAGGTTTCCACATTCCAAAAATTAGCAGAATCTTATCACAGCTGACGGGGCTAAGGATAGAGAGGAATAGAGGAATCAACCTATCCCCAATAGAGCAAGAAAATGAGTTAGCCAAGAAAAGCAAATGTTGGATTTAGCTCTTCAAGACCTTAAGAAAAAGATAAAAGTACCTCTGCTTCAAAACTTTTAAGGAACGTTGTATCTGAGAGACTTTGCCTAGAACTTAGTATATGTGTATATTCTATACTAAAACACACATTTACATGAAGAAAGACTTTCTTCAAATTTTCCTCTGTCTTTAAACTGTCGTGATTCATTACTATTTGTTTTATTTCCAGTGTACTCCAAAATGTGGTCCAGGATTCAAGCATCGGATTGTTCTGTGCAAGAGCAGTGACCTTTCTAAGACATTCCCAGCTGCACAATGTCCAGAGGAAAGCAAACCTCCTGTCCGCATCCGCTGCAGTTTGGGCCGCTGCCCTCCTCCTCGCTGGGTCACAGGAGACTGGGGCCAGGTAAGGCGTTTGTACTGTGGGCTCCTGCTGAAATAGCACCTTGAGACACAAACCTGAGGTTCCTTGTGTGATCATTGTAAGGGCTTGAGAGATGAGTAAGAATTAACACGTAGAAGTCTAAGTATGAGGCATGAGTGTGAAACAGTGCACAAACCACAGCCACCACATGTGGACACATACAGAGTGAGCCAGTGATTCTCCCACACCCACACACTTCCCACTTCAGATTCTATTCTTCAGATCCATTGTGGTTAAAATTAAAAGAGAAATAGAATAACCGATAGAGATCTGAACAAGCTACCAAAACTTTGGATTCTAGTCCCAGCTGTCAACTGAAAAGGAACAAATCAGTTAACAGCAGTGTCTTCATTTTCCCACTTGCAAAATAGAGATAATTACTCTTTTTTTTTTTTCTTTTGAGATGGAGTCTCACTCTGTCGCTCAGGCTGGAGTGCAGTGGCGCGATCTCGGCTCACTGCAAGCTCTGCCTCCTGGGTTCAGGCCATCCTCCTGCCTCAGCCTCCCGAGTAGCTGGGACTACAGGTGCCTGCCACTACGCCCAGCTAATTTTTTGTATTTTTAGTAGAGACAGGGACTCACCATCTTAGCCAGGATGGTCTCGATCTCCTGACCTCGTGATCCGCCCGCCTCGGCCTCCCAAAGTGCTGGGATTACAGGTGTGAGCCACCGCGCCTGGCCAAAAATATATATATTTTTAAGGCTCTTCATGAATATCCTTACAAGTCCTGTGGGTGCTTTCAGAGTTTTTGCAAACAAATCCAACAGGGCTTCAATGTGTTGACCCTGTAAACATCACCATCCCCTGTGTTGGCACCAGTTACTTCCTCATGCCTTTGATTCCAAATTTCATAGGCTTTCTGGTATTCTCGATGGCAGGCCCATAGATTAACCCAGCTTCATTCTTCAGCCTCAGCAGCTGATCAGTCCCAAGTGAAACTAAGCCTCTCGGACAGTAACTTCAGTTCTGAAGTGACTGAATCCCAGAGTAGATGCAAAAGGAGAGGGAGACACGCTCATTTGAGAACACAGACTACTTCTCAGGTTTGTGTGGCTGGCAATCCCTTAGAAAACCTGAGGGACTTATTTAAGCTCTTTTTTTTTTTAAATGACCCCATCACCAGGCTCCACGCCTGTCACTGCTATTACACTGAACTAATAGTTTAATCACATACAGGACACTCCAATAAGCCATCAGGTTATTTACCTGCACACCTATAATAAATAGGGAGCAATAGTGATTTCCTAGCCCTACAATCTCTCATTATTCTACTTCATCACAAGGATTTTCTCATGACACTCCTGCTAGAGTTCACCAGCCTTGCCGGGAATTGTTGGAGTGATAGCAAGAAATCTCTATGTATTATCTTCTGGGAAGTATATTGAGTCTGTTTGCTAGGGTAATAACATGATCTTTGACTTTCCAAACCAGTTTGATAGTAGAATGACCTAATCATACACCTCTCAAAAATGAACCACATGTGGGCTTTAAAAGTTAATATTGTGGCCAGGCGCGATGGCTCACACCTGTAATCCCAGGATTTTGGGAGGCTGAGGCGGGCAGATCACGAGGTCAGGAGATTGAGACCATGCTGGCTAAGATGGTGAAACCCCGTCTCTACTAAAAATACAAAAAATTAGCCGGATGTGGTGGCGGGTGCCTGTAGTCCCAGCTACTCGGGAGGCTGAGGCAGGAGAATGGTGTGAACCCGGGAGGCAGAGCTTGCAGTGGGTTGAGATTGTGCCACTGCACTCCAGCCTGAGCGACAGAGCGAGACTCTGTCTCAAAAAAAAAAAAAATTAATATTGTGGCTGGGCGTGGTGGCTCATGCCTGTAATCCCAGCACTTTGGGAGGCCAAGGCAGGAGGATTGCTTGAGGTCAGGTTCGAGACCAGCCTGGCCAACATAGCAAGACGCTGTGTCTCAAAAGAAAAAAAAAAAAGTTCATATTGTGTTGTATTTGAAATGACATAGTATATTTTTTACCTCCTGAAAATTGTTGAGATTAATATTTTGTTTCTTTGTGTCTTTGGATTTAGTGTTCTGCTCAGTGTGGCCTTGGACAGCAGATGAGAACTGTGCAGTGTCTCTCCTACACCGGACAGGCATCTAGTGACTGTCTAGAAACTGTTCGGCCTCCATCAATGCAGCAGTGTGAAAGCAAATGTGACAGTACCCCCATTTCTAATACTGAAGGTGAGTTTTCCATGGAGGAGGGGCCTGTGGTTTCTAATGACCCACCTTTACTGTTCCCAGGGTCTGAAGAGCACAGTAAACCCACTACTGTAGTGTAGTTTGAGTAGAGCATTTGTGAAAGCTGCTTATATGCAGACAGCAATCAGGAAACCCAAGTTTTTTCCTGACTTTTTAAGTAACTTTATGACCTTGTTAAGTCACTTAACCTCTCTGGAGCTAAGTTTATCTATAAAATAAGAAATTGGAGTAGATAATCTCTAAGATCATATCCAGCCTTGTATTCTAAGTTTGATTTATAGTAGGACTTTAGAGCTGTTTCCTAATGAACTACTCTTGAAGTGCAAACTTCTGTTTCTTTTTGGATATGACAGTGGATCTCTATCATTCTGAAGATTTAAATTCATTCTTGTTATACATATAATGAAAGCATATGTTTGAAACTACTTGCATTTTAAATGCTAATTTTCTTATCGTAGAAAAGTAGAAAAATAATTATGTAGCTGTTTATAAAGGTGGACAAAGTTCTTTGTGCTCTGGAATTTCTCTTTCTGTTTTGTTTTTGTTTTTGTTTTTGTTTTTAATTATACTTTAAGTTTTAGGGTACATGTGCACATTGTGCAGGTTAGTTACATATGTATACATGTGCCATGCTGGTGCGCTGCACCCACTAACTCATCATCTAGCATTAGGTATATCTCCCAATGCTATCCCTCCCCCCTCCCCCCTCCCCACCACAGTCCCCAGAGTGTGATATTCCCCTTCCTGTGTCCATGTGATCTCATTGTTCAATTCCCACCTATGAGTGAGAATATGCAGTGTTTGGTTTTTTGATCTTGCGATAGTTTACTGAGAATGATGGTTTCCAATTTCATCCATGTCCCTACAAAGGACATGAACTCATCATTTTTTATGTCTGCATAGTATTCCATGGTGTATATGTGCCACATTTTCTTAATCCAGTCTATCATTGTTGGACATTTGGGTTGGTTCCAAGTCTTTGCTATTCTGAATAATGCCGCAATAAACATACGTGTGCATGTGTCTTTATAGCAGCATGATTTATAGTCATTTGGGTATATACCCAGTAATGGGATGGCTGGGTCAAATGGTATTTCTAGTTCTAGATCCCTGAGGAATCGCCACACTGACTTCCACAATGGTTGAACTAGTTTACAGTCCCACCAACAGTGTAAAAGTGTTCCTATTTCTCCACATCCTCTCCAGCAGCTGTTGTTTCCTGACTTTTTAATGATTGCCATTCTAACTGGTGTGAGATGATATCTCATAGTGGTTTTGATTTGCATTTCTCTGATGGCCACTGATGATGAGCATTTTTTCATGTGTTTTGTGGCTGCATAAATGTCTTCTTTTGAGAAGTGTCTGTTCATGTCCTTTGCCCACTTTTTGATGGGGTTGTTTGTTTTTTTCTTGTAAATTTGTTTGAGTTCATTGTAGATTCTGGATATTAGCCCTTTGTCAGATGAGTAGGTTGCGAAAATTTTCTCCCATGTTGTAGGTTGCCTGTTCACTCTGATGGTAGTTTCTTTTGCTGTGCAGAAGCTCTTTAGTTTAATTAGATCCCATTTGTCAATTTTGGCTTTTGTTGCCATTGCTTTTGGTGTTTTGGACATGAAGTCCTTGCCCACGCCTATGTCCTGAATGGTAACGCCTAGGTTTTCTTCTAGGGTTTTTATGGTTTTAGGTCTAACGTTTAAATCTTTAATCCATCTTGAATTGATTTTTGTATAAGATGTAAGGAAGGGATCCAGTTTCAGCTTTCTACATATGGCTAGCCAGTTTTCCCAGCACCATTTATTAAATAGGGAATCCTTTCCCCATTGCTTGTTTTTCTAAGGTTTGTCAAAGATCAGATAGTTGTAGGTAAGCGGCGTTATTTCTGAGGGCTCTGTTCTGTTCCATTGATCTATATCTCTGTTTTGGTACCAGTACCATGCTGTTTTGGTTACTGTAGCCTTGTAGTATAGTTTGAAGTCAGGTAGTGTGATGCCTCCAGCTTTGTTCTTTTGGCTTAGGATTGACTTGGCGATGCGGGCTCTTTTTTGGTTCCATATGAACTTTAAAGTAGTTTTTTCCAATTCTGTGAAGAAAGTCATTGGTAGCTTGATGGGGATGGCATTGAATCTGTAAATTACCTTGGGCAGTATGGCCATTTTCACGATATTGATTCTTCCTATCCATGAGCATGGAATGTTCTTCCATTTGTTTGTATCCTCTTTTATTTCCTTGAGCAGTGGTTTGTAGTTCTCCTTGAAGAGGTCCTTCACATCCCTTGTGAGTTGCATTCCTAGGTATTTTATTCTCTTTGAAGCAATTGTGAATGGGAGTTCACTCATGATTTGGCTCTCTGTTTGTCTGTTGTTGGTGTATAGGAATGCTTGTGATTTTTGTACATTGATTTTGTATCCTGAGACTTTGCTGAAGTTGCTTATCAGCTTAAGGAGATTTTGGGCTGAGATGATGGGGTTTTCTAGATAAACAATCATGTCGTCTGCAAACAGGGACAATTTGACTTCCTCTTTTCCTAATTGAATATTCTTTATTTCCTTCTCCTGCCTGATTGCCCTGGCCAGAACTTCCAACACTATGTTGAATAGGAGCGGTGAGAGAGGGCATCCCTGTCTTGTGCCAGTTTTCAAAGGGAATGCTTCCAGTTTTTGCCCATTCAGTATGATATTGGCTGTGGGTTTGTCATAGATAGCTCTTATTATTTTGAAATACGTCCCATCAATACCTAATTTATTGAGAGTTTTTAGCATGAAGGGTTGTTGAATTTTGTCAAAGGCTTTTTCTGCATCTATTGAGATAATCATGTGGTTTTTGTCTTTGGCTCTGTTTATATGCTGGATTACATTTATTGATTTGCGTATATTGAACCAGCCTTGCATCCCAGGGATGAAGCCCACTTGGTCATGGTGGATAAGCTTTTTGATGTGCTGCTGGATTCGGTTTGCCAGTATTTTATTGAGGATTTTTGCATCAATGTTCATCAAGGATATTGGTCTAAAATTCTCTTTTTTGGTTGTGTCTCTGCCCGGCTTTGGTATCAGAATGATGCTGGCCTCATAAAATGAGTTAGGGAGGATTCCCTCTTTTTCTATTGATTGGAATAGTTTCAGAAGGAATGGTACCAGTTCCTCTGTGTACCTCTGGTAGAATTCGGCTGTGAATCCATCTGGTCCTGGACTCTTTTTGGTTGGTAAACTATTGATTATTGCCCCAATTTCAGCTCCTGTTATTGGTCTATTCAGAGATTCAACTTCTTCCTGGTTTAGTCTTGGGAGGGTGTATGTGTCGAGGAAGTTATCCATTTCTTCTAGATTTTCTAGTTTATTTGCGTAGAGGTGTTTGTAGTATTCTCTGATGGTAGTTTGTATTTCTGTGGGATCAGTGGTGATATCCCCTTTATCATTTTTTATTGTGTCTATTTGATTCTTCTCTCTTTTTTTCTTTATTAGTCTTGCTAGCAGTCTATCAATTTTGTTGATCCTTTCAAAAAACCAGCTCCTGGATTCATTGATTTTTTGAAGGGTTTTTTGTGTCTCTATTTCCTTCAGTTCTGCTCTGATTTTAGTTATTTCATGCCTTCTGCTAGCTTTTGAATGTGTTTGCTCTTGCTTTTCTAGTTCTTTTAATTGTGATGTTAGGGTGTCAATTTTGGATCTTTCCTGCTTTCTCTTGTGCGCATTTAGTGCTATAAATTTCCCTCTACACACTGCTTTGAATGCGTCCCAGAGATTCTGGTATGTTGTGTCTTTGTTCTCGTTGGTTTCAAAGAACATCTTTATTTCTGCCTTCATTTCGTTATGTACCCAGTAGTCATTCAGGAGCAGGTTGTTCAGTTTCCATGTAGTTGAGCGGCTTTGAGTGAGATTCTTAATCCTGAGTTCTAGTTTGATTGCACTGTGGTCTGAGAGACAGTTTGTTATAATTTCTGTTCTTTTACATTTGCTGAGGAGAGCTTTACTTCCAACTATGTGGTCAATTTTGGAATAGGTGTGGTGTGGTGCTGAAAAAAATGTATATTCTGTTGATTTGGGGTGGAGAGTTCTGTAGATGTCTATTAGGTCCGCTTGGTGCAGAGCTGAGTTCAATTCCTGGGTATCCTTGTTGACTTTCTGTCTCGTTGATCTGTCTAATGTTGACAGTGGGGTGTTAAAGTCTCCCATTATTAATGCGTGGGAGTCTAAGTCTCTTTGTAGGTCACTCAGGACTTGCTTTATGAATCTGGGTGCTCCTGTATTGGGTGCATATATATTTAGGATAGTTAGCTCCTCTTGTTGAATTGATCCCTTTACCATTATGTAATGGCCTTCTTTGTCTCTTTTGATCTTTGTTGGTTTAAAGTCTGTTTTATCAGAGACTAGGATTGCAACCCCTGCATTTTTTTGTTTTCCATTTGCTTGGTAGATCTTCCTCCATCCTTTTATTTTGAGCCTATGTGTGTCTCTGCACATGAGATGGGTTTCCTGAATACAGCACACTGATGGGTCTTGACTCTTTATCCAACTTGCCAGTCTGTGTCTTTTAATTGGAGAATTTAGTCCATTTACATTTAAAGTTAATATTGTTATGTGTGAATTTGATCCTGTCATTATGATGTTAGCTGGTTATTTTGTTCATTAGTTGATGCAGTTTCTTCCTAGTCTCGATGGTCTTTACATTTTGGCATGATTTTGCAGCGGCTGGTACCGGTTGTTCCTTTCCATGTTTAGCGCTTCCTTCAGGAGCTCTTTTAGGGCAGGCCTGGTGGTGACAAAATCGGTCAGCATTTGCTTGTCTGTAAAGTATTTTATTTCTCCTTCACTTATGAAGCTTAGTTTGGCTGGATATGAAATTCTGGGTTGAAAATTCTTTTCTTTAAGAATGTTGAATATTGGCCCCCACTCTCTTCTGGCTTGTAGGGTTTCTGCCGAGAGATCAGCTGTTAGTCTGATGGGCTTCCCTTTGAGGGTAACCCGACCTTTCTCTCTGGCTGCCCTTAACATTTTTTCCTTCATTTCAACTTTGGTGAATCTGACAATTATGTGTCTTGGAGTTGCTCTTCTCGAGGAGTATCTTTGTGGCGTTCTCTGTATTTCCTGAATCTGAACGTTGGCCTGCCTTGCTAGATTGGGGAAGTTCTCCTGGATAATATCCTGCAGAGTGTTTTCCAACTTGGTTCCATTCTCCGCATCACTTTCAGGTACACCAATCAGACGTAGATTTGGTCTTTTCACATAGTCCCATATTTCTTGGAGGCTTTGCTCATTTCTTTTTATTCTTTTTTCTCTAAACTTCCCTTCTCGCTTCATTTCATTCATTTCATCTTCCATTGCTGATACCCTTTCTTCCAGTTGATCGCATCGGCTCCTGAGGCTTCTGCATTCTTCACTTAGTTCTCGAGCCTTGGTTTTCAGCTCCATCAGCTCCTTTAAGCACTTCTCTGTATTGGTTATTCTAGTTATACATTCTTCTAAATTTTTTTCAAAGTTTTCAACTTCTTTGCCTTTGGTTTGAATGTCCTCCCGTAGCTCAGAGTAATTTGATCGTCTGAAGCCTTCTTCTCTCAGCTCGTCAAAATCATTCTCCATCCAGCTTTGTTCCATTGCTGGTGAGGAACTGCGTTCCTTTGGAGGAGGAGAGGCGCTCTGCGTTTTAGAGTTTCCAGTTTTTCTGTTCTGTTTTTTCCCCATCTTTGTGGTTTTATCTACTTTTGGTCTTTGATGATGGTGATGTACAGATGGGTTTTCAGTGTGGATGTCCTTTCTGTTTGTTAGTTTTCCTTCTAACAGACAGGACCCTCAGCTGCAGGTCTGTTGGAATACCCTGCAGTGTGAGGTGTCAGTGTGCCCCTGCTGGGGGGTGCCTCCCAGTTAGGCTGCTCGGGGGTCAGGGGTCAGGGACCCACTTGAGGAGGCAGTCTGCCCGTTCTCAGATCTCCAGCTGCGTGCTGGGAGAACCACTGCTCTCTTCAAGGCTGTCAGACAGGGACATTTAAGTCTGCAGAGGTTACTGCTGTCTTTTTGTTTGTCTGTGCCCTGCCCCCAGAGGTGGAGCCTACAGAGGCAGGCAGGCCTCCTTGAGCTGTGGTGGGCTCCACCCAGTTCGAGCTTCCCGGCTGCTTTGTTTACCTAAGCAAGCCTGGGCAATGGCGGGCGCCCCTCCCCCAGCCTCGCTGCCGCCTTGCAATTTGATCTCAGACTGCTGTGCTAGCAATCAGCGAGACTCCGTGGGCGTAGGACCCTCCGAGCCAGGTGCGGGATATAATCTCCTGGTGCGCCGTTTTTTAAGCCGGTCTGAAAAGCGCAATATTCGGGTGGGAGTGACCCGATTTTCCAGCTGCGTCCATCACCCCTTTCTTTGACTCGGAAAGGGAACTCCCTGACCCCTTGCGCTTCCCAGGTGAGGCAATGCCTCGCCCTGCTTCGGCTCGCGCACGGTGCGCGCACCCACTGGCCTGCGCCCACTGTCTGGCACTCCCTAGTGAGATTAACCCGGTACCTCAGATGGAAATGCAGAAATCACCCGTCTTCTGCGTCGCTCACGCTGGGAGCTGTTGACCAGAGCTGTTCCTATTCGGCCATCTTGGCTCCTCCCCCTCTGTCTGTTTTTTATTCATTGGGAAATCCCTTTATTAACAGCAGATGCCCCACCCCCCGGCCACAATCGTGACTTTTTAAAATCTGTTATTTAAATGAAAGTAATTTCTTTATTCTTTTAGGCATTCATTAGGAATTGCTTGAATGCTACTACGTGCGAGTCACTATGACAGAAATTATCAAGAATGTGAAGACAAACATGGCATAGTGCAGAAGTTTAGACTGCCTTCTCACATGAAAATACAGGCAGGGTCAAATATATGCACATGAACAACACCTGAAGCCGCAAATTTAAATTATAAGGCCCTGAAAAAACCTATCATTAATATATAGTCAAATAATTTGTTAATATTTTTCAAGTGAAAACTATATGTTTATAAACCTCTTCAAGAGAGATCTCTTTCTTTTGATCAACTCTGTCTAATTCAAAGGATTCTTAAAAATAATACTCACTATTTAAAAGTGTTTTCTTGGGAATTTTAAGAAAGTGATCTTGTATGACAAGATCCAGACACCTTGCATCTTTGCAAATGGTCTGTTTTTTTATACTTAAGCCTCAACACAATGCACTTATTATACACATAATTTACTCTTTCAAAATGTATAACCCTATGCTACATTAATTAAAAATCACAACTTTAAATTTTGCAGAATCTCTGGCTTTACTGCTACTTCTTTTTTGTCCCTTTAGATTCTGGAAATCTAGCTTTCCCTCTCTTGAGAAGGGCTCAAAATCCATAACAAACAAAAGTATTTTTCTTGGAAAAAAATTATCTTTTAAATTATCTTTAAAAAAAAAAATCTCTTAGCTGGGTGTGGTGGCTCACATCTGTAATCTCAGCACTTTCAGAGGGTTGAGTTGGGAGGATCACTTGAGCCCAGGAGTTCAAGACCATGCTGGGCAGCATAGTGAGACACTGTCTCTACAAAAAATAAAAAAGTTAGCTAGGCATGGTGGTATGTGGCTGTAGTCATAGCTCCTTGGGAGGCTGAGGCAGGAGGATCACTTGAACTCAGGAAGTTGAGGCTGCAGTGAGCCCTGATCATGCCACTGCACTCCAGCCAGGGCAACAGACTGAGACTCTGTCTCAGAAAAACCCCCCCAAAACAAAACAGAACAAAATCTGTCTTCTGTAAGACTCCAGCAAATGATTTCTTTTATCCATTGTAAGTTAGCAATAGATCACATGAGTTTGGGGTTCTCTTTTTCTTTCAGAATTGGAAGATACAAGGTTAAGGTAGGAGAGAGGATATAACTATCATATTAAATTATTCTGTGTTGGGTATTATGTTAGGCCCTTTATATATATTATCTGTCTTATATATCTCACATACACAAATAGATCTCTCTCTGCAAGTGTGTGTGTGTGTGTGTGTGTGTGTGTGTGTGTGTGTGTAGTATCTTATATAATCCTGACAACAAGCTTCTAAGAGTTGGTATTATTAATGAAGAAAGTGAGGCACAGGGGAAGATAGTGATTTGCCCAGTTTAAAGATTAGGAAGTAGTAGAGTCAGGATCTGAACCCACATTTGGTAGGGTCCAAGTACCTGTCCATTTCAACTATATTTGCATGCTATTCTTAATTTAGTCTTTAAAGTAGGGTATTTTGACATAAAAGCAAGAGTTTCTGATTTTGAAGTAAAACATTTCTGGCATGACTGTCAGCCTAATTCAATAGATTAAGCCTAAGTCATTGCTGAAAGAACTGCCTTTTGACATGCCTAAAACAATATATCTGTGGAAGTTATGCTCATACCTTCATTTCAGACAATTTTAATAATTTCTCCAAAATCTTCTCTATAATGCATAATCATTATAGATAAACTTTGCAGTTTATGTATAATAAGTTTCAAAACTATTTTCAGAGTAGGCAGAATATCATTTGTACCTGTGCTAATGTCTGCCTTAAGGGAATTGTCTTAAAATGGATACGTGTTAATTTGAGGTTTCTTGGGTTATTTGGAGAAACACCTCATGGTTATTTCATCTACCTGGCTAAATCGCTTTTTATTAATATTATTCTAAAGTAAGCAGTAAAAACAATATATTTAGACTTCTCAGTAAAGGAGGAAATTTTTAGGAAATTATTAATCCTGCAAAGTATGACTCATGTTAGAATCATTATTATCTAAAGCTGTCAACTCATTTAAAAGAAAGAAGATAACTCTCTTTACAAAATTAGATTTAAAGTACAAATGATACATCTGTCATAACTTGTTTTGTGTTCCCTTTAATTTCCCAATAGCATATATGGAATGCATTTAAATATCTGAAACTATTTGTTCATTTAATCAGCAGCTAATTACTGAATGCTTTCTGTGGCCAGCCTCTGCTATTTATTATGGAAAATTTAAATATATTTATAAGTTCATAGTCTTTCAGGGCAAATACTTAAATGAAAATTTTTTTAATTCAAAAAAATTTAAGAAAGGAAGGGGAAATGTGTTGTGTGGAGCAGTTTGCACAAGTGCTCAAATGAAGGACCAATGAGGTAACATTTTCCATCAAGGCAGGCTTCATAGACTAAGTAATCAGTAAGCCATCTATATAACACATAGTTGGAAAAACCCAGTGTGTACCTTGGGAAAAGTGAATAAAACATTATGAGCTGAATTACAAGTTTTAATCCATAGAGATATGGAATGGACGGATAACATAGATTTCAAAAGAGACAAGGAGGCCGGGCACGGTGGCTCACGCCTGCAATCTCAACATTTTGGGAGGCCAAGGGGAGAGGATTGCTTGAGCCCAGGAGTTTGACACCAGCCTGGGCAACATAGGGAGACACCTTCTCTACAAAAAATTTAAAAACTAGCTGGGTATGGTGGCACGCATCTGTAGTCCAGCTACTTGGGAGGCTTAGGTAGGAGGATCACTTGAGTTTGGGAGGTCGAGGTTGCAGTGAGCCATGATCACACCATTGCACTCCAGCCAGGGTGACAGAGTGAGACTCTGTCTCAAAATAAATAAATAAATAAAAAGAGAGAGAGAAGAGGTTCTAGTGTGAAAATAATGCAAACGTGGTCTGTTACGGTTTGTAGGAGGCAGATCAAGGAAGAAAAGAGGCCGGGCATGGTGGCTCACGCCTATAATCCCAGCACTTTGGGAGGCTGAGGTGGGTGGATCACATGAGATCAGGAGTTCAAGACCAGCCTGACCAACATGGAGAAACCCTGTCTCTACTAAAAATACAAAATTATCCGGGCATGGTGGCACATGCCTGTAATCCCAGCTACTTGGGAGGCTGAGGCAGGAGAATTGCTTGAATTTGGGAGGCAGAAGTTGCGGTCAGCTGAGATCACGCCATTGCACTCCAGCCTGGGCAACAAGAGCAAAACTCTGTCTCAAAAAAAAAAAAAAAATGGAGGAAAGAAATGCCTTTTAGCAAGGAAAAGTTAAGAAGAAAGTTGGAGGCCGGGCGCGGTGGCTCACGCCTGTAATCCCAGCACTTTGGGAGGGCGAGGCGGGCAGATCACGAGGTCAGGAGATTGAGACCATCCTGCCTAACATGGTGAAACCCCATCTCTACTAAAAACAAAAAATTAGCCGGGCGTGGTGGTGGGCACCTGTAGTCCCAGCTACTCGGGAGGCTGAGGCTGGAGAATGGCGTGAACCCGGGAGGCGGAGCTTGCAGTGAGCCGAGATTGCGCCACTGCACTCCAGCCTGGGCGACAGAGCGAGACTCCTCTCAAAAAAAAAAAAAAAAGAAAGTCGGAGAAGGAGCAGTTTCTGGTTAATGCAGGAGAGTGGAAGAGGTGGAAGAGGATCCCCTTTCCTCCAGCACAGTCAGATTCCCATGACTCATAGTACGAGGCTACTGAAAAACCACTTCAACTCTACCCCAAGACAGGGCAGGATTTGGGGAGACGTATTGAGATCTAAAATAGTCTTTCAGTTGAATCTCTATGAATTAAATGGGCCACAGATAGAATGTTGAGAATTGTTTTGACTACCAAGGTTTGGGTAATGGTCTCCCTCCTATCAGTATTTCATTATGAAAAAAATTAGAAGTTTCAAACATACAGCAAAGCTGAAAGAATTTTACAGTGAACATCCACCATCTAGATTATATTACTTTTAATGGCAAAAACTGAAATTACTTTTGCACCAAACCATAGCATTATCATTTACTGAACATGCTTTTTCATATATGTGCATATATCTGCCCATCCATTCCTCAAGCTTATGATTTTTTAAATAACATCCTACATTCATCCAATCATTAATTTATTTACTTAGCAAACATACTTACCATGTGCTAGGCACCAAGACTATGAACGCAATACAACAGGTTCCCTGTTCTCAAAGGTTTAGTAGGATTGGCAACATACAAATAATTTTGACAATATGAGCAGTACTGTTCCAGGCGTGGCAAGAAGTGACCATGAGTGCACAGAGGAGCAGGTAATCAGCAGAAGCATCACAGAGAAGGCAAGCTGAGCTGGACATGGAAGGTAGGAAACAGTTTACCCAGAAGACATTGAAATGCAGGGCATTCCTGACAGAGGACAAGTGTGTGCAGTCACAGGGGCATGGAGGCAGTTTGCTATCGCTGCGGTGGGTTGGGAGATGAGCAGGCAGTGCAGATGAGGCTACAGAGAGAGAGGCAGGGACTTGGTTTTGGAGACTCCACATGTAGTGGAAGGAAGCTAGGACTCTATCTTTGGGTTATAGGGAACAAGTGAAAAAAAACTGGGGTTTGATATGCTCAGGATGACAGAAGGGTAACGAAGCAGAGGGAGGGCAGCCTTGTGTGGGAGTAGAATGAGAAAGAATTTTTCTAAGAGTCCAGGCAAGAGAGGATGGAGGCGTGAACTAAGGCAGATATTGTAGGGATTAAAAGGAGAGTGATGAACTGGGGGGAAAATAATAAAATGAAAGGAGAATAAAAAGAGCCTGATGAACAGTTAGACATGGAGATGAGAGATATGGAGGCGTTCAGGATGACTCCCACATTTCAGATTTAGGTAACTGTGTACCATCATTAATCATGAAGGAATTCAGGCATCTGTAGGGAAATTAAACACATTAGTCCTCTGAAGCTTTAATAAGATAATGGAATTTGAATAAGATTAAAAAATAAAATAAATTGAGAGAGATTGAAGAAATGGAGGGAGGTCAAGCAACAAATGATAATAAGGAAATCAGAAGCAGGGTTTCAAAAAATTAAAATAGCAAGAGGGAAATGGGAGGAAGAAGAAGGGAGATACAATTTGCTGTGTTCAACATCTGCTTTAGTTTTTTGTTTCTGAAAGCCTTTGGCAAAGGGTTAAAACATTATAGGCATGATCTTGACAGACTGCCACTGATGAGGGTAACACTATGTTGCTGCTAAAAGTGAATTAAAGCCACCCTGGGTATCAGTACATTTGCAATACTACTCAGAGTAATTTTTTGAAGTACATATGTCAGTTGGGACTAACCTCCTCAAGCTCACCTGAAATTCTATCCAAAATGCCATTTTATTCATCTTTCATGCAGTTTCAAGTTCCCTTGTAGTTTATATAGTGAGTCTTTTCAGCTTCTCAATAGTACAAGGAACTCTGTCACAGAGTATTTATTGCTGTCAGGTCGTGATTCATGGTGTGCCATGGGCTGGTAACCAATCCAGGAAAGGTGTGGTTAGTGTACAATGGTTTACCAGCCCAGGATGTCTAATAGTGGCTTTGGTGGCTCTTAGACTCCCTCATGTAAATAGCTCTGGGAAAGCTTAGGCAGCTCCAGAAATCTCAAACCAAGAATTTTGGTCAAACTAGCTACTGCATTTGGGTTTTAATGTGGAACCTGATGTATTAAAATCAGTAAAGGAACGATAAAGGTCATTTGAAGGCTTTGGTTTCAAAGAGGTGAGGAAGGCCAGTTTTTTTCTTTACCACTTCAAAGAGTTCGTAATTCACTTAGCATGCAGGTTCACATTCCTGGCTGTCTGGTCTGGAGGGAACCCTGGATTTGGGTTGAGATTATACCACCTCCAGGTTGAATGTGGGTGGCATCCAGGGAATAAGACTAAATAAAAAGAAACTTGAGAAAGCAAAGAGAGAAAGGAATGGTCTAGTCTATGGGAAATTGAAATCAGTGTAAAGTTCGATAGCTGATATCATCTTGCTTCAAGGATAAAAATAAGCTGGTGTACTGTTCTGTTACAATGAATAATGTTAGGTTCCCAAGCAAAAGTTGCCATTTCATCCTTTTCTAGTCTGAATATGTAAAATGTCAAGGGGTCAAGTACAACTTTATTAGGAGAAGTACACTGAGTTCACATTCCCCACCCCAACTCCTGTGCCACGCATGCACAACCTTTGCTATCTCACTTCTCATCAGGTTCTGCATTTCCATGGGCAGTTTGTCAGAAGCACAGCTGTTTGTACTTTTTAAATCCAAAAGATAGACCTTTAGGTGCTTAAGTCATAACTCTTCACTTACTGTTTTCTTCTTCTGAACCACATAAGGAGTTTACAGAAACAGAGGGCATGCATTCTCCAAAGAGAGATGCTGATGGTCCAACCTGGTCATGAAGGGTATCTCCCAACTCCAGTGAGACAAGTAGGCAAGCTTTGTAACATTCAGTGACATAAATGCAAAAGCCCTGCATTTGAGGACTTGGTCTTGTATTTCTTGGACCAAATCAAGCCTTCAAAGTCACAATTAATCTGAATCTAATTGCATTCTAAATTCATAAACCTCTATTCAGTATATTTTGAAAGCAAGTCTTTTAGGTCAGAGTTTTGAAAGATTAATGTAAAGCACCTGGGGAAAAACTCATTGGCACATCAATGTTAAGTAGATTCATGTGTTGCCTATGAAACAGGTTGTCTAATTTTATCATTCAACTCTACCAAAACCCAGATTACCAATGAGAACCACTCCAGCATGCCTGGCAAATTACTTCAGATTCTAATAATGGATCCAGTTCACATTTCAGCGCCTAGGGGCTGGCTTTCAGCCCTTGATGTCTTCCCAAGTCTCTCTGAGAAGAATTTGGGAATTCTCCGTAAAGTCATTCCCACCAGAAGTCTCTAGTCCTGGGTAAAGTGTAACTTTTCTTTCAGGGGTGGAGTGGGGTGTAAAAAGAGGAGAGAATAATTAGGTTTACAAAATGTTAACTAGAAACCACAAGATAAGGACCTCTTACCTTTCCAATATCCTCACAGGAAAAGGGTAGAAAGGGTGTCTTGTCATTCTTCTCCTAGGAGAGTACTTAGCTGGTACATGATGATAGTCGAAGAGAAAATAAGCCTCCTTCATCTTAAAATCCTTGACCCACTGGCTTAGATTCCACTACTTAGAAAGCAGTAAGTAGATAGATATAAGTGTGTTTGCATGAAGAAAGTATGACAGTAAAGCTCAAACCTTCAAAACAAATTAACTACAGAGTGATTATAATACCAAAAAAACCTGAAACTAAGTAATTCTTTTGAATGGACCTCTTAGTATTATTTATTTGCTGCACATTATGCACTACTTGGGTATAGAGGAATTTTGAATTTTTAAACATTTTAAGTATCAGCTAGAAATCAATGCCAACTGTAAATCATTCAGAAATTAAAACAGAACATTTGTTATTGTTTTAATTTCAATGGGATATGTGATTTAACTTATATACAGCTTTTCCAGAATATTTTTGGTGGTGGTGGTGGTTTTTTTTTGGTGTTTTTTGTTTTTGTTTTTTTGGTTTTTTGTTTGTTTTGTTTTGTTTTCGTTTTTTTGTGTTTTTTTTAAACAATAGTAAGTTGTACTGCTCAAGGGTAGAAGAGAAAAGGCTTTCATAATTTCACTGGGCTTTAAGGATGAGGCAGATTAATGAAATAAGTTTTATAATTAAGGCCTCTCAACGACATCAGCATAATTGCAATGAGCACAGCAAATCAGTCCTCTCTAGCTAAGCTAAAAGTGGTAGATGGGTTGAATGCCCCAATATAATTTAAAACTGGTACTAATATTTTGAAGATTACTTTCAGTTTTCTGTAATAATGGGGCTTTAAAACTTCTTGGTGTGTCTAAAATCACCTTTTCACTTGTGTACTTTTACAAAATTTGAGGAGGAATATATAGTGACAAAAAGTATAAAGGGATAATTCAGGCTATTCTAAATAATTCAGATGCTATTCTGGAAACCTCCTTTTAAAAAACATAGATCCCCTTCTCTAAGGTGGAACAGCAAACTCTTAAAGAAACGAAACCTGACTATGATGCTCCAAGTTGATTTATCAGTGTTGTCAGCCAAGAATACAGAGTCAGAGACAGGTAGAAACTTCTTGCGTTTAGATGCTAAGAATATTGCTGAAATAGAATGGCTCTGGAGTCAGATAAACCTGTTCTTAGACCAACTAGCTGTGTGACCCAGCATGAGTTTCATAATCTTTTTGAGCTTATGTTTTGCTGTCTATATAAAGCTGACATTTTATATACGGTCATGGACTGTATAATGATGTTTTGGTCAACAACAGACTACATATACAAAGGTGGTCCTATAAGATTATAATACTATATTTTTACTGGATCTTTTCTATGTTATATATTTAGATACACAAATACTTACCACTGTGTTCCAACTGCCTACAATATTCAGTATAGTAATATGCTGTGCAGGTTTGTAGCCCAGGAGCAATAGGCTATACCATGTAGCCCAGGTGTACAATAGGCTATACCATCTAGGTTTGTGAAAGTACACTCTAAGATGTTTGCACATTGACAAAATCACCTAACAATGCATTTCTCAGAGAATATCCCCATCATTGAGCAACACATGACTGAACTTAAAAGGATTAACATATATATATAATATATGTTTATGTTGTGCCTTACACAAATGATATGCTTGATAAATTATAATTTTTAATGCTGTCACTACTAAATTAAGCTCTTGTGGAGTTAAAAGAGAATAAAAGATGAGTCGTGGTTGGTGAATAGATTTTCATCAAATCTAAAGATGTAATGAACTGATTCTTCTAGTCAGGCCAGTTCCTAGAAGGCAAAACCAAGAAGTAGGAACCGGATCTTCCATACAGCCTAGGAATCTCCATATTAATGTTTGAGTCCTGAAGTCTCCAGATCTCCCACAGGTCTTTCCCCACTCCTGCCCTCATCATAATTTTCTTGCTTTCTGTTTAATAGCTTTCTGATATTTTGCTTAAATGCGTAAATGTGTAACCCTTTCTGAGACTATATTTATTTTGACAGGGATCCCAGAGAAATAATACATGATAGTTGTTCTCAGAGGCAGATGTTTTGCTGTTAATAATGAGAACTAATGAACAATGCTTACTCTGAGCCAGGTGCCATGGCACATGCATTATCTGTATTACCTCATGCAAACCTCACAACATCCTATGAGCAGACCTTATCATAGTCTTTATTTTGGAGATGAAGTATCTGAGATTTAGAGAGGTGAAGTAACTTGGCAGAGGACAATCAACTCCTAGAAGAGGCAGAGCCAGAATTCACCCCCAGGCCCACCTGAATCCAGATCTCCTGCCCCTAACTACTGGGTTGTGTTGCCGCTGCAGGCAACTCAGGGGACACTCATAATCCCAACGTCCCTAAGCTTGATCCTGTTCCCAGAACCTACGGACTTCCTGCTTCCAATCAAGTTAAGTGGGAACTAACTTAACAAGGGTATTGGGAAGTTCAGAAAGGAACATCCTGATAGCTGGCCTCCAGCCTGCCCACAGGCTAGATACTGCCTCTGAACAAAAGGCTGTGTTCTGGGCCTCTGCATGTAGAGAAGAGTCTTATTTCTAGCACTCATCTAAGGAACAAAATCCCTGACTATTCATATTTGAGTTTTTTGTTTGTTTGTTTGTTTTTTGAGACGGAGTCTAGCTCTGTCGCCCAGGCTGGAGTGAAGTAGCACAATCTCAGCTCACTGCAACCTCCGCCTCCCGGGTTCAAGTGATTCTTGTGTCTCAGCCTCCTGAGTAGCTGGGACTACAGGTGTGTGCCACCACACCTGGCTAATTTTTGTATTTTTAGTATAAATGCGGTTTCACCATGTTGGCTAGGCTGGTCTCATGCTCCTGACCTCAGGTGATCCACCCACCTCAGCCTCCCAAAGTGCTGAGATTACAAACGTGAGCCACTGTGCCCGGCCAACTATTTATAATAGCCTTAATGGGTGGGTGGGTAGGCAGGTGAAGGGAGAAGCAATTTATGAATATTCTATTTCATTCATTATGTATTATAATTTAAACTGGTGAATTTACTTCTAATTTGCTCAACTCAGAGTTTTCTTGGTCCAGCTACTCTTCTAAAAATGGAGTAGTAAATCTAATGAAGTTGTTCCCCAGGAAATACTCCACTTTGTTTTGTCTGCAAACTGACTTGTGTCTTTAGGGCAGTATTTTCTTAGTAGTAGTTCAAATATTGCATCCTCATTGAGATATTTGGAGAGTAACTCCTTGCTTCCTTTCTGTCAGGCAATAAAGATACTAATAACTAATAATTGTAATAATAATAGCAATTCAGTATCCTACACTTATCCCATACTTCCTGTGTTCCAGGCACTGCTGTAGTTGACGTTCGTAAGGATACACGTGTAGTCTTACATGTTACACGTTGAGTGTGGGTTCTCTAATCATTTCTGTTTTACAGATGAGAAAACTTAAGCACAAAGAGGTTAAGTGATTTGTCCCTCTTCTACCTTCTTCCAGCTAAAACTTAAATTTACTGAGAATCCTGGTGTGAAAAGTTTTAATTCATATTTCTAGCTATTAATCTCTTTGTAAGTGAAATGTTGAGTAAGGGAGCTGGGTGGTGGCAGAGATGTTTTCAGTGGATTTGGGAGTTCCAGTTTCAAATTTTAAGACTTTCACCAAAGGAGCCTTTAAAAATTGAGATCAATAAGATTGTTATCTTCATATTCAATAATAAGAACTGGGAACTTTTCCATGTCTTTGTACTTAATTTTCCATGTTTATCATATGGCTCATGTGATAAACTACAATGTATCTGATCTCTTAGAACTTCAGTGGGTTTTTGAAGCCAGGAAAAAACAAGCAAACAACAAAAACTGTCTGTAACACTGAACATTACCCACTGCCCAGCCTGATTCCTAATTACCTTCAACAATTTACCCAGGATGCTTCAGTATAACTACCTGGAAAAATGAGGGTGGAACTTTGGTTCTAGCAGGCATGTGAAAATTTCATTACTAAGTTTACAGAGTATCCTAAAGTCTCCAAACAAAAGTGACCAGAATACTGGAAAAGAATATTATTGCTAGCAGTGGGGTTGTATGGAGCCAGGGGGAGTTCTGAGAATCAAAGGCCCATGTCCCTTTCTCTACACTGGACCCTCATCCCACCTTCTGCAACCAGCCTCAAGGGGAGATGGAGAAAGAATCATTTATTCACCTTCTGGCTGCAAGAACTGCAGACTGCAACTGTGGCAGTTCTAGCACTGAGGAGAAAATACACATAGGAAAAAAGAAGACCATGTCTCACTTCCAAATTAAAAAAAGACATTTCTACATGTTTCCATAACCCACAGACTGCTGCCATTTGAGGCCAACCCCTCAAAGCTTTCTTCTTTGTCTAGTGTAGTTGCTGAATCTAGGCCACTCTCAGCAATCCTTTTCATTCACCCAGGCCCATCCCCACGCCTCACAGATGCAGAGATTCTCTGGAGACGTGTACTTTGGTATCAAACAATGCAACTCATGTTTGATTTTGGATAACCTTGCACTGTTGAATAAAATAACCCTTGAGAAAGAAGCAATAAAAGTGCTGTAAGAAAAATGACTCATGTTTCCAAGCTGTCTAAAGTGATCACTTATCCTAGCAAATGGTAATTCTTTCAAGACACAGTGGGCATACACCATACTTATAAAAATCTGGAAGGAAAGCCTTGCAAACATTTTTTTAAATTGTGTTAAAATATATCAAAAGAATATTTCTAGTAGACTGTACCAGGCAGGGTATGCTTAAAAACAAAAACAAAAACCACATGGAGGTCGAAGCCAAGGTGGATTGGCCCAAAGGGGGTCCTTGCTGAACATGCAGGCCCATCGGCTTGTTTATGTACTTGTTTATGTGCCTCTAATTGTTTTCCATTTTCTGCCCCCATTCGTTAGAGTGCAAAGATGTGAATAAAGTGGCTTATTGCCCACTGGTGCTGAAGTTCAAGTTCTGCAGTCGAGCATACTTCAGACAGATGTGTTGTAAGACCTGCCAAGGACACTGACCCACAGAAAGCCAGAGAGAGTGCCTTGTCATTTCATCATGGAAATGCATCCATCAAAGAGAGCCACCCAGAGGAAGAGGATTGATGTCCTTGCAAATGCATTACCCTGTGGAAAACGTAACCACTGGTCAGCCCTAGCTGACAAAATTTCAATATTATTTTAGCTTCTGTGAAGTGGGATTTATTGATCCAAAGTGCTGGACACGGTATTAGGAGGGAATGCCAGATTGGAGAGATCCAAACAACACAGGGAGACTTGCTTACTGTGGAGCGTTTGTGTTCTTTCGAGTAAATCCAATAGCCTGTTTACCTCCTTGGACCATTAAGATAATTTTTATTATGGACTTAGCAATGACACTGAATCCATTTGTATTTAAAACTGTTTAAAATGTAGCTGTTATGACTTGGTCAACTATGGAAGTGAAGAAGGTTCAGAATTCTTAAGTCATAGCTTAAAAATATTTACTGTACTTTATCTCACTACAACAGCACCACAATTTAAATTATAAAACGGGCTTTGAACTATAATTTAAGGAGCAATTATAAATCAAAAGTAATGAAAGTTTGTATTATTTTTCTTCATTCCACTTAATTTCCTTAGGAATAATCCCCTGGTTCTGAACACTGCTGTGAGCCATATATAAAACTATATTAAACTGAACAATAATGAGGGGCATAGTTTAAAGCAGTGCATCAGTTACTGCAGCTGTGCAAGTCTATAAACTCAGTGCTGAAAGACTGTGGCCAACTTGCCATTGTGCAAGTAAAGCTGAGATTTCCATTAAAACTTTAAGAGAAAAACATTTCAATTTCATGCAGAAACCAGACCTGGGGTATGGTACAGACCAAAGGACCAGGCCCTTTGCTGCCACCACACAGGATGCCTTAGTTCTTATTTGAGTCCCTCCAACTCACTTGTGTTTACATCCTCCCCAGCCACAGCACGGCTTCTGCCCTTTGGATTGCTGCACGTGTGTTGAGCTTACTGAGATGATACCATGCAAAAGATAGACTGGCTCGGTAACCAGGCAGACCCTTTTGCAGTTTGTTGACAATTACGATGAGTTCCAGATGTCCCTTCTTTGATATGGTAGAAGGGCATTTATTTATATGAGAGCAAATGTGTGTGTGTGTTTGCGGGCGCTTTTAAGTGTGTGGATAGATGAGTGTGCTTGCACATAATGTGCTATTTCTGTGAGTTTTAAAGTAGGCAAGGGATAATAACCAAAGAAGAAAATTTCATGAAGACTAGACATCATAAAGCATAATTTTAATAGTCACTCAACCAAGTATTTTTTATTTTTTATGGATACTCTGAATGGCAATTAAATGTGAAACCCAGTTTCTTGGGCAAGTCAAATTCTGGAATCACATCCACCTAAATTAAAATGACTAGCTCGTATTTTCCCCATCTTCAAGTTTCACATCCTGGTCATCAAAAGACTCGACAGCAAGACTTAGAATGAAAAAGGGTACTTGTTTATATTAATATTTTTTACTTGAACACGTGTAGCTTGCAGCAGGTTCTTGATGAATGTGCTTTGTGTCCAAAATGCCTCCCCATTGTACACAGGTGTACACCATGCATGCACCAACACCTAAAACTCAAAACTAAATGGCTATTTTGTAAGGTTAATACTTTCAGTTAAACAGCATGTTTGACTTGATTCCATCATGGTGCTCTTAAATTACATGTCAGTGCATCACATATATCATGATCTAATGCAGATGACTAGGCTTTTTCCAAAAGGAAGACAGACCCTCAGACACCAAAAGCCAATCTAAACAACTCCCAGGTTTGCTGTGGACAATCAGCATGGAATGTTTTCTGCACTCTCAGTCATGACCATCTGTATCTTGTTACCTGCTTTCTCTCTCAACACCACAGTTCTCAACCCTGAGCCTTCCAGAGAGAGCTATTGATGATACAAGAGGAATCACCAGGGCCCGGATCTAAGATGCCCTTAGAAGACCAGCCCAAGTGCCGTCTTAGCCATTCAGTGAAGGGCAAACAGCCCATGGGTAGTATGGCCCGAGCACTGAATTCCCTTGCGCCTTTTCAAAGAACAGTTAACTTGGTGCTAATGTGCCCTGGTGAAATAAATAAAAGATGGGCAGTTTCTGTGGCATTTTAGGCATAGGTTTGCAATCCAGATCTGATTTTCTCCAACATAAATATCAGCTCATGTTCTTATTTCAAAAAGATTTCTTATTACCGACTAAAAGCTATTTTTTACCTCACCTGGAAACTACCATTGTGAGGGCCATCCCCCAGGCACTGCACAGCACCTTGGCTGATGCTGGAAGAGGAGGGCAGTCAGTGTCACTTCTGGGATGTGCCCCAGCACTGAGAACAAAATGCAGGCATCCCCCGGGGCAGCATCAGAGTGCCTTTCTAGAGGGAGCCACGCACAGAATGTAACAGGATGAAACAGTTTCAAGTAAGCCTTGAATTGAAACCTGAGTAGGTTAAAACAATTCTATTTCATAGCACATCACAATACTGCTGCTACTCTGTAGCCACCCCCATGGCTACATGATGCCCTATTCCTAAATAATAACAATAGCATTGTCAGTGGAGGCTGGGCCACCATGGCAGACCTTCCAAAAGTAGTGAGCTACATAGACTACTTAGGGAACCCCAGGGAAACTGGTACCCTACACCTGGGAGCAGTATCTGCCACTGGGATAAAGTCCTACTAAAAAAGGAACGGTAAATGTACCCTAATGATTAAACCCCGTGAGATACATATGATTTCCAAATAGTCCATTTCATTAGGAACTTTTTTGTTTGAATGAATGTCACATAGGTATCCTCAGTAACACAGAACGAAATTACCTTTGTATTATTGTGATTAGTTGTTGCTTATTATTTTATACTCAGTAATAATGTGGTACACTGTTAATTTTTTTGCTTTTGTAAATTATATTCTAATTTATTGCCATGTTTCCTAACACTTGTCCTACATTCATTCTCCTGCTTGTAATGAAAATGAAAAAATCATTGTAACACTTGATGGAGTGAAATTCCACGCCAGGCACAGAATTTTTTTGACATAGATAATTTAGTAAAATAAAAATTCAGCTTATAATAATGATACAGATTGAAGTTGTCTATTCCCTGAAAAGCCTGTGTTAAACTGGTAGTACCAGGAATGAATTCCCTTGGGATACCACACCTACATTATCCAAATTATCCAAGTAGTATCTTGGTTGGGATGATTTGCTGTATCCTTATTACCCTCCTCAGAGATGGCATCTATTTCTGTGTGTTTTAGTCCTATCTAAATGCAAGAGTGTCAGGTATTACTGGTGGGGCTACATCCCCAGCCATCATCAGCCACTCTTCTAAGGCCCCAAAGGAAGTCCAGACTGGCCACGGCCACACCCCCTCAACTGCTAGTGCACAACTCTTTCGCTTTCCTTTCCTTTTTTTTTTTTTTTTTTTTGAGACGGAGTCTCACTCTGTCGCCCAGGCTGGAATGCAGTGGCGCGATCTCGGCTCACTGCAAGCTCCGCCTCCCGGGTTCACGCCATTCTCCTGCCTCAGCCTCCCGAGTAGCTGGGACTACAGGCGCCCGCAACCACGCCCAGCTAATTTTTTGTGTTTTTAGTAGAGATGGGGTTTCACCGTGTTAGCCAGGATGGTCTCGATCTCCTGACCTCCTGATCTGCCCGCCTCGGCCTCCGAAAGTGCTGGGAATACAGGCATGAGCCACCGTGCCCGGCCCTGCTCTCCTTTTCTTGCCTTCCATGTAAATTATTTAGTATATTAGAGGATGCAAGATAGTTCACTGTGCCAAGGTCACTAAACCAAATGAATTCATACTTGAGAGATTTTTCTAGTCAGGGCAAAGAAACGTGATGAGCTCACTTTCTACCTTTAGCATTTCCTTTTGGGCTGAAGATGAACTAATGGCTCAGTCTTTGCTGAGTTGAGGAATACAATGATATGCAAAGGAACTCAGAAAAAAATTTGAATATGAAGGTGACCCTCTTGCATGCTTAGCTATTCGAGTACTTTATTTTCTTTTTCTTTACTTTCTTTCTTTTCTTTCTTTCTTTTTTTTTTTTTTTTTAGATGGAGTCTCACTCTGTCGCCAGGCTGGAGTACAGTGGCGCGATCTTGGCTCACTGCAACCTCTGCCTCCCAGGTTCAAGCGATTCTCCTGCCTCAGCCTCCTGAGTAGCTGGGATTACAGGCACACGCCACCACGCCCAGCTAGTTTTTGTATTTTTAGTAGAGACAGGGTTTCACCATGTTGGCCAGGATGGTCTCGATCTCTTGACCTCATGATCTGCCCACCTCGGCCTCCCAATGTGCTGGGATTACAGGCATGAGCCACCACTCCCAGCCAGCTATTGGAGTACTTTCATAATGACAGCTTCATCAGTTACATAAGAAGAGTGGAATTGGCTGGGTGCAGTAGCTTATGCCTGTAATCTCAGCACTGTAGGAGGCCAAGGCAGGTGGATCACCTGAGGCCAGGAGTTGGAGACCAGCCTGGGCAACATTGTGAGACATCATCTCTACCAAAAAAAAAAAAAAAAAGATGTGAAATGTCCAGGCTCGATGGTGCTTTATTCTACCCACTCTGATGTCTCATACACACCATACCCAGTTGTTTCTTCATTAGAAGAAATCAGGTTGCATCACGTGAGACAATTAGATAGTCTTAGAAGAGTATTTCTCCAAGGTTACCCTAGCAGCCAAAAGCTGCTGAATTATGAATACTCAGTTCATGAGAAAGCCATGGATACCAACCATTTTAACCTCCCACTGCAGTTGCAAAGGATAGTTCTGCTGGGGTTGGGGAGGGAGAAATACCAAGAAACAAGATTTACTTTAGCTTAGATTCTTAAGTATCGAGTCTAGTATCTTTTCAGCTACAGTTGTTTTCAAGTTTCCAACTAAATGCCTTTTTTCCCTTTGACGTATCAAAAGGACACTATCCTGCTTAGGGTACTGACTCCAAGGACAGTCTGCCTTCCATGGAGACTCAGCCGTTCCTCAGGGAGCATGGGGCTCATCCTTAAGCCTTTATCCTCCAAAACGCCAGATGTTTTTCCAAGCAAATTCAGGAAAAAGTTGGGTGTTGGGAGCAAAAACGTGAATTTGCATGGCTAGTATAAGACTTATTACTTTTTAAAGAAGGAAAAAGAAATCTTGTTCAGGTAGAAAAAGAAATCTTGTTCAGGTAGAAAAAGAAGTCACAGCCCAAGAGAACTGAAAAATTCTAATTAAGTGGTCACAGGAAAGTTGCTGCATTTAAAAGTGGCAGATACGTGGCCAGGCGCGGTGGCTCACGCCTGTAATCCCAGCACTTTGGGAGGCCGAGGTGGGCGGATCACGAGGTCAGGAGACTGAGACCATCCAGGCTAACATGGTGAAACCCTGTCTCTACTAAAAATACAAAAAAAAAAAATTACCGGGTATGGTGGTGAGCACTTGTAGTCCCAGCTACTAGGGAGACTGAGGCAGGAGAATGCCGTGAACCTGGGAGGTAGAGCTTGCAGTGAGCCGAGATCACGCCACTGCACTCCAGCCTGGGCGACAGAGCAAGACTCTGTCTCAAAACAAAAAAAAAAGTGACAGATAAGCTTTGTTTGGAATTCTGTTTCATTCATATCATCAGAATGTGTGGAATAAACTAACATACGTTTTTAAAAAGAACAGCTGTTCACAATGGTTTTGTGCCTGAGTTCAAAACCTCAAGCTTCAACTTAAAAAGAAAATGGTCTTTTCTCCCATCTTTTTCTCAGAGGGCTATTTCTAGCATTCATTGTCCCTCATTTCATCCACAGATGATATCTGAGTCCTGAAATGGAACTGTGGTTTGAAAGCTGGCTCCACTTTGTGGGGAAACCAAGGTTATGCCCGTGTTGTCTTTTGATCAATGGCTCCTCTTAGCCCACTGAAAGCCTTCAGCTGCATAGGTAATGAAGTGAATTTCCACAGCTATGTCCTGTCTTCACCAGAAAGACACTGTGTGGTTTGCACAAGGGTCCAATAATACATGATGTCCCTGACTGCAGGGATTGGGGAGCCTGAATATTCCCATTCACCTCAGGGCACATGACAGCATGCCTAACCAATCAGATTTCATTGCCCAGCCCTTAAGGCTTGTGAAAATCAAGAGGTTTCTTCTTGGGTTGGATACCCTACCTTGCAGAAAGTTCTCATGTAAGAGGCGACAAGTTATCCCACCAACTTTAGGCCTCTCAGAAGTCAGAGTGCCTTCCTCAGGTCGATGGTTCAACACTAGGTGGCTTCTACAAGCTCAAGGCTGATAGGATTCTGGGAGGAGTGTAGTCTGTGCCCCCCAGCAAGGGGAGTTGTGGATAGCAAGTCCCCTTATGGGCCCACAGAACTATGCTCACTTTGAAATTCCTGCTGGCAGTGCAGTAATTTTGAGATGAGGCCCCTGAAATTCCAAGCAAAGGTGGCAGCAGGAAGTCCTACTCCAGGGCCACTCCAGGCCAGGTGTGAGCCTCTGTGTCTGGAGAGTGGCATCAATCATGGTCATTCATTCATACAGCTAATATTTGCTGAGCATCTGCTGCACCCAGGTCCTGTGCTAAGCACTTAACATATGCTGTCTTATTGAGTGTTTTACAACAAAACTAGGAGGACAGTACTATCAGTCCCCATTAACAAGTGCCAAAACTGAGGCACAGAGAGGTTAAGTTGCCAGGGGGTCACAGGACCAATGCGAGAAGTATCACCTCTTCAGCACACAGCGGGGCAGCTGCTGGATCTGCATCTGGGGCAAGGAAGTTGGGAAGGGTGCTCGTTGGCTAGAGAGATACCCACTCACCAAACCACAGGAAATAACATCCTCTTTCCTGAGGAACAATGGTCCTGAGGCCTTAGGAGGGGCCTCAGGAGTCAGGGAACAGGGAGCTTTGGGTTCCCGTCTTGGTAGCTGGTGGTATTGACTATGGGAATCTCAGTGTGTGATAACAGAATTACAAGTGGGGACCTAAAGTGGTTTCTAAGAGTTAATGGCAAGAGGAGGAAAAGGAAGGTCAGAAACATTCTAGGATGGAAGATGTCTCAATGGCAGTTAGCAACCAAACACAGCGTAGGGAGCTCTCATCTCCCCTGAAATACCTTGTCGTAAATCATGCAGCCTATCCCTGCCTGATAGTCTAATGCACCATTTCCAGACGTGCCAGACAGATGGCCTAGTTGACCTATTTCAACATAACTGGAACAGAATGATTTCCATGTTGGCTCTAGGATACATTATAAGGAAGAAAGGTGAGTTTCTTTCTGTTTCAATCACAGCAAGACCATCAGGGCTTGAAAAGTTGGGCCATCAGGTTGCCGCCAGCAAGCACATTCTTTGACCTTCTGTGGTGGGTCCACAGAGTGGAACCAGGTGTTCTTTCAGCCCATGCCAGAATGTATTGGCCGCCCAACTGGCTGCCTGCCTCCACCCCACCAACGGGGCTTTGGCTGGCCCTCTACCAAACAGCTGTTTGGGGAGACACAGGTGGCCACCCACGCTTGTGCCCAGGCCAGCAGCTGCGTTGGCCTGATTCATCCTGGCAAGATGGACCCTCCTGTGCCTCTGCCTCTGTGCCCCAACTTCTCCCTGAGCCAGGTCACTCAGGGACTAGGGAGAAGGAAAGCCAAAGGGTAGATACACTGTGTATTAAATGCACTCATAAACCTGTTTCGTGGCCCAGAGGCAATAAACAAGAGAATACTTCTTTCAATATCATCAATTTTGGTATTTTATTTTTACTCATTCAAATTAATGTTATGTAAATGAATAGAACTTTAGTTCCTGTTTCTTGTTTGTATTATTGTTAGAATAAAAATCTTCTCCTGTTGCTATGTATCTATAATAAATATGAAGGTAAAAAAGGATTACATCCCAACTTCAGCAAAATGCTATCTGGGAGACCATGCTAGGTGCCCAGATAATAACAACCACAGGAGCATGATTGGATATACTGAAAAAGCACCCACAGAAGTGGCTAAAATATAATATGAGCTGAATGAAAGAGGGTAGCAACATCCATGTTATCACAGCCAGGCTAATTGCAATAAGAAATAATTCTATTCATGAAGTTTAGAATAGGAAAAAAGCAAAACTGAGAAATTAAATATTTTATTTTGAGATTTAAAAGAGACTCTATGTTGAAACTATGAAATAAGATAATAAGCTGCGGGCACATCTAGCTTGAGGAGTATCTCAGTGTAGGTAGGGCCAGGACCCCACCTGATGCGCTTAGGGTCCAGGTCCCCACCAATGTGGAAAGCTCCTGCTAGAGGGAAGTAGTAGGGGGACCAACTGTTTCATTTTATCTCACATTTAAATACAATTACAGAAATAATTGTACAAACTATCCTGTACTGGCCTCTAAAATCAACACATTAGAACTCCACTTTCCAAATGAATGTTGTCTCCTTCCATGTAGCAACTGGAGATCACTCCGTACTCATTCTAAGAGTAAAATCATCATTCAAGAAAGTTTTAAAATTGCTTTTTAGACTGTCTCCCAGGGTAGGATAAATTTGATTTTCACAAAAGCCCAAACTCTTTCAAAATAAAATCTGGTAAGTAATTTGCATATAATCATTATGGCCCCAAATGTGTCTTACAAACTGACCCAAGGTAATACCATGAAAGGTATTCCAAATATGCTTTGAATAAGTGACCTTTAAAGGATTTTGTTCATTTGGATAAAAAAAAAAAAATCCTGGTGTTTTTGTCTAAAAATTATTAGGATGTCTTCATTATTCTACTTAAAATTCATATAATACAACATTTCATTAAATGTACTGTTATTTCCAATTCTAAAGTTAGCTGGAACCTGAACCACCTAAATGGCATATCTCTCTGTCAGGGTAAAGAAAGATCTCTGACATTCTTTGAGGACTGAGTAACCCTTAAAGCCAGGAAAACAAACCACTTCTCCAGAAACTGGAAATGAGCAAACAGCTATCCTTACAGGATTCTCTTTCTTAGAGTCCCTAGAGTACAAAGTCTCCTTCCCAAGGGACTAATTAAGGGAAGTCTGTCAGCAACTTTAATGAGGCCACTGTGGAGCATGCAAGCCCCCGAGTCTGCTTCCTGACTACAGAGTCGGGGAGATGGGACCATACCGATGTGCCCTTTTCACACTACTGTGTGTTTGCTCAAGTTCTGTAGCTTGAATCATTTCCCATTTACTTACATGAGAATTCCAAAATGAGCCTGTCTTTTGACTGATCCTTAATTGACTGTGTGCACCAACTGACATTCCAGCATTGAGTGTCTTCTCCCTCAGCCTGCTTTCCTTCCAGAGTTTTCAAGGAAGTTGTTAATGATATGTAAACAAATACTTAAACCTATGGGGAGAATACTATTATTTTAAGGAATTCCAAGAGTGACTCTTTTGGAGAGGATAATTACTCCTTTATTTAACTTTGAAGTTTGAGTTCCCATCATGAGTTTTTTAAAAAAAATTTTATATATATATGTATATCTCAAGACACAAACATTTTTCCCTAACATTTCTGCGGAAACTTGCCTTAAAGTCCACAATCCTTATATCTTCTTCTCCCGGAAAGAACCTTTTTAATGCACAGCCCCTCTAAACAGCTTTTAAAGGCTCCATGGGTGGCCAGGAATTCCTATTTGCCAAATTTAGCAATGACAGCTATGGTTATGGACACTGTTGGAGTTGATTGTCCCTAAATCAAGATGAAAACTTAACCTTAAAAGTAATGTTTAAATTTCTCCCCCTCAGAGAAAATATTTGCAAACTATGCATCTGACAAAGGTCCAATATCCAGAATCCAGAAGGAACTTAAATAATTCAACAAGCATAAAACAAATAGCCCCATTAGAAAGTGGGCAAAGAACATGAACAGATACTTTTCAAAATAAGGCAGACAAATGGCCAACGACCATATGAAAACAAGATCAACATCACTGATTATTAAAGAAATGCAAATCAGAACTACAATGAGATACCATCTCATAGCAGTCAGAATGGCTATTGTTAAAAAAATAAATAAAAATAGCAGGTGTTTGTGAGGCTGCAGAGAAAAGGGAACATTATACACTGCTGGTGGGAGGGTAAATTAGTTCAGCCACTGTGGAAAGCAATTTGGAGATTTGTCAAGGAACTAAAAATAGAACTACCATTCAACCCAGCAATCCCATTACTGGGTATGTACCCAAAGGAATATAAATCATTCTGCCAAAAGACATATGCACTCATATGTTCATTGCAGTACTATTCACAATAGCAAAGACTTGGAATCAGCCCAGGTGCCCATCAATAGTGGACTGGATAAAGAAAATGTGGTATTAATACATAAAAACTGGGGAGGTGAAAAATCTCCAGAATGAAGACTACAAAATACTGCTCAAAGAAATCAGTGATGACACAAACAAATGGAAAAACACTTCATGCTCATGTATACAAAGAATATCATTAAGATGGCCATGCTGCCCAAAGCAATGTATAGATTCAACGCTATTCCTATCAAACTACCCACGATATTCTTCACAGAACTAGAAAAAAACTATTTTAAAATGCGTATGTTTAAAATAGTTAAAAAAAAAACTATTTTAAAATTCAAAAAAGAGCCCAATAGCCAAGGCAATCCTAAGCAAAAAGAACAAAACTGGAGGCATCACACTACCCAACTTCAAACAATACTACAAGGCTACAGTAACCAAACAGCATGGTACTGGTACAAAAACAGACACATAGACCAATGGAACAGAATAAAGAGCCCAGAAATAAGGCCACACCCCTACACGCATCTGATCTTCAACAAAGCTGACAAAAACAAACAACGGGGAAAGGATTCCCTATTCAATAAATGGTGCTGGGAGAACTGGCTAGCCATATGCAGAAGATCAAAACTGGACCCCTTCCTTACACCATACACAAAAATGAACTCAAGATGGATTAAAGACTTAAATGTAAAACCCACAACTATAAAAACCCTAGAAGGCAATCTAGGCAATACCATTCTGAACGTAGCAATGGGCAGATGCCAGAAGCAATTGCAACTAAAGCAAAAATTGACAAATGAGATCTAATTAAACTAAAGAGCTTCTGCACAGCAAAAGAAACTATCAACAGAATAAATAACCTACAGAATGGGAGAAAATATTTGCAAAATTTGCATCTGACAAAGGTCTAATATCCAGCATCTATAAGGAACTTAAACAAATTTACAAGAAAAAACAAATAACCCGATCAAAAAGTAGGCAAAGGACATGATCCTCCAGACACTTTTCAGAAGAAGACATACATGCAGCCAACAAGCATATGAAAAAAAGCTCAATATTCCTGATTATTAGAGAAATGCAAATCCAAACCACAATGAGATACTATCTCACACCAGTTAGAACAGCTATTATTAAAAAATCAAAACATAACAGATGCTGGCAAGTTTATGAAGAAAAAGGAATGCTTATACACTGTTGGTGACAGTGTAACTTAGTTCAATCATTGTGGAAAGCAGTGTGGCGACTCCTCAAGGACCTAAAAACAGAAATACCATTTGATCCAGCACTCCCGTTACTGGGTATACACCCAAAGGAATATCAATCATTCTCCCACAAAGACACATGCACGCATATGTTCATTGCAGGACTATTCACAATAGCAAAGACATGGAATCAAACTAAATGCCCAACAATGATAGACTGGATAAAGGAAATGTAGTACATATAGGCCGGGTGTGGTGGCTCACACCTGTAATCCCAGCACTTTGGGAGGCCTAGGTGGGTGGATCACCTGAGGTCAGGAGTTCAAGACCAGCCTGACCAACATGGAGAAACCTCGTCTCTACTAAAAATACAAAGTTAGCTGGGCGTGGTGGCGCATGCCTGTAATCCCAGCTACTCGGGAGGCTGAGGCAGGAGAATCCTTGAACCCAGGAGGTGGAGGTTGCGGTTAGCCGAGATCGTGCTATTTCTCTCCAGCCTGGGTAACAAGAGCAAAACTCTGTCTCAAAAAAAAAAGAAAAAGAAAATGTGGCACATATACACCATGGAGTACTATGCAGCCATAAAAAAACAAGATCATGTCCTTTGTAGGAACATGGATGGAGCTAGAGGCCATCATCCTTAGCAAACTAATGCAGGAACCAAAAACCAAATACCACATGTTCTCACTCTTAAGTGGGAGCTAAATGATGAGAACACATGGACACACAGAGGAAAACAAAACACAGTGGAGCCTACTGAAGGGTGGAGGAAGGGAGGAAGGAGAGGATCAGGAAAAATAACTAATGGGTACTGGGCTTAATCTGGGTGATGAAATAATCTGTACAACAAATCCCCGTGACACAAGTTTACCTATGTAACAAACCTGCACATGTACCTCTGAACTTAAAAGTTGAAAAAAAAAAAAAAAGAAAATGTGGTATATACACTCCATGGAGTACTACCCAGACACAAAAAAGAAAGAAATCATGTCTTTTGTAGCAACACAATTGCAGCTAGAAGCCTTTATCCTAAGTGAGTTAGCACAGAAACAGAACACCAAATACAAAAACAGAATACCAAATATATGTCCTGTCTTATCAGTGGGAGGCAAACACTGGGTTATACATGGCCATAGAGAGGGGGACAATAGACACTGAGGACAACTGGAAGGGGGAGGGTAAGAATGGAAAAACTATATATTGGGTATTATGCTCACTACCTGGATGATGGGATCAATCATACCCCAAACCTCAGCATCATGCAATATACCCATGTAACACATGTGCACATGTGCCCCCTGAATCTAAAATGAAAGTTGGGCTGGGCACAGTGGCTCATGCCTGTAATCCCAGCACTTTGAGAGGCCAAGGCAGGTGGATCACCTGAGGTTAGGAGTTCAAGACCAGCCTGGTCAACATGGTGAAACCTTGTCTCTTTTAGAAATGCAAAAATTAGCTGGGTGTGGTGGCTGGTGCCTGTAATCCTAGCTTCTCAGGAGGCTGAGGCAGGAGAATGACTTGAACCCGGGAGGCAGAGGTTGCAGTGAGCCGAGATTGCACCATTGTTCCAGCCTGGGTGATAAGAGCGAAACTCTAGCTCAAATAAAGAAAGAAAGAAAGAAAATAAAATGAAACTTGAATTTTTTTTTAAAAAAATTCCACATCAAAATATTCTAATCAGATCATTCTTTCCATCAATTTCATAATAATTCAATTGCCAATAACTGATTAAGAGAAAAGCCCTATGAGACAGACAGATGGGGTCCCTTCAAGTAGTTCTAATGCAGGAAAGAGTGAGAGGTTATGTATTTAGCTAAGGCAATATCCTTATGAGGGAATGGGATGCTAACAAATGGTATTTCCTACACCACTGAAAATATTTAATTTGGTGTTCTTTGCTTTGGGCAAGAACTTATCAACTATTGTTTGTTTATTTTTGTTTTGTTTTATTTATTTTGGAAATTATCAAACATATGCAAAAGTAGAGGGAATCGTTTAATGACTGCTCTTTCTTCACCCAGCATCTGCAATCAACACGTGACCAATCTTGTTTCCAACTATACTGCCTTACCCTGGATTATTTAGGCCATCATTATACCATTTCATCATGAAATACTTTGAAATGTGTTCCTACAAGCTAAGGACTCTAAAACTACACTACTGTTAATTCATATTTTTGTTGTAGAATTGAGTTTGCTCTTTTTTAAACTACTGTCACCAAACTTAGGGAAAATAATAGTAGTTGTATATACCACCTAATGAGCACGTGGTATATACTATATTCCAGGCAGAATAGTAGATGCTTTTTGTCCATTATCTTATCATCATCATCATCATTATTGATTTTATAGAAGAGGAAACTGAGGCTAAGAGATTGAGGCACTCATCCACTGGCAAGTCCCAGCCCAGCAGGACTGCAGAGGATCAAGACTTATAAGAAAACCTTTCTAACACCAGTGCCTGCCTTGTTTTTCCAGCGCAAATCATACTCAGGAAGACAAACATCCAACGTCATCCTCTGCTTCTTGGGCCCGGAAGAATGTTATAAAAATAAGTAACTCATGAAGAAAACAAATCTTCCTTCTTTGGCCTCTTGGGTCATGGCTGGATCGAGCCTTAGCTGCACAAGACAGTGTTGCCTTGGTGCAACTGCTTTGTTGATGCAGATGCCCTCAGCTCTATTTTTCTTTACAATCAGCAAGTTGAAAAGTGTGTGCATGTCTATGTGTCTGTGTGTATAGAGAGAGAGTGTGTGAAGGCACCCAAGGGTTTATTGGTACCTCAGTCAAAAAAGTTAAAGCTCAGTGAACGACTCTTTCCTCTTTTTTTCCTTCTCTCTAAGCAGGAAACCGAATGAAGGGCAGGAGTGAGAATCACAAGCCTTTCCTATAAAAGAGTGGCCAGAAAGGAGAGCTGCTGGGCTACAAACCAATCTGAGTCTTAGTCCAAGAATGAGTTTTTCTCAAGTTAGAGCAGTGGTTCCCAGAATTTCAGATTTCATGGATCAGTAAAATTTCAAAAATACTTTGGAGACTAATGTACGGTTGCTAACATTTTGCTCTGCCAAGTACCATTTAAAAAAAAATCTTTCATTTATTATTACCATAAAAGTTACCTTTCTAAAAGAAAGTACATTATAATACCATCACAAAGTGTGTACATTTTTGTTTTAGTAGAAGCTACTACATTGCCCTTATTTTTCTATTTAGCGTCTGCAAAAGTAGAAGACTGAACAAGTGACCTAGACACTAAAACAGGTCCTTGTTCTGCAAGGTGCCAGGTGCTCCTCTTCCGTCTCCCCCACCTACCCTCATGTGTAGCTTCCATCATCTGCACTGGCTTCCATCATCTGCACAATGGCAGCAGCAGTGCCAGGGACACATGCAGAAGAGGCTGAGGCTAGCAAAGAGGAAAGGCTGTTTCTGCATGTGTGTCACTTTCTATCCTGGACAAATAGTGTTTCCAGAAACCCCAGTAAATTTACCCTCAGGACACAATGGCCAGGGCCAAGCCACATGCCTACACCCTAGCATGAGGGAGGCTGAGAAGATCTGCAGCAATTTTGCCTCTGTACTGGAAGCTGCCTCTGCAAACAGAAGCCAGAAATGGCTGTTAGTAGAGACCAGGAGATCACATCAGGTCTGGAAAAGCCTCATCTGGGGCTAGCAAGCCCAATATTTAGGAGTGAATCGATTAGAACTTCCCATGCTGAGGCCTGCAATGCCTGCTGAGCATCTATCCACAATCTAAGACATCTTTTATTTAGCCTCATCCAAGTTTAGAGCAAAGATTTGTAAAAATAACTATCAGTCTTCCTGCATTTCAAGGGAGCCTGAAGAAGCCTAGCCAGATGATATCACAGCTCTGTTGAGAAAAGCTTGAGTAATTTCCTATCATTTCATCCCCAATTGCATATTAACAATTATTTTCTTTATTAAGAGTCTTACTGAATATTCATGAAAACAAAGATATTCAAACCCTCAGAATCGGCCTTCCTTTGCTACATAAAAGAAATTGTAACAGCTCCTAGTTAGAGTTGTTGGTGTAATTAAAAGGAACGTTTTAGTATCTTGAAGAGCTACGGAAAGTGCCATAACACATAGTGATTTTAAAACAGCATTTTAGCCTGCAGTAGCTGTCTCTTTCATGACATACACCATCGCTGAAATTGGATAGAAGATACATTATAATATTAAGCAAAAACTGAAGAAACACATTTCCCGGATAAGATGACAGAATGAAACAATAATATAGAATTTCTCTTCCCCACAACTTAAGAAAATATAACAAACAAACAAAAAAGAATAAGAAGACCCCCATGCCCCAAACCACCAGCAGTAAACAAGCAAGAGACACAGAATAGCCTTTTGCTGTCAGTATTAAAAAATGGCACTTAGGAAAGATGAATCAATAGATTCCTGAACATTCTCACTAATGCACTCAAATGGGGAAAGAAGCAGACCGAGGGACTGCATAGGTGGCTCTGGCAAAAACAAGAAAAAATTATCACAAGCAGAAGCCCCTGCCTGCTGCACTTCAGAGACAAGAAAGGCCGCAATCTATGACAAACAGTAAGGGCCTTTCTCAAGAAAAATTAAACACAGAATTACCATGTGATCCAGCAATCCCACCTCTGTGTATATACCCAAGAGAACTGAAAGCAGAGGCCTGAAGAGATATCTACACGTTCATGTTCACAGCATTATTCGCAAGGGCAAAAGGTGGGGCAGCCCGTGGGTCTATCAACAGATAAATGGATAAACAAAATGTGGTATATATAATCTATATAATATAATATATATGTGATATATATATATAACAAAAAAATATGTTATGCATATATATATAACATATATAATAGAATGTTAGCCTTTAAAAGGAAAGAAATGCTAACACATACATGAGCTATCTAGAGCAGTCAAATTCATACAGCCAGAAAGTAGAATGGTGGCTGCCAGGGACTAGAGGGCGGGGGAATGAGCGCTTAATAGGTATACAGTTTCAGTTTGAGAGGATAAAAAAGTTGGTGTTGGATGGTGATGACGGTTGTACAACAGTGTGAATATATTTAATGCTACTGAACTCTATGCTTAAAAATGGTTAAAATGGCCAGTCGCGGTGGCTCACACCTGTAATCCCAGCACTTTGGGAGGCTGAGGTGGGTGGATCACTTGAGGTCAGGAGTTCGAGACCAGCCTGGCCAACATGGCACGAAACCCCATCTCTACTAAAAAAAAAAAAGTTAGCTGGGCATGGTGGTGCACGCCTGTAATCCCAGCTTCTCGGGAGACTGAGGCAAGAGAATCGCTTGAACTCAAGGGGCGGAGGTGAGCCAAGATCACGCCACTGCACTCCAGACTGGGTGACAGAGCAAGACTCTGTCTCAAAATTTTAAAAAATGGTTAAAAGGGTAAATTTTATGTTATGTATATGGTACCACACACAAAAAAGACGGAAAGACAAGCCATAAGGACTTGCCATCTCCAAAGGCACTGTGTAGATTGGGGGAAAGCTTCCATGTCCACAGGAAAGGGATCTCCCAGCTGCATACATGTATGGGGTCATGACACAGGCCTGCGGTGGGATGCATGGTTGCTCTCAGCTGCTCCCTGCCTTCCTCATCCCTGCCAATTGCCGTGTGCTTTACAGTGGCTCCCGCTATGGAAAAGAGTCTGTTTCCCTGCCCCATTGACTTTGGCCTGGCCATCCTACTTATTGTGTTCAGCCAGTGGAATGTGAGCAAATGTGATATACTCTGTATCCTGGCCATTGGTGGTTGACTTTCTTTTTTCCCTCTGCCATGAGATCGGCTTCTCCCAAATAGGCACTGCTTGGATGGTTTCCATTTTGGAGGCTCATTTTAGTGTATCCTCTGCCTTGTCTTCTCTCCATAATCCTCAACCTCACTTTGCTCAGTAGGGGGAATGGTTCCAGAAAGCATTTGCCCTAAATAGAGTGTTCTTTTCCATCACATGCCTGGCTTCCCTATCTTGTGAGTAAGGTCCTAGCTGAGGGTGACTATTCTGAGATTCTGTGGTGAAATCTTCTTCCTCTAAATTTGTGTAGAGAAATGAAGAGTCCATCCTCATAGCCTATGGGAAAATCCTGGAGCTCTTGCCAGAGCATCAGAAGGGACAGGCCATTGCTCCAGACAGAGGAGGGTGCCCAAACTCAGAGTGGAGGGAGAATGCTCTTTGACCATAGCCTGGTCCCTAAACTTTTGTCTTTAGCCCGTGTGAATACATTCTCCATTATTCTTGGTTTTCTTTTCTATTCCAATCTTCAGAATTTTTCTCCTCGTCTCACTTGAGATGTGTAAGTTGCTAAATGTGGGGCAGATCCCTTCTTCCCCTGTGTAACTCTGTAGGAATTCTTGCCTGTTCCCTCAGTGTCTGACCAAAATAGGTACAGTCATGAGAGCTGCTGCTGCCCACAAAATGCAGGCTGCTGTCCCCTGGGCTAGGGAACAGACAGAAGGAATGACAGCAGGTTTTTCCTAGGAGAGTCTGTGGCAGAGATCAGGATGCACACACTTGCCAGACAGAAAACAGCCCAACATGATGATCTCAACTATTTTTGATTGCTAATTTCTAGTTACTGTGCTGAACACAGAGTGAGAAACAATCCGTGCTGGGGGAGTTTGTAGTCTAAGCTGCCAATGGTGTGCCCCATGCACCAGGCTGGTCAATAAATATCACTGGAGACCTGGCAGGCTGTCAGGAGGGAAGGACACATTGGATCTGAATAGTTCAGGCACTCAGTCCAAGAGGAGAGAAATGGGATTCAGCCAGCAGTCCAAGTCTGGCCTGGTTGAGAAGTTGTAACAAAATGATAAGTAATCATGCTTGTTTATGATCAGAGAGCTTTTTATCCCACAGGCCAAGGTACTCTTGAACACACTTTCTGAATGTGTCCAGTGGCCTCAGAAAGTTCTGACTGACCACATCATCCCCATCTTTGAGGAGGAGAGGTTGAGTTATGGAGGTGTGAGTCAGCTCTTCCATGGTTGTAGGGTGCAAACAGCCCCAGAATTAGGTTTCCTGCCTTGCAACCAAGGGACGCATGTTTTAGGCCTCTTGCCTCTTCCACGGGACTCTTCTGATACAAATGTCACCTGCCAAACATCCAAAAATTCAAAGGCCCAACATGGCTTTGGCTTGGAACTTAAGTTGGCAAACGATTGGCAATGTGAAATGGAGACCTTTCCAAAAAGGGGCAGGGAAACAGCCAAGCAGGAGGTGAGTGTGGCTCCACTTCCCCAGTGTCCTCTGCTGGAGGGAGCGGATAGACACTAGACACCTCTGCTCTCCCCATTGGGCCCCACAGGCAACGCCGAGCCTGGCAAATGGGAGAGACTCACCCCTCAGGGCTCTGTTGGCCATCTGAGGCACTGGCTAACACAGGTGTGAACAACAGGTTCCACACTTGGCTGGCTCGGCCCAGCCCCATCTCTGAAAATGAGCGCATGGCTCAGAACCCCTGGAAGTGCCCACAGGGGCTGCTAGTCTGGGACAGTTTGAAACGCTAGTCCAACTTAACCAGAAAACTAAATGGCTTCTCTACAAGCATGGTTGCCAAAGAGATCATCAGTAAAAGGAAAAATCAATATATTGAATTTTTTTAAAAAAAATTAAATGGAAGCCAACTAGTTTAACTGAAGAGGCAAAATACTCAGTTTTTTAAAAATTCACTAGAAGCCAGCAAAGAGGATAAAATACAAAGCCAGGAGGAGTTGCCAGTCCTTAGAGACATGGCATAGTGAATATGGCGCACCAGCTGGCCAAAATGACAAGATTGTTGTTGATGGGCAGAGTCCTCCAGGGAGATGGGTTTGGATGGTATTGCTCCGGGATGATCACAGTTGTTTACATCTGTTCCTTGGAATATTACACAAGATTATATTCCAAGCCCTGTGCCTCAGAAACCTGGCTACAGTTCCCTCGGAAGCACAGTGGCCCTGTCTTGAGAAGAATCTTCCAAGCACGGTTAACCAGAGGGCCAAGGTGACACTGGCAGAAAGAGCACTGGATGAGGGATCATAAGAGCTGAGTCCTACCCCTGCTTCTGCAACCTGTCTGTACATCACTGGCTTCAGTTCCCTCTAGGTAAAGTGGAGTTCATACTTCCCTACCCTGTGTGTTGACTTGAGGCTCGAATGACATTCTATGTGTCAGATGTAAGGTTGTGGGTGCCCCAGGGCTATTCCACCATTACCCTGGCTTATTGTAGATCTCAAGGTGGTCCTGTCCCACCATCCTTGTCAATGTACGGGCTTGGCCTTCCACTTCACCTGCAGCTAATCGCGTGGAACCTTGGTGTAGATGAGCCAGTGGAATTTCCCTGGGAATGTGGAATTGGGATTCAAGGATGCAGCCCATCTATGTGTATGGCTGCACCTGCAGGACACATACACTTGTGTTCTGTGGGGTGGACATCTGCCATGTGTGTGGAGGCACAGAGGATGCTGATTTAAATAGAGAGGAGGCCAGGCGCAGTGGCTCATGACTGTAATCCCAGCACTTTGGAAGGCCAAGCGGGAAGGATCACTTGAGTCCAGGAGTTCAAGACCAGCCTGGGCAACAAAGCAAGACCCTATCTCCACAAAAAAGAAAAAAAATTAGCTGGGTATGGTGGTGCATGCCTGTGGTCCCAGCTATGTGGGAGACTGAGGTGGGAGGATCGTTTGAGCCTGGGAGGTCAAGGCTGCAGTGAGGCATGATGGTACCACTGCACTCCAGCCTCAGCAACAGAGCCGAGATCCTGCCTCAAAAAAAAAAATTAATAAAAAAATAAATTGGAGAGAAAGCAGCCACAGAGAGACAGCCAAAGAAGAGAGTCTGTCTGGCCCCACAGAGAGAGTGGCTGCCTTTGTTCCAGACAGCATCGCAGAGTCTGAGTTCAGTCCCTTGTTAATCATGGCTCTTTCGCTGCTATTCCATGAGGCCCTCCTAAATTCTTATACCACGTTCTCTTTTTTAAACTCACACTAGATTTGAATTCACTTCTATTTGCAATTCTAATAACCTTAGCTAACCGTCAAGAACCTTGCAGGTCAGATGAAAAATCTTAGCCCTTATCTCATAAGCAATGGGGACAGTACACAGCCAGTAAAGCAGAAGCTCCTCAAACTATCACTTAAATACAACATCGAAATGTGTCTGACACAACATCTTGCACATAATGGTCACTCAATATATGGTCCTTGAATTAAAACATCAAAATAGGATATAAGTCATGTGCAGGACTAATACTGTAGTTTAGTAAAGGAGAGCAAAACAATGAAAACAAACTGCTGAGCCCTCTCACTAATCTTCCTAATAATTAAATAATCTATTTATTTAGGAAATGGCAGGGGCTTCATCTCTTCTAAGTAGTATATTTTTCAGAATATGTGTATATATTCTGGCATCAAATAGTGTTTAGATAGTACAAGAAAGGCAACATTAATGAGGTCTTCTTTTCTGTATGGTAATTACAGACAAAATACTTCCAGGAATAGGTATTTTCCAAATACATACAAATATTAGAAAAATGTTAAGAGAGGAAACCTAGATATTTCCTTTCCAGCAAAGCAGTACTTCTCAACTCTTCACTCATGCTAGATTTGATTTTGCTTGTTTGTTTTGAGACAGGGCCCTGCTCTGTCAGCCAGGCTGGAGTGCAGTGGCATGATCATAGCTCACTGCAGCCTTGATCTCCCAGGTTCAATCAATCCTCCAATCTCAGCCTCCTGAAGAGCTGGGAATACATGTGCGTACCACCATGCTTGGTTAATTTTTTTTTAAATTTTTAATAGAGACAAGGTCTTGTTATGTTGCCCAGGCTGGTTTCAAACCCCTGAGCTCAAGTAACCCATCCACCTTGGCCTCCTAAAGTGCTGGGATTATAGGTATGAGCCACCAGGCCCAGCCTCATGCTGTATTTGGAGACTGTGTTCAAAACCCCAGAGTAATGGACACAGATAAACTAGAGAATGAACACATAAAAATACCACGGTAAGGAGACAACATTCAAGAACAAGGTCTTGGATCAGAGAATATTTGGCATGAAGATGTCTTTGCTGCAGTCTGAATGCTTATGGATCCCAGGCCCCAAATTCATATGTTGAGACCTAATCCTCAATGTGATGGTATTAAGAGGTGGAGCCTTTGAGAGGTGATTAGGTCCACTCTCTTGAATGGGATTTGTGTCCTTTTAAAAAATGCCTGAGGGAGCTTATTTGCCCTCTTCTGCTTTGTGAGGACACAGAAAGGACTGCCATTTAGCAAGAGGGCCCTCGCCAGGATCTGTTGGTGCCTTGATGATCTTGGACTTCCCAACCTCCAGAACTGTGAGAAATAAATGTATGTTGCTTAAAAGCCACCAAGTTTATGGTATTTTGTTATAGCAGTCCTGAACAGTATTTTGTTATAGTAGTCCTGTGGTATTTTGTTATAGCAGTCCTACGATAACCTTTGCAGGTTATCTTTATACCTGTCTTTAAATATCTTAAATATCTTTAAATATCTTAAAGATTTTCAAGTTGGAGAGAAATTAAGCTTGTCATGGATTATTCCAGAGTGATAAACCACAGGGACATTTTTTCATCTGAAACAAACAACATTGTTGTTGTCCCAACATTACATAGTTCTTATGGTTTTTCCACCTCTTCTAGTAGCAGTGCCACACAGTGGGCCTATGACCCAAGAGGCAGGGCCTCTCAGGGAATGTATACCTTGTCCCTTTCTAGTGTTTGCTGCATGACCTGTGAATTTCATTTTCCTGGTGAAGCCAAGTTGGATCCGTGTTGCGAGCAACTGAAAGAGTCCTGCCCAGGATTTATAAGAGTGATGTGACAAGAAGCAGGCAGTTTCTAAGCAGTGAGTTCTCACCATGCAGCATGATCACAGAGGGCCAAGAAGTAGCTTCATGAGGTCGCTTCAGAGATTGAAAAACTGGCTGGGTGTGGTGGCTCATGCCTGTAATTCCCAAACTTTGGGAGGCCAAGGTGGGTGGATCACTTGAGGTCAGGAGTTTGAGACCAGCCTGGCCAACGTAGTGAAACCCCGTCTCTACAAAACAAAAAAACACAAAAATTAGCCGGACATGGTGGTGCACAGCTGTAGTCCCAGCTACTAGGGAGGCTGAGGCAGGAGAATCACTTGAACCCGGGAGGTGGAGTTTGCAGTGAGCTGACTGGAGTGCCACTACACTCCAGCCTGGGCGACAGAGCAAGACTCCATCTCAAAAAAAAAAAAAAAAAAAAAAGAAAAACCAAGAAGATGTTGTCTGCACTAACTGCCCCCTCCTCACCTCTTGATTACTGCATAATAGTAACATTCTCCCTGCAGTTTATTCACTGGGAAGCTGAAAACGATGCATCGGACATGCCATATGAAAATAAAAAGCCAGTAAATCATGTAAATAAATTAATACTATACTCAATTACAATGGGAATTTATTACTCATCTTATCTTTATTTAATAGCTATCTCCTCTGTGCCAACACCTGGCACAAATATTTCCTAATAAATTAGAATATAGGTGGATTTTTTTCATTTTAATAATTTGCAGCATTTAAAGGAAATTACTTACTTGAATTCAGAGATTTATCTAAAATCCAAGTATACTCACGAGGACAAGAAACTCTCCCTAGACTCACCCTAGGTGCACTCCTCCCTGCAGGAGACGGCCCTGTGTCCTGGATTTAATTCTAATTTCCCATTTGCTTAGGGCAGTGGAGGGAGGCCTGCCCTATATGGGTGTCTGAAGCAGGTTCTTTCATGTCCCAGGATGAGATTGGCCCTTCTGGCACGTTGGCCCCTGGCAGAGGGATTACATTAGTGTCAGATTTCTTACCTTACCCCTCAACCCCAACAGACACAGAAGCCTCTCTCCAAAAGTCACCATGGGAAAATCACCCCGACCAGACAGAAAGCCCCATGACTCTGCAGGCGGAACCTCCACAGGCTGGCCCAGAGCGGCAGAAGCTGCTGGAATGTTTAAGCAAAATTCCTTGTGGCTCTGGCCCCTTGGCAGCCATTATTGCTGCTCTCTGGCCCCGGCTGTGTATCCTCAAGGCCTCTCAGATCGCCACAGGCAGTGGCCTCAGATCTCCCTTCCATAAACACTTGTCACAGTCACCCATTAGCACTCATCAGATGCTGGAATTACTGAACATATGAAAGCAGTGTGGGAATTTAAGGGTTTGTCATCTTTTTTCCAATAGAGTAGGGGCCTTTATAGGGTGAGGGTGATCAGACAAAACTGAGATCTCTATTCCCGGAGAGAAAGAAAACTTAAAAATCATTTAATTATGACATTTGGGCTTCATATTAACAAGTTCAACATTTTCCAACACCCTTCAACAAAGCCTCGCAGCCTCCAAATGACTTCAGTTTTCTTCAAGACAATCCACTCTGTGTCTGGGGCATCATTCTGATTTACAGAGCATTTCAAAATATTTATATTTTTTTAGGGTTTCCATCACAGCTTCAGCCAGTAACCTGCTGTGTTTGAAAATGTCTGGGCAGTAATTGTCATTGTTTGCAACAGCTATTTTGGACTGTAGTGAGTGCTGTGGCATTTCGTAGAATGTAGGAATGCAATTACTAAGGTTGTATACATAATCCAAGTGACCTCCTGGCTTCAGAAGCTCAAACCCTAGGAAAAAAAAGGATAACAACAGCAAAACTTTTGTTTAATTTTTCTTCTGTAGTTGGTCAGTGGTAGGTGGATTATATTATGGCCAATTTGGCAAAAAAATGATTAGTATAACAATTCCTTATAAGTACAAAACAATGTTGGTTTAAACATTCAAGAAGGAATATGCCTGGGATGATGGGCACTTCTGACCCACTTTCGTACCTAAGTGTTTCTGGAGGAAACTGGACACTGAGGGGACGTCTGGGTCCTGGAATGACTCATCCTCATGATGACTGCTTTTTACCAATTAGAAAAGGGCACTCTGATGTCATTTAAAAATATGTTGCTAACAGCTAAGGGCGTTAGGTTTTAAAAGATACAGGAGAAAAATCGATTCAGTAAGAATGAGACCATTTTGGAGTCAGTAAATGAATGTACAAGTTGCTCTGCATGTCATTTGAGACTGAGGTTTCTTGGATCTTATCCGTTTCGGAGAGGCTCAGATTACTCCCAAATTATTTTCTCTCCCCACGCTCCCTTTTTTTAAAATTTCAGATACTATCTGGAAACTGCACTGCTAAAGCCCGCCGATAGTGTGAAACAGAGTTGTTAGACCTAAGTTCAGATCCATAAACAGAATCTCTTGATTTCCAAGCAATCAGTGGTTTAGATCACTCTGTTGCTAGAAATAAGAAATTGTCCTGAACGATTTCAAATCTTTTAAAAAGAAAAACACAATAAAGTGTCAAATAGAAATATCCATGATCATTTTCTTGGTACCTTCCAGGCATAATGCATCAGCTCCCACCTCATCTCTGTCTACCCCTGTGTAAAAGTGCCTGTAGCTCTGAGACCCGGTGGCTGGAGCCTCTGGCTGGAGCTTTCCTTCAGGCTGAGCTCTGGATGGAAGTCGGGGCTCTGTTTGCTGCCCAGGGCCTTTTCATGGTGATGGTCTTTGCTTTCCAGCTGGTTTGTAGACTGTCAAAGTGCCACCAGGAAACTGCAGTGAAGCTGACCCTAGCGGGTCCTCTAAAGGCCTGTGGGGGCGTGAACAGTGAGAGCAGTGAGAGAGCCCCGGACACTCTCATTGCTTGGGATTCATCTTTATCCCACTTTTTTCCCAACCTCCTCACTACACCTACTGTTTTCTCACCCCTGCATGGAATTATACTAAGTATAGACAACCCCCAACCCCCCCCACCCCTCAGCTCCCAAAAAACCACACATTTGTTCTGAAGCACTGCTGTAAACTGCCAGCCTGGCTGGTTCTGGCCAAGCTCCCTAGACATCTATGAGAACAGCAAACGCCAAGCCAGGAGCACACACGGGCTGTCTCCAAAGGAAAGCACTGCCAGCGTGTCTCAGTGGGGGAAGAGCTTCGTCAGGACGGGCTAATCATTCCCAGTGAAGCTGAATGCTGCAAGACTGCGTGGAGACAGCTGTCAGACCTATTGTTCAGGAGGTGGCAGCAAGCCCAAGGGGCTAGGGAGGGGGTCCCCAAGCCCGGACTCCAGTGGCGCTCAGATAGTGGTCATGATGATTACATCTAAAGTGTCCACCACCTAAAGAGGTGGCCGCATGTGCAGTCTCATGAGAAATCCTCCAGAAAGCTCCAGCAGGAAGTTCTTCTCAAGGAGAATCTCAAGTTTTTTCTTTTCAGATTGGGCGCATGACCAAGATAAAATGTGTTAGTGGCTACTGTTTACATAAATTGTATGGCTCTGAAATGGCAATTTCGTATCCAGACAGGCATATCTGTCAGCCAAAGGAGCTTTTATAATGTAAGCTTTACTAGGTACTTCCTTTCTCTTTCACGTATACTCAGTTACCCTGGTTTGTCCTTTATTACTGTAAGCATGGCTTTTGATCAAAAGAAATGAAAGCATTGACATTTTGGTCCATTCATTCATTCATTTTAAAAGGAGGCTGATGCTTTTGTGATGTAAAGATGTTCCATGGGAAGCAATGACAGCCTTTGCTGGAAGAGCGGATTTAACAACAAATACATTATTCTTGCAGAATTTTTCCTTGTGCCAGGAAAGCAAAGGACTCTGAGCTTCATGGGGGAAAGAAAGCCGCTGTGTCCATGTGAACACAAGGCAGGGGAAAGGACTCCGGACCTTGCCAGGCTCACTCCAACCATAGGCAAAATGCCTCACACCACGAGCTAGCAAATTATATCTTCAATATGTCTTTAACTCTTTAAAATTTAGCTACCAGGGGACTGGGGAGGCTACAGATTTATCATCTGTTATTTATGCCTGAGTCTGAATAAAAGATTTGAGAGCAGATTTTGATAGAAGAAAATCATAGAATGTTAGAGTGGAAACAGTTTACAGAAAGAATATCAAATCTAGGCCAGGTGCAGTGGCTCATGTCTAGCACTTTGGGAGGCCGAGGGAGGCAGATGGCTTGAGCCCAGGAGCTCAAGACCAGCCTGGAAAACATGGCGAAATCCTGTCTCTACAAAAAAAATAAAATAAAATAAAATAAGAGAAATTAGCCGGATGTGGTGGTGTGCACCTGTAGTTCCAGCTACACAGGAAGATGAGGTGGGAGGATAGCTTGAGCCCAGGAAGTCAAGGCTGCAGTGAGCCGAGATTGCATGACTGCACTCCAGCCTGGGTGACAGAGCAAGACTGTGTCAAAAAGAAAGAAAGAAATAAATCAAATCCAATGTCCCACTCCTACATTATACCTTTCTAAGTGGCCTGTGAACAATACCAGTCTATGGGACGGTCCTGTGGCAGGGTTGTTCTTTGCAATTTGTAGGGGAGGAAAAGCAATATCTTTTCCTGTCCATCACAAGGTTCATGGCTGATACCCCTATAACAAAAGACAGATTAAAAAATGAAAAACATAAGAAATTTATTTAACCAAAGTTTTATGTGACATGAGAGCCTTTGGAAATGAAGACCCAAAGACCTTATGAAAATAATGAATTTTTATGTTTAGGTTTGGCAAGGAATGGACAGTCCATGTGGAGGTATAACTGGAAAAAAAGGGGGTCTGACCTAATGGTAATAAACCGTGGGGACCTTAGCCAGGTCTGTTTGTTCAGATGCTTCTTGGCCTCTCTGTATAACATGCCTTCCCTTCATGCACAGGGCAGGACACTGGCCACATGAGGGTCTTTGAAAGAGAGGGAGCAGGAGAAGCTCAGAGAGACCTTTCTGCTTCTGAGCTTTTTACAGTTTCCTCCAGCTTTAAATACTCAGTATGCAAAGGGGCCATATTTTGGGGTTATGTGACTGTACTCCATCACACTTTATCACCAAGTGATATTGTTCCTAATTCTGTTATTTGGAGCAAAATACAAGTTACTCTTTTCTACCTAAAGGCCTTCAAATATTCAAGGATAACTACCCTGTTTCCCTTGGTTCTGTATTCTCTAGGTTCTGGTCCTTGTTCCTTCCACCTCTCTTTAAATGGTATGATTACCAGGTTCCCTCACATCCTACCTGCCATTTACCAAACCTAATCCAGTGGATCAGTGTTCTTAAAATAGAGTGTCTAGAACTGAGCACAATATTCCAGATGTTCTGTGGCACACAGAGGGAACTCTGGAGGGGGGTCCCCAGCGGCATGCTATGAATATTAGGCATTGCCCATATCTTATTTAATATTAGCCATGATTTTTGATAAATATGTATGGAAGACCTGTTTGTCACATTCGAGAATAACAAAACTAAGTAGAATAGCAAATGCAAAAGATGTCACAAACAAGAGACTGAAGCATCAAGGAGTAATTTCCTATGGATAAATATAAATTTTTTCGTTAAAAATAAGTACAGGATGGGGTTACATGTCTTGATACCAGTTCATAGAAAGCAAGTTGGCCTCAAGCTCAACATGAGAGCAGACTCTGAGAAGATAACTGTATTGTTTGGAGTACAGAACATGGGGTCCCTCTGTGCTCCACACAAGAGCTGGAATATTGTGCACCGTTCTAGGCACCACAATTTATTTTATTTTATTATTTATTTATTTTTTTGAGACGGAGTCTTGCTCTGTCGCCCAGGCTGGAGTGCAGTGGTGTGATCTCGGCTCACTGCAAGCTCTGCTTCCCGGGTTCACGCCATTCTCCTGCCTCAGCCTCCCGAGTAGCTGGGACTACAGGCGCCCGCCACCACACCCAGCTAATTTTTTGTATTTTTAGTAGAGACAGGGTTTCACCATGTTAGCCAGGATGGTCTCGATCTCCTGACTTCATGATCCACCTGCCTCAGCCTCCCAAAGTGCTGGGATTACAGGCGTGAGCCACCACACCTGGCCTATTTTATTTTTTAAATCTGGTCAAGTGCAGTAGTGAGAAGGGGGAAAGGATAGAACAAGGAGTTCAATCTGTAACTGTACAATTCATTGAGATCACTGGCTACCTTCAGACCAACCTCTAGGCACCATATTTTAAAAACACTGAGCCACTGGGCAACTCCTGCTTTCATCCCTTGATTGCCAGACCCGTGTATCTTCCTTTTGGGGAATACATACATATAAAAGACTTTGATCAAAGTAAACATTGCATCACAGAGGATGGGGCCTCATCTTCTTAAAGTGTCTAAGCTGGGACTCCAATTCAGTATTAAATAGGCAGTTTCTATGTCCTATCAGGCTGGGAGCTTCTGTGTGATATAGTAGGTGATATGACCAGTGGATCCCATGATTAAGAAACCCATTCTCTCATCTCCTTTGCTATAAAGTGGGCCCCTGCTCTAATATGATGTTATGTAGATCTTATGCCAACAGATCAAATGCCCCAAAAGCTCTCAGATCATGGGGCTAAGGGTCTTAGGACATGGGATGCAAATCTATATGCAGACTATGTGTCTATCTATTCCTTTCAGAATGAATCATTAGCCCTTCCTAAGTGGAAGGGACTCAATGAAGTCAATTTGCCACCAAGTAGATGGTTGGTCTCCTTGATGGATGGGACCATATCAATAACTGAATATTGATCCCTGGTGCAGTCAGATTGGACATTCAGTAGCAGCAGGCACAGTTAAATCAGTCTTGGTAAGTGGTTGCCCACAGTGTTGGGTCCATTTATAGTGTCCATCTCTGCCACTAAGACCACGTTGTTCATTTACTCATTGGCATGTATCTGTCTGTTTTTAATGCCTCTACTGTAGAAGATGCTCTCTGGTGAGAATAAACATGCTATATTAAAGATCTGCACTCTTTGCACCCACTTCGATATATTCATCTGTATGCTTCTATCCCAGAAAACCTGTCCCTACATTCCAATATTTCTTCTGACAAGCTTCTGACAAGCTGGCCAGGCCATTCACCACTGCCTATCAGTCAGATTATATTCTAACTTGAGACCACTTCTCTATCTACACAAAGTAGATGATCAGGTACATCACTAAAATCCCTGCCTATTGGAAGCATTTTCTTTCACCATTCTCTTTCAAGACCACTTGTGAGTCAGGTTGTAGTATAATTGCATCTGTTTTCTGCTTTCACTCACATACCAAGCAGATTTATGTGTGAACGAAGCTCGGGTTTTCTCCTCCTCTGAGAGCTGGTTTTAAGGACTATCTCATGCAGCAATAGGTGTGTGGGAGGGGAGCTGATGCAACAGCGGTGGATGACACATGGGTGTGCACATGCGTTCTGGTCCTATTTGTGCTCAACCCTGGGTAGATTGTTGCTGGGCCCTCTCGACCGTATGACTTGGTGAGTCACGTAACCACGCTCATGATGAGCAGTTCTGGACACATGGTGTCCCATGGTCAGATACTTGATCAGGGCCCAGTAGCATGCCAGGAATTTCTCCCACCATCTTGGGATTCTATATTGACTTCGATTCACTATTTGGGGGGAGGTTTCGGACATTTGTACTTCACAGTCCCCATTATGATATTCCTTATCCCACAGGCTAATCTGGGGTCACACCAATCACCAGTATATCTTTCCTAATTATGCATTCAGGAACAGGGGAAATGTCCATGGCCCCAGTGGACCCACTGTGAGTGGGACCATGGCCCATTACATTCTATTTATTACTTCCCTTATTGCTATGGTTGGAAAGTTTGTGTCCCCCCAAAATTCATGTTTTGAAACTGTATCCCCAGTTGTATGGGGTATGATGGTATTCAGAGGTGGGGCCTTTGGGAGGGGATGAGATCATGAGGGCAGACCCCTCATGAATGAAATTAGTGCCCTTACCAAAGAAGCCAACGGAAGCTTGCTTGCTCCTTCTGCCAAGTGAGGACCCAGCAAGAAGATACCATCAGTGAATCAGAATGTGGGCCTTCCCCAGACACCAAAATCTGCCTCCAACTTGATCTTGGACTTCTCAGCCTCCAAAACTATGAGAAATAAATTTCTGTTGTTTATAGGCCACCCAGTCTATGGTATTTTGTTACAGCAGCATGAATGGTCTAAGACACCTAAATATGCCTACACTAATAGGGGGTCATGATGATGTTTTGGGTCTCTGGCTTGATGTCATCGATGAGGTAAATCAATGTCAGCTCAGACCTTCTGTCCAACAGTCCTCAAAATATTGGGCATTCCCCTTTCCCCAGCATTCGGTCAACCAATTAAATGTCTGTAGATCCCTTTGAGGGAGTATTTGTGGAATCATTACCATGTACATCTATTAGGGTATTTTAGGATCCTTCTATTTTTCCTTTTAATGGTTTCAGGCCTAAAAACTGGCTCAGGTCTGGAAATTGGATAAGGTAATGGCTTCTTATTAGGGCAACTTCCTCCAGCTTCCTGATCACTCATCCTTGGCTCTTCTGATAGTACAAGGAGAACACTACTCTTGTGGGCTGCTTATCTATTCTGCCCCACTATGATGGTTAATTTTATGTGTTAACTTGCCTGAACCAAAGTGCTCAAATATTTGGTCAAATATTATTCTGGATTTTTCTGTGAAGGTGTCTTTTTGGATGAGATTAACACTTGAATCAGTGGACTTTGAGTAAAGCAGATTAACCTCCATAATGTGGTTAGGCCTCATTTAATACCTTGGCAAGGACCCCAGAAGGTGATGTTGGCAAGGAGCCCAGGGGTGATAATGATGTACGTTCACCTCCTGGGGTCCTTGCCAAGGTATTAAATTCTGAATTTAATTGATAAGCTCCCCTTTCTCAGTCAATAAACTCTCCCTTATCCAATCTTATATTCTAGCCTCCTTAATCAAGTACCTTCAGAATTCAGGGGAGGTGTACTCCCCTGGCTCCTGCTGGGGAAGGCCTTAACAGAACAAAGCTAACCTCCTCAGAGCCGGAAGAAATTCTTCCTGCAGAGTTCTTTGAACTCAAACTGCAACTCTTCCCTGGGTCTCCAGCCTGCCAGCCTACCCTGCAGATTTCTGACCAAGCCTCCACAATGATGTAAACCAACTCCCTAAAATAAATAGATTTTTCTCTATATGTACTCATGCTGCTGGTTCTGTTTCTCTGGGGAACCTTGACTAATATACCCATGTTTTATTATCTATCTCCATAACTCTCTGAGAGTCAGGCCCACTTGGCTGCCACTCCCATCTTATCACATTAAAATAATTGGATCTATAATTACTGTTTGGCTTCTGAGGGTTACATGCCACTGTCTCAACTCTATTGTTTCAGGGTTGTAGCATCCTCATTGCTATCAGGGAATCTGGTTCTGTAATGGCCACTATCAAACGTCTACTAATGATGTTGCTGCTTCCTCACTAGTGCACCCCTGCTGGCCTTGGTAAATGATTATTGTGTTAGTCCATTTTGCATTATTATAAAGGAAAAGCCAAGGCTGGGTAATTTATAGAGAAAGGAGATTGATTTGGCTCTGGGTTCTGCAGGCTGTACAAAAAGCACAGTGCCACCATCTGCTTCTGGTGAGGCCTCAGGAAGTTTTTGTCATGGCAGAAGGGAAGGGGAGCCAGTGTGTCACGTGGCAAGTGAGGGGGCAATCAAGAGGGAAGGAAGGAGGTAGCAGGCCCTTCAAACAACCAGCTCTTGTCTGAACTAAGAGAGAAGTCAGTCATTACCTCATTACTATCGGGAGGACACCAAGCCATTAATGAGGGATCTGCCCCCATGACCCAAATACCTCCCACCAGGCGCCACCTCCAACACGTGTATCGTATTTCAACATGAGATTTGGAGAGGACAAACATCCAAATGATAGCAATTGTCTGAATCCATTTGGGTTGATATAACAAAATACCATAAACTGGGTTGCTTATGAACAATCCAAATTTATTTCTCACAGTTCTAGAAGCTGGAAATTCCAAGATTAAGACTCTGACAGATTCTGTGCCAGGCACTTCTAGATAACAGTCTTTTCGCTGTGTTCTTACATGATGGAAGAGGTGAACAAGCTCCCTCAAACCTCTTTTACAAGGACATTAATTCCATGCATGAGAGCAAAGCACCCATGACCATCTCCCAAAGGCCCCAACCCCTAACACCTTGGGGATGAGGATTTCAACTAATGAATTTCAGGGGGGACGCAAACATTCCAACCATAACAATGATGAATTCTCTGGACCTTCCCATGGAACATAATCATTGATAAGTTTTTCAGCCTCACATAGTATATCTACTTCAACATGCCCACCTCTCCAAGTCTTTTAATTCCTCCTTCACCAACTGCTACAGCAATTCTGGCATCTCAACCTCACTTAGCATAACCATCACTCTTTTCTTGCTACTAGGAGCTATCCTAGCAGTGACTTATCAATTAAATTCAGAATTTAATACCTTGGCAAGGATCCCTCAAATGAAGTCTGTCCACTGACAGCACTCCCAGAGGCTGGACAATTTCTTTCTTGTCACCATAGGAGTTAATATCAAGATTTTGCAATTATGTAAAAGTCTTCTTAAATTTTTTACCTTAAAACATTTCTTTTTTAGAGATGGGGGTCTTGCTATGTTGTCCAGACTGTTCTTGAACTCCTAGCCTCAAGTGATCCTCCCATCTTGGCCTCCCAAAGAGCTGGAATTAAAGGCATGAGCCACTGTGCCTGGCCTCTTTGATTATGTATTTAATTTTCAATAACCTCTCATACTTTTTAAGTTATACATAGTCTTCTTTGGCCTTAACTGTGAAATCTTGTCTGTATTTCCTCTGACATTTTTGAAATCTTCTTTCCTTAACTTTAGGCAACATGGCAGATTTAGCTGACATAGATTAGACCCCTTCCACTATAAAAAGAAATATGAACTATAATAATAACCAAAAATTGATGTAATATAGCAGTAATTAAAAGTTGCTATGTTGGCAGCCAACAGAGTGTAACACTGAGGGCCTTTTGGGGTAAGGGTCTAGGGTTTTAATGAGGTTCTACTGACCCTAGACCCTCACCCCAAAGGCCCTCAGTGCTACACTCTATTGGCTTTGGAAGGAAATACAGACTTGGTCATGTCAGAATTGATCCTCTTCCATAAGGCTCAAAGCTTAAGAGACATTTCAGTTGATCAAGAAACAGGAAAATTTAATGAAACACTTCTTAACTCATTTTATAATACTAGATCATACAAAGACATTACTAGAAAAGCAAAGTAAAGACCAATATTTCTCAGGAACACAGAGAAATCATGAAGAAAAAAATGTAGCAAATCCGATCTAACTATATATATAAAGGATAAAACATTATTATGATCAAGCGAAGTTTATCCCAGGATTGCAAGATTGGTTTAATATTTGAAAACCAATCAGTGTAATTCACTATATTAGTAAACTAAAAAAGAAAAACCATATGATCATTTCAATAGATGCAGAAAAAGCATCTGACAAAATTCTATACCCATCCACGATTAAAGAAAACAAAACAAAACACAACAACCAAAGAAAACCCCTCAGCAAACAAGGAATAAAAGGGAACTTTATCAACCTGATAAAGTCAATAGAGAAAAAACCTTACACTTAACATCATATTTAATGGTGAAAGACAGAATGCTTTTCCCTTAATATCAACAACAAGACAAGAGTGTCCATTTTTCCTAATCTTATTCAACATAGAAATAGAGGTCCTAACCTGTGCAATAAGGCAAGAAAAAGAAATAAAATTATATAGGTTGAAAAGGAGTAAAACTGTTTATTTGTAGATGACATGACTGCCCACAAAGAAAATAGTAAGGAATAAGCAAAAGAGCTAATGGAATAAAAAAATACATTTAGCAACGTTTCCAGATATAAGGTCTATGAACACAAATTATTTGCATTTTTATATTTAACAAAAACAACAGAAAATTGAAACGATTTTTTAAAAAGCCCAATAGCATTTACAATAGCATCAAAAATAAAATACCTAGGGATACATTTTTTAAAATATGTGTGCAATTTGTTTAATTAAAACTATAAAAGATTGTGGAGGGAAACTAAAAATCTAAATACATGGAGAGCTATATCACATATATAAACCTACACACTCAATATTGTTGAGTTGTCAGTTCTCCAAAAATTGATCCAGTGATTCAACATAATCCCAATCAAAATTCCAGTACACTTTTGTAGACGTTGACAAGCCTCAATAATGTCCATTTAAAATTTGAAGGTAAGCGCTAAAAGAATAATAAAAGGATCATCACTTCGAAACCAGTAAAAGGAATAAATAAAAAATTAAAACCAAACAAATCTGTATCAATCTGAAAGAAAAGAAAAGAAAAGAGAAGTTACAAAGGAAAGAAACAGCACGTTAAAAAGATGAAACAAAATCATATGGTAAAAATAAGTTCAAATATATTGGTAATCCTAAGACTAAGTAGCTTAAATTTAATTGTTGAAAGATAGCAATTCTCAGGCTGTATTATTATAATAACAAAATCCAGCTATTTGATGTTTTCAAGAGACTGATTAAAACATAAATACACAGAAAGTTTGAAAATAAAAGAATGGAAAAACTATGTACCAGGAAATTTTAAATTTAAGAAAGCTAGTGTAGCAAGAATTAATTCTATCTGAAAAACATAGATTTTAAGGAAAAAAGGTAGGCTGGGCGTGGTGGCTCACACCTGTAATCCCAGCACTTTGGGAGGCTGAGGTGGGCAGATCACAAGGACAGGAGATTGAGACCATCCTGGCTAACACGTTGAAACCCCGTCTCTACTAAAAATACAAAAAATTAGCTGGGCGTCGTGGTAGGTGCCCATAGTCCCAGGTACTCCGGAGGCTGAGGCAGGAGAATGGCATGAACCCAGGAGGCGGAGCTTGTAGTGAGCGGAGATTGCGCCACTGCACTTCAGCCTGGGCAACAGAGCAAGACTCCATCTCAAAAAAAAAAAAAAAAAAAAAAGAAAAGAAAAAAGGTATTATATGAATAAAATATAAACTTTCAAATAATAATATAAACAATTTACTTCTATATAATATGAAAAAGCTACTTAATTAGAATATAAACAATTTACTTGCTTTATGAAAATATAAAAATTTCACACAATAATACTATGAGTAATATAACACTATGGGCAATATAACAATCCTGAACCTATACACACATCTAACAGTACTGCATATAAGCAAAATATGACATTCAAGGAGAAATTGGGAAGATATTAATCTTATCACTTAGAAACTGATAAGATCAAACAGACTAAAAATAGTAGGATAGAGAAGATTTGAACCACACATTAAACCACACAATGTATGTCAACGGACATAGATCAAATCCTGCATGCAAAAGATAGAGATAGTCTTTTTAGACAAAAAGGGAATACTTAAAACTGAGCCCCAATATAAATATCAACAAATGCCAAATAATTGACATAACATTTATCCCATCCTCTCACCACACTCCAATAGAATTAGAAATCAATAACAAATTTAAATTTGATTTCCTAAAGTCTAAAAGAAACATTTATACGCAGTAAATGAGATGACTTTATGACTTTCTTTCAAGTTTTTGTACTTCATTTCCCCACTGTCAACCAAATTCTTCTTGGCCAAAATTAAGTCCAGACTAGCAGCTTCCCTGTTGTTTACTCATTCTTTTAAGAGATGAAATTGTAGGTAGGAAAGGCCAAAATGTTATCAAGTGTTCTGCTTTTGGTTGAATAATACTTTTAAGATATGTCTACATGGTTAAAACATTTTATTGCTATTACATCAGTTTAATAACCTGTATTAAGAAAATATTATTTAAAACTAAAGTATTTCTCACATGCTCAGCCTGGCCAGGCTGTCTGCAATATGCTCCTGTGACATTATCATATCCATTTCTGAATTCTTTTATTTTTCATCCAGATGTTCTTTGCCTTGCTTCTGCCCTCAGGTTTATGAATTCCCATACAGGTACATAGCTTCATGACTCAAGTCCTATTTCCCTAACCCTTATTCTATCTTAAGCTTCTCTTTCAAATGATCTTAGTTCAGTATAATATTCCATTTATTCATATAAAGCCACTGTACTTTCAATAAATCTGTATAAGCTTACATTTCTAAAAATTTTAGTTAGTATTTTATTGGTTTGCCATGCTTGTCTCTACCTTCAGTCCATTAGTACACTAATAACAAAGCCAAAACTTGTTTCTCAGCCTTCTTTCATTTTCCCCTTCAACAGGGAATTTTTTGGTACTTTCTTCACTATGCTTCTTCCTCGGGCACCTTAGTATTCCTCAGTAAGGTATACTTTCACAATTTTTTATTCAGATACCTTTCTTTGAGATGGAGTCTCACTCTGCCACCCAGGCTGGAGTGCAGTAGTGCGATCTTGGCTCACTGCAACCTCTGCCTCCTGGGTTCAAGCGATTCTCCTGCCTCAGCCTCCCAAGTAGCTGGGATTACAGATGTGCACCACCATGCCAGCCAATTTTTGTAGGGATGGGATTTCACCACGTTGGCTAGGCTGGTCTCGAACTTCCGACCTCAGGTGATCTACCCCCTCCTTGGCCTCCCAAAGTGCTGGGATTACAGGCATGAGGCACCACGCCTGGCCTAGATCCTTTTAAAGTCCATTTTTCATCCTGATTCTACTTCTTAAGAGCTTTGTTTTCTTAAGCAAGTACTTTACCTTTCTGTGCTTCAGTTTCCTCATCTATAAAATAAGGATAATAATAGTACCTATATTATAAAGTGGTAAAAATTAAATGAGTGAATACATCTAAAATGTTGAGGTCAGTGTACATAGAGCTTAATAAAAATTAGCTTTTATTAAAATGATTTGCCCTTGAAATTCAGTTTATAACCCTTTTGATTTATTTGGTGAGTCTTCTGTCAAATACATTCTTGCAAGACTTTTTGTGGCATATTCTGTCCCTTGATTTCTGGCTCACAGCCAGGAAACTCAACAACTTTTTGACATCACCGGCAAAGCTGTTTGTTTACTTTTCAAAGTCAGAATCACAAAATAGCAGAAAAGTTTTTTTTAAAAAATCGATTCCTGGCCGGGCGAGGTGGCTCACGCCTGTAATCCCAGCACTTTGGGAGGCCGAGGTGGGTGGATCACGAGGTCAGGAGTTCAAGGCCAGCCTGGCCAAGATGGTGAAACCCTGTCTCTACTAAAAATACAAAGATTAGCCAGGCATGATGGCAGTCACCTGTAATCCCAACTACTTGGGAGGCTGAGGCAGGAGAATCGCTTGAACTCGGTGGGCAGAGTTTGCAGTGAGCCAACATCATGCCACTGTACTCCAGCCTGGGTGATAGAGTGAGACTCTGTCTCAAAAAAAAAAAAAAAAAATTGATTCCTAAATCATTCTGTCTTCTACCCACCGTCTCTGTCATTAGAAATACGTTCCAGACTTTTTCTGACTCTATCTAGTTCTATACATGTGAATCAGCAGACATGAACAGGCTCAAGTACAAGTTCCAGAGCTTACAGCTAAGGTTGATTCCACAATCTTTAGAGTGGAAGTCATCAGCCAATATTACCCCTGTGCTCTTCCCAAACAAATGCCAGGAGGTTTCTGATGTGATGATATCTGGGAAGCTTTAGTATTCCAGGCTTTAAAATCAAACTGAAGCAAAGGTTATTTTTAGTTGACTAGCCACTAGTAACTATGAAAGCACAATTTATTTTCCTTATGGTTTTCTACCAGATCATATTATTTAATTCATTCCTTTACGTTGATTGTTTCTTATATGTCTTTTTCATCTTTTCTTTTTTCTTTTTCTTTTTTTTTTTTTTTTGACTTTCTAGATTTCTTCCATTCTGCCAAGAAAATCATCATCCTCTCTAGTATGCTAGAGAATAGGCCCATGCCTCATGAGCCTTTTGGCTTCCCTCAGCAGAGAGACCAGCCTGCCTCAGCAGAGAGACCAGCCTGCATCTGTAGTGAACACACTTAGGGACTACGCTAAGTAGGAATCAGAGTCCTTAAATGTAAGGTCCCTGGAGCAGTTTCCTCAATATAAGCAAGCAGGCCTTAGCTCACCCTTCTTCACACAGTTCCTGGTAACTTCCACAGACTTTTCCTTGTAAACCTTCTAGGGTCACCCATTATGTAGCCATTACCTTACTGCCCTACAGTAGATTGTTAACAATTAAGCCGTTATTATTATTATTTTATTTTTATTTTTTAGACGGAGTCTTGCTCTGTCTCCCAGGCTGGAGTGCAGTGGCGCGATCTCGGCTCACTGCAACCTCCGCCTCCCGGGTTCAAGAGATTCCCCTGCCTCAGGCTCCCGAGTAGTTGGGACTACAGGCATGCGCTACCACGCCCAGCTAATTTTTTTGTGTATTTTAGTAGAGACGCGGTTTCACCATGTTGGCCAGGATGGTCTCGATCTCCTGACCTCGTGAGCCGCCCGCCTTGGCCTCTCAAAGTGCTGGGATTACAGGCGTGAGCTACCGTGCCCAGCCCAATTAACCTATTAACCACCCCTTAGGCACTCCCAAAGAGAACTTGGTAAACTCTTTCCTTTTCCCCTTTAAAGTGCGCTTAATTTGTTGCAGTCACATCATTCTGAATGTAATTCCCATGAATTCGGCTATCAAAAAGACTAGATAAGACAGTGACATCAGTGAAAATGGTGGAGTGGAGAAAGCCAAAGTTTGTTCCTCCCTAAAAGCAGCAAATAAATTAGCAAAAACCATCAGAATCAACTTTATTGGAACTCTGGAAATGAATCAAAAGTTTACAGCAAGCAGTTGAATGCTAAGAAAAAAAATCCCAGCTGAATCTTTTTTTTTTTTTTTGAGACGGAGTTTCCCTCTGTCGCCCGGGCTGGAGTGCAGTGGCATGATCCTGGCTCACTGCAACCTCTGCCTCCCGGGTTCAAGCAATTCTCCTGTCTCTGCCTCCAGAGTAGCTGGGACTACAGGAGCACACCTCCACACCAGGCTAATTTTTGTATTTTTGGTAGAGACGGGGTTTCGACATGTTGACCAGGCTGTTCACGAACTCCTGACCTTGTGATCCGCCCACCTCGGCCTTCCAAAGTGCTGGGATTACAGGCGTGAGCCACCGTACCCCGCCCTGAATCTTGATAAGAGAGCTTTATGGCATTTTATCTTAACCTTGACACCATACCTCAGCTTGTTGGCAAAATTGAAGACAACAGCCCACATTTCTGGTATAGGTTCCTAATACTGAAGGGAGCAGAACAGATCTTATTCTCAAAGATTTGTAGTTGTTTTGACCTCTCTCAGGGTTCTCTGAAGGACCAGTTCAAAGGACTTTCCTTTATGTAACCTAATCTGGAACTCTTCCCGGACTGAGGTGGCTACCCAGGGGCCATTTGCCGAAAATACCGAAAGGCAAATGTATTAACCACTGCTACCTGGAGCAAGTATCTGTCTAGTAAGTTCAGTGCTTGGGCTTCCTTGGGAATAGTTTCTATTAATTTTTTCCCTGTGTATGGGCCATAATTTCTTGTTTCTTTTCCTGACTCACAATTTTTTTGTTGAAAATTGGACATCTTAGAGCTTTTAATGTTGCAACTCCAGAAATAAGGTTCTCTCTCCTCTCTGAGATTTGTTGTGGTGTTGTTGCAGTTGTCATTTTTTGAACAAATTTTGTAAAGTCTGTGTTTGTGTGTGGCTACAGAAGTCTTTGTTCATTTAGCTTAGTGGTCATCTAGTGATTCAACAGAGATTCCCTGAAATAATTGGAGCCAAAAACAAAAACCAAACTCCCAGTCTTTGTAAATAGGCTGTCTGTGTATATTGAGGCATGCCTTCAACACTCAGCCAGGCAGTTTACAACGCTTTCTCTTGCCTGCTCAATTCTGCTGTTGAACCTCTCTAATCAATTTTTTAAAATTTTGGTTATTATACATTTCAACACTATAATTTCTGTTTTTTTCCTATAATTTATAAGTCTATCTGTTGATATTCTCTATTTGGTGAAACATCATTCTCATACTTTCCTTTAGTTCTGTGTACACGGCTTTCTTTAGCACATTGACTATACTGAAAATGTTGATTTGAAGACATAATGGCTGAAAACTTCCCAAACTTGATAAGAGAATCCCGAAAGCAATGTGAGAGAAGTGACTTATCATGGACAAGTGATTCTCAATAAGATAAACAGCTTTCTAATCAGAAGTCAGTGAAGCTAAAGGGTAGTGGGACAACATACTCAAAGTACCAAAAGAAAAAAAAGAAAACAAACTGTCAATAAGAATTCTATAGTTGGCAAAACTATGCTTCACACAAATAAGGGAGAAATTAAGACTTTCCCAAATTAACAAAAACTGTGATAGTTTATCCCTTGTAGACCTGCCCTACAAGAAATCCTTCAGGCTGAAATGAAAAGACACCAGAAGGCAACTCAATTCCAAACAAAGAAATAAAAAACACCAGTGAAGGTAACTACATAGGTGAAGACTCAGTTTTAAATTATTTTTGGCTCATAACTTTCTTTTTTTCTATATAATTTAAAAGACAGCACCCATTCTACCAATCTCTGCATCTTAATTGGAGAGTTTAATCCATCTACATCTAATATAGTTAATTATAAAGAAAGACTTACTTCTGCTATTTTTTATTTGTTTTCTATGTGTCTTATAACTTTGTTTTGTTTCTCAGTTCCTCTACTACTGTCTTCTTTGTGTTAGATTTTTTCTAGTGTACCATTTTGATTTCTTTCTCATTTCTTTTACTACGTATTTCTTAAATATTTTCTAGTAGTTGCCCTGAGGATTACAATTAACATCTTAATTTATAAAAATCTACTTTGAATTAATATCAACAGCACACAAACACTTTGCTCCTATAGAGTTCCACTCCTCTCTCACCTTGCTTATGCTGTTATGACAAATTACATCTCTCTATATTTTATGCCAATCAACATTGATTTCTAATTATCCCAGGATGCAGAAGTACTTCAACATATGAAAATCAATCAATGTAATATGCCATATTAATTATGGAGAGAAAACCCACATGATTACCTTAATTGATGTAGAAAAAGCATTTGATAAAATGTAACACTCTTTTATGACAAAAACAGTTTAAAAACTAGGAATAAAAGAAAACTTCCTTAACAAGATAAAAGCCACATATGGAAAAAACCCACAGCTATCATTATACTTAATGGTAAACAATGAAAGCTTTCCCCTAAGATTAGGAACAAGACAAGGGTGTCCATTCTAGCCACCTCTATTAAACATTGTACTGGAAGTTCTGGTCAGAGCAGCTAGGAAAAAAGCGGGAAAAAAGAAATAAAACACATCCAACTTGGAGAGGACGTTGTAAAACTATTTCTATTCACAGATGACATAATCTAATATAGAGAAAATTCTAAAGAAAACATACAAAAATCAGTTGCATTTCTATACAGTAGCAATGAAAGTTATAAAAATAAAATTAAGAAAATAATTCCAACAAATGGTGGTGAGACAACTGGATAAATTTAACCGATGAGATGCAAGAATGAATGAATTTGGATCCTCACTTCACACCATATACAAAAATTAACTCAAATAGACTAAAGACTTTAATATAAAGATTAAAACTCTTGGAATAAAACATACGGGAAATCTTCACAACCTTGGATTTAGCAATGGATTTTTAGATATGACACCAAAAACAGGAAAAATAGATAAATTGGACTTTATAAAAATGAAAGTC